>NC_000017.11:48185980-48810980 GCF_000001405.40 Homo sapiens
GAGTCTCTTGCTCTTGCTCTCCCTGCTCCTCTCTCACCGTGAGTATGGAAGATTCTGAATGAACAGATGTGACACACCTGGTTTTATATCTAGATATGCCAACCACTTATTTAAATGCAAAATAAATGATGAACATATTTACAGTGAGAAGTGTCATATTAGTTTGAAGTTTTAAAATAAGAAAAGAACAACTGGCTGGATTGAATGCCTATAATTTAGAGGAGAAATTGTGGTTGCTGGGTTGGAGAGTGGGCTGGGGGTTGGAAGGACACAGAGGACTTGTAGCTCAGTTTACAAACTATGCTGTTATCCTTCCCAAACAGGGCTTTAGCCTTTGCCCCTAGATGCGAAATGTTCTGAGGAATCTAGGATGGTGAAAGGTAGGCAAAGGTCTGTGATAACTACTGCAGGCAGTGTGAGACAATTGCTTGGGCAAATCTTAAGGATTTCAAGTCACTTAGCAAAGCTGCAGTTTTTATTTATTTATTTATTTATTTATTTATTTATTTATTTATTTATGGTTGAGACAGAGTCTCGCTCTGTTGCCCAGGGTGGAGTGCAGTGGCGTGATCTCGGCTCACCACAACCTCCACCTCCTGGGTTCAAGCAATTCTCCTGCCTCAGCCTACAGGCACATGCCACCATGCCTGGCTAATTTTTGTATTTTTAGTAGTAGAGACGGGGTTTCACTATGTTGGCCAGGTTGGTCTTGAACTCCTGACCTCATGATCTGCCTGCCTTGGCCTCCCAAAGTGCTGGGATTACAGGCGTGAGCCACTGTGCCTGGCCCAAAGCTGCAGTTCTTTCCACTACCTTAGTGCCACAGGTGCAGGAAGTACAAAGGCAACTGGGTGGGTGTCTGATTATTCCCTATATTGGATATCCAGGCACTGGGAAAGCACTAAGTTTGAGGAAGGAGAAACAGAAAATGATTGCAAGGAAAAAGAAGAGTCTACTCAAACTGTATCGCTGGCCTCTGTACGAAGGTGCACAGTACAAGGAAAGCCCCAAGAAGAATTGATGCTTTTTAAACTTTGTCTCCCTCTTGCGTCTTAGAATTACTCCTGGGGCAGTCCAACTCTGTAGAAGAGTATCCCCTATTCGAAAGTTTGCATTCATCTATAATAATAATTTTTAGCTTGTCTTTATTTGTAATTGCCTCCAATTGTGCTTATATCCTCTATTTCTTTTCATAAACCAATCAATTACATTAAACATGGATGGGAGGTCTTCTAGGGTTAGCTCATGAGTGTTGACTTGATTAAGTCAGTGGTGGCTCATTAAGAAACTATCTCTGGCCCGAGTCAACACTTCACTGCTGCTGTCATCTGGCTGAAGGGCATGCCTTGGGTACAGCAACCATTTGGGTCTCAATATTCCATGGCTATAGGAATGTCCACTGGACTACTTACTTACTAGCAGTCATGAAGATAAAGCAGGGAGCATGCCCTTAGGGGGTTCTATTTCTGGGCCATTGTTTAAGTTCTTTAAGTCTTTCTCAGAATTAATTTATTTCAATTTTTAGCTATGGTATTGATGCCTGTAAAGAGTTTGAAGTTCTTTTTATTTTTTTTAAAAACCAAAACATTCAACTTTGATAATGTGTTGTTAATCATCATAAAAGATAACCATTTGATGTGCTGACCACACTCTTAGTGTTTAAAGGTGAAATAATTTCTAAATTGGGTTCTGCTTTTTCGGTGATGGGCAAGGTATTATTTGTCCATGCCAATTTCTTTCCTAAGCATGTCCCTTTATGGGTGTTAGTTAAGGACTGCTATCTTGGGATCTAAGTGCTTGAGAATTTACGAAGTGTTTGCATCCAGGAGTGAGATGCTGCTGTGTAAATGAAGAACACTTACTCTTCTCATTAGCATAGTAGTAGAAGAGACCTCTGCTGACAACACACCATCGCTTCTGCCACTCCGATCCAAAGAAACTATGATCTAAACAGAACAGCAGTAGGGGACATAAATTCAGGTAACTACCATCATTGAAGAGTCTGTAAAATCCAACAACATACAGTCCAGTGTGTTATTGTTTTATTTCCCAGGTTAATGGACTGTAAAACCCTCCTTTTCACTCCCACAGGTTATCCCATATTGACTCAGGGTCCAGGGGACTAGCTCAGTCAAAGGTCCAAGTTCTAAACAGGGTTGCCTGCTCTGTGCCCCCACAGCTGTCTTTTTATCTAGACTCCTTTATATCTTTCGGGTTCTAATCTCATCCTGTACATTTTCAAACTCTCCATTATATCTTTATGTGTTGCCTTTGACAAAGCAAAATGATTCTCCAGGCCTTGGCCATGAAAGAGCCTTTGTTTTGGTGCTGAGCCAATTTGCCTGTTGAGTGTTAAACCTGAGATGCCAACTCTAGTGGTACCTACTCTAATTAAATGAGTTAAAGGTCAAGAGTTGGGTTTGAAGGCAGAAGTGGTGGCTCACATCTGTAATCCCAGCACTTTGGGAGGCTGAGATGGGAAGTATGCTTAAAGCCAGGAGTTTGAGACCAGCCTGGGCAACAAAGTGAGACCTTGTCTCTATAAAAAAATAATAAAATAGCCAGGCACAGTTGTGTGCACCTGTTGTCTCAGCTCTTTGACAGGCTGAAGTGGGAGCATTGCTTGAGCCCAGGATTGGAGGCTGCAGTGAGCTATGATGGCGCTACTGTATTCCAGCCTTGGTAATAGAGGGAGATCCTATCTTAAAACAAAAAAAGAAAGAAAGAAAAAAAAAAGGCCGGGTGTGGTGGCTCATGCCTGTAATCCCAGTACTTTGGGAGGCTGAGGCGGGCAGATCACTTGAGGCCAGGAATTTAAGACCAGCCTGGCCAACATGATGAAATCCTGTCTCTGCTAAAAATATGAAAAATTAGCTGGGCATGGTGGCACGCACCTGTAGTCCCAGTTACTCAGGAGGCTGAGACAGCAGAATCGCTTGAACCAGGAGGTGGAGGTTGCAGTGTGCCAGGTTCACACCCACTGCACTACAGAGTGAGACTCTGTCTCAAACAACAACAACAACAATAACAAAAACAAAAAACAAAAGAGTTGGGTTTATCTGAAATTTGAAAGTAGACTGCTTCACATATGATACAAAAACTACACAGTGGGAGCACACTGAGAGA
Source organism: Homo sapiens (assembly GCF_000001405.40). Classification (NCBI taxonomy): domain Eukaryota; kingdom Metazoa; phylum Chordata; class Mammalia; order Primates; family Hominidae; genus Homo; species Homo sapiens. The sequence continues at coordinate 48,189,107 of NC_000017.11, forward strand.
TGAGGACAAGAACACCATTCATGGATTCAACAAGTTTTATCAAGCACCTGTCACATACCAGGCATTGGGGATACAGAGGTGAGCAGGACATAACCATCCCTATCCTGATGAAGCTTACAGTCTGCTCAAGGCTGGGACATCTCTCTTTAGCCTACACGAAAACACCAGACTCCTTTCCTTTCCTTGCTTTGCTTTTGCCTTGTATCCGCCTAGCACAGTACCGGGCACAGAGAAGGCATCCAATGTGTTAGCCTTCTTTTTCCTCACTTCCCTTCCCTTCCTGGAATGTTCTGAAATCTGTGGGTCTGACCAATACCTTTGCTTTTCTTCTCCAAGTATCCTTGCTTGATTACGTTATCAAGTTCTTGAGCTCCTTTTACGATGTCTTCCATTCCTAAAAGGACCAATGGCAAAATGCTTTATTGAAACCTGGCAAAATTTTCATTTATTTAGGCTACTTTAGGTAATTCACATTAATAACAGAGTACAAAAAGGGCAATTGCTTAAACACAGTACAAAATAAAACAATTTCTGTATGATTGGAGGGAAAAGTAAATTTTCTTGCTTTTTCTTTTTTTTTTTTTGAGACAGAGTCTTGGTCTGTCACCCAGGCTGGAGTATACAATGGCGCTATCTCGGCTCACTGCAACCTCTGCCTCCCAGGTTCGAGCCATTCTCCTGTCTCAGCCTCCCAGGTAGCTGAGACTACAGGCATGTGCCACCACACCTGGCTAATGTTTTTTGTATTTTTAGTAGAGATGGGGTTTCACCATGCTGGCCAGGCTGGTCTCGAACTCCTGACCTCAAGTGATCCACCCGCCTCGGCCTCCCAAAATGCTGGGATTACAGACGTGAGCCACCACACCCAGCCAATTTTCTTTCTTTTCAATTATATCTAATGCTAAAATTGCTTAAAACTATCTAAATATACACTAATTTGTAGTAAGGTGAGGTAGCGTAAATATGCACTGATGGGCAGGAAAAGGACTCCAGAAAATTAAGAATTTTTTTTTTTTTTTTGAGACAGTCTGTCTCTGTTGCCCAGGCTGGAGTGCAGTGGCGCGATCTTGGCTCACTGCAAGCTCCATCTCCCGGGCTCATGCCATTCTCCTGCCTCAGCCTCCCAAGTAGGTGAGACTACAGGCGACCACCACCACGCCCGGCTAATTTTTTTTTGTTGTATTTTTAGTAGATATGGGGTTTCACCGTGTTAGCCAGGATGGTCTCGATCTCCTGACCTCGTGATCCGTCCACGTTGGCCTCCCAAAGTGCTGGGATTACAGGCGTGAGCCACTGCGCCCAGCCAAACTTAAGAATTTTTTTGTGGATATAAGTTCCAAGTTGGATAAACCTCACTGAGATAATCAAAAGTCAAATGAATAGCTACCAGCACAGACAGCTTTAATGAGTAATAGATTCCACCATAAACGTAGTCACCTAAGAGGGAGCAATAAATACACACTCAATTTTTTTTCTCTTAACAAACAGATAGCCATCTCTGTGAACATAAATTTTTTTAAGTTCATAGAAGAAGGGCTATGCAAGCTGAACTTAGCAATAACTGTCAAATCCTGATTTCTTAAAAGTCTGAGAAAGAGGCTGGGCCCAGTGGCTCATGCCTGTAATCCCAGCACTTTGTGGGGCTGAGGCAGGCAAATCACGAGGTCAGGAGTTTGAGACCAGCCTGGCCAACATGGTGAAACCTCATCTCTACTAAAGATACAAAAAATTAGCCGGGCATGGTGGCACACACCTGTAATCCCAGCTACTCGGGAGGATGAGGCACAAGAATCTCTTGAATGCGGGAGGCGGAGGTTGCAGTGAGCCGAGATCGTGCCATTTCACTCCAGCATGGGCGACAGGATGAGACTTCGTCTCAAAACAAAACAAACAAAAAAAAGTATGCGAAAGAATCTAAGAACTGTAAAAGGCTTCACAAATAATACCCTGAAACTTACATCAGCCTTTAATTGTATGCTGCTAACATTCTTGGCTTTCAATTAGCCTTGTTAGGTACAAATTTATTGAGAAGTCAAGATCCTAATCCATCTTCCTCCACTGGGGTTTATACTTACTTCACAGAAGGGAGGGACAAAGGATGGAGACAAAGAAGGAATTTACTTCTCAAAAAATAAAATGAAAGAAGAATGAAAAAAAAAGCCTCTTTTAAGGACACACTCCACATTTCTTAATTAGGCAAAATGAAGGTAATTGGGCTAGCGGTATTTTAACATTTATTCTTTTTAGTCCCAGAACTCAAATCTCTTTTGGATTGTCTTAAATAATTTATGAAGCAAACCAAATACAAAACAAAGTAAGGCATAACTACATATGAATCAACTGGGCCACCTATAGAGTATCTTGAGAGTTATGGTTGAAATAACTTTTTTTCAAACAATTGTTTTTTGAACATTTCCTACAATAACATTTATTCAATGGTGGCTATGAGCTGGCACTTTGCTCAGTGCTTTTCCTACTTTTTGTTTTAAAATAACATCTACGACAATTTAAAATGCAATCAAAATTACATTTTGCTTTAAAGCTGTTTCAAGCTTAGTTATAAAAAGGTAGATCAGAAGAGCCTCTTTTTCTGTTTTTAAGTGTGTCTATGTGCCTGATTTTTTATCCAATTGGTCCTTATTGTTAACCTCCTTGTTCATGGACTACTTTTATTTGTGTGTTTCACAGTTAGCAAACTATGTGGTTGCCATAAATCCTTTTAATCAATCTCAGGGTGCACGCATGAGATGAACAGCAGCAAAGGAAAGTTCATTTTTCTAGGGTTCTTTCATTTCTCCTACCCCTCTGAAAACACCCTCCAAGGAAACAGTAGCAGATTCTACTGAGGGTGAGGCATTGAGTGGGGTGAGGACCAGTTACAGAAGAGAAGGCTCTCTGAAGTGCTGTCAAAAAATTGCTCCTGGGGAGGCCAGGTGTGGTGGCACAAACCTGTAGTCCCAGCTACTTGGAGGCTGAGGTAGGAGGATCTCTTGAGTCCAGGAGTTCAAGGCTGCAGTGAGCTGTGATTGAACCACTTCACAACAGCCTGGGGACAGAGCGAGACTCTGCCTCTTAAAAAAAAAAATTGCTCCTGGAGGCCTAAAAATTAAATGAAAGACATAGGGAGATGAGGAAAACACGATCCCATAAGCTGGGAGTTTCCATCTCTTCTTTCCACAGGTTTTTTTTTTCTTTTCTTTTTAAAGGTCTTGTTAAACTTAGAGACACAGCTCCTTGTCAAAGATGCCAAGAGTCTGAATCATAAAAGACATGTTAAACGTTCTATTAGAATTCAAACCTCCTTTTTTTAATGCAAATTTAAATGCCATTTTATGGAACATCTATAATTATGAAAATGGGAAGACATTGCCTCGTGTGCAGGGAGAGTCTGTGAGTATGAATATTACATTAATGTGCCCACACCAGCTCACTGATCCTGCTGGCAGGAGCATAAAAAATGCCTGAGTGAAACTTTTATTTAGATGTTAAGACTCCAGGCCCCAGCGGGGTGACAGAGACAGCCCCTGTGAGTTGCCATCAGAGAGAGAGCTTGAATTGAATTACCCAGGGGGGAGGAAGTAGTGATGAGCACTGCTTCGCTTATTTAATTTCATTTACTTTCAGTACATTATCAGCATGAGGTTTTTCTCTCCCCACCAACTGAAACCCAAGAATGCCACCACTAAGGAAACAAAGACATAATACAGCAGAGATGTAACTCTAAGTCACTAATTCTAGGAGACAAGGGATAGCACCATCACCACCTTCTCTCCCCAAGAGTCAAACTCAGTTTGCTAAAATTGGGTACCAAAGGAGCTGCTGAATTTTTTCTCTTGGTCATTCACTAACAAGATTCTGAAAAGGAATAGAGCTGGAAACAGCTTTTTATATGGTGTGTTTTTGTGTATAGTCAGTAAGATGTGTTATGTTGCTTTCTTTCTTTCTTTTTTTTGAGACAGAGTCTCACTCTTGTCGCCCAGGCTGGAGTGTAATGGTGTGATCTCAGCTCACTGCAACCTCCACCTCCCGGGTTCAAGCGATTCTCCTGCTCCAGCTTCCCAAGTAGCTGGGATTACAGGCATGCACCACCATGCCTGAATAGTTTTTTGTATTTTTAGTAGAGACGGGGTTTCTCCATGTTGGTCAGGCTGGTCTTGAACTCCTGACCCCAGGGGATCCAGCCGCCTCGGCCTCCCAAAGTGCTGGGATTACAGGCATGAGCCACCGCACCCGGTCTATGTTGCTTTCTTATTCATTAGACAGAATCTGTATTGAGGAATTCTCTTGCCTGGTTCCCCTTATGGGCAGTGGGAAAAAATGGGATTATAGGCTCAGTTTAGAATGTCTACGGAAAAAAAATTAGGAAATGAGGTCAGATCAGTCTCTAGTCTACTAACTGTCTTCTGTGTACAAGGTACTGTGTGGTGAGTTCAATAACAGAGTTGTTCTCAATGTAGTTGGCTCTGAGCTCAATCTCATTAGCTCCATGATCTATCTGACAAATCCAAATAACCAAGGTGGGAATCCACAGTGGCATGCAAGGTACCTCCTCTTTCAGTGTCAGCGCAGGGTCCTACTGATCAAGAACTAGTGATCCTGAGGATGAACAGTGTTAGCCATGCCATGGGGTGATGAGGCAGGAATCTTGTATGCCTGGATCCACACCTACTGGTAAACGAACAGATCTGCAGAGAACTACTTAATGCATAATAGAAAGTATGTAAAATATGCTTTAAAGGACGGTTATAAAAATAGGAAGAAGTTGCAAACAATTGTATAAGTTGCTATTTTAAGGCAAACAATTTATATTTAAGTATACAATTAAAAAAAGAAGCTTTTTATTCATTACCTGAGAAAAGATATCACCACCGTCATGAAAAAATAAAAATGATTTTGATTTATTGAGAATAAATGGCCCTCTTGGCTAAGTCTAAAGGTGTATTACATTATATCAGCACAAAACAGAATTACATTAGTGTCATAATCTCTCCCTACCACTACACTTAACTAAACCTCTCAGAACAGCCCGTATAAAGAAAAGATTCACTTAGCTGAAGGATATGGGGCCACAAAGATAAGATCAACAGAGAAGTATGTTACCCAGAAGTGATGGCCACCCAACTTTCATGGCAGATGAAGATAAAAGAAATTCTCAGATATCTTTCTCTTCATCTAGTTTCCTTTAAACCCTTGTATCCCACCCACATCAAAAAAAGCAATAAAAAACGACAGAATAGGATTCCATCTCTCAATGCTAAACATGACTCTTTAGTCAGCTATGCACAGCAACAACAATGGGGACCCTTTGGAGTGTGATACATTTCCATAAAGCAGTCAATAAAAAAGACACGAGAGCTTATGTGAGTCACGGCCTATTTAACCAGCTGCGTTCTAGCCCACTGAGAAAAGAGAATTGGAGAAATCAGTTGGCAACACCAGAGCACAAGGCTAATAGCACAGGAGGCCACACAATTTCCACGCAAAAAGGCTGCAGCCCCTGCAGAACAAACCAGGTGCCCACTAACTTTCATTATAGGCAGCTGGCTTGGTCTCTTGCTAAATCATCCTGAAAGGAAAATAAATAGTTTTTTAAAAAACATCTTTTGTTCAAATCGTCCCCCTGTTAAGTTATGGACTTCTCCCATCCTCCCTCTTCCTTTTAATTCAAGTTCTTTTCAACTGTTTAAAAGAGGGACCTAACCAACTTGAGCCTAGAGACTAATAGCTAACAGGGGTGAATTTCAGACAGGGTGAAGTTTAGCAGGATCCTTCATTAAAGTACTCATGTAAAAAACCTGGGGATTGGGTGTATGAGATTGGAGAAAATTTAACATCTGAAGGCTGGGAATGGTCAAATTCCACCTGCAATTCCAATGCAGTCACAGATGGCTGGTGTGTGTGCATCTGCAGACATAAACACAAACACACGCTTTAAAATGCCTCAAATGTACCAAGGTGAGGAGGGTATTGCAGATAGGTTGGGGAGGGGGTAGTTTTCTCTTGTCTGGTGATTGTGGATTTCAAATCTGTTCATGAACCTCTCTTTTGTGCATTTGATTTCTGTGGCCTTCTTTAATATGTTCATTACTGCTTTTCCTTAGCTTCTTACTTTTCTGGGTTACTTTTTTGCCTTCTTCTCAATTTTCAGGAACCAGTCAATAAATGATAGTTTGTAGTGTCTGGCAGGAAGTGTCATCTTCCGATGCTAACAAGGAAGTTGGTTTCAATGACTATTCCTTGATTAGTCCCTTGAACAGGCATATATAATTCTTTAACTTCCGTGGTTCCATTTGATATCCACCTGAGTTTACACTTATACCACACATTTTTCTTGCATTGTGCTTCACTTATAAAGGAATTTAGCTTAACATATGAAAGGTGAAAAATTCTAAAACATTAGTAATAGATTTAGCATCTAAAATTTCAAAGATATAGAAAGCACTCAAACAGATGGCTTTAAACTAACTGAATGGAACTGTTCATGGAGAAATAAATTGGACAACAGATGAAAGGAAGGGAATGAACACAACGTACTTAATCAAGTTCTTCAACAAGCTGTGATGTAAGAAGCTAGGAAACAGAACATGAGCAACAGGAGCTAGACTAAAGGACCCCAGAAAATGGTAGAAATGACACATTTGTAGTTAGCAAACCAACACAGAAGACAACTTTCATGAGACCTCAATAGACTCATGTTGCCCTTCTAATTTTTGAAGGTCTTTTAAAAATACCAGTGAATCCAGGTTATAGTGAACCCAGGTTACAGAAATCTGTGGAGAAAATCCTGTTATACTGAAGACAAAAAAAACCTCTGAGGTTCTAGGTCAGTAGTACAAAGAAAAAAAAGCAGATAATAAACAAAATAATTAAAATGAATATGCTTTAACAAAAATGGCCCCCCAAAACCCTAACCAGTTTTAAATTCATCAGCATTGTATCAAGCATTTTTACATCTAAGTCCCACAATATCCCTATGAGGCATGTTTTATTATCATCCCCACTTTACAGACTAGGAAACTGAGGTGTAATGAAATGACATAATTTGCTGAAGGTTGCTCAGTTGGAATAGCCCATGCTGTTTCCAATACTCTGAGCTTCAGACATGCACAGAAGTGGATGAGGAAAGATTGGGTCTTCCTATCTCACTCCCCCACAAAAAGAGACCCTGTTTTTTGGAAGAAGAAACAGGCATGATGTGTGGTTATTCTAACTCCTGGTGTCAAAAAATTATTTTAGTATCTATATTTCTTATTTACTTTTTTATGAGTAAAATGAGCAGGTTTTATTTTATTTTTATGTTTTTCAGCTTTTATTTTAGAATCGGGGTACATGTGTAGGTTTGTTACAAAGGTATATTGTGTGATGCTGAGGTTTGGAGTATGAATAATCTGTCATCCAGGTAGTGAGCACAGTACCCAATAATAGTTTTTCAACCCTTGCTTCCCTCCCTACCTCCTCGTGCATTTACCCAGTGTCTACTGTTGCCATATTTATGTCCATGTGTACCCAGTGTGTAGCTCCCACTTATAAGTGAGAAAATGCCATATTATGTTTTCTGTTTCTGCGTTAGTTCAAAAACATGGAATGCTTCACAAATTTGCATGTCATCTTTGCACAGGGGCCATGCTAATCTTCTCTGTATCATTCCAATTTTAGTATATATGCTGCCAAAGTGAGCACTCGGTTACTTTTAAATGTACTAACTGATTAATCTTTGGAATTGCCTCCTAGGGCAGATCTATGTGAAATCCAAGAGGTCAAAAGAGATATAGAGCAAAATACAAGAAAGTCTCAGAATTCAATAAAAGGACACATGAGTTAAGTACCTATAAGAGGGCACAGCCAGAAGCTCTCAAAAAATGCTGCTTGGGGCTGGGCGTGGTGGCCCACGCCTGTAATCCCAGCACTTTGGGAGGCCGAGGTGGGCAGATCACGAGGTCGGGAGTTTAAGACCACCGTGGCCAGCATGGTGAAACCCTGTCTTTACTAAAAATACAAAAAATTAGCTGGGCATAGTGGTGCACACCTGTAATCCCAGCTACTTGGGAGGCTGAGGCAGGAGAATTGCTTGAACCCAGGAGGCGGATGTGGCAGTGAGCCGAGATTGCGCCACTGCACTCCAGTCTAGGTGATAGAGCGAGACTCCGACTCAAAAAAAAAAAAAAAAAAAATGCTGATTGGTCACCAAGGTTCGTAAGACCTCTTCTGATGCAAGGGTGATCATCTAGAAAAAAGAAACCCTGTTCCAGTGTAGGGCTCATGCAGAAATCTTGGACATGATTTACTTACTCTTGAAGGAAGAGATTTGGGTTTGAAAAGGAAGATTTTCCCCAGCACTTTGGGAGGCTGAGGCAGGCAGATCACTTGAGGCCAGGAGTTTGAGACCAGCCTGGCCAACATGGTGAAACTCCGTCTCTACCAAAAACAAAAAAATTAGTCAGGCATGGTGGTATGTGCCTGTAGTCCCAGGTACTTGGAAGCTTGAGGCAGGAGGATTGCTTGAGCCTGGGAGGCAGAGGTTGCAGTGAGCTGAGAGTGCACTAGCCTAGGTGGCAGAACAAGACTCAAAACAAAAAACAAACAAACAAAAAACAAAAACAAAACAAAAGGATTTTAAAGCCAAATATCCAAACTGGTTTCTTTTCATAAAGTATTCCCTCAGTAATGCCAAGCCACAAGGTAACTTACAGAAACCATGAGTATTCATGGAGGATGAAGAACCCTCTCATTCCTACAAAGGGGCAACACATGCTAATTGTCTAGGAGACCTGTGGTCTTGCAAGATGCTCTCTTCCACATCTTCACTTTCCGTGGGATTTTACTTATGAGAAATGAAAGTGTCAGGAAAAAGCCCTTCTAACTCCAAGCATGGTAACTTCAATGCACTAATGATAGTATCTAAATAAATGGTAATAATCAATACTTTCTGGTAGGTGTCAGGAGTTCATCTTAAAGAATGACTAACTGTAATAATCCATTGCTTCTCAATCGTGAAACATTGGTATACTTTGATCAGTTAAAGGACAGAGATTTTGAATAATTTACTTTTAGAATAAGAATGGGTTTTGGCCGGGCGCGGTGGCTCACGCCTGTAATCCTAGCACTTTGGGAGGCCGAGACGGGCGGATCACGAGGTCAGGAGATCGAGACCATCTTGGCTAACACGGTGAAACCCCGTTTCTACTAAAAATACAAAAAATTAGCCGGGCGTGTTGGCGGGCGCCTGTAGTCCCAGCTACTCGGGAGGCTGAGGCAGGAGAATGGCATGAACCCGGGAGGCGGAGCTTGCAGTGAGCCGAGATGGCGCCACTGCACTCCAACCTGGGAGACACAGCGAGACTCCGTCTCAAAAAAAAAAAAAAAAAAAAAAAAGAATGGGTTTTAAGTTTTTCTATAACAATACCACTCACTGCATTCTGATACGCTTTCTTACAGGGAGAAGTCAATCAAAAATAACTTATAGCTTATCCTATGTATGCTACAGCCTATAGTGATGAAATGAATCTGATGTACTATCATAATTGTGGCATCATGAATTCCCACAGTGCTTTATTTACTTGAAAAAAAAAATTGTGTTCCTTCAAAACCATGAGTGTTCTGTGGTGGTGGGTTAAGCATATGTGTCTTTTGATTTTATCAATAACACATATCTGTAACCCAACATCCTCAGCTTCATTTTTATCCTAAGAATCCATCCTTAATATAGAACCGCAAAAGACCTGAAGTATCTTTAGCAGCTAAGTCACAGTAAGTGGCAACAGAGCAAAGTGGGAATCCTGATACAAATTAAGGCAGAAATCCTTCAATGGTCTCATGATTCTAAAAAGGAGAAGAGGATTTTAAAATGCCACATTGTCTTTTTACAAACCTTGCAAGATCGACGTATTCCCCCTGAGTCAGATCACGATTATACATGCATCACTTGAGAGCCTATCTTTAAAAACGAATGACGAAATGTCATTTTCAGATCTGTTTATTTACTATGCCACTGGACTGTGATAAGAGCACAGAGAAAAGGAAATAAAAAGAAAAGAGCCTTGCCTGGGTTTAGAATCACTTTTTAACTGGTTCACCAAACTGTGGCCAGAAGTCATCTTTCTAAAACACAGATCATGTCACATTCCTGCTTAAATCCTGTAATGGTTTTTTATTACCTACAGGATGAAACTCAAACTCTCCAGCATACAAAGATTTTTAAGTACTTGGTGTCTTCCTACCTTCCAGTTTCATTTTCTCCCAACTTTGTCACCTCCCAGTACTCCAGCAACAATAAGGAACAGACTCTGTCCTGTGGAACATGCCATGCACTTTACACTGCCAGGTCTCTGTGTATTCTGTTTTTCCTGTTTGGAACTTCCTCTCTCTACATCCAGCTGCCGAGTTGGGAGTACTCCTTCAGTTCAAATGTCACATCCTCTTTGAATCTTTGATTCCACCATGTAAAATTATATACTCCCTCTTCTGTGCTTCTATAGCATTTTCTAGAACATTTTTATAGCACAGTCTTGGCTCCCAGGGACCCTAAATCTTTTCCTCAACGTGCTCCATTCTTGCCACTTTGCTTGGGTTTCCATAAGACCTTAGTAACAATGTAAAGCTGCTAGAATCCTTGAAAAAGCAAATAGAAAAAGGGCTATTCCTGGGAAAAGAACGGTAGTTGTGGACCTGGGTACAAGGCAATAGGGAGGAGGGTAAAAATAGATCTTGCAGTCATAGGAAAAGAGATGACACCATGGAAGAAATTAAGTGAACAGAACGTTATAGTACCTGGATTAAAATGGGGAAACGAAGTTGCATATTAGATTCTTCTTTGGTGCATATAGCCGTGCACGTAGGGGGATGGGCCAGGGTTTTCATGGCAATTGTCTAGGTAAGAAGAGTAAGAATTAGATTGAGGAGGAAGGCTGGCGCGGTGGCTTATGCCTGTAATCTCAGCACTTTGGGAGGCCGAGGTGGGCAGATCACAAGGTCAGGAGTTTGAGACCAGCCTGGCCAATATGGTGAAACTCTGTCTCTACTAAAAAAAAAAGTACAAAAATAATTAGCTGGGTGTGGTGGCGCACACCTGTAATCCCAGCTACTCGGCAGGCTGAGGCAGGAGAATTGCTTGAACCCTGGAGGTGGAGGTTGCGGTGAGCCGAGATCATGACACTGCACTCCAGCCTGGGTGACAGAAGGAGACTCTGTTTCAAAAAAAAAGAATTAAATTGAGGAGGAACTGGAACATGTGAATAGCTGAGCTCCATCACAAGATTGGGCCATTCTTTCTTTCTTTCTTTTTTTTTTTGAGTTGGAGTTTCACTCTTGTTGCCCAGGCTGGGGTACAATGGCGCAATCCCTGCTCACTGCAACCTCCGCCTCCCAGGTTCAAGCAATTCTCCTGCCTCAGCCTCCCGAGTAAGCTGGGATTACAAGTGCCCACCACCATGCCCAGCTAATTTTTGTATTTTTAGTAGAGACGGGGTTTCACCATGTTGATCAGGCTGTTCTTGAACTCCTGACCTCTGGTGATCCAGCCACCTCAGGCTCCCAAAGTGCTGAGATTACAGGCATGAGCCACCGCGCCCGGCCCTGGGCCATTCTTTAATTAGTTGTTGAACTGATGTGGAATTAAGAAGGATCTTTCCCTTAAATATACACAATACACTGTAAGGAGTGTGATACTAATTATTTAATTTCTGGAAGCCTAAAGAAAAGCTGCCAGTGGGAAATCTGGTCCCTTTCATAGAGAGCAGTGCAATTCATTATTTGTATACTTGTTTCTCTTTTTATCCCCAGGGGCCTCGTACACACAGTAGGTACCCAATAATGTTTGTTAAACTGAACTGAAACCACTTCTAGCCTAATAGGACTTGTGATCTAGGAATGCAATATGGAAGTGAATATTTGTTAGTCAAACCATTTTCGCTTAAGTCACAAACAGTCATTTTTGTTCTACTTTAATCTTAGGGTTGGTATCATATAAAACAAGAAAGTAAGAAGAGGCAAGGAAAGGAGGATTTTGCCAAGACAACAAGGAGAAAGTGGGGGTGCAGAAGTTAGCTCGTATCACAGCGCTGAGAATGAAAGAAAGAGGACCAAAAAGGATTTTGGAGAAAAAATTAGAATAAAATGCCATGAACCTCAAATGGAGAGAAATAAATTTCTCTCTCTCTCTTTTTCCTTCCTTCCTTCCTTCTTTCCTTCCTTCCTTTCTTCGTTCCTTCCTTCCTTCCTTCTCTCCTCCCTCTCTCTCTCTTCCTTGCTTCTTTCCCTCCCTCTTTCCTTCTTTCCTCTCTCTCTCTTTCTTTTTTGAGACAGGGTCTTGCTCTGACACCCAGGCTGAAGTGCAGTGGTGCAATCATGGCTCACTGCAGCCTCCATCTCCTGGGTTCAAGCAACCCTCCTGCCCTCAGCCTCCCAAGTAGCTTGGACTACTTGGTGTGCACCGCCACACTTGGCTAATTTATTTCTTATTTTTGGTAGAGACAGGGTCTCACTATGTTTCCCAGGCTGGTCTTGAACTCCTGGTCTCAAACTTCTGGTCTCAAGCAATCTTTCCATCTCAGCCTCCCAAAGTGCTGGGATTATAGGTGTGAACTACCACGCCTGGCCAAGAAATAAATTTCTGAGTCCCATGTTACAGCCTGATTGGCACACCAATTCTGTTTGCCTTGGACCTTATCTATCTCCAGAACAGGGTTCAGAAGAAACAATAAACAGGCAAAAGACTGTGCCAAATGAATAACTGATTACTCTTTAGGAAATAGCTATTGATAGCAACTTCTGAGCTATAGACTTTGAGTGGCTGAGAATTTGGTCACTGATAGTGTTTCCTCAGTCTTGTTCTTTTATTTATCTCCTGGAGAAATGGCATTTTCCTTTTGAGCTTTTACATGTACATTGGTTTGCATCCTGTGAGCAAACATCTTATGTGTGTCTGAGCATTTAATACTGTTAATGGTGAAGGCTACATGGAGATTAGTGTGACAGACTCCTGACATCTCTATTTTAGTTGCTATCCAAAGCAAAAGATTTAAGGAGGAATCAAATGATAATAATTTTGCCTTCTCTATGTCTCTCTAGTAAAAGACATTCAGATATCATCAGAGTACTGCATTGAGAAAACTTTAAAAGCAAACACAGCAGAAAAGACAAAAGAAGACTCAGGAACTAATTATCGTGATTCTCTGGGGGTATTTCAGGGTGGGTGATCTAATGAGAACTCTTACACCCCATCAGGAAGAACTTGATGGGAAAGCAGTGATCTTAGCAATGTGGCTTTGACCTGGTATGTATTATCTCCTGGTCAAAGGGCCACTCCCAAGCCAAACCTCACCCTCAGACAGCTCCATGTGTGTCTCTGTGTAGCAGTATGGGCTCAGAGACAGAAAAATGATGTTGGCTGTGATAAGTCACCTTTAAGGCAAAAATCACCCTCCCTTAAAAAAGAAGTTACAAATTCTAGATTTAAATATTTCTGGATTTTTCTGTTTCATCCGACAAAACTCAAGCAAGTTTGAAGTCAAACTTTGCAAGGAAAAAGATTTAGGAGGGGAAAATGAGGGTGATGTTTCTAAACCCAAAATTTTCCAACCAAATCACCAAGTCTGTAATTGCAAAATAAAAACACTAAATCTCAATATCTATTTGCACAGCTCATTAACTAAGGGCTCACACTCAGCAAACGGGGAAAAAAAGAAAAAGAAAAAAACTTTAGTACCAAATACATTTGGAAAGTTACTATAGAGACCTATATTTCCCTTGAATCTAAACTAGGCCCTGCCACATTCTGCTACACTGTGGTTGGATGCATCTGTTTGTCTGTCTGTCTTTATTGCTTATTTAGCAAGTAGCAAATCGGGATGAGGCAAAGCATCTTTTGTCAGACCATGCAGGAGAGAGAAAGAGAACATTTCTTTCCCCACTGAACATTATGAACATTATGGCAGGCACTGGACCTGCTCTGCTACTGGGACAACATGATTTACAATGTGAAAAGGGAAAACCTAAATCACCAAGTAATGAAAACATTAAAGTTAATGCATCACAAGTGAGGAATTTATTACCATTAACTCCAATAAACAGTTATAAAACACTCGTCCTTTCCTGTCCGTGCACAGGGACACAGACACTGGACTTCATTAAGCTCAACTTTCTTTTCTTCTTCACTAGACCAGTCATGTGTGTTTGAACCAACCACCATTTATTGTTAGGTGGACTAGCTCATTTTCCAGGACTGTAGAAAGCTGAAGGCACATCCATTCTGCTTCACGGCACTTGGTATAGACGGATGAAATAGCAAAGTTTAGAAGACATGCAGCTCGGTATTGCTGTATAAGTTTATTTAAAAGTCTCTAAAATGTATTTCTGACAAAAGCAGAATAGCTCTTCCGAGCAGCCTTTCTCACAGGCAGGTATATAAGTAATAATGCCTGGTGGGGAGGATGGCATATTGGATGCCAATGCACGTCAGGTGTGTTTAACTGAATAATTTTTCCCTTGTTATTGTTTGGTATAGCACCTTGGAAGCCTGAGATGGAAACCCATTTCCTTCTAACATTTTTCTCTGTCACAGGGGCAGAGAAGTTTATTACCTTAAGGTTGTTCCTGAACAAAAGAGGCTGCACATATTGGATGGCTAAGGTAGATTGGTTCCAGATTCATTTGTTTTCAAGGAAAAAAAGAACTAAAGTGTCTTTTTGAAAAGCCACTTCTAATTGTGGAATTGCCTGGGTGTTACAAAGCACATAGGAGAGGCAGCATGAAATTCAGGCTTTCCTGACCAAATAATTACAACAGTAACATGATAATAGTAATACTTTACATTTGGATAACACTTTATTTAGTGTTTATAAAATGCTTTCGTGTATGACACCTCCTTAATTCTGATCTCCTTCATTCAGACAGAAAGATCTCACCAGTCTGGCCTTCTGAAGCTGAAACAGGCTCACACAGTTGGGAAGAAGAAGAACCAAGATATAAACTCAGATTTTTTTCTTTTTTTTTTTTTTTGAGACAGAGTTTCACTCTTGTTGCCCAGGCTGGAGTGCAATGGTGTGATCTCGGCTGGAGTGCAATGGCGTGATCTGAGCATCTCCCGCGCTCAAACGATTCTCCTGCCTCAGCCTCCTGAGTAGCTGTGTTATAGGCATGTGCCACCACACCTGGCTAATTTTTTTTTTTTTTGTATTTTTAGTAGAGACGGGGTTTCACCATGCTGGCCAGGCTGGTCTCGAACTCCTGACCTTAGGTGATTCCCCCGCCTCTGCCTCTCAAAGTGCTGGGATTACAGGCGTGAGCCACCGTGCCCAGCCAAAACTCAGGTATTTTTAAGCTCCAAATCCAGTTTTTTTTCCTTTTGTTTTGGCTACACCATGCTACACATTTTATCTAATGTATGTTATGGTCCTAACTATAAAGTCAAGATGAATAATGCTTTAATTCTATATTTCTCAGCCCAAATTTCATGATTTTTAGGAACCCCATTCTGCTAAGAATGGCTACAGTAATATACTACTAAATGGAGCCATTATGCCTGGGAGTTGTCCAGGATATTCAGCCTTAAAATGGGATCTGATCTTTGGCATTACCAGAGAAGAGACAGGTACCTGGGCTGTATGAGGTTCACAGGGATGTTTAGCCCCAGACATTGAGTGGGACTGCTGGACTTCTATGGGTCAAACTGTGTAGAGCACATGAAAGGAGGAACAAGAATAGCTCTGATGCAGAATCTGAGCAGCACATCCCACATTACCAAAGCTAAGAGTTCCATAAGACCAACTACTAAAATGTTGCATGATTTAAGATGGTAGAAATACTTGTCAAGGAAATCCTTCCTTCCTTCCTTCCTTCCTCCCTCCCTCCTTCCTCTTTCTTTTCTTTTCTTTTCTTTCTTTCTTTCTTTCTTTCTTTCTTTCTTTCTTTCTTTTTCTTTCTTTCTTTCTTTCTTTCTCTCTCTCTCTTTCTTTCTTCTTTCTCTCTCTCTCTTTCTTTCTTTCCTTCTCTCTCTCTCTCTCTCTCTCTGTCTCTTTCTTTTTTTGAGATGGGGTCTCACTCTGTTGCCCAGGCTGGAGTGCAGTGGCTTGATCTTGGTTCACTGCAGTCTCCACCTCCCAGGCTTAAGCAATCCTCCCACCTCAGCCTCCTGAGTAGCTGAAACTACAGGCACATGTCACCACGCTCAGCTAATTTTTGGATTTTTTGGTCGAGACAGGGTTTAGCTATGTTGCCCAGGCTGGTCTAGAACTCCTGGGCTCAAGCAATTCACGTGCCTCGGCCTCCCAAAGTGCTGGGATTACAGGCGTGAGCTACCACACCTGGCCAAGGAAATCTTAAATAGAACAAAAAGATCAAGAAAAGGAAACCAGAAAAGATAAAAAGTATTAGAACACAGAAACAGAGGGAAGGACATTATCAAAGAAATAATAACATTTCTCAAAATGATAGGAATCTTTTGATTGACATGGTCCTCCATACACCCAGCACATGAATGAAAAGGGACTCACATATTGGTAATCACAGTGATATTTCAGAACAGAATTCTTAAAAAGAAGATCCTAAAACCTTCTGAATCAGGGGGGAGAAACAAGTCATACAAAGCATTAAGAATCAGAATGGCACTGAAATTCTCCACAGCAACAATGAAAGCTGGAAGCCAATGAAGCAAAGCTTTCCAAGTTCTAAGGGAAAATGATTTCCATTAGCATTCTCACACCCAAACTAACAGTTAAGTGTAAAAGTAGAATACAGAGGTTTTCAGACATTCAAAGTCTCAAGAAATTGACCTCCCAGGCATCCTTTCTCAGGATGCCACCACAATATGTGCTCCATCAAAATGAGGGAGTCCACCAAGAAAAAAGGTGACATTGGGTCCAGAACGTGGTGCTCTGATGAAGGAAAGGGATGAAAGGGAAGTCCCAGGATGACAGCTGTGCAGGAGGCCTGAGAGCAGCCAGCCCAGAGTGGGGAGGAGGATGGAGATCTCCAGGAGAGACTAGAAGCACAAATGGAACTGATGGATCATCTGGTGTGTTTGATAATGTGGAAAATTACAATTCTGCAAAGTTTGGAAAGAATTAGGGATGGTGACTTAGAAAACTATGCAAATGAAGAAAGTCAAGGCATTTGCCAACTCTAGGAAAAACAAGAATTTTTTTTACATTTCCTGGTTTATTATAAAGGATATAACAAAGGATATAGGTAAAGAGATGCATAGGGTGAGGTATGGGGGAAGGGGTGTGGAGCTTCCATGTCCTCCCTGGCTATGCTACCCTCCAGGAACCTCCACGTGGTCAGTTATCTGGAAGCTCTATGAACCCAGTCCTCTTGGGTAAAAAATAAAGACGTTTTTTTTTATACCCCTTGGTATAAAAAATAAAGAAATAAAATTTAATTATACAATTTTATAAGGGTTGACGTAAATAATATTTACATAGTTAATGTAAACACTAAATATTGATTAACTAAAAATTATGATATAACCACACTCGAAACATGAAGAATGGGGAATTGATGGCTGGGATGGAATAGGAATGCTGACTCCTCCCCTATCATAATATAAAATCAATAGGTAATGTCTGAAATTGATAAACTAAAAAAATAGCTGTCTAATCATATTATTTAGAAGTGTGGAAGAGACACATCAGAATGGATGAAAAAGTTAATTTTTAAAAAATGGAAAGGGGTTGCCTCTGGAAAGCAGAACTCCAGGGTGACTGCTTGTAGTATTATTTGATTAAAAAAAATTTTTTTGGAAATGGGGTCTTGCTATGTGGCCAAGGCTGAATTCAAACTCCTGGGCTCAAGTAATCTTCCCACTTTAGCCTCCCAAGGGACTACAGGTACACACCATTGTGCCTGGCTTTATTTGATTTTTAAGAACTATATGCATACATTATTTTGATAAAAATAAAAATAGAAAATTTTAAAAATAGTTTTTCAACCATTTCACAGTACAGCCATGTCTCCATATTTATATAATGATGTCCATTCTGAGTGGCTGATTACACAAAATTCCTAAGCTTGGTATGAAGGTACGTGGCAAAGGAATCCAGAAAAGAAAGAAGAAACCAGTGTAGAATGAAGAGAAACAATGCTATTAAAACCACTTGCACAGGTTGGGCATGGTGACTCACGCCTGTAATCCCAGCGCTTTGGAGGCCGAGGCAGGCAGATCACTTGAGGCCAGGAGTTCAAGACCAGGAGTTCTGGCCAACATGCAGAAACCATCTCTACTAAAAATACAAAAATTAGCTGGATGTGGTGATGCATGCTTGTAATCCCAGCTACTCAGGAGGCTGAGGCACAAGAATTGCTTGAGCCTGGGAGGCAGATGTTGCAGTGAGCTGAGATTGCGCCACTACACTCCAGTCTGGGCAACAGAGGAAGACTCTGTCTCAAAAAAAAAAAAAAAAAGAAAAAAAATTTACATAAAGTTATATTTGAATTAGATATTGTCTTAAGAATACTTTAATAATCTGTAGTCTGTATGTAATTTTAAGACTCATTTACAATTCTAATATTGTACTTTATACCATACGTCTAATTTGCCTTAGCTCTTCCTACATTGCAAGGGGACCCACAAAAGCAGGAGGTCTCTTTCCACTGGAGAGCTGTTTTATTTCATAAGGAATAAAAGGTATGGAATCCCATTATGAAATTTGGGGTCAGAAGCCCAGGGTATAAACTTGGGTTGCAATTTACAAAGTATTATTGTATTACTGGGCATGACCAGAATTTGATCAAGTACCTGTAGATCAAATCAAATCAAGAAAAATTTATCTGGAACCTTCCACGTGGGAGGTTTTGTGCCAGAGAGCACAGAATTCCTAGAATGTCCTAGAATGACTTCAGATCAGTGCAAAGACAGAGACAGCACAGACATGATTTTAATTTATAGGGTTGGAAAAGTACAAGGCTATAAAACAGGACACCTGTTGTCTTGCATTTATGTTAAAGGTTTCACCTTTTTAAAAAATAATCAGAAACACATAATCATTAGTCTTGACATAAATTATACTTTAGATTGGGAGTGGAAATCGTGTTTTCAGAATAGGAAGGAAGGAAAAGTAAAACCAACTGCATGTAATTTTTCAAGTGGAAACAACGGCAATATGAAGATATATGGGCGTTAGACCCACTGGTAGAGGAAGGAGGCTGTGCTCTCTTACCTCTTACCATGTCACTCCTGTGACCTCTACCATTTGAAATGCTTTGATTCCACCTTGCCCAAGGGACCTGTGAGCACCGGGGAAAGGGATGAAGGATGCCTATGCCTGACCTCACCTTTACATTGTCTAACGACTGAAGGTATAAATCAGCTTTCCCCTTGAAGACCCAAGTGTCAGTAGCTCATGTGAAATGCTGGAAATATTAAATGATGTCCCCGAGGGTTTTACTGTTACTCAGTTTTCTCCTGTAACTGGGAGAGCTGTTCACATGAAGGATACTCTCCCCCAGGACCTCAATTTGTATATAAAATGAAGTATGAAACTCCAACAACTTCTTGCCAGTTTGGAAAGAAAATAAACAATTAGGGGAGGCTGCACTTAGCCCATTGTCCTGTTTATATTTCATTTATCTCTTTGACTATTCCTAGTGAACAGTTTACACCAACAAAGGTGTGATAACACTCTTATTACAAATCCTTATTTCCAGGGCAACAAATCTTTGACAGTTACAAAATCACCATAGACAATTCAATGTGTTTTTGTAATGGACAAGAACAAAAGCTCTTCCTTTAATCCTATTTAGCAGAGGGAGTGTGCTAATAATTAGAAGTGAGAGGCAAGTGTCTGGATGCCAGGGTTCCATGTCTAGCTAGGACTTGGGCCTGTATCTAAATCTCCCTTCCAGATTCTTTCTGCAGAATTTACAAAATCTATGGATGCTTACTTCTCCTAATATACCTTGATTCATTAATCCTCACCACTACCTCTATAATATGAGTAATTTTCTATAATAAGAAAAATGACCATTTTTCTCTTGATGGAGAAATTAAAGTGACTTGCTCAAGCCTCCTAGTTAGTAAGTGGACAAGGCAGGAACAGAAGGAATTATCATGGCAATCCTTAGCATTAGTCTGTCTACATCTCAGTCTTTCCTCCTCCTCTTTCCATCAAAAACTTAAGTACTGCTACACAAAGAATACAGTCCTTATTATAGAAACATTATTATACATTTATGTGGGGCTTTAAAATTTTTTAGAGCACTGTCAAACCTCCTATTTAACTTGGTTTTTATAATAGTCCTATTAGGTTTGTATTTACAGAGTCTGGAAGGATAGGATAAAAGTAATAAGAAACAAAATAGTTGAGAAGAAAAGCCAGTGAAATATTAAGGATTACCTAAGACATTGTAGAATCTTAATTACCCCAGGTTTGTAAAAGCTGGCCAGATACATGAAAATATTGATTAGACTGACTGTGCCTGTGCTGTAACAGGGGAATGATCACTAAATGACTCTTTGCTCTGTGTTCTAAGGTTGGATTCCATGTATGAAAGGATATTCAGAAGAGTGTAATGTGCTCTCTTAACATGAGCTCTCTTGCCATTTAACTATGGCTGAATTAGGGGCAAACAGCACTGCTTCTCTAGAGGTAAGAGAAAGTGTGAGGGCTGAAGGTGATTTCAAACAGCAGGTGAAGGAAGATGAAGAAATAGATACTTTTCCCCTCAGAAGTCTAAAACATCTTCTGAATCAGGCCCGGTTGTTTTGTTGTTGTTGTTTTATAAGTAGAATTGGTGCTGCTTAAATGGTGTGTGTTTAAGTTAACTGGAAAAGGGCCCCTCTTCCAAAATATCTTTTCAACTGACTTCTGTAATTCCTGAAATTCCATCATTTGGGGCCCATTCCCTTAGATTAAAGCATTATTCCCTGTTGAACTACAAATGCCTCTGGGAGAGGTAGCACATTAATCGAGATATTCTCATCCACAGTGTGGTAACAAGCTAGTACATCAGAAATCACTGGGAGGAGGAGGCACAGAGCTCCAGCTCTCCTAGGGATAAGGCACAGCTGTCTGTACCTATGCGGTAGACCACTGAGTAGAGGTAGATAACTGACAGATGTCAGGTAGCGACGCTTATCCATGAGGTCACGTGTGTGTGGCTGGCACTGTTATACGGAGCCATTATCAGTCATCGACACCTTGGAGCCGTGGTTCGTAACTCTGGCTGCACATCGGAATCACCTGTCTACTTTTTAAAAAAGTGTAGATACCTGAACTGCACCCCAGATATACTGATTCAGGATTATCTGGAGTGGGGCTGAGGCATGTTTATTTTTACAAAGTTCTATGAGTAGTTCTGATGCTCACCTAGGGCTAAGAACCACAGCCTCAGAGTAGATTTGTATGTTAGGTCCTTATCATCCTGATGGCTTGCTGGAGGGCCTTGGTGAGGTGGGCCCAGGGAGGCCCCCAGGTGGAGGGCCTGGACAGTGAGTATCAGAACAAGCACGAGGGGCAAGAGAAGTGCTATAGGCACCAAAGTAACCAAAGGTGACCTGGAAAAGAGCCAAGACAACTTGTACTCACAGCAATTTTAACAAACTACCCAGGATCATTATTACCAAGACTAGAATAAACTACATTAATCAACCAATAAAAGTTAGGACTTCTGCATAACACCATTTAAGAAATACTAAAGAAATTATTATCTGTGCTAATATAACTCTGGCTTTAATCGTTTCCATGGCTGAGGAGGCCACTTGTAGTCATTTCATCACTGTGGTATCTTTCCCATTCTATTCCTCATAGTCTCCTCCCGAGTGTTACCCTGCTCGGTTTGTCCTCGGCTACCCTCCAAAGGAAGTCCTTACCAGATGTATCATTAGGATTAGTTTAGCCAGTGTGACGGAAAGCCCCAAATAATAGAGGCCTTAACAAAATAGAAGGTAATTTGTCCCTCATGTATAAAAAGACTGGGGGGAGGCACCCCAGGAATGGGAGGGCACTTCATGCTCCTCTTTTTTTTCCTGAAAAAGAGTTTTGCATCTTGGTGATCACATTTATTAGAAGGGTTGGAGAAAAATAAAAATGCCATTTAGCTTAAGAAGTTATGAATTATCTGGGCTGGGTGCAGTGGCTCATGCTTGTAATCCCAGCACTTTGGAGGGCCAAGGTGGGAGGATGGCTTAAGCCCAGGAGTTTGAGACCAGGCTGGGCAGCACAGTGAGACCCCACCTCTATTAAAAAAAATTTTTTTTTAATAGAAGTTATGAGTTGTCTGCAAATCAATTCATTTCAGGAGTGGGAGAATTTCTTAATATCAAAATGTTTGCTGGTTTCTCTTTTGAATGTCCTGAACATTTAAAGAGGTACCTGTACAAAATCTCCTATTTTCCATATGGGATAAATTGTTTCAGCCAACTCTCAACGGAGGGACAACCAGGACAAAACATCTTCTGGGAAAAACAGCATTCGAATATTCTGTTTCGCTGATTTATATATCTCTTATATATGATGGCTTCTTCCTCAATTTCTGTAGTAGTCACAGTTTCTTCCACATCTCCCAATAACATATTTAAATGTAGATCATAAGCATGTAATCTGCCTAGAAGCTCCTGGTAATCTCTCATTTATCCATAAATTCATTTATCCAGGCTGAGCCTGATGAAATCAAGGGGCTCCTCTATGGTGTTGGTAGTTTGTTGCTGGTTTATGTCGTCCACCATGTTTCAAACCCTTCGCCCTTTCCTCTTCAGGCTCTTTCTATCTTTATAAAGTATGTCATTTGTTCGTCATGGTCCAAACTGGCTCCAGTTCCAGCCAGCAGGAAGGAGGAAAGGGGCAACACAGACAGCACCACCATCCCTCTACCTGCTTAAGGACACTTGTGTGTGGCCCTAAAAAGTTGACACATTACTTACACATTCCACTAACCAGAAGTTAAATCACGTGGTCAAATCTAGTTGCCGTGGAGGCAGGGAGTTGTTCTGGGCAGCCACGAACCCAGAACTGGGGGCTAGCTAGCAGTCTCAGCTACACCAGTAATACTGCACACAGCTAAATAAGTATTGGCAGTCACCTTATGAACCTAGAATATCCCACTGGAAAGAAAGAAAATGAGTATGGTAAGAGAAGACTGCTTAATTCCAGGTGTTGGGTAATTCGTGGCGATTAGAGGAAAGTGTTTTCCACTAATGAAGAGTGAGAATTTGTTCAAAGTAGTTATCTGTGGTCCAAGAATCATAACAGAGGCCTCAAATAAATGAAGTGTTGGTTTATCTTTTGAAAGGTTATGTTTCCTCTTGGAATTATGTGATTCAAAAGTCCACCTCTTGCCTAAGGAAGGACTGGAATACAGGCCTTCTTGTCCAAGTTCCTGAAGTTAACTTCTATAACACTGTCAGGAGCAGAACAACATATAAGACCACTGGAGTGTGCGCTAGCTGTTAGTGCTCACAAAAAGTAGGAGAAATGTTAGTACTAATTTCACACCCAAATTTGCTTAGATGTGCTTAAAAAGATTCTGATCAATGAAAAGGTATACTTTTCCCTAACTCTAGGGCTCCAAGTGCTTGAGGGTTACAGATAATGCTGTTCTAGATGCATGTGGTATAAAATACAAATAATCTGTTTAAGTCTATGGCAATGTTTGGATTGCTTCACTGACTAGGATGATTTTAAAAGTAAAGCACTGTATCTTTTCCAATCTGATCTCCCTAAATCATGCAATAGACTTGTTTCCTTTCTTTGTGTTTCTCATTTGTCCAGCTCATTGAATCGTATGGCTATTTACCTCAGTTAGATAGAGAAACATGGTGCTAAGGAGACGAAGGTGACCTGGTGCTAAGGAGACAAGGCTTTATCCCAAGTGGGTTGATTGGCGTGCAGAATTCAGTTCTGTTCCATGTCTAGTTGACTGCTTCTCTACCCCTGGCTAGTTATTCTGAGGGGATGCATGCTTCTTAAAATGGGGGGCTGAGTAGGAAAGAGTGGGTGCCTCAGCAGAATTAAGCTGTACTGTTGGCCGGGCTCAGTGGCTCATGCCTGTAATCCCAGCACTTTGGGAGGCTGAGGCGTGTGGATCACCTGAGGTCAGGAGCTCGAGACCAGCCTGACAAACATGGAGAAACCCCATCTCTACTAAATATACAAAAATTAGCCGGGTGTGGTGGCAGGTGCCTTTAATTTCAGCTACTTGGGAGGCTGAGGTAGGAGAATCGCTTGAACCCGTGCTTGAACACCACGGAGGTTGCAGTGAGCCGAGATCACACCATTGCACTCCAGCCTGGGCAACAAGAGCAAAACTCTGTCTCAAAAAAAAAAAAAAAAAAAGCTGTACTGTTGTAAACGCCCTGCAAAGGCCCTTATACAGAGTTGATGGGCCAGAAGTACCTCTATGCAAAGAGGAACATAAGTAGTTTGGATATGAAATGGTCTCTCCAACAATAAGCCATTCTACTTTCAGGAGACTATGACCTAGCAGCTTGGAGATTGAACTGTGGCATCAGGAATGGAAAAGAAAGCTAGTGTGGCAAGAACAACTGTCATATTCACAGGACAAGGTTTAGGGCTCTCCGTCTTCTGCTTCTTGCTGATCTGGGTCACCACATTCTGCCTCCTATTTCCAACCTACCTTGGTGTTTCCCACCCCCAGCTGAGTTGTCACTATGTGTTGAGGAAAATCATCTCCATAACAGGAATGATATTTGCCACTGTTTTCACTTATTCTAGATAGAAATGTTATTTCTCACCACAGAGGAAGACTTTTTTCCCTCTTATCAAAATCTGTCAGTCTATCCACACAACCTGGAGAACAAATGTGTTTTTTATCCCTCTGTGAACAAACACGGCTCAGCACCTGCACAGCACTCAAGGGTGGCCAGACCTCATCCTGACTCTGAGCCAACTGCTGCTCTTGGAGAGAGAAAGTAAAAATGATTGATTCTACATCTTAATTAAGATAAACAAAGAGGGACATCAAATAATGGCCCTGACAGTTTGAAACAAACTAAAAGTACAGCTTAGCATTTCATAAAATAAAAAGCGTTTGATGTGAGGATGGCAGTTTAATAATTTGTAAATATCACTGGCTTAGTATTATAGCTAATCCAAATATTTTCATTTCTCATCATAAGTCACCCTCTGTTGATGGCTTGTCCTCTTCAACTTACAGCTTTCACCCTCGAGCCTTCAACAGAGGCAGAGAGGAGAGGAACAGAAAGGATCACAGGTTCTCTCTGGAATGTGAATTACAGCCTCAGCTTCCTTTATACTTTCTGATTCTGAATATTCACTAGAAAATACCACTGACCAGCCCAAAGGATGTATTGCCTTCTTCTTCATCTCCTCTAAAACATATCAAACTTTAATTACAGCTTCCTATTAGCTTCTGATTGTTTCTTCTTCTTTAATTTTTTGTAGAGATGGGATTTTGCCATGTTGCCCAGGCTGGTCTCAAACTCTTGGGTTCAAGCAATCTACCCACCTTGGCCTCCCAAGTGCTGGAATTACAGGCATAGGCCATTGCACTGGGCCTGATTGTTTCTTAATTAAGAGAAGCTGAACTTTCTCCAGTTCCTTTTTTTTTTTTTCTCTTTTTCTAAAATTAGAGGCTGGGCTCACACCTGTAATCCCAGCATTTTGGGAGGCTGAGGCAGGCAGATCACTGGAGGTCAGGAGTTCGAGACCAGCCTGGCCAACATGGTGAAACCCTGACTCTACTAAAAATACAAAAATTAGCCAGGCATAGTGGTGCGTGCCTGTAGTCCCAGCTACTTGGGAGGCTGAGGCAGGAGAATTGCTTAAACCTGGGAGGCGGAGGTTGCAGTGAGCTGAGATTGCGCCGCTGCACTCCAGCCTGGGTGACAGAGTGAGACTCTGTCTCAAAATAAAGTAAAATAAAATAAAATAAAATAAAATAAAATAAAATAAACAGATGGCATTCCACTATGTTGGTCAGGCTGGTCTCGAACTCCTGGGTTCAAGCAATCCTCCTGCCTCAGCCTCTCCAAGTGCTGGGATTACAGGTGTGAGTCACTGCACCTGGCCTCTGGTTTTTAAATTATAGAGAAATAAAAAAATTGAACCACCATACTAACTGTAATGTTCCTACAGTACTGTTTTTATATCATAATGAAATAGTCAGCTATAGATCTATATCTAAAATGTGTTTTATTGCCCTAATGCCCTCTGAAGAAGGGTAGCTGAAGGGTAGGGGTATTCTTGTTAATGCCTATGTCTACACTTCCTTGGGTGGGTATGGAGGAAGACAAGCAGAAAGCTGTGATAATAATTATAAAAAGATAAAAGTGGAAACCTCTATGTTGGCCATAGCCTTGTGATTTGGCTTTTGTGAAAAATATTCAGGGAAATAGTAGGGAATTTTAACAATTGATTTGGAATTCCCCAGGGTGCAAGCCACAACATATATCTGCGAAAGCAGAACCGAAGGAACACCATTGGGCAGACGGAGGCTTTGGGCTTTTTAAAAAGGTATGTAAAAAGGGAAGGGTGAGGATGCAGACGTGTCAGATCAGCCTGTTGTGAGATATGACTCTGGACTCAGGAGAAGACCATTTTCTCATGGCCTCCCCATTCTTTTTGCTAAGGTTCTTAACAGAAATTTTTTTTTTTCCTGCTGTTGGATGATACCAAGTCCAGGCTCGAGACCACACTGGATGGACATGACAGGCAGGGGCCCACAGAGGGAAGCTGCAGTTCAGATAATTCTCCACAGGGAAGCAGTATGAGATCAGGGTTTAGATAGAGGCAGCCCCAGCATCACCAGCTCTCCCTGGTTCTAATTGGAGACAGTTTTCCTCCTTTCCTTTCACTGTGTAAGATAAGCACCAACAGGGCAAGCTCACCTTTCAGGAGAGCCCCTGAGCCTAACTGCAATCCTCCATGTAGCCCTTTACTCCCAGGCCTGTTCCTCCTCACTTAAACAGCTGGCTTTCAGCATATTGCTTTGTTTATTCCATCTCTGACCTATGCATTATCTGAAGGATGCCATAAGGGTTCAACATGCCCACCTTTGTGAAATTACCTCATTCTGAGCTGCTGGGTTCATACCACTGACACAGAGGGGAAACCTGCAGAGGGAAGCTTAGCAACATGTCACACACATGTTGTTCTTGGCAGTATGAATTCCGGTGACTTTTGACATTTCTTAAACAGGAGTCAGTTATATCTTTCCTACTCTGAGGAAAATGGTGCCAGCTACAACTTGATCTTGTTTGAGTTATAGAAGCAATACAACTTTATAGACAAGACTCTGAATAGAGAGCTTACAACTGAGATTCTATCTTGACAACATCCCATTGATAGAGTGTGTGATAACTGCAAAGCCACTATTTATCTTACTTGCTTATGAAATTGAAATAACATATTGCTGATAAGTCTTAAGAACTAAGTACCCTATGTCCACTTTGCACAAGCACCCAATACTGTGAATATACTTTTTTTTTTTTTTTGAGACAGGGTCTCACTCTGTTGCTCAGGCTGGAGTACAGTGGTACAATCTCAGCTCACTGAAACCTCCACCTCCTGGGATCAAGGGATCCTCTCACCTCAGCCTCCAGAGTAGCTGCGACTACAGGTGCACACCATCATGCCAGGCTAATTTTTGTATTTTTTGTAGAGACAGGGTTTCGCCATGTTATCTAGGCTAGTCTCGAACTCCTGAGCTCAAGCGATTCAACCACCTCGGCCTCCCAAAGTGCTGGGATTACAGGTGTGAGCCACTGCACCTGGCCTGAATATTCATAAGAGATAAAATTTTGCCCTCTCTTTTGTCAGACATTCTCTAGAATGCATGTTCTTTCATGGACAGATTGGCAAATATTATAAGTATCAGATTCAAAACTTTCTAAGAAATTTAAATGTTGAATTCTTCTAATACAAGAAGCAAAAATTCCATTTTCAGCGTTTCATGTGTTGAGAGTGAAAAGGGGGAATATAAGAAAGAAGTGAAGTCCAGATTTCCTAAAGTACATCTCAGGTAAGCCTCTCTCTTATCACATATTTTATTTTTTTACCTGAAATATTTCAGAACTTAAATGTTTTTGTCAAATTTGAAAAAGGTGTGTGGTATTGACTTCTTCATACTGATCTCATTTTTATTTTCTTTATAGTCTGTCCAAATCATTTTCAGGCCCCTTAAATCAGTTACCTTTCTTCTAGGGACAATCAATAGAAAGCAAGCAAAAAGAAAAAAGAGTGAGACCTGCCCTCTCAGTGGTCTCCTGGGTAACTTTATCTCCCAGACAGGATGATGCAAAGATGAACAGAAGAGGGGTTTCTGAATAGATTTCCAGTAGGATTGCTGTCAAGATGGGATCAGCTGCAATGGTGCCAGATAAAAACTGCAGGAGACCGAGATGGGTGGATTGCTTGAGCTCAGGTGTTTGAGACCAGCCTGGGCAACAGGGCAAAACCCCATTTCTACAAAATACACAAAAATTAGCCTGGCCTGGTGGTGTGCACCTGTAGTCCCAGCTGCTCGGGAGGCTGAGGTGAGAGGATAGCTTGAGCCAAGAGGTCGAGACTGCAGTGGGCTGAGATTGTGCCACTGCACTCCAGCTTGGGTGACAGAGGAAGATATTGTCTCTAAATAAATAAATAAGAAAAGGTTAGGTAAAGGTAAAAATTATATGGAGTCCACTGCAATATCTCTTATCCAAAAGAAATTTGTTAAAAAAAAATTTTAACAGCTCAAACTACCTTTGAGGCTAATAAAGGCACCAAAATGGATTATCAGACCATGATTTGAGGTTTGAAAAAGGATGCCAGTGCTGACTGACTGGGAAGCTATTGGAAATAAATTAAAAGGCTACATTATGTGAAACAGAGGGTCACAGCATAGGAACATCTTGAAAAGCCATAGGTGCACCAATTACATTTATCAAGATGTTAGTGAAAGCTTTGTGTATGGCTTGTTTTTGCAGGTCATTTGTATGAGATATTGTTGGATAAACTGATTTCATAGAGAAGGAGGAAGGTACTAAGTATCACATTGTGTTAATGTGCCAGCTTGCCACCTTTGGGATCAGATTTGGTGCAGGGCACAAATGAAATGAGTTTGGTGGCTTCAAGCTAGGCTACCACTGATATTTATCCTTAAACAAAATCACAAATCATTTGCTAACAGCTAGGATCAGAGACCTGGGGCTGAGACAGTAAGAATGTTGCAGGTCAGGAGGAAGACTAGCTGGCAGAGTTGGGTTAGGGAAGCAGCCATTTCCTCTAGGTCTCCAGCTTGGCTTCAGCTTATGTTACCAACCAACCCTTCTCATCCATAAACACTGACATTCACACTGATTTTACAACCTCTCTTTGCCTGGCAAACCCAACATCAATATTCCCAACAGCATTTCATGAAACCTCTAGTTATCAAAGTCCTCATCACTTAATCAATTCTAAGAATAATAATTTCATAAACACTATGGAAAAGGAGTCCTATTATTAGACTGTAACTGTCCTTAGCAAAATAATGGAACTTGGTTGTTCTAGTGAATTCTAAATTTAAACACTGCTTGCTCTGTCTCCACTCAACGAAGAGCTTGTGTGCTACTCTGATGAAAATGCAAAGAATTAGAAAACAATGACTGTGTGAATGACATTTACAGAGATCTCATACTGGAAAGGGCACATTTTATTGTGACTTTGTGTCAAAAGTGTAGTTTCATCAGAGCACAGGAGGCAAAAGAAACAGGCAATCAATACTTGGGCCTCTAATATCTGAACTGAGAAAGAAAATCATTATCCTGTTACTTCTATTGTAGGGTGATGCTTGAAATACTGCACCTTGTTTCCATAATAATTCAATATTTTGGGGGTTTCAGATTGTTAAAAAAAAAACCCTCATGGGGTGGCCATGTGAAATCAGAACATGAAGAGTAGAAAGGAATAAACATGCACACATTTTACAGTGGGAATAAAGAGAAAGGCAGATTAAGAAAGAGAAATAGAAAAAATATAACAACCTAATTTCCTATTAGTATTTATCTAATAGTATATGTTTAATTTTGGAATCTCTAGAATTAACCTGAAAGAGTTCTTTGCTTCCAATTTTTTGAACAAAACACACAGATTTCCAATAGAGAAGAGTCCCCTCAATATTAATGAGGTTACTTGGGCAGAATTTTTATCTCTAGATTTATTGAAAATTGTATTCCATTGTTGAGAAACTAAAACCCAGGTGGGAACCATGTGGAATGTGACATTTGATTTTAAAAGTCAGTTGTACTATTCACTTCTCATTGGCAAAAAAACTGGCCACTGAACTTGAACTTCTTGCTGACAAAAGGAGAGGAATTATCATCCACAAACCTTTTTGAAACTCTTATATGTCCAGCCTCAAATAAAGCACCAGTTCTGCCTATTTCTAATATGACTGTTTATTGGTTAGTATTTTCAAAACACTTCAAGGCAATTAAACCCTTCCCCCTCTAGATTTCAGCATCCAGTTTAAAAGTCTCTCTGAATACATATTATGGAGAATAGGGTCATGTCAGTTAATGTTAGTTGCAAAAACAAGTACAGCTGTCCTCAACCTGACTTTCATACTTTTGTGTGTTGGTACCATAACCCAGTTATTTAAATTCTGGGTTTTTTCCTCTTAGAATTATTATTGATGAAATTAGCATTATATAGTCATAAAGTCATTACCTGCTTTTCTAGGCTGTCTGCTGCACCCCCATGGAGAGCTAAGTGGGCCCTTAATGAACAAGAAAAGGTTATCTGGCTGCACACGGTGTCTCCCAGTCTGCTCTGGCTAGAAGCTACAGCAGCCACAGATAACAGTTCAAAGTCATGCAAATGAGGGCTAGGCTACCACTTTGTTCCTCACAGAGGAGATGTTCCTGTGATCCACTGGCAAATGTACAATGGAAGCAGGAAAAAAGGATATTTTCAGAGACCTAATCCCTCCAGGCAGCTGGTTTATTTCAATTGAAGAAACTACTACAGCCACCCACCAGAATTGCTAAAATTAAGAAACACTGACAATACCAAGTATCAGTGAGAATGAGGAGCAACTGGAATTTTCACACATTGTTGGTGGGAGTAAAAATGGTACAAGTCTGTTGGAAAAATGTTTGGTAGAATCTCCTAAAGCGGAATACGCACATACCCTCTAATTCAGCAATTCCTCTCCTAGCTATATACCAAACAGAAATGCCAACATAGTGGTGCTCCAAAAGTCTGATATAAGATTGTTCACAACAGCATTATTTACAATATTTCCAAAGCAGAAAAAAACCATACGTTTACCTACCATAGAATGAAATAAAATGAATAAAGGAAATACTATATAGTAATGAGAACAAAGGAACTACATGTGTTTTGCTACATGCAAAAACACGGACAATCCTCACAAATATAATGCTAAATGAAAGAGTCCAGACACACAAAAGTATATATAGTATGAATCTGTTCATATGAAGTTCAAGTATAGGCAAAATTAATCTGGTGATAGAAGTCAGAATAGTAGTTATTTTGGTGGAGATAACTGGGACGGGGCATAAAGAGAAGTTTCAGGCCAGGTGCAGTGGCTCACGCCTGTAATCCCAGCACTTTGGGAGGCTGAGGTGGAAGGATCACTTGAGGTCAGGAGTTTGAGACCAGCATGGCCAACATGGTGGAACCCTGTTTCTACTGAAAATACAAAAGCCGGGCGTGGTTGCACATGCCTGTAATCCCAGCTACTTGGGAGGCTGAGGCACAAGAATCGCTTGAACCCAGGAGGTGGAGGTTGCAATAAGCCCAGATTGCGCCACTGCACTCCAGCCTGGGTGACAGAGCGAGACTCCATCTCAAAAAAAAAAAAAAAAAAAAAAAAAGAAAAGAAAAAAAAAAGAAAGAGAAGCTTTAGGGGTGCTGGTAATGTTCTATATCTTGATGTGGGTAGGGCTTACATAAGTGTGTTCACTTTGTTAAAAAAAATCACCAGGGTGGGCACGGTGGCTCACGCCTGTAATCCCAGTACTTTCGGAGGCCAAGGCAGGCGGATAACGAGGTCAGGACTTCCAGACCAGACTGACAAATATGGTGAAACCGCGTCTCTACTAAAAATATAAAAATTAGCTGGGCATGGTGATGCACATCTGTAATCCCAGCTACTCAGGAGGCTGAGGCAGGAGAAGCGCTTGAACCTGGGAGGTGGAGGTTGCAGTGAGCCAAGATTGCACCACTGCACTCCAGCCTGGGTGACAGAGTGAGACTCTGTCTCAATAAATAAATAAATAAATAAATCATTGAGTTCTACATTTATGATTTGCGCATTTTTCTGTATATATGATGTATTGCAATAAAAAAGTTGACAAAAAACTATCAAAGTAGTTTGTTACTAACTAATGCCTTTGTCAACTTCTGAAACACTAGGAAACAAAGGAAGAATGACTAAAACAGTTTCTCCTTGAGTAAAGTTTGCTACAGAATTACTTTTTAAAAATCCTAGAGAAATTACATAGGCATGGCTAAAAGAATTTGTATTTCCTAGCCTGGAGCTCATAAGGCTAAATGGTGTTTTGGTTTAAACCTTCAAGTACTGTATAGTGCATTATATCAAATGTTTTATAAGGAGGTTACTAACCAGCTAATTCTGTTCGTGCCGCAAGAGAAATTGACTTAAATTAAAACAGGAGCAATTTCAAGAAGTTAAATAATTGTGGGATCAGAATTGCCGAGTATCTTTAAGAAATCCACAAGGTTGCCTGCAGTCTCTTTCAGTTCTGTTCTCCAGTTCAACAGTGGGATGGTGGCGTAATTTAAAAATCTGCCCTTCACAGAGAGCACTGCATGTTTTAAGGGCTCTTGCCCTAAACTCACTTATCAATACTGAAATATCCCTAACTCAGTTTCTCTGTCTAGACGTCTCTGTTGCCCACTCCTCCTGATGATAAAGGAGGGAGAAAGCCCAATTGGTTAACATCTATAATTTGTAGTGATTCTGTGATGAAATATGGTATGTAAATGTAAAGAATTATTATTATAATAAGCCCAGTCAACCACAACAATGGTGGTTGGTGGTGCCAGAAATGTCTAAGGGGTAACTTGGAACTCTTACCACTCTCTCAGAAATTAAGTTGCTACAGTTAGCTACAGGCTTTGAGAAGTAGAGGGAACCACAAAGAGCCTAAGCGTAGGGAGCTGAGGTAAAAAGAGCTTGGTCTAAAGGAAACCCTAGGCAAATATGACAAAAAGGGTTCCTCACGCTAATACAAATCAATAATAGTTTTAGCTATCATCTAGGATTTTCTAGAAGTTTTCTTTCCATTAATTACTCTTCCTTCATACTCCTACACTCTTTCTGTCTCTAAGAAAAACTGTATTCAAGAGATATTGATGAACTGACTTGGGTTTTTTTGTTTGTTTTGTTTTGCTTTGCTTTTGTAGCTGAAAAATGTACATAGCTAAAATAGGAGATGCATATAGAAGAATTATATATATATTTTTTTCCCGAGATGGAGTGTTGCTCTGTCACCCAGGCTGGATTGCAGTGGCACAATCTCAGCTCACTGCAACCTCCACCTCCCAGGTTCAAGCAATTCTCCTGCCTCAGCCTCCTGAGTATCTGGGATTACAGGCCCCTGCCACCACACTTGGCTAATTTTTGTATTATTAGTAGAGATGGAGTTTCACCATGTTGGCCAGGCTGGTCTTGAACTCCTGACCTCATGATACGCCCACCTCGGCCTCCCAAAGTGCTGTAGAATAATTTTAATGCTTCCTAAAATGTCCTCTTAAGGCCGGGTGTGGTGGCTCACACCTGTAATGCCAGCACTTTGGGAGGCTGAGGCGGGTGGATCACGAGGTCAGGAGTTCGAGACCAGCTTGGCCAACATGGTGAAACCCCATCTCTACTAAAAATACAAAAATTAGCTGGGCGTGGAGGTGAGTGCCTGTAATCCCAGCTACTCGGGAGGCTGAGGCAGGAGAATCGCTTGAACCTGGGAGGCAGAGGTTGCAGTGAGCAGAGATCATGCCATTGCACTCTAGCCTGGGCGACAGGGTGAGACTCCGTCTCAAAAAAAAAAAAAAAAAAAAAAAGCCCTCTTAAAAGGTGCATGGTTTGAAGTCAAGCTTTCCAGTGTTAAAATGCTACCAGATTTTAAGCTCAATTCCTGTGTGGTTTTGGAGATGCTGGCATTCTAAAAACTGCTGATTCTCACTTGGTAAATGGAAACTGAGTTATAGCAACTAAGGTCTGAAGAATCAGAAGTAGATTTATGCTTAACAAAGATCTATGTAAGATAAAAATTATTATGTGGAAATTTAGGGCCCTTCCAATTTTAGGTTTCTGACTTCTCTGGAGTGGTTTTCTGGCACAACTAAGACACTGGTGCTCAATTATGAGCAACACAGCACTTCTCTGAATTATGTGTCCACTCCCTTATATTCTGGATACTTTCCTAGTTGCTCCTAAATTTCCACATTACTACCATTATATGCTGCGCAGTATATGAAAATGCCCTTTTGGCATCATCTGTGAACTGCTGAAAACTGAAGTGTGGGCAAATGTCCCATGTGGATATGTATCTATATAAACCAAGCCACAGAAGTGGTAAATCAGTCTAAGCACAGAAATGCCTGCAAATTTCCATCAATCAAGTCTAGAAGAACTATCACATGCATTTGAAAATAAGCAATTGTTGAAAATAA
Organism: Homo sapiens; assembly: GCF_000001405.40. Lineage (NCBI taxonomy): Eukaryota > Metazoa > Chordata > Mammalia > Primates > Hominidae > Homo > Homo sapiens. Next base: position 48,223,699 of record NC_000017.11, read on the forward strand.
GCCAAGTTAACCAGTTTTTATGAGCTCATAGTGACCGATGGTTAACAGTTTGCTTGGGGTTATTCACTCAGAACTTTACTGGCATGTTCTATGACTACAAGTACAAGGTACCAAGGAACAGCAGATGTGCACGGCACTGTATGTGAGAAGTATGAGAGGAAAAGCAGATGGCCTCTAGCTGAATATCTGAAATTGTTAATTAACAATAAAAAAGTATATAGGTACCAAAATAAAAACCTACAGCTCAGAGAAGGCAGTGTGTATAGACTGTGGAGAAGAGTACCTTGAGCTGAACTCTGAGAGATGGGAGACAGAGAGAGAGAGAGAGAGAGAGAGAAGAAGGAGGAGGAGGAGGAGGAGGAGGAGGAGAAGGAGGAGGAGGAGGAGGAAGAGGAGGAGGAGGAGGAGGAGGAGGAACTTTCCAGAAAGGAAACAGCACAAGCAAGAGCTTGAAAGTCTACACTGAGTATAATGTGTTCTTAGCCAACAGTAACTTGACTGATGCCTGGAGCTTTTGGTGGATATGTAGGTGTGGGTGTATTCTAAGAAATAAGCTAAACATTTATCCTATGGGTGTAGGACAAACTCTGAAAGATTTCAAAGGTCAGGCTGACAAGTTCTAATAATCTAGTTTTCCCTAGTTTCCCTCACTCCAATTTCTCATTATGAATGCTGAAATGAGCAGGTCCTTTAAACTGGAGAGGCTAGGAGGTCTCCTCAGCTATGCAGAGTTATTGAAAGTTTTCAGTCAGGAAATGACATAATAAAGCCAGTGTTTTTCTAGTGATGAAGATGATTTAAATATAGTTGCTCTACAACTATTCTTCTATTGACTGAACTATTCCATTTTTCAAATAGAATAATAATTCTTAACAAAGTAAACTGGTTCTTGTCTTAGATTCTTTCTGGAACAATGTGGTATCATACCTATGCCTAGTTAATGGATAGGAACTGTCATCAAATTTAAATTTTCTCTTAAACCTTGTGTTATTTTACCACTTTAGGTGGCCAAAAAAGAACAAATGGTAAATAAATATATTAATGGAAATTTTTGGAGACCACTGATCATGCTTAGTTCAAAAAGCCATACTTAGTGGCCTTTTGGGGGAGGGGAGATGGGTGTGCTTCTGGCTGAGAGTTTATATTGCATACATATAATGTGGCCATATTTTGTGTCAGTACAGTTTGTATGATAGAATTAAACATATATTTAATGAAGTTTTGCCAAGTGTACCAGAACACATTAGAGAACTACTGCTTTTACATAGCCATATTTGAATCTACTCAATTTCAACAGATTTGGAAAGGACTACAAATAACTATAGGGGGCAGAAATTTAAAATTTAATAGAGAAGGGCAGTCTACTATGGCCTCTGGTTCATTCATGGTAAAGTGAAATAGAATTTGTATTTCTAGTATGTACGCAAATTCTCTAAAGTAAAGTAGTATATTTCAATATGCTTCTCCCTCACTAAAACTGATTTAAATATAAATGGGATTGAATGAGTTAACGGCTGTCCCATAGAGGCTCCCTGTATTCCCAGCTCTTGGCACACACAGTAGGTGCTTACTCAACATTTTAAAAATCAATGAATTAAAGGACTGAATATAGCAGGGAGTCAGAGATTTTAGGTCTTGTTATTGATCTTGCCACACATTTATTTATCAAGTAGATTTGGGTATATAGGCTTTCTGTGCTCATTTTTTCCCTCTCTGAAATCAAGATGATAAAACTTCTTTTACGTATGGTGATGCTTGAAATACTGTGTGTGAAATGATTTGCACTCTTTGGGAGAAAAGGATCTTATAAATAGAAAGCATTGTTCAGGTTACCAACAGCATTCAAATTTAATTTGTACCACATGGATTATGCGGAGGGCCCATGACCTAAGTAATGAAGGTTGCTGAGCCCTAGATGCCCATGGAAAAAAGCTTTTTCTCCTTGTTTTTCTGGCTGCAAGAGTGACTGCTGTTTCCTCTGCCTGCCTGTTCTAACTATGATGCACTTATTTTCCGCAGCCTCATCTCAATTCCTTATTATGAATACTGAAACCAGCAGGTCCCTTAAATTGGAGAGGGTAGGAGATGCATACATCTGAAAGTGCAGTAATAAGGGCCCTGGACTTAAGAATGAAGAGTTGAGAGAGATGAGTAAAGAACACTGACTAGGACGTGCGAGAAAAGACAGATCAATCCCAACGATTCATCATGCCAGGAGCTGTCCAAATAATCAAAGGTATCAGCCAGGGTGATGTATAGCTGATGTCACTTGGGGAGACCCTTAACAAGGCGGTTAGTACAACAGCTGCTGCTGGTCAGTGAGTAGCACAGCACATGCCAGGCCAGGGCAGAGGAACATAGACCATCCATCACTGACCCAACCTAATGGCTAGGCTTATTAGTAAACATTCTCTGTGGCTGACAGCCTGTAATGGTACAGGATGTTCCCCTACTGTCCCCCAAATAAACTGACCCACCTGACAGATGTGTGAAATCCGTGGTCTCTCTTCAGATTGTTTGAGTAAGTATAATTTATTCTATTTTATTGAGACAGGCAAGAATGGATCTTTAGAAAGAATAAGAGAAGGGAGTTATGTATAAAGCCTCCATTTAGCAGAAGTATTTGTAATCCACTTCCCCCAAGATACGTTTTTTTTTTCCTTCTTAATCATAAATCAGAAAAGTGACAGTATATGTTGACATGCATGCATTTTTCTATAGGCACTATTGTAGGTAAGTTTCATCTATATCTCTATTATGGATCAGAAATTCCCAAAGTGGAAATAAAATCCACTCTCTGTATTAAAGATATCTAAGTCTACTTTAACTACATTATGTTCTTGGAGGGGATATCTTAATGGACTAAGTATGAGGTTTGAAATATCTAGACTTCCTGGAACCACAGGTTCAATTCCCAGCTGAATCAGCTCAGTCCTCCAGTCTTCACTGGCAGATAAAGTAAGATGCTAACAAGCTTACTGTGCATAGATCTATCAGATGAGTTGCAGTAACTCATAATCTTGCCTATTTTTTTTGAAGTGGACATTTAACTTGATTTTGGTGGTTTTGATCTTGAAAAATTCCATACAGTCTGCATGGTAAACTTGATGCTTAATTTATTCAAAAGGGATGTGCTATTTAGGGTGAGCTCGCACCCTCCACCAAGTTTGAGACATTCTTAAACATCTGTGGGGTTTGAAATGGGCAGGTTGTTGCGATTCCAATTACCTCTTCCTAACTCCATACCTTCCAGTTTGCCTGGACTTGAGCTTCCTGTCTTGCCTCACCCTTTAGTGTATCTTCCTCTTGGCTTGACCTTAGCTTGGCTCTCTAGTTTTGGTTATTGAGCTTGCTTTGAATTCTGGCACAGGTGAATTCTTCAAGCCCTACTTAACTTGGATTCTGGACTTTTCACTACTCTGACTTCCAGGACTGGCATGATATCTCAAGTTTTACTTCAGTTTCTGTGAATGGAGAGGGAACATGGTATAAAAAAAGAGCTCTAGGGCTTGGGAAAAATTAAGAGTTTCCAGAAAGACTATTTCCTAAACTGCCCCTGTTTATTCTTGTTCTGTGCGCTAGTCCTAGCACTGACACAAAGTAGTTCTGCAATGATGAGCAAGTCATTTGATTTATCTGCAGTTTGGTCTGCAGAATGGGTAGGCTAGACTACATGAGTTCATGGCTCCTTCTCTGTCCTAAGATTCTTGGATCTTTCTTGGTTTCTGTCTGGGCACCCCATCACTCAAGCTCCAGCTCAGTACAGAAAGGGACTGAAAAATGTTTTAAAACCTAAATTTTATGCATCATCATAGCCACTAATTAATGCCAATTGAGCACTAACACCTTGTGTTAAGAATTTTAGAATTCTTTACCTCTAGTGGAAAATAAAAGAATTTTAGAATTTTATAGAATGCAGAGAGGATTGGCATTTTGGAATTTTTTATCAAGGGGAGATTCCATAACATAGTCTCAAAGAGAAGCTCATTTTTATTTTTATTGTGGGGTCTGAAAGAAATGAAGTTGACTGGCTAGTAGAGAGTGGTGGTGAAGAACATGGACTCTGCAGCCAGAGAGCCTGCTCTGAATCCAGGTTCCAACCCTTACCAGCTGTGAGACTTCAGCGAACTGATCAATTTCTCTGTGTTTCAGTTTTATCTTATAAGGTTGTTACGAGGATAAAATGAATTACTGCTAAATAGTGCTTAGAACTGTGTCTGGAACACAATATGCACTATGTAAATGTTGGTTAAATAAATAAAAATATTGGAGCTACAAAGTCTCTCATTCATTTCAAGGTGTATTTCTGTGTATATCCTGATCACTAATAAGTAGCAGAGATATTATGACATATATTTAATATCTACAATTAAGTTGCAGGCTTATGCATAGAGAAACACTGATGTAATTCAGTATTGTTAAGATTGCAGGAAACATAATTATATAAGATGTGGGGGTGGGGTAGGGTGTGTGTGAGAGAGAGAGAGAGAAAGACAAAGAGAGATAGAGAGATAGAGAGATTGAATGAGCATGAGAAATCTTTCTAATACACCAATAAAAAGTCTGTCTCTAAAATACTTAATTTTTTCACACCGTGTATTTGTGTCTCACTAAAAAACGCAATATAGAACATCTGTATTGTTAATAAACCTCCCATAGAGAGCACTGACACTTGAATAGCCTGAAATGTTTTCTGACATCTGACCAGAGCTAATCATAGATGCTTCTATAGGTTGGTTTCTGCTTTTGGAGCATTATTCAAATATTGCTGCAGTATTGTGTTAAATTCTCAAATCATACCCAATAGATAGCAAAGGTGGGCCTTGAATAATTTAAGCCTTGTATTAGGTTTTGTGTTAGAACTGAGGAAATAGCCTGGTGAGCATTTATTAGACTCCACTTATGTATCAGTTGCTGTTCTAAGTGCTTTACATGTATCAACTCATTCAGGTTTCAAAACAACCTTATGATGTAGGCGTTTTCCCATTTTATGAATGAAGAAACTGAGGGATACAGAGTTTAAGTAATTTGCTCAAACTATACAGCTAGTGACTGCCAGAGCTCAGTTAAGCCTTTTTGTTTAGTGCCTGGGGTTTTGGGCCAGGTCCTAGGCATTTTGGAAAACTGAAGAGAGAACTAGGCACCACAGAGCTGGGCTAAAGGAGCTGACACTGTGGTGGGATTCCTAATAGAACCCTGTGGTTTGCTGGCACAGGGCCCTCTACAGGCAGGTGGGGTAAGAGCTGGGGCAGATAAGGAAAGACACCACAGTTTAACATCTGATGCTCAGCTCAGAGAGGAGACCTCTCTGCCTCTTCTCAGCACTGCCTTCAGGTCTGGAGTGAGTCTCTGTACTCTTGGTCGTGCATCCCTGAGGGTGAGGTCTGGATCCTACTCTCTTTACACCCAACACTTAGCACCATGTCTGACACATTGTAGGCACCCAAAAGACCTGCGGTTAAGTATGAATCTCTTTTTTCAACTTAGGGTTCTGAAGCTTTAATATGAAAATTTTATTTATTTTTGTTTTTATTACGTAGACTTGGAAATAAAGCAAGAGAATGATGATCATCAACTACCTAGAAGCATCAGTTAAGTTAGCAGTACTAAACCTTTTTTTGTCATCATAAAACATTTGCGGGCCTGGCGTGGTGGCTCACACCTGTAATCCCAGCATTTTGGGAGGACGAGGTGGGCAGATCGCCTGAGGTCAGGAGTTTGTGACTAGCCTGGCCAAGATGGTTAAACCTCATCTCTACTAAAAATACAAAAATTAGCTGGGCGTTGTGGTGGGTGACTGTAATCTCAGCTACTCGGGAGGCTGAGGCAGGAGAATTGCTTAAACCCAGGAGGCAGAGGTTGCAGTGAGCTGAGATCATGCCACTGCACTCCAGCCTGGGTGACAGAGTGAGACTCTGTCTCAAAAATAAATAAATAAATAAAATATACATAAAAAATAAATAAAATATTTGCAGTTTTTTTAAACTCACAGGTTCAACTCATAACTTTTTTCTCCTTAATCTTGAGTTTATATATTTTGGCTGGTGCTAAACACCAATGTCACCCTCTCCAATTATAACAGCAAGAAGACATTTTAACCTAAACAGTGTTCTTCAGATTAATGAAATCTAATAGCAACTCTTTCACCTCTGGGCTATTCCAAACCAAGTGGTAATGACCAAAGACCATTCCTCATCTTGTGCTTGGATAGGAAACCCTGAGAAATGAGTCTTGGGCTTGGTCCAGTTTTTAGTGGAAAGTGCACACATCACAAAACTTAGTTTCAAAATTCGCCTCCATGCTGACAGTCTCTGTTAGAAGGGCAGAGCATCCAGGCTCAGACCTTGAACTGAAAAATCCTTCTCACTTTTCAACAATGCCCCTTTGGTTAGAATGCAGGTCAGGCATACTTGTCCAGCCATGGCCATTACTGGGCTGTCTGCTCTAGGGCTAAAAAAAGATGTTGATTTCCTGTAATATCTGCCCTGCAATTTTTACAGGAACAATGTTCATTAAATTAAAAATAATAAACCAGGCAATGTTCTTGTGTAACCTGTTTCTTAGAACTTGCTGTCCACATGACAGCCTTCCAGGATGTCTTTTCTTGTCCATACTAGGTTAAAGCATCAACAAAGCTTTGTTTTGTGTTAAACTCAAAGGTGTCTTTCTGCAGATTCTTCCAGAACTGCTTGATGGGGGAGAGGGAAGATCATGCCTGGCAAAAAGTGATTTACACTAACATATACACAAAGAAGATAATCATCTTGTTTTATGTGCCGGTTGCAGTGGCTCACACTTGTAATCCTAGCACTTTAGGAGGCTGAGGTGGGCAGATCGCTTGAGGCCAGGAGTGTGAGACCAGCCTGGGCAACATGGCAAAACCCTGTCTTTACAAAAAATACAAAAAATTAGCCAGGTGTGGTGGTGTGTGCCTGTAGTCTCATCTACTTGGGAGGCTGAGGTGGGAGGATCCCCTGAGCCTGGGGAGATAGAGGCTACGGTGAGCCACGATCATGCCACTGCACTGCAGCTTGGGTGACAGAGTGAGACCCTGTCTCAAAAAAAATTGTTTTATGAGTGAGTAAGCATATATAATTATAAGTAAGATCCTAAATCTTTATTAGACAGACATGTAATGAAATGGAATAGAATAGAGGCATAATGACATATTAACCTGATTTTTGCATAAAAGCACAGTTGCATAAAAAAGATATTGTATAGTCCTTTATGATAATGAAATGTATTACATATATTATCTCATGTAATCTGCACAGTTTAGGAGGTAGATGTGATACAGATGATGAAGAAAGAAGGCTGTGGGCATTTAATTCAGGGATAGGTTAAAGGATAGATGCAGGCAGTGTTTACATCTCTCTGTCCCAGTCTGTTTAAACCATAGTATTTTCAAGTTAGTGTACACAGTGGTTTACAAATCAGCTGCATTTGCATCACCTGGGCACCTTAAAGATACCTCTAGAGCCTTGCCCCTGTTTCACCAGATATCAGAATGAATTTCTGGGTCAGGTTATTGGAAATTTACATTTTTAACAGACTCCCTTAAATTATTCTATTATGCTTCCATGTTTGAGAGAGATCTTCACACTAAGGGTCTCTCAGACCAGTAATTATACCATTATTTCAAAAAACAGCTAATAATGTGTAGGGATTATTGCAATAGCTGTTGTAAAAGCATACATGCTTACACAGCCTGAAGAAAGAAGGCTGCTTTTGCAGAAAGCAAAAGCAAATTAACTTAACAACTGGCATAGTTTGAGGAAGGGTACTACACAAGTAGAAGGGTACTAAATACTCTATGTAGTTGAGAGGGTTTCAGAAAATGAGTTAATAAAAAAAAAAGAAAGCAAGGAATTTTACGCTGAGACCTTCTAACTGTCCTGAAATATTTGAAGGGTTGTCCCATAGAAATAGGGAGTAGTGGGAGTACTAGGACCCACAAGCTGAAGCTAATGACAGTGGGGGTTAAGTTCAGCCTGAGAAAGACCCTTTAGACCTTAGAGAGCCTCCACCTCCCCAGCCTTTGGGAATAATGGTGGTCATGAGGTAGGAAGCCTCACCTCACTGCAGGGTTAAGCAGGGACTATATAACCTAGTGTTAATAGATTCTTACACTGATGGATAAGTTGGCTTTATCTTCTATAATTCCTATTTTCTCTATACTCTCCTATTCATTCTTCTCAAAATACCTATGTAAAAAAAACAAAGGCACACGTTACTGATACATATTTTATAATCTGAGAAACTGAAGTCAAAAGCTGAGGTGAGTTGCCAAAAGTGAGGCACTTGCTAGCAAAGCTAAGAACAGATCTCTCCTTCCTGGTATTCTTCCTTCTTAACCCCCTTTTCTTCACCCTACAAACCACATAGGTGCCTCTTAGGAAACACTAAAGCACTTAGGAATATAGCCTGAAAACTGCTATTGTAGGCCAGTCACCTTCGAACCTAAAAATGCAAGTTCCTGGGCGTGCCTCAGATTAACTGAATCATAATCTGTGCAAATGGGACTCAGGAATCTGTATGCCAGGTTGGGCACCACCATTTTAGACTTCTTTCCATCTGGAATAAGGGACAGGAAATCTGATAGTCTCGTGTTCTATATACTATTCTTTGTAACTGCTGATTGATTTCTATGAGTGCAAAGATACCACCAGGTGGGTACCTTTTTATGTAAAGATTTCAATGCTCTTGCTTTACATTTACATGGGCACAAATATTTATATAATGATCACAAGTTTATTTACAGAAGTAACAGATGGCTGTAAAGGTGATACAAATGTATTTGAGTCAACGGTAAAGGTTCCATTGTGTATTTTACAGGCCTGGGTAAATGTCAGCCTTTACCCAAATATTGGCAGCATAAAGTATATGGATATGGGAACAGTATGGAGTTAGAAAAAATTCCCTGCCCTTCTCGTAGGCTCTGAGTAAGTATCCCATTGGATTAACCAGAGTCCACTTGATTGCTACAGTTTCAATAGCTTGTTCAGACATCGATTGCTGTCATGTCACTAGGAGAAAAGGATTAATAATAGGGTGCTCAGGCTGGCTCAATACTGCTGATAGTGCCTGACAAAAGACCGTTAGTAGGACTCCCATGGGGACACTGCCTGCATAGGAAAGCTACAAACAACATCATTCAGGATTTCGCAGAATAATGATTAACTACAGAACTTCAGCCTACAAAACCCAACCAACAGTTCTATTATTTCCAAATAAATTCACTGCTTGATCTTCCTTTTCTTAGGTTCACAGATTATCCAGAATCAGAATGTCTAGTGGATATTCATAACCATGATTGTGTTCTTATATAAGTCACTGTGCCTGGACTGTTTTCGAGAGATGCATTTCTGCCAATCCTGATCATGGAAAACAGCAAGATACTAGAGGAGCTTGGTTTGGCAAGTGTCTCCTGAGTAAATTTTACAAAAGAAATGCTCCATCTCCAATAGGAACTCTGTGGCAGTTGTGGCTAATGGGTACCACAATCTGGGGAGGTCACCAGTTCTGGATCTCACATTTGAAAAAACTCAATTTCAGCTATGGAAAATTAAATGGGGCTACTTTGCAATGGGTTTCAATGTTCAGTTGAGATTAAGGTGAAGGAGGGTGTTAAAAGGAAATATTGATGATTCTTTACATCAATAGAAAAGAGAAAGGATGGCAGTGCTAGAATGTGTGGTTTTGTTGAACTGTGTTGTCCCTGTTTGGCAAAGGTTTGGTGATGGAACTAGAAAGAAGGGGACAAATTCTGACTTCTAGTAAAAACAAGAATAGTCTGTAATTTAAACAGATAAAATATAATACTATAAAATTTTACTGTACTAATTGTATAAAATATGGGTAAAATAAGATTACTGGCCAAGTGTGGTGGCTTACACCTGTAATCCCAGCACTTTGGGAGGTCGAGGTGGGTGGATCACGAGGTCAGGAGTTCGAGACCAGCCTGGCCAACATGGTGAAACCCCATCTGTACTAAAAACATACAAAAAATTAGCCGGGCATAGTGGCTCGCACCTGTAATCCCAACTACTAGGGAGGCTGAGGCAGAAGAATTGCTTGAACCCAGGAGGCAGAGGTTGCAATGGGCTGAGATTGTGCCATTGTACTCCAGCCTGGGTGACAGAGCAAGACTGTGTCTTGAGAAAAAAAAAATGTTTACTTAGAGTGGCAGAAATACAAGCCAACAGCTTCTCTCTCTGCATCCCCCATGCTTATATGACAAGAGTTCCAAGTTGTTTGAGTGTTTGGTTTTTTTGGCAGTGAAAGGTTTAAGGGCATTTATCTCTATAACTAGCAATTTAATAAGTACATGACTTCTTACTCAAGTGCATTTAGATAATTTTCTAAGCTTTCATAACAGCTTTATTTATTTATGCTTTAATGCCTTTCCTCTTAAGAGCTCAAGATGCTGGTTATTTAACATTTTATATTCAGATATGAGGATTAAAAAAAGGCACTGGGTGCCATGCTGCTGTCTCCAATGATAGCTCCACTAAAAATAACACAATTAACTTGATGTCAGCCCTCAGCTTGTTCTTAAATATAGGTTTCTTAAAAATATCCAGACTACTTTAATTAGAGTCACAGAATATTTTAATTATTCCTAAAAGACTGAGTATACTCCATTGACTACAATAAAGACATGAGATAGAAAGCAGTTCTCTAGGAACTTATATATGCTAATGATTATGTCACATTAATGGGAATATGGGCAGTTGTTTAGGATGAAATTGGTACAGGGCTAGACATGGACACCTGTGAAGAAAACTGAGGCCATGTGTCATCTGGCATGAGGTAAATGGCATCTGAGCCCCAGATATCATCAGAAATGCAAAATTCTGAAATTCAAGGTAATATGTTGTTCAGTTCAACTTAATTTTAATCAGATGCAATCCAACCCTGGAAACCTTTATTCAGCATCTGTTATATGTCAGGTAATGTTCTGAGATCTGTGGGGGTACCAAAATAAATAAGAAATACATTCTATTTTCAAGGCACTTTTTTTTTTCTGGTAGGAAAGACAGTCAAATAAATAACCACAGAATGTGATGAGTAAAAAGCAAAATTACAAATGTATGCATTAATACAAAATGAATAAAGGAGATTTATGGTGGCATGATATGGCAGAACAAGGATGAGTTTTGAAATCATGCAGACCCTGGTTTAAATTCTGGATATTTCAATTGCTTGCCATAAAGCTTTTAGCCTTGGTTTTATGTTTTGAGAATGGAGATCTCAATGTATTTTAAAATGCTTTGTGAAGATAAAGCAAGGCAAGATTTGTAAAAGTATCGAACTAGTTCCTAGCATGAGAATCCTAATAGGAGCTCAAGAAATGTTACGTTTTTCCTTGTGTGTATATGTGAAGGCTTCACAGAGGAGACAAAGACTGAGCTGGGTTTTGAAGGATGAATAGGAGTTCTCTAAGACTAATGGAACAATATTTGGAAAAAGAGAGATGTGGAAAAGTGGGGAATATCTGGTATTGTTGATATATAAAAGGGGAATGAGCAGCAAAGGGACCTGAAGATAGGGAGGTGGCAGAGATCTACAAAGAAAGTGAGAAATGAACATAAATGTGTATACTTAGGGAACACCACAGAATGTGTGACCATGGAGCATTCAGCATCACCATGGTTGAAGGTCCATAAAGTAACAAATTGTCCTAACTTGCTAGACAACTATCAAGTTTGAACAGCCTCAAAAGTTAGCTTTCACTTTTTTTTTTTTAGTGAGTTCATCAAAGTTGCTCACAGACTCCATTTAGTAGAAAACTGCAGAACAAGATCAACTACAACAAAACTCTGAATGCAGACACAGTCATTTCATTCTGTGCTAAGGTAACTGATAAGTGGACAATAGAAGAATATCCAAGATGCTGCTGGAAATTGTGTTAAAGTAGGACAAGCATGAGAGAGGTTTAATGCCATGAAATCTTTCAGTAGTGCAGCAAAGCTGAGGATGGCAAAGAATGTTGGTGTTCACCTCCCAACTCCAACTCACAGTGCTGAGAACTTAGCAAGTGTATGATGCTATTCCACTCCCAGAATAACATCACCCAGAGGCAAGTCTTGCTTGTACTTGGACCAGTAATCATAGCTCTTTCTCCTGCTTTACTCATCAGGAGCCTATAGTCAAATATACCAGAGAATACTAGAAGATCTGTCTTTCCTACAAGTCTGGTATGTAGCTCAAGGGACCACACTTGCTTTTCTTTGAGAAATGATCCATTGATTTAAGAGGAAAGCCAGCCCAGGATTTTGGGTGGAGTGGCAGACACAATTTGAAGGATAAAATTCATGAGGAACCATCTGAAAAGATGTTGGGCCTTTTAAAAATAGTTACACTGGATGTGATGATTGTAACATTTCAAAGTCAAGGGAGAAAAATACATTCATACATAGAGTTAACAAGGTTAAGCAAAGCTCTTTAAAGTTGAAAATGCTTTCCGATATTCCTTCACTTATTCAATAAACATACACTGAGCACCTTCAAAGTTTTAGGTACTGGAGAGACAAAGATGAGTAAAATAACTGCTGTGAAGGAACTCAGTCTAGAGGAGAAGGGGACAGAATGTAAACAAATAACTATAATGCAATTTATCATTTGTATTAAGGTTTCTACGAGATTCTTTGGGAGCACAGAGAGGGTAATTGTTTCCAAATCTTGAATATTACATTACTATTATTGGAATATACACTATGTAGAGGTTTATATACCACAGTAGGTTCTTGATAAATATTCCTTGTATTAATGAATGAAAAGTAATCAATCCCCAAATATAAATTTCTCTATCATATTAGGTTACTTAATCACTTAATAAGATTACATAAACAAATTTAAAGTACTTGGTGTAAATCTGGCAATTTATAAAATGCTGTGAGACTATGGAAGACTGCTTGCCAATGGAGGAGGAGGAACGAATAGGATGTTAACTGAGACTGCGAAGTTTGAGCTAAATCTTGAAGGAAGAGAAGGAATTCACCAGACTTACAAGTAAGAAACAGGATTCCAGACAAAGAGAAAAGTATCTGCTAAGGTGTGTAAGAGTGTGTTTTACACTTGATAAGTCATTTAGTATATCTGTAGACATAGGATGCTTGTAAGGAGAGTCACAGGAAATGAGGTCAGGAAGTCAAAATAGTAATATCTACTCTATTGTCAAGTAGTTACATTTCTTACTATGTGCCAGGCACTGGGCCAAGCAATTCTTATGCATTGTATCATGTAATCTTCAAAACAACAGTAAGAGGTAGGTACTACCATTATCTCTATTTTATGAATAAGGGAACTTGAATTTGGTGAGGATAAGTGACTCACTCATGATCATACAACTATTAGGTCATGAAGTTGGATTTGAAATCCAGTTCTTTCTGACTCCAGAAACCATCCACTTACTTGTTGTTAGTTCCACCTTACGTATTACAAGGGTATTTGTTGTGCCCTAATCATTTCAGGTTCCCAAATACAATAAGAGAATGTCATAAAGATTTTCAGGGCTATGGTAAAATGAGGAAAATAAGGACTACATAGTGATTTTTTCCATAAAGTTGTATCATTATTCAATATAAGAGACTTTATTCCTAACTTGTGTTCTTCCTATTTTCTGACATCAAAATTCTTTTTTTGTTTGTGAAATCACGTAGCTAGAAGGTGGTAGTGATCTTAAAAATGTTCTGGTCAAAACTGAAAATTGTCAATCCCATGATACTGTTCCAAACCTATAAATCATTGCTCTAGGCCATGAAGCTATGCTGCCTTACTAAAGATTGTGTAAGCCATGGTACAGCATTTAAATTTATGCTACAAGCAATGAGAGGTCATTTAAGTATTTTTAGCAGTAAAATTACAAAATTTGCATTCTAGAGGGATTATTCTTTTATTAGCATTGAGGATGTATTGGAGGAGGATGAAAGATAGGGAGATTAACTGGAAGATGATCATGGCAATCCGACAAAGAGGTGATGAGAACTTTGAACTAAGGCAAGAGGAGAGAGAAGGAATGGTTTTAAGGGATTTTGAAGAGGTAAAGTCAGTGGGTTTTGTGACCAATGAAATGCTAGTTGTGCAAGAGAGATAGAATCTAGGACCATTCCCAAGTTTCCAATCCACAACACATTGAAGGGTGGAATAATTCCTAAGATTTTGTATACATGAAGAAGACTGGGCTGGTGAAGGGAAAGATTGATGAGTTTGGTTCAGATTTTTTTTTTTTTTTTTGAGATAGAGCCTCGCTCTGCTTTTGTTGTTGTTGTTGTTGTTTTTTGTTTGTTTTGTTTTTTGTTTTTTGTTTTTGAGACGGAGCCTGGCTCTGTTGCCCAGGCTGGAGTGCAGTGGCATGATCTTGGCTCACTGCAAGCTCCGCCTCCTGAGTACAAGCAATTCTCCTGCCTCAGCCTCCCGAGTAGCTGGGATTACAGGCGCATGCCACCACATCCGGCTGATTTTTGTATTTTTAGTAGAGACATGGTTTCACCATATTGGCCAGGCTGGTCTCGAACTCCTGGCCTCAGGTGATCCACCCGTCTCAGCCTCCCAAAATGCTGGGATTACAGGCTTTGACTTCAAGGACAATCAGATGAATATGATTTTAAAATATTGATTTCTATCTCACCAAGCTTCTGGGGACAAAAAGATTATCTTTCATGTAGTCATGAAACTTGACATAAGTTTGTTTATTTATTTATTTTGAGTTTTTTTTTGAGACAGGGTCTCATTCTGTGGCCCAAGCTGGAGTACAGTGGATGATCACAGCTCACTGTAGCCTCAACCTCCCAGGCTCAAGCAATCCTTTCATCTCAACCTCCTGAGTAGCTGGGACCACAGGCGTGTGCCACCATGCCCAGCAGTCTCCCTATGTTGCACAGGATGGTCTCGAACTCCTGGGCTCAAGCAATCCTCCCACCTCAGCCTCCCAAAGTATTGGGATTACAGGTATGAGCCACCGCGCCCAGTTGAGATAGGTTTAAATAGTCAAGGCCTAAAAAACAGACTTTGCTTCATGAAGTAAAAAATTGTAATAAGTGCACAAAATTAATCTTAGGCATGGATATGGAGCTCCATCACATGACTACTATTATATTGTGATCCTTGTCACACTTTATTTTTAAGATGACTCAGAGAAACAGTGAACTGGCGAAATGTTTGGAAGGCTAGTAGGTTATTTTGGCCCTGTCAGAAAGACCAAAATAATGGTTATAAAGTACTTTTTGAGATCTTCAAATGAAAGATGCCCAGAAAAAGACATTATTAATGTTGACTATGAAGATGTAGAGACAGGTATCTTTAGTTATTTGAAAAAGCTTATAAATAAAAGACAATGACTTAGTGACTTGAAAACAGAAATATCTGGCCTTACTTCTGATTTTCTATATGAATCATAACAAATCAAATGCACCCTTTAAAAATATGAACACTTGGGGTGACCACAGCTTCCTGAAGACAGAAATGAATTTAACACAATAACCATCTCTGGACAGTGAAATTCACATTCCGCACCACCACCAGCCCAATTAAAGGGAAAGAATTTCGACTTGACAATCTGCCCTTCAGTATCTCAGACCCAGGCTGAGGGCAGATCTAGTGACCTCCTCCTGAATAAAAAGGGGAAGGGGATTGGGCAGTAAATTCTGTCCTGGCGAACATCAGCCTGGCAGTAAATCGGAATCCTCTCTGTGCCCTCTTTATTATCACATTCACAGCATGAAGTTATGAGCTTCCTCACAGCTCCTGCTATAAAAATGTGATGGATGGTAGGGAAACCTCAGGGAGTTAATCTATTCTTCCATTAAATTTTACTTTAATTGGTCTGTGAGTCAATCAGAAACTCACTAGACAGTGAATTAAGAAAGAAAAGAGTGAAATAGAAAAAGCTTTCTTTTGCAGTTACTATATTATAATGCAGAATTATTCTTCCATTGAAAGAAAACTGAGACCATTGGTCCATACAAATAATCCCTGGCTCTGTAAAGAAAATGAGAGAAAAACAGGCAACCATGAATCCTACTCACTGGTGACATTAACACATATGACATTACACATACTCACACGTATCTCACCAAGGAAAAGCAGGCTTCTCAGACCCCCTCCACCCCCACCAACAGTAATTAGAATGAGAGAGAGAGAGAGAGAGACAGAGAGAGAGAGAGAGAGAGAGAGAGAATGAACTTGAATCATGGCCTCTAAGAAAATTAATACAAAGAAAAATAAGCTGTTGAGAACCTCTATCATCAGTAACATAACTCTATAGGTACAAAAGAAGGTAGATGTTAAAGACCAAAGGTGGATCAGCTGAAATGTTCATGGATTCAGTTAGTAAAATGTTTGTGCAGTATTTAAGGCCATAATGGGCTCTGATAAAGATTCTCAGAATCTAATAATGGCCTCTCTGGACTTCTTGTCTAATTAGTGGAATAAGGAGCGAGCCAGCTTGGAATTGAGCATTGCTAGATATGAGGGAGAAGGGAAAAAAAAAAGCCAAAGCTGCAAGAAAAATAAACCAGAGTAAAGGAGAAGAAAAACAAGAGCAGCCAGTGCTTTCAGAACTGCTCCTGAGCTGACAACTGAAGTTTATGCCTTGAAATATATGATAATAAGATTTTATGGGAGTGAGCCCCAGGGACCCAAATGTCTCTCTGTAAACAACGGACCTCAGGGAAAAGCCAAGGTTTGAGTAATGTACTCAGTCTCCACTCATGATAAAAAAATAAAAAAAAGCAAAAAAGCAGTGAAGACAGGAAATAACTCCTTTTATTCTAACTGTAGAACCCTGAGTTGCAGCAAATGCCCTCTGAGGGCAAAGACAATCGACAACCAGTATAGAAATACAGTTGTCCCATATTCAGACAAGGGATTTAAACCTCAGCAGCCTCAAAAACCTGAGGTTGTATGAGAAGAACCTAGTAAAGTGCTGCCTGTCCACCCTTCACACATGGGCAATATATGTCCAGAAACCAAATGGTTTATTGTGCAGTGTTGTTCCAGTGGAATTACTGGAGGGACATCAGAATGACCTAATCCTTGAAGCATGTGCCAGTTATCCCAGTGCTGCAAAGAGTTAAACCTGAAAGTGCTGCCTGTTCCCACTCGTTCACAATCCAGATTACCTAGAAAGATATTACCAGCTGAACTCCACACATAGTATGATGGCTTCCTTTGAAGACTTGGGTCAGGTAAAGCTCAAAGTTAGCCTTAAGCAACTACTAAACGATGAAAGTCCCTAGTGTACTCTGAGACTAAATCAGGTTGCCTTTAAAATTCTTCATCTTCAAAGACAACAGCTCTATCCTCTTTTTATAAATGTGAGGCCATGAGACAGCAAAGTGCTATTTCTACTGGCATTAGTTCCACCTTATATATTAAAAAGATATTTGTTGTGCCCTAATCACTCTGGGTCCAAGATCATAAGGGACCTTGTTTCTTGGTGGGAGGCTATAGTGTGAAAAGGTTACTTAGTCATCACTAGCCTCTAGCAATGCTGGAACACCACACATGGGGCTCCTCAAACAGGAAGTCAAAGCCAGTTCTGACCCCTGGATGAACTCTGCATTTTCGGGCAAGAGGCCTGATGAATCTCCAGGGACAGTGCTGCCCTGTGTCTCTGTGTCCATATGTATGTGTTTACTCCTCTGTGTGCATGTGTGGAGGTGGGTGGTACTGAAGGGAAGCAGGGTGTGAAGGTTCTGGATAATTATGAAAATTAGATCTTTTACAGCAGGCTTCAAGCTCAATTTGGGCTGACAGCTCATGAACAGATCATCTGAAGTCTTAATAGGCCAATGCTAGTTCAATAGTTGTATGGTTAAATCATGCACATTTGTGCCTCAGCTGACACAAAAAGCAGACCCAGATGCCTCACATGGATCATGCAGATAAGTCTATATTTAATACTCTTCCTCTCTCGGGGAAGGCCTAACAAAGCAAAACAAAACAGATCTAAAACCATGCTTAAAACTTTCACCAGCCAAAGAAACATTCCAACATTCTTTTCACTATAAAACATCTAATAGTAGAAATGATACATGATTGATAAAGTGATTCTAAATATACTTAATTCTGGTGTCTTTTCAAAATATTTCTGAACCCAGCAGTAACAGATATAATCTTCCAAACTGGGAGTTTTTTCCATTTTTAGTTACCTGTCCCAAAAGCACTTATTCTCTTACTTTCCATTCTTTGCTGGTAGTTTTGTACAATGATGTCAAGATATCAAGGCTCCTGACACATCCTGAATTCTGAAAGAATGTGCTTCCTGAATATTCCTGATAATGGGCTTAGTATCAAAGGGGTTAATGAGGTTGAGTTAAGACAGCATTTCCTGCTTGAAGGAGAACTGAGTCCAACAACACTAGAAGCATTTTCTTATTATTTTTCTCTGCGTTTGCAGTAACTGCTTCTCCTGGAAGCTTTACCTGGGGGAAGGGATAAAGCAATATCACTAACCTGCCTGGCATCTGGCTTCCAGCAGGGAAAGAGGCTCATCCACCTCACCCCTCGGGCTTCTTTAACTGAATTAGCTGTATTAAGTGCCTTGGTAGCCCAGGGAATGAACGTCGTTGATCAGTGTGCCTAGAAAGGCATGTTTTCAGGGTATAATTCTGCCGGAGGAGAATGGACTCCCCAGCACATGGGCCTAAACTGCAGAGTAACAGAGCCCTAAATCTCCAGTTACAGATTTACAGCCTCCATTCTCCTTCTTTACTGCAAATACAATCCGGCAGTAATGGTCTAACACAGCAACACCATCACCAACTGGCTGATGGCTCGCATAAAAGCAATGTCAACCAAAAACTATGAGTTTATAAAAGGGAACAAACCCTCAACAGTGACAAGAACATGAAACCCATTAACAATTTAAACACTCTCCATTTTTTATTTCCCACCTTGAAGCTATTATTGCTGATAGAAAGCTCCTCAGTGGAGTTAACCACTGCAAGGAAGGGTTAGGAAGCTAGCTTAACTCCTAAGACAAGGGGTTATGTGGTTTGAACCATTTGATGGTGTGGTTTGAACCTTTGTTAATAGGAAGGCCATTTGATAACCTGTAGTGCAAAAGAAGGTCTTAGAATACTGTAAGTGTGATAGGATCTCCCCTAGTAGGTCTATCAAATTATTCTCAGGAACCACACTGAATAAAAACGGTTAGAATTGGATTGGCTAGTCTATTGAATATGCCAAGACTTGAGCCTGTACTGTAAAAGGAATGGTAGAATATTTTTTGGAGAAAGTTCTGTAAAAATCAAGAATCAACTCTTGGCATTATAACAATAAATGCTTATATGAAGTTTTATTTCTGTGATAGCTCTAACTCTTCGAAGGAACATTGCCACCACAATATTTCCATTTTGCAAATTGACTATACCTGGACTGTGATGTAAAATGTAACTCGTCACACACTATTACCTTCCAGTCTTTAGGTAATCAGATACAAACATTATAACTAATTTCTCAACTTAACTACAGGACTCTCCCATTTAAAACAAATATTACTGTGGAATTCTCTGGTGAAAAATGCTTGAGCAAGCCATCTCCCTCCCTGCCCTTTCAAATTCCCTGACTTCCCCTAGTAAAAATAAAAATAGGACTTTAAAGAGATATAATAAGCCCATGATTGGGTATTTTACCCCCAAAACAAAACTTCTTCCCTTTGTTCTATAAATCAGACAAACCCAATGGCAATAAGAAAGTTGTTCTCTTTGTGGTTTTGAGCTTTTTGCATGTGTAATTTGTCAAACAGTTCATCTTTTGGAAATAGGATCTTCACACTAAAAAGGAACAAAATCCTGTTTTTGCAAAGGGGAAAAAAAGGCCATGTTGAACATGGTAACATATATCCATACGAATAGTGCCAAAGAACTTAAAGTCCCTGATTTACATATATTGTGCTGATTGTTTGAGCATCAATATAAAAAATTTAATCTGTACTAATGGGCCTGGAGGAAGCGCAAATAAAACCGAGGAATAAGTACTTGTTTTGCAGTACAATGAATGCTATTAATATATATATAAAACAGGCTTCAGTGATGCATAAGCTATTGTATTCTAAAAATATTCCTACATTTTTGGCACTTTAAAAATGTATTACCTCACAAAGGACTATCAACCTATCTGCAGACTCTTAACCTGGGCTAGCATTAAGAAAGGAATCATTTCATTCTGCTTTTGTTACATGTACATAGATTTTGAACTAAGCAGATATGGCACCTGTTGGTTTTAAATGTCTCCTCCTCTAAGAAAAAGAAAGAAAAAAGTTCAGGAGAAGAAAAAGAAGAGATGTTAAATAAAAGACAAGAAACAAGGAACTAAGAGAATAAAATTATTTTCCCCACAGTGTGCAATGAAATCAAGCTACACTAATTCTACTTATAATAATGTTAGAAAATGGTTAGCCTTAATGCCTGATAATGACCAGAGCTAATGTGGTTCTGCTTTCAGTGTGGATAATGTTTAAGGAAGTAGCAGAATGCATGGCAGCTTTCCTGGACTATACAGTCAACTCCAATGAAGCCTTTTCTCCAGCTTGAGTCATAACCATAAATACTGCCCCATCCCCACATTCCAGTAACAAAGTCCTTCCTTCCTCCTTTGCCCCTAAACAAAGGGGACAACAGTGTGTTCGGTGGGAACATCTTGAAATAAGATAACACTCCCCAAATGGAAGGAAGTCACAGGGGAGATTGACGCCATAAAGGCAGTTCTATCCTATTGAAACGCCAGCAGATGGGGTCATAAACATTTCCTTCTCCCCTTGCTAACAGCCACCAAGTCAGCTTCATCTTTATCTTTATCTTTATCTTCCTGTCAGGTCATAAATACCTCTCACTCAAGCTTCACTCACAGCTGGGCCATGCCAAGCAAGTTTACTTCCTGTTAAAGGTTCCTTTCAGCAAACATTAACAAATAGTTGGGGGAAAGAAAACTGAAAATTCTGCTGATGATACACAGTTATAATATTCCAAAGGAAGCTTGGAAACCTCAAAGAAAGGGTTTGGCCAGACTAAGAAATGACCAAACTGCCTAGCAAAAAGCATGGAGATCCACTTAAAAGAAGATGCGTTCACAGGGAAAATGAGTCAAATAATTAGTTAAAACTTATATTTACATCCAAACAAAATAAAAGAGCTGAATAGTGTCATGGGCTTTCATTCTTTCTTCTAGAACCTCCAAATGATGCATGGATGCTTGCCATTTGTTCCTGAGTCTAAAACCTGGACCATAATCGTAGAAAATGAAAACAGAAGATTTCTAGGAGTAGTAACTCAATACAAAGTCATGCTTAGGCCAAAGGTTAGAGAAAGAACACACCCCTTTACTTTCAGAATTTTGGCTCATGAGGAAGGAGTAACCTGACTCTCTTTCCTTCCTGGGGAACAGTTTTACACTTGGGAAACCATCTGCCTGAAGTACTGCTGGCAGCTCCAAAATTATAGAATCTAAAATGGTAGGAACCTGGAAAATAGTAGGTATCTTCCTCCTTGACTTGGCTGGAGCAGCTGCCCCTCTTGAATTTCTGGGATATAAGATTACAACCAAAAATGACTGTAGTCTTTCTAAAACACAACCCACAATCTGATTTTTTTTTCTTTTTTCTTTTTGTAAAAGCATCATTTTAAGGAACACATTCTGACAAAATAGTTAAGTCTTTTAAAATTACGATAGTGACAGGTTGCTGTTGATTACGAGAAGTAGACTTTTGCTCCAACAGGGATTGTTTAAAAGTGCCTTTATTATGCTTTAGAACGACTGATCCATACTGGCTTATTTCACTCAATCTTTCAATTTTTACATGTGCTTCTAGATAACATGTGACTTTAAAGAGAGAAAAATGAAGACAGCACTTACTATAATAAGTTTTCTATGGTAGTTATAACAAATGGGTTTGAATTCCAGCTCTGACACTTTACTAGCTGTGTGACTTTGGGAAAGTTACTTAACCTCTCTGTGCTTCAATGTCCTCATCTATAAAATGTACAATAAGAGGCCGGGTGCGGTGGCTCACACCTGTAATCCCAACACTTTGGGAGGTCAAGGTGGGTGGATCACTGGAGGTCAGGAGTTCGAGACCAGCCTGGCCAACAGGGTGAAACCCTGTCTCTACTAAAAATATAAAAATTAGCCAGTGTAGTGGTGCATGCCTGTAATCCCAGCTACTCAAGAGGCTGAGGCAGGATAATCGCTTGAACCCAGAAGGCAGAGGTTGCAGTGACCCAAGATTGTGCCACTGTACTCCAGCCTGGGTGACAGAGCTAGACTCCGTCTCAAAACAACAACAACAACAATAACAAAAAACAACAAAAAAACCCACAAAAATTTACAATAATAATGCCTTTCTCAACGGGTTGCTATAAATTAAAATACATAAATCACTTAGAACAGAGCCTGGCACATTGTAGGGGCTCTGTACATTTTAACACACATATAAAATGGAAGACTTAGGTAATTTCATTATCCGTACTGTATCTAAAGCAAAGGATATTGGTTATATTCTTAAAAATCTTTAATTAAGCTGAATATTATACTTCAGACTAGCATTCAAAGGTTTCCAAAAATTAGGCTGGTTTACCTTTACTGTCTCCTCTCATCATCCTCCTACAATTAAGTAACCCTTGTTAGACCGGACTATTTGGTGTTTCCTGAACACATTCTACATTTCCCCACACCTACACCTTTGTGGGTATAGCCCCGTTGCCCTGGAGTTCACTATTCTCACTTCTATCTTCCCCTATCTCTACCTGTTAAAATCATAGCATAGCAGAGGTTCTCTCATTCAAACCATAAAGCTTTATTTTATTTTTTATTTTTATAGTCATCCTTCAAAGCCTGATTCAAATACGGTTCTTCATGGAGTTCTAGAGCTGGAAGAGCTTTAGAGACTAAATGATCTAATTTCTCCTTTTACTAAGGCATGCAGAGATTAAGTGATCTGCCCAAAGACATCAAGCTACAGCTTGGACCACATTTCAGGTCTCCTAACAGTGCAGAGATCTCTGAGAGTTAATCACCCAATCCTGCTGGTCTTTTTCATCACTCTAATCTAAACTGACTGATCTCCTTGGAGCTGCTATGTACTTACAGTACTTATCACACAGCCTCTTGAATTTCAGTTACTTGGGTGCATAACTTATCTCCCACGTCATCTCTCATGTGCCTTTGACACCTCTGTCTATCCCTGGAATGCTTAGAACAGTCTTAACCAGAAGGCATTTAGTAAATATTTGTTGAATTAATGTATGAATGAATGTTAGAAAGAAGGAAATTAAACAACCTTTCCCATCCCCCTGACTCATACCTCTCGCAGTCTCAAAAGTTCTCTCTAACCCAACTATCTGAATTGAACCATCAATTCTAGTGCACAATAAATAAATACCTCCACATCTGCAGAAAAGTGTCACTATACCTAATACATATACACAAATTCACTTACTTTACAAAAGTCTCTGTGTACTCACTGTGTGCATTTCACTTCCAAGTATGCACACAATTTACCAAAGAAGTAGGAGACCAAACCCTGCCTTCCTATTAGTCACATTCCATTGGGAAGACCTGTATACAGCACAACTAGACATCTATTAACTAAGCACCATGAAAGCATGGACATGATAACGAAGGCAAATAGCTAGAAAAAGGGATTCAGGGAGGCTAAAGAAGTAGTAGTTACAGAGGAAGCTGCCAATACTATGCAGCATATCTTATGCTGTCTCTTTTATGGGGCTGCAATTTGCAAGCTAAGCCCAATACAATTTGTTTCCTTCTATCCAATACTTCTGATTTCTTTTCCTCTATCATTCATTTTCTTTACTCAATGATTTAAAGGTAACCGTCTTTTCCTACCTCACAAAAGTTTTAGTTGCTGACCAAAGTTTGACTAAATATCATTTCACGTGTATTTTTCCAGTTGGAGATAGTAAGTCATAGTAACAATACATACACCACCTTTAATTTTTCAAAGTGTTTATATATATATTTTTTCATCCTTTTTCCCCCAGTAAACTCAGCAGGGAGGTGTCAAGTGCAAACCGCATACTATAGATGCATACTCGATGCATAACAGCTACACTTTAATTTTGCAACACTGTTCTACTTCTTTCCTGGAATCTCTCTTCATGAATTTCCTGGAAAGAGGAAAGCAGAAGAAAGGCATATCTCTATTACAATGACCTGCTTATTTTCTTTATCACACTAATCACAATATGTAATTATTTTATTTATTGGTTTAATTCTTTATTGTCGGTCTCCCCAGTAGAATGTAAAACTCCTCAAGTTTACTCTCCTTAAATGTAAAACTCATCTATCTTATTCTTTCATTGTAGGCACTCAACAAGAAATTTCTGAATCGATGAATGAATGATCAACAACACTATTTCTATTAAGGCAAATAGGTCATGATAAAAGAGGCCAATGAACAGACCTCATAGTGTAGAACTGATTAGCTATATTTTTACCCATTTATTCTTCCAAGGATGGCCTGCGCAGGAACAGGTAGTCTTCTTAGTTTTTACTTTTGCCAATTCTTCACCAAGTAATTATTATTTTCTTTGTATACGGTACTGTATGAAAAACTATAGGGGAGGATGGGCACAGGTGGCTCATGCTTGTAATCCTAGGACTTTGGGAAGCCGAGGCGGTTGGATCATCTGTGATCAGCAGTTCGAGACCAGCCTGGCCAACATGGTGAAACTCAATTTCTACTAAAAATACAAAAAATAGCCGGGCATAGTGGCATGTGCCTGTAATCCCAGCTACTCATGAGGCTGAGGCAGAAGAATCGCGCGAACCCAGGAGGTGGATGTTGCAGTGGGCAGAGATTGCGCCGCTGCACTCCAGCCTGGAAGACAGGGCAAGACTCCGTCTCAAAAAAGAAAACAGAAACAAACAAACAAACAAATTGTAGGGGATAAGAAATTTAAGACATAATCCTTGCCGCCAAGGAGCCTATGTGATTACAGCAATACCATAGTAATATAAGACAGCAAATGACAAATGCAAAAAAAAATTATGCAGTCAACATGTGATATCAATCAACAAAGGGAGAAACTGCCTTAGATTGTGTGATCAGGAAGGGCTCCCTGGGAGTGGTGGTAGTATCTGAGTTCAAGATAAGTTTAATTTCTATCAATGAACAGGGTTTAATAGAGGGCCTTTAAAAAAAAATCATGTTATGTCTTAACATACCCCAAGTTTAGATAAGAACATTTAATTAGGCCGGCGCGGTGGCTCAAGCCAGTAATCCCAGCACTTTGGGAGGCCGAGGCGGGCGGATCACGAGGTCAGGAGATCGAGACCATCCTGGCTAACACGGTGAAACCCCGTCTCTACTAAAAACAAAACAAAAAAACAAAAAAAACCCATTTAATTAAATAATATAAACACTTTGAGATCCTCTAATAGACAATAACTTGTCAATGCAAAATAGTTCTATTAGACTATTCAGGTGGCCTCCAAAGCAAGTTTTTAATGGCTTTATGTATGTTTAATCACACTCAGTTGGTCTAGCTTACTCAGCTTTAGTCCCATTAGAATTTAAAAGGTCAAGTTTCAAAAACCTAAAAAGGTGATTTAGAATAGAAATACCAGCTTAACCTTAGCTACGGCTAAACTAACATTATAATAGTATTGAAAATAGTACCTTATAGAAAATACATGGACAAAAGAAGAATATTAAAACTTTACAATTCTTGGCTGGGCACAGTGCCTCACACCTGTAATTTCAGCACTTTGGGAGCTGAGGTGGGCAGATGGCTTGAGCCTAGGAGTTTGAGACCAGCCTGGGCAACATGATGAAACCCTGTCTCTACCAAAAATACAAAAAATTAGCTGGGCCTGGTGGCGTGTGCCTGTAGTCCTAGCTACTCGGGAGGCTGCGACAGGAGAATCATCTGAACCCCGGAAGTCGAGGCTGCTGTGAACCATGATCATGCCTCGGCACTCCAGGCAGAGCAAGACCTTGTCTTAAAAAAAAAACAAAACCCGGAAGCCCCCCGCAAAAACCACTTCACAATTCTTTCCTAAGGTTATATTTTAAAAGTAGAATTTGAGTAAAATTTAAAATCACAATTGGAATTTTACTAAAAATTATGACTCACTGATAGCTTTTAATGCATATTGCCTATCTGGGAGGGCACAGAGGCCTTATAAGTGAGTGAGAAAGATGTAGACCTAACAGCACTGATAGGGAGCCATCTCTTGAAAATGACACAGATCTGTTACAGCTCAGAAGGGTAAGAGAGGAGTTTAGGAGCATTTTCTAAAGCTTGCTGGTTGGAGCTGTTGCTTTCTGCCTGAAGCATCCTATCCAGTCTCTTACCCTCACTCATGCTGCCATTAAAATATCTCCTGCCTTTTCTCACATACTCATTCCTCAATTTCTTTCCCTAATATTTACATCTCATTTACTGCAATTTCATAATGTTTTATATTAAAATGACTCCAAACTGTTATAATCTATGAGATCTATGTTATAAGCTGTGAGATTATAACAGTTTGGAGTCATTTTAATATAAAACATATTATGAAATTGCAGTAAATGAAAAAATACATATATTTTGCTGCCATAGACAGTTTTTTTTTTTTTTTTTTTTTTTTTTTGAGATGGAGTTTCACTCTGTCGCCCAGGCTGGAGCGCAGTGGCATGATCTCAGTTCACTGCAACCTCTGCCTCCTGGGTTCAAGCAATTCTCCTGTCTCAGCCTCCCTGAGTAGCTGGGATTACAGGCGTGCACCACCGCGCCCAGCTAATTTTTGTATTTTTAGTAGAGATGGGGTTTCACCACATTGGCTAGGCTGGTCTCAAACTCCTGACCTTGTGATCTGCCCGTCTCAGCTTCCCAAAGTGCTGGGATTATAGGCGTCAGCCACCACGCCTGGCCATAGATAGTTTTTTTAAGCTGCCCCTTTCATCAGTCGAAAGGTTAGAAATTAGTCTAAATATGCGATCTTCTCGTTTTTCTAAAAAAAAATAGTGTTTTGGCATTATTTAAAGTAATAATTCTTTATTTTTATAATCATCTCTGTTATATAACTCCATCTCTCAGGAATTATAGCTCCATTTCTGATATTTCCACACCTGCAGATATATAGAGGAGTAAAAAGTGGATTAAGAAATGTCACCATAAAGCAAGCAAAGTCCTGAGGGAGACAGTCAGGGAGACAAGTAACTTAATAAAAATGGAAGGTGCCAAATGGTAATAAAACCAAAATGGGAAATCATGAAAATAAAATAACTATGCATTAAAAATATATTTGGGCCAGCTCCTCTGAACTCGTGTTTTGTAATATTAACCATTTAAACCTGCTTAAAATGAGAGCTTTGAGTTCTCAAAATCCTTTAATTCGGTTAAACATCCGCTACCCTGAAAGGACTCCACAGCATCCCATAAAACATTATTTATATGTGTGCGTTAACTGCACGATACTGTAATTTCCAGAATAAATGCTGGGTGTAAATTGTTGTTTATGTTGGATCCTGACTGTCTTTACGAGAAACAAAGTGAAAACGGAATCTTCACAGCTTTATTTCTTCCGTTAAAGTCTATTCTGCAGCAGGAAACATGCCTAGTGGAGTTTCTTAATGAACACTTATAAAGACTGTTGGTTAAAACCAAGTATATAGAATCACCTCCAAATGTACACCCTCTTTTATTCTACATTCTTTTCATTTAAATCAAGTTAAATTAAAGTGAAAGTAGCACCATTCACATTGTTATAGTTAAGGGTCTGTCAGCATTTTTATGCAAAGCCTTGTTGTCACAAGTTTATAACTTGAAAGGGACAAGAAAATGTTTTTTAAAAAGAACTTTAATACAGAGAAACTTGGCCTGGAAATGAATTGCTGTATTCATTTATCTTTAATGACTTTTTAAGGTCCATCTTGGGGCAAAAGATATAGATATCCTAGTGATTTAAAACATTTGGTTGGGATTTTCTTTGTTTTCCACCATAATAGCTTTCAAAGGCATTTCAGCTATAAAATTGATTAAAACATGAAATTCTCTATGTGCATGAATTTTCTAAAGGACATTAAAGATTAGAAATTTCATGTATCACCTCCTGACCTGCTGCCACACATTCAAAACACACAACAAAAATAATTACCTTTTCTTACAAATGAAAAATCAGGCATGGAGAAGTTACAAAGGTTTCAAAGTCGAATATGCATAGAACTACGTAAAATTTCAAAATTATCTTTTAAATTATTTCTCTGGACACTTGCTAATTATTTCTTCCCAAACACCATTGCTAAATTCTAAACAAGAATAGATAGTCTTGTGATGCATGTATTAAGTATTCATTTAACATTTATTCTGGAAAAAAATAACTGCACAGATTTTAACGCTAAGAATTTACTGTGCCTCTGCAGCAGCTGCTCTCACCTGATAAAATTGTGATGATTCTTTCTGAGCGATTATGACTTATCAGGTCAGTGACCAACAAACTATAAAATAGATTCTAACAGCCCCCAAAGGGTTGGTATAGACTCTTGAGTAAATAATATATGTAAGCGAGAATGGGGCAGAGAGAGAGAGAGAGAAACACAAGGAGAGAGAGAAATAAAGAGAAGAGCACACACATGAGTGTTATAGGACAGGAAGACACAGTCCTTGATTTTAATCCCAGTTTTCTCACTCAGTAGCACTTCTTGAGACCAAAAGTCAGATAAAGAGATAGTACTGTTTTTAGCAAGAGAGAGGTCCCATAGCAGCTCTATAGAATTTTCTGGTATATGTTGTTTTGCGCTGGATTTCATCCATGAACTTGTTACTTTGCCTGTACTTTACATATATATCTGAGAAGGCAACCAGTGACTTCTAGGAAAATCCTTAAAATGAACTCTAGAGAAGGAATATGAGGATAGTACATTCCATTTTAGTGTCTTGTTCTACTTAAGACCTTAATGAATAGAATTGCTATTCAGATAAGTTTACATTGGATTTAAAGGAATTCAAGGAAACCTCAATAAAGGAATCAGACTGTGTGATAAAAATGGCCAAAGCTCTAAGCTAGTGTGTGTGTGTGTGTGTGTGTGTGTGTGTGTGTGTGTGTGTATGTGCTCATGTGTGTACAGATCCAGCTACTTACAACCACAGCCAATATGAGGGAGGAACTTTGATTTATATACTGTACTTAAGTCAAGTTTTCCTAATTGCATCAGCTTCCCTGGAGGTCTCTGCTGCTTTATTGCTGGAGTAGATGCTATAGAACTTCTCTCGGGTTTAATGGCATAGTAAGAGTTGTATTTGCTTTTCAGATTTTGAAAACTGGATACAAATTGTTGTCTAGGTTTTAAGACCACAGATTGAGTGACATCATTCTGGTCCCCAGTGGGAACATGTCACTGTGGTCCTCTGGTCACTCTTCACTTAAAGAACTGCAACATGAAGTAAGCATGATAGGTTTCAGGTTGTGAGCCATCCTAGCTCTTACTAAAGGGGGGCTGTCAATCTTTCTCTGGAGATTTGCAAGGTGGGAGTATAAAGAGAGGCTAAGGCTGAGGCAAGGATGAAATGGTTTCTACGAGTCCCCTCTAAGATTCCAGGGGGACACTTAGAAGTCTAACCCTTAAAACTTTGGATTCTTTTTTTCTGAGTCTTTTTCTGGGCCTTCAAGTTGTGGCAAGGCCTAGAATTAAGAAGCAAGGGGAAGGAGGGAGAAGGAAAGATAAATGTAAGAACAGAGATGGTTTTCCAGAGATGAGCATGGGATATTTGCCAAACAATCCACACTACTCTTGACTCAAGACAGTGCTAGCAGTTTTATGAGCAATGGCTTCATTTCTCTCTAAAATTACACGTGGCATTTCTTGGTGTGATTTTATAGAGATATTATGGTTGTTGTTTTCTCCAAGGGAATCCAAATTAGGTACGGATTAGGATGGCTACAGGATACTTCTCTTAGGCATAGGTGCCGGACTCATCTCTCCCCACTGAACCTGGACCCTGCTGTGTTCTGTAATAGACCTCTTCTTCTATACGACTGTGGAAGGGACCAGAGCCAATGCCACCTCATGCCTTCCTTATCTCTCTCTGAGAGATCAAGAGATGCTCTGGCTGCCACCAAGGGGAGGAAAGGACCAGAGTTCAGATAAACTTTTGATAAAGTGCCATAGCAAACCCCTCATCAGAAGGCAGGAAAGGTCACACAGTAAAAAATAATAATAAGAAGAAAATATAACTGCTTTCTTATGAGGAAAATATTATGAGTTCTTCCCCTTTTTCAGCTTTTATGGAAGGAGATTCTGCCAGTTCCTTCAGAAAAAAATAAGAAAAAGTAGTTTTAAAATGAGATTATGCACCTTCAGGGTGCCATTAGGAAGTTTTACTGTACTGAGATGACATGAAAGCTCTGGAATTAATATCCCTGAGATGCTTCAAACCTGCAATAGCAATTATTGTACTACGTGTCCCTGGATAAATAATAGGGCCATTCAACTAATTAGCTTCAGTGATTTCAACTCCCTGTAAATTCTCTCTCACTCGGCTATAAAAATAACACTAGGAAAACTTTTGGTAAGAGAAACTTCCTTCAAGAGATGTTTTCTTTTCCTTTTTTCCCCCTTCAGTTCATAATGTGCAATGTGTAAAGTAACTTTCACTCCTAATCACAAAGCTAGAATGGAATATGCAAAATTTGCACATTATTAATTGCCATTTACTGCTACTGAACATATTGATTTAAATCTCTAAATCTTGCCTTCCACATATGACATAAATGTTTGAGAAATTTAAACTAGTTTCTTGATACATAGTATAAGCAATCATGTCTGCATGGGCAATAAAGTATAAATCCCAAGTGCACATATATATAGATGTATTGTTAAAGAGAAACAAAAGAATTACTTAAGTCCACACTACAATATATTATAGCCATGTTATTTTAGAGAATTTTGACAACACATTAGCTTTTCAATGGTGTTCATGGAATATTAATTCATTCTGTCATATTTACTGAACGCCTACTAGATGCAAGATGTAAAGTTGCTTCTGTATGTTGTCTTAGAAGAAAAGTAGATTTATTTAACTTAAACATACTATTATTCCTGCTTAAGTGACAAGGATTCTCTTATACTTCTGTCACCTAGAAATACCATAAAATTCTGCAAATTCCAAGCAATAAGGATGTAAACTTCAATAATACAAGCAAATACAATTCTAACATCATCAGCAATGGTCTGAAAATCTATGATATGATCCCAAGAGCACTTGAATTTTCTTATAGCTTGGGCTTTTGTTTTGTTTTTCTTTTTTCCTTTGGGTAAGCTGTTGAGATTTCTTCTTTCCCTTTCATGGAAACTTCTCTACACATTGAAATGAATCAGAAGCTCCTCCCCTGGATGGGCTAGTACTCCTCCTTCAAATGCTGAACGTCATCACAGGAGAGACAGAGGGACCTAGTGAAAGGCAGATGGTGATAAGCTCATACTTGGTGAAGAAAGGAAGAGGAAAAGAGTCTGAAACCTCTTATTGGGCTTATCTTGTTTTTAATTAACAGAATATAATTAAAATTCAAGCCAGACAAAATGACTGGATCTTAAATCAGAATTATGTCTAAGAGTGGAGACTGCAGTCATCTGTTTGCACTCATTAAAGGTGACCTCCACTACTTTCTGGGTCTCCCATTTTGCACTGCTACTTATAGGCAAGTTCTTTTTTTATTTCTTAGCCACATAAAAAAGGATTTTTTTCCTTTCTGCACCAGTACTAACTAAATATATATATATGTATATATATATATTTACATATAGTTGTACTGCACATTAGGATAAAGAATATGGTATAACAGGATACAATATAATAGATTTTTAAAAATCTTGACCTTTCTCTATAATTATTACATTCAAAATGATTCCCCTAACATTGATAATCATGTAATCTGGCAGAGAAACTAATTTTCCAGTAAAAAATTTGAAGGTTAAAGTTTTCCCTAACTTAAACAAAACGTGGCTAGAGATTATAGTTTTTGTTTTACAATCATCCCACAATATTCAAACATTCTAGTCTTACTACCTCAAAATCTACACCTAAGAGCTATCTAGGAGGTTTGTAATATCAACCCCCATAATTTTTCCTTCGAAGAGATCTGCAGCCTCAGCTTATGAAAAATGCAGTCTGTTCACCCTAGGAGAATATAAGTCATAACGTTTGTTTTGGAAATCTATTTTACCCAATATTTCTCAATGAAATAAATTGTATAAATGAAATAAAACTGACACTGCAATATTTACTAAATCACTACCGTCTGCTCTCTGCTTAACACTCTGGCTATCATTGGTTTCTCCTTCTTCAGTTTAGCAGCCGAAAGAGCAAAGGAAAAAGGCTTCTGCAAAGATGCATTTTTAAATCAATATAAATAAGGTTATAAAATAGCCACACTTAGCATGGTTTCCTCCTTCCTTGTCATCCCCATGCATTTGTCACTTTCTCACTGGCTTCTCTTCTTAATAATGTGCATTCTTCAGTTTACCAAAATGTGTGTGTGTGTGTGTGTGTGAGGAGTTCACACATAGAACTAGGGCAAAAAGGTCCAGAGAGTAGTGTAAGAGAGAAAAATTCAAGTAAATCAATCCCATGTAAACTTTATTAATGGTCTGATATTACATACAGACTGAATGATGAAAAAATTGTTAATTATAATTGACATTCTTATTTGAAAATAACTATTAATAAAAATGAAATATTTAAAGGTGAAAGTGGTTAGCCAAAAGATACTTTTAAATATCAAGTCTACAAATAAAAAGAAACAAAAATATTTTCAGGGCCCCGAAGAGCAAATGTTCCTTTTAGTCTGTGGCATCACGGAGTCACACTGTTACATTGACAATGAAGGAGACTAGACTCCACCAGCATCCTAGTCCTAGTTTTCAGGATAGCTGTGAGGTAGTGTACAAAGCCTCATGCAGAGAAATTCCCCTTTATTCTGTGGAGAATTTGATTCATGAAGGAGCAGGACTGATCTGTTTATCAGTGCTGAGAAAGTCTTGTAAAGGACATTGCCTATGAAAGGAGAGAAGGAAGGTAAAAATGGGACAGGAGGCTCTGAGGGCTCCTTTGGCAATTGAAGGTAAGGAAGGAAGAAGCTAAGCTATAAATAAAAAATATTTCTAGAAATGGTATGTGGATGATGCATTATTAATGATGGTGAAATACATCTCAATATGGAGGGGAGAGTGGCCACATCTTAAGATGGAATAGTCACTTGGTCCAAACACTGCTGATGCTCTTGTGATTTTAGAAGGATGCAAAATACCCCCTAAAGTCAAAGAGGTTTTAAGTGTTCACATGTCTACTTGATTAAGCACAAGGATGATACTAAAGAACTAATATGCAATAAAGAGATGAAAAAACACACAATGTTATTTTGATAATCTCAAATGTTTAAGCCTCACAACTGTATGAGAGCCTAGCTTACTGTCATTTAAAATTTTTTTTTTTTGTATTTTAAAAGGTCTATCTTAACTTTTAAAAACAAGTCTCATTACCTACAGAGTCTAGAAAGTACTGACTGTAGCTTGAGGTTATGAAACTGAAGGATTCCTGACTTACTGTTCTCCATTTTAACCGCTAGATGTATTTTCTGTTAACATATTCTGGGGTTAAAAAAATTGGCCTTTTTCACATTTACCTGGATTCCCAAGTATGTATCCAAACAGTATTTAGCCAGTTTACTACAAACACAAATCTTACATGTGGAGCTATGTGTGAAGGTATTATAATTATAGCAGTAATGCAAATATGGTAAAGAGGACCAAAACAGGTGACAGATGGTCACAGACTTAAGACTTATAACTTAAAAATGCAGCTTCACTTTGAAGGATGTATTGTGGTACATCCATGGACATTCAGAAAATTTGTCGGAAACTTACAAAGAAGGAAGATGGTTAGCAGCTTAATATACTCTTTTCTTTTCTTTTTTCTTTCTTTCTTTTTTTTTTTTTTTTTTTTGGTTATCTAGATGGGAGATTTAGTCCTGGTGCCTGAATTTGAGGGTCTCTCACACTGCTCATCTCAACAATCAATTTTTACTGCTGTAGAAGATAATAATGGTAATAACACTATAGAAAAAAACTACCATGACCTATAAGTTATTAGTCTTTTAAAAATAACTGTAGTGTATGCAGCTTCTTCATTTCCTGAAGTAGAAGAGAAGCTGATAGTTGGAGCCTCTGAAGCTGTTCATATATCTCCTGAATGCATGCAAGAGGTTGATTTGCTCACAAAGGAAGAGCAGCTTTGAGAATGGGCCACATGGATGAGAAAAGCGACCCAACATTAGAAATCTGCTGAGGACAATCACCTTCTGGCCCACCTGTCTTCTTGCACCAAGTTCCAGCAAAAAGCTCGCATCATGACACACTAGTGCTTTATCATCCTACAACAAAAAAAAGTCAGGATTCGAGGCCAGTTAAAGTGATGCTCTTAGGTAGCAAATTGTCAGTATTCCCAAAAGGACAGTCCTCTGATGGTGCTTTTGATACTGAAATTTCAAAGATCTCTGTTCACCTGAATGACATCCATAAATTAAGTCTCCCACAAAGTCCAAAATGTTCTTCTATTGCATTTAACAGAGAAGATACAAAATATAAAACTTTATTTCATGTGTGTGCAGATTTCCATATGCTTAACAAGAACTCACCTGGTTTCTATATTATGTGAAAAGATTGTCCTTATAAGACAAATTATATTCTAGTCACTTTCAAATGAAGTGGATTCACCAAGCACACAGTTTATCTCAGGATCTGGAAGCCTTCCTTAAAGCATGACTGTGCAACAAGAGTTTTAATGCCACTCCACTCTGTAATGCACTGCATGTTAACAAGATTTATATACATTACTGGTGCCGTTAAGGAAACTTAAATGACTTGCAGTTTCTCTAGATGAGATTTTAAAAAATCTTAAAAAGGGTGTGTAGCATACAAATGAAATCAGATTACATTAGAAGTTGTTTAAAAGTACAAACATAATACTGCTTGTGTACCAGCTATGGAACACACAGCAAAGACTTGTTTTACTTCAGACAAGCATTCTACAGTCACTGAACATAAAAAACCATAAAGTTACAGCTGCTTTTAAAATGTCACTTAGGGACAAACTGTATAGATGGGAAATTAGATAGTACTGAATGGTTCTGGAGAAGGACCAGGCCTGTACTCTGAACTCCTAACTCTGCATTCATGAGAAAGAATAAAATATTTCTCATCACTAATCATGTTTTCATATGTAGGTACCTGTACCTACAATGTGATCCAAATAATTTATCAGATTCAGAATGATTAATACTTTCCAAACTATACTTAAAATTGAGTCTAGTTATATTGTATGAAAATTGAGAAAAATGAGGTAGATGATGTTTGGGTAACAATTAAAATTTTAGGCAGATGCTTGAATGTCCGTAATTTTTTAAAATGGGGGACTCTACAGTACATGCTGCAAAAATGACTCAAGCTAGGATTTTCAGAATAACCTATATTTTAAAAGTGCAGAACAATGTCAAATCTTTAAGCTTTCAAGCAGAGGATTCGCAATAAAATGAAATCATTAGGCAAAGAGTGGTCACTGTTACGATAAGAAGAAAAAATAATTCAAAATTCTCATATCTATTATTATATTAGAATAGTTCACTTTCTTCTCTACATAATAACATTGGGTATTAAAGAGCCATTTATGCATACCTTATTATTATTTATGAAATTACAAATACACACAGTGTCTGATAACTCATCTCTCTGTATTAAATAGGAACATACATTGTTTTTTAAAATGTCTGCCTTTTACAATGTGTTAGGTAACAGCTTTCCATAGCGTAATCATGAATGCATTATATAATGTGCTTTATAAGAAATTATTAAGGATTATGACTATAGCAATGTAATTCGAATATAAATATGAATAAAGCATTTAGGAATGATATTTTCACTTAGACTGTTACCTACATAATTTGCAGCAATACAATTATCATAGAAGAAGACATACATTTACAGAAAAAGCTGTTGCTACGAATGTTAGTAAAAATCCTATAACGTAGGTGTTTTTCTAGCAACTTCACAAAACCCATGCCTTTAAAAACATGAGGAGAATCCACAATGCCACCTACAGTTTTCTTGACAGTAATCTTGCCTTGGCAGGAAAAAAGGTCAGCTTTATTTGAAAAGCCAGGTGCATGTAAATTTCCAAACTGCAAGTAGGTGGCAGTGGAGACATTTCTGGATGGCCCTTCTCAGTTGGAAATGTAAAAGGAGGAGGAAGCTTCCTTAAAAACAAGTTAAAAACATACTAAAATAAATAATTTCCTGAAATGTAACCTTCCAGATCACCATTAAGAGCTAATAAATTATTTGTCTTTAGGGACCAAAATCCCACCAATCTCTTAATGAAGACAACCATAGCATGAAAAGTGAGCAGCATGGATGACAAAATTAGAAAAAAATGAAAAGAGAGAAGTGTTGGACAATTGTTTCCCACAAATCTAAAAGAAATAATTAGGAATTTGATGTGGACAAGAAACTCCGAGGCTAGCAGCATGAAATACATAAATTTAAAACTAGTAACTTAGCATTTTAAGAAGCCATTAAGAAATCTCCTGTTTGAATGTGAATTTAAGAGTAAGGGAGATGAGTTTATTAGGATCTGGTCTTTAATGAAGAATATCAATTGAGTCCATCAAAAAATTGTGTACAAGAGGCTATTAAACAATGTAGACATATTTAAAGTGTGCTCAACTATAAACAAACACTAGAAACATTAGAATAAAACCACCTGAATTGTCTTTCAAGGTTAATGAGTTGGCATTTAGATTCATTCCATTCTCAAGTTTACTTGCAAAGATAAGAAGGGTCATTAAGTTGTATTATCGGTTCAATTTAATTGATTTGACTCGTGGACATCATATTAGAAACTGGAAAATGCCCAAGAATAAACACTGGAGGGGTGTGTGTGTGTATCAATATACATGGAAAGAAACAGGTAAATGTGTTGTAAGATGGAAAAAAAGGAAGTTAATGACATTATTTATATCGGAATCACCACGTGAAAAGAAATCAAGGTAAACGTCCAGATCAAAGCTTTTTCACACCATGACTATCTCGAATCAGCTTTTCTCCTTTCCTTAATTGGTTAACCACACACACACAGTTTAACAACAAAGGCAACCAAGTGGTCAAGGGATGCAAGAAACCTGGTGAAAACAAATGCCACGTTCTTAGTACTACTGTTCCCCTGCCTGGAACATTCTTCTTCTGTTCATCTTTTAAGATTCACCTCAAAATCCAGATACTCTAAAATGCTGTTCGGAATCCCTGATGTGAATTTAATCACTCCCTCTCCTGCAGTATTTAAAAAAACTTCTATTATAGCAATTATCACATTTTAGAATTAGAATTATTATAGTTGTGTTTGGATCTGAACGACCCCTAAGTCTGCAAGTCCTAGGAGGGCAGGGGTCAGTCCTTGACAATTTTTGGAAAATTTCTGATGCCATGCTCTGCAAGGATGTTTATCTGAATTAGTTGAAAGGATGACTTAAAACCATCTCTCAAAATACGCCATGCTTTAATGCTGTGGACAGTAAAGAATCTATGCTTTGGTGAACAACAGAAGAGTGACATGCCTGTGACTCACTCTGAATAGAGCCTTATAAAGCCTTAAAAAGAAATGTGGCACCAACCTTTACCCTCTCCTTATATACGCAGGAATCCTTGGGAGCTACAGGGTTAGTTTGGTTGCTAGGAGTAAGGCCTGAGAATTATTAGTGAACTGGCATCCTGGAAGCAGTAGGGGGCGTTTTACGCTGAGGATGCTATTGGAGGATGTACTCACAGACTGTGTGATGGGCGGTCACCTAGTCATTGTCCTGGTGACCTTTTAAATGTAAGCAGCAGGAAGCATAACTCAGGCCTGGTAGCAGTGATCAGAGTCATGGGGGAACAAACTGTAAAAATTCCAAAGCAAGGGCCATACTGAACCCAGAATTCTCAAATTCAGGAAGAAACTTCCTAGGCTAATTAATAGAGTTTGTTACTTAGGTTTCCCACATCAAAAGGGATTTGGTGTCGTTGTTTTCTACCCTTTCTATTCCTTGCCCCCTTATGGCATTACAGGTTCCTTTTGTTTTATGGTGGGGGAAAAAACCATACACACAATGAAAGAATATTGAAAAAGTTCTGTAAAAGCTCCCCTGAGAGAGAAAAA
Organism: Homo sapiens; assembly: GCF_000001405.40. Taxonomy (NCBI): domain Eukaryota; kingdom Metazoa; phylum Chordata; class Mammalia; order Primates; family Hominidae; genus Homo; species Homo sapiens. The sequence goes on from NC_000017.11 coordinate 48,261,891, forward strand.
TCTCTGGAAGTCATTCTTCCTCTTGGAAAGGCGTTGGATCAATTTCATTCTTCTCCAGATAACACATAAAACTCAGCACAGGCTATGTAAGTAAAAGAAAGTTTCAGTGAGGGTTTGTTTCTTGCTGCCAAGGGTCTGCAACTTCGAATTGCCTGAAATACTGAACATATTGAGACATGAATGCTGCAAACATCTAAAAATATTAGTAGTGTGGCTGCCTACAAAGAAGATGGAGGGCCTACCTGAGGCGGCAGAGCCTCTTACATTGGAGGGTTGGAGAGAATCATCCACCTGCAGGAGGCCCCCAGTCAGGAGGTTAGAAGACCATATTTAAGAAGAAGGAATCACAGTCCAAGTTCGGCCTCAAACCAGTACATTTTAAGAGTCTCAGTAGATAGCAAAGAGATCATAAAAATGACTCACCAAAAGGCATATATTAAAATTGGACTGGGATGCATTTTTAAGAAAGCCAGAAAACTCCAAGAGCATAGCTTCAGAATAAGAACAACACATGGTTTTTTGGGGGGGAAGTTTAATAAACTGCAGTTTTGGATTACCTTAATCCATATCCTTAATCCACAAAATTCTGTCATTCACTGTTTTGGGCAATGTGACATTATATTTTATTGTAAAGTATTATAGTATATTTCTGTTTGATGAGTAAAAACTTGAACAATTAAAATAAACAATGTATATTGTAATCTCATTGCATGAAGATTTGATTTTCCTATTCTGTTGTAAATTTTAAATTTCTTATCCTGTTAAAAAGCCCATAAAACAGATTTTGTGAACATATGTTTTATGAGCCAATGCCAAAGTAAGAGTGGTAAATCCCTCAGTCACAGACATAATCTTCAGAAGTCAACACTTAATTATTCAGCTTGTAGATTTTCCATGCTTTCCTGTCCCTCCTCCTTGGTATTTCATTGCACACACACACTTCTTTTAGAAAGCAGGCAAACAAAAGAAGTAGAAGAGATGAAACTCAGACTTGAAGGTGTGGATATCTGTAACATTACTTTGAAATGTTGTCAGCAAGGAAAAAGAAGCTAAAAGATAATAAAAATTGTTATCATTTAAGAATAGCTTTCATTTCAAAACAGTATTTCATGTGCATTTTTTTTCAAATGTCTGTTTAAAAGTTTTTGCAAATTAATTGTGGTTAGGATGTTTCAAACTAACACAGTAAATAGATTTTCACCTCAAAATTGTACCTACTTAAAAACATTTAAATTTTACTTAATACTGACTTTTAGGTTGATTCTTCAGTAAACAAAGTGAGAGCTTGTCATTAACTACCAGCAGGTGGTGGTATTCACAAATAGGGTACAAGAAATACTGAAAGGGCTATGAGTATAACCAATATGTGGTTCAGATTTATGGATTATGGATTTTAAAACATTTTTAATGGAGTTGTCAGCACACTGAAACTACTTCCATTCCCATCTGTTCCATATGAATGTGGAAACTTGGAAGTCACCTTAAAATATGTGCCTGTAGAAAGTTTTGCATTAAGAACATTGGGTCTCTTTATAAAAGCAGACAAATATTTTCTATTTTTAAATATTTAAATTTTCTGTATAACAATGAGCTTCAAACATGCACAAGTATCCTGACTCTTCCAATATTTTGGGGGCCTCTAGGTTTAGAATCTGATCTATCTTCTATTCAGGGCAGACACGTATCAAGAGGGAGCACTGACTGTATACTTTAGCCAAGCTAACCTGAGCAAATGCTGAATGGTGGGCACTGTGCACACAGTTGCTATGGAGAAAATATGTCCGTTCTTGTCTCCAAAAAAAAGGTCCCAGGTTTCAGAGGATACAGAAGCAACAAGAGGCGGTGAACTCCAGTCATCGAGTCAACAGCTTCAGGGGCTTTAGGAACAGGCTGAAATTATTTGGTTTTGACCGCCAGATGACCTCCATTGCTGCCCAGTCTGATGGACAGTCGGACCATTAGTTCTTTTAACACACATTCTTTTCCTGAAACACAGACACCACTCTGCGTTTGCACAGAGCAAGAAAGGAGAGCAAACGAGAGTGTCTGAAAGGGAGAGACAGAGACGTACATTTGCAGAGAAACTTCTAAACCAGCCGCAACCCTTCTACTGTTTTAGGGCCTAGGACTAGAGGAATTCAATCCAAGCAAAGAGACATCAGCTTTTTTTTTTTTATCTAACTTAAAAATCTGACTTTAGACTACAATTAGGCAAGATTATATCTAATAAATGTCCAAAACAAAAACATGGAAATGGTTAAAATTGATTTTTTGTATTTTCTAAAGCATTTGATATCTAGCTTAAAAATCAGCAACACTACTTTATATATATATACAAAATGTATACATATATATGTTTATACATATATATATACACACACACAGAGATCAGAAATAAAGAGGTCTTACTATGTTCTACCTAATGTTAGTTCAGGCTTACTGCAAAATTGTTTTCCACTACATACTACCCAGTTCTTTGAAATCCATTTAATGAGTTTAATTCCCAGGCCACATTACTGTGGTATATGAGATTCAATGTACATTTTATTTGTTTTCTTGGTATGCATGTGTTTTGATGTGTGAATGAAAAGTAACTTTGGTCTTATTATTCTTATAAAACAAATCAGGAGCTAAGCTTTGCTTTCAGACAACCTATTAATCCAAGGCAAAACTGAAAAGCACAAAGATTGTACTCCAAAGAGACCCATAAAGATACTGAACTTTGCCAGGAAATGGGGAGGGAAAAGGGAGTAGAAAAGGAAATTTAGGTAGAGGATAAAATTTTCTATAGATGATGAATCATTCTATCTTTAAATAAAGCAATACTTAAACTTACATTTAATCAAATCTACAAAACACACACACACACACACACACACACACACACACACACCCTCCATCTCCATTTTCTTGTGGTTGTGGCTGACAGAACTGTACTTGTCCCCAGCCTCTTCTGATTTTCCTCTTGGGATAAGTGATGAGCTATGCTGCAGTCAACGAGGAAACATCTGTTTGACTTTCCGAAGCTGGCATGGGGAGCTGAAGTCTGAATCACAAATGCCACTTTCATAAACAGGTCTCCCACAGGAACCTTGCTAAAAACATGACTCTACTGGGGTGAGCCACAGCTCTGGTGAGTGATGGGGAAGGCTGCTCTCCTTTCCAGCTATTTGAAACAATATACACTTTTTATAGGATTTGTCTGTGGTGGGATTTAATGAATTCCAATCTGTTAACAGACGTACCTGAATCCAGTTTTAATTTGGGAAGTTAGTTCATACTGAAGCTCCAAAGGCTCTAAATCTGGGAATTTTTAATTAGTAAGAAAGCTATGGCTGGGTGCGGTGGCTCACACCTGTAATCCCAGCACTTTGGGAGGCTGAGGGAGGCGGATCACGAGGTCAGGAGTTCAAGACCAGCCTGGCCAACATGGTGAAACCCCATTTCTACTCAAAATACAAAAAATTAGCCCGGCATGGTAGCAGATGCCTGTAATCCCAGCTACTTGGGAGGCTGAGGCAGGAGAATCACTTGAACCTGGGAGGCGGAGGTTGCAGTGAGCTGAGACCGCACCACTGCACTCCAGCCTGGGCCTGTCTCAAAAAAAAAAAAAGCAAGCAAGCAAGCAAGCAAGCAAGCAAGCTATGACACTGTGGTGTGTGGTTACTGTGTTCAGAAAAGACACACAAAACCTCAAATTATTTTTTAAGCATATTGACGTGGTACTTAAAAATCAGCACACAGTTTTCACATTTTATTTTATTCTAGTATTGTTGTCATCAACAATGTGAATAACTCAGAACACCACTCTGGCTAGAGGTGTGTCTAACACACCCGAACTGTAACCTTTCTCTTTCCCTCCCCCCATGAAACTAGGGAGAAAACACCTTTGGGAGCTGTATCTGCCCAAAGGCAAACTCCTGTGGCAGGTGGAACAGGGAGCTGGCCATGCTCCAAATGCCTCCCCTGTTAGAATCTTCACATCTGCATGTCTGTTTAGGTTGTCCAAGTTTTCAACTTAACTTATTTTTAAAACCTCTTTTCTTTAGTTTAGTGATTTTTCTCTTTATGAAAAATGACTGCTTGCTGTTTGATTCCTCTCTTGGGATATTTACTCATTCTCTCCTGAACAGGGCTCTCATTTCCTTGTCAGCACTTGGTTTGGCTGACATCACTGTATGATTATTAACCTGTGAGTGAGCTGGAAATATTTCCGAGATAATCTAAACACACACCCACACCTACACACACCCACACACACACATACACACACACACTAGCCTAGTCTATTCAACTGAAGTATTTGGCAAAAATAATAGATTTTATAAGCTATATCAAATAGATCTTAATGTAAATTGTTAGGCTGGTGCAAACATCATCCTGCATATTTCTAGTTCAAAGGTAGAGAGCATTTGTGTCAGAAAGGAGCTCCTTTATTATTTAAAGACAGTTTCCACCTATCAGAACAGATGGATAGTTGTTGCCTGTAAAATACGAATTATACTATACATAACAATAAATACACTATTGAAACCGTTAGTTCAAGAAATCAAGGCTGTGGCTGGAAAGCAATTTAATTTTAGAAATTCTGTTTTCCTTTTCTTTTTTTCTTTTCTTACTTTCTTTTTTTTTTTTTTTGAGACAGAGTCTCACTCTGTCACCCAGGCTGGAGTGCAGTGGCGCAATCTTGACTCACTGTAAGCTCCGCCTCCCAGGTTCACGCCATTCTCCTGCCTCAGCCTCCCGAGTAGCTGGGACTACAGGCGCCTGCCACAACGCCCGGCTAATTTTTTGTATTTTTAGTAGAGACAGGGTTTCACTGTGTTGGCCAGGATGGTCTCGATCTCTTGACCTCGTGATCCACCAGCCTCGGCCTCCCAAAGTGCTGGGATTACAGGCATGAGCCACCGTGCCCGGCCCTGTTTTCCTTTTCTTATTCCTCTTTTTCTCTTTTTTGAAATTTAAAAATGATATTTCTATTTTACAATTACTAGAGAGAATTATTGGGTGAATGAAGTGGAAATGTCCAAATATACACGAATTTTCTTTCTTTCTGTGACTAGACTAACACTCAACACGAAATGCTTTCACTGCTTGAAGGAAAGCCCTCATAGAACATAGCAGATGGCAGAATTAGCACATAGAATATCATTTTATCATGAAAAAAATGTGATGCCAAGCCAATAATTATTTTCCTCAAATTTGTTTTCCACATCTTTCCCTATACTCAGGGCTCTGAATGTTCCTACAGCATTTAGGATCTTCTGATAAATTTCCAACTTTTGAATTATGAACACTAGTAAGCCTTTTTTAGCTTTAAGTGAAATTAAGACATGAAGTAGATATATAAGTTATTAGGCCTTAGAGAAAAAAAGACAAAATTAGATACTTCTCAACATACATGATTTAACTTAAACAATACCTCAATTTTACTTTGTTCTCACAATCAAAAAATAATGTTGAACAAAAGGAACAGTAGTTGGAGAATTCTTCCAAAATCAATTTTAATTAAACACACACACACACTTTAATGTTGAATATGCCTGTTTAATCAATGATTTTGGCTCTAAGGTGATACAATCAGCATTTATACTTCAAATTACCACTTGGTACTAATAGATACTCTATACACAAGTCCTTAAGGTCAACACCCAAATTATTGCCCTATATTAATCATTAATAACTTAGAAAATGATAATTTTCTAAACCCATTTTTTTAAAAGAGCAAACACACTTGCTTAGTTTAATTTGCTACTATTAAAATGATTTGTGATTAATTTAATATCAATTAATTTAATACTAGATTGCTTACAAAATTATTTACTATATTTCTGTTCTTTTCACCACTTGCTCTTAAGTATTGAGCCATGGGAGATGTTTAGGAACTCCGTTAGGAAGGGTAATTACAGAACCAAAGCAGGGGAGGACCTGACAAAATAGATACCAACAGATAAATGGAGGGAAGGGAGAGATGGAAAGGCACACCATTTCTCATGTGATTATACAGAGGTTGCTTATAGGTACCTTTACATTATTATCTTGTGTTTGTATTATGCCCATTTTACAGATGAGAAAAGCTAAAATCAGAGAACTTAAATGACTTCTCTGAGATCATAAAGGTAGTTAATGTAATAATCCAGTGTAAGGTTTGGAATGCTTTACAAAATGAATCTCATCAAATCCTCGAAAGACAGACATTACTCTTTAGAGTTTCAAAAAAAAGAAAGAAAACTTGAAGAGGCCTCATGCAATATAATAAGCCAATTATAAAAATGAGAAGAAGATGCAAAGGATATCAGTCCTGGGCAACCAAACAATCAGTAGCTAACCCTCCAAATACTGACCTGAAATAATAACATGACAAAAGACTACTTAAAAAAAAAACAAAAAACCCACACCTGTGTTACATATTGTGCTTACTAGTCAAAAGTCCTAAATGACAATTTTCTAAAACTTGAGTACAGGCAATCCTGACTTACAAACCCTTGAGTTACCACCTATAATGTGTATTCATTGCTGTCATATCTGACACAGAGCTGCTGCGGAAAATACTTGGAAGACTGAAAAGGATGAGTTGGTACGAAGTGGAGAGATTCAAGTTAATTTTTTTTTGTTTTTTTTGAGACAGTCTCACTCTGTTGCACAGGCTGGAGTGCAGTGGCGTGATCTCTGTTCACTGCAACCTCCGCCTCCTGGGTTCAAGTGATTCGCCTACCTCAGCCTCCAGAGTAGTTGGGATTACAGGCAGGTGCCACCATACCCAGCTAATTTTTGTATTTTTAGTAGAGACGGGGTCTCACCATGTTGGCCAGGCTGGTCTTGAACTCCTGATCTCAAATGATCTACCCGCCTCAGCCTCCCAAAGTGCTGGAATCGCAGGTGTGAGCCACTGTGCCCGGCCTCAAGTTAATTTTTAACCGTAATGCTATACAAACTAAAACCACAGTAAGATTTTTAAGTTACTTGATAAAACAATTCTGAAATTTACAGGAAAAATAAAGGGGTGAAAATAGCATTTTGAAATTTTGAAAGAGAAAAGTCATGACTGACACTAACGATACTTAAAACATTCTAGAGCTACATAAGTCCTAGTACTGGTACAAAAATAGATCAATAGAATAGGATAAAGAGCTCATTTTAGATGTAATATACTAATATATAATAAATAATGCACCACAAGTAGAAGAGGGTGATTGAATAAATGATTTTGAAGAGAATAGTAATTTGGAACAAGATCAATTTAGATTCTTGTCTCACACTAATCAAAATAAATTCCACCTGAATTAAAGGTAAATATACGGAAGTCAAATTATAGAAAAACCAGAAAAGAACTGAATGTTGAACAAAACTCTAGAGAAGAAAGGACATTTTAAGTTAGAAGTGATAAAAGTAAATAAATAAATTTGACCACTTTGAGAAAAAAAAACAAAAAATAACTTCTGTGTGTAACAACTATCTGTCTACACCAGGACTAGAGATCTATACTAGTCCACTAGATACACTAGAGACTGTTATCTGTCTACACCAGGACTAGAGAATGTGGCATAAGTGGGAAGAGCTTCAGGAAGCTGACCCTGAGGGACCTGTATTTCCAGGCAGAGTTAACCTGCTATAAGGTCATATTCTTGTACAAAATTATGTAACCCACATCGCCCAAATTATTGTGCTCCATCATTATTCCACCTTAAATGCCTTCATTTAGAGATTCATTCATATTTTGAGAACACAAATATGTTCTGAAGGATAGTTAGTGGAGATAACAATCACTCACAAATTGGCACAAAATTAATTAGCTTAGCTTCCTCCTACATCTAGCTGTGATAAGCTGCACTAAGTTAAAGAGAGCTTTTATCTAGTGGGGATGGAAAGTAAGTGATTTGTGAGTTTAATAAAGAATTTATTTTTTATTATTAAAAAATGAGGCCGGGTGCGGTGGCTCACGCTTGTAATCCCAGCACTTTGGGAGGCTGAGGCGGGAGGATCACCTGAGGTCGGGAGTATCACCTGAGGTCGGGAGTTCGCGACCTGCCCGACCAACATGGAGAAACCCTGTCTCTACTAAAAATACAAGATTAGCCAGGCATGGTGGCGCATGCCTGTAATCCCAGCTACTCAGGAGGCTGAGGCAGGAGTATCGCTTGAACCAGGAGGCGGAGGTTGCAGTGAGCCAAGATGGCACCACTGCACTCCAGCCTGGGCAACAAGAGCGAAACTCTGTCTCAACAAAAAGAAAACAACTTTATTATATTTTCTGCGTCCTAAAATATGAAAAACATAGTGAAATTTTAAACGATATGGAAAACATAAATAAATAAAAGTCATCAAAAATATCTCAGTATTTGTGACTTTTCTTTTGGATAACTTTTTTGCATACATGCATGTGCTCACACATACACACCTAATTTTAGCAAAATCAAGTCAGTCTTTAAAAATTTTTTAAATTAATTTAATTTTATTATTTATTTATTTTTGCGACAGAGTCTCGCTCTGTCACTGAGGCTGGAGTGCAGGGGTGGAATATCGGCTCACTGCAACCTCCACCTCCCGGGTTCAAGCGATTCTCTTGCTTCAGCCTCCTGAGTAGCTAGGATTACAGGTGCGCGCCACATGCCTGGCTAATTTTTGTATTTTTAGTAGAGATGGGGTTTCTCCATGTTGGCCAGGCTGGTCTCGATCTCCTGACCTAGTGATCTGCCGGCCTCGACCTCCCAAAGTGCTGGGGCTACAGGTGTGAGCCACTGCGCCTGGCCCTATTTTTTATTTTTTATCTTTTTAAGGCTAGTCAAGTGAACAAGTAAGTCTTTAATGCTGTTTTGTAGCATGCTTTTTCACCTTCTAAAAGGTCAAGGCTATTTTTTACCAAAAAAGTAGATTGTTATCATTGTGTTTATGACATACTGTTCATGATTCAGATACATTATAATTTGTTTAACAAATCTCCCACTGATGGATACATAGGTTGTTTCCAAATTTGCACTATAATTATTAATGCTGGAATTCAATTTTTGTACAAATGAATTTGGAAGTGCTTTTAAAGGTAGTGCAGGTTTAAGCGGGGGGAGGGGGTTGGTGGGAGGGGGGCATGAACATATGGTGAACCTGAGCAGAAGAAGGGAGGTGTCAGAAGGAGATAGGAGAGCACCAAGGAAAATTTTGCTTGTTTCTTTTTTTAAACATTTCCTGTAGCTGGCTTTGTGCCTAGAAAATAGGAATAAACTCCTATTACACACCTCTCTATTTTTAAACTCCAGAAAAAAGGTTAGTGACCTATAATTAGCCACATCAGCAATTACATACACTTTTTTAGGCTGGCCTAAGAATCTAAACACTATATTTCTATTATAACCATATTACGAGTACCAACAGTTTTTAAATTGGAAACTATATATATATATTTATTTAAAGTCAACAAAATAGCAATATTCATTCAATAAACCTGACAGTGATATTAATATTCTTGTTTCTTTGTTTCTTTTTTTTTTTTTTTTTTTTTTGAGACAGGGTCTCACTCTTCTGCCTAGGCCAGAGTGCAGTGGCACAATCACAGCTCACTGCAGCCTTGGCCTCCTGGGTTCCAGCGTTCCTCACACCTCAGCCTCTTGAGTAGATGGGACCACAGCGTGTGTCACCACACCTGACTAATTTTTTTTAGTATCATTTGTAGAGATGAGGTCTTGCCCAGGTTGATCCTGAACTACTGGCCTCAAGCAGTCTTCCTGCCTCAGCCTCCCAAAGTGCTGGGATTACAGACATGAGCTACTGCACCTGGACTATTCTTGTTTCTTGATTTTTTTTCTCTATTCAGTGATTTTTAAGAGCTGGTGGGAACTGTATTAAAATAATTTTGGAACTTTTCAAACCAAGCATACTTTCTCCAATCTTCTGATTTGACTTGGGTGAGGACATTTATATTCCAAAAAATCTCCTTAGGGGATTCTGATACATGCCTCCCATACCACTTCTACTTCTTGTCTGAGAAGTGTTGCTTTTTATCTATTGCTACTTTATCAATTTATGTTTTGACTTCCTAAGTAAATTGACATCCCTCTTTTAAAAAAAACATGGAAGGGTATACTTCTTCTGAATCTCAAAGTTAGTTATAATGCTTGTGCATCATAAATACATAACATTTTACTGGATAGATGAATGATAGATAACTATGTACTTCGGCTATTTAATTCATGTAGAAAATTTAAATATTATAAAAGCAGTAATGATTCTCAGATGTTTTTAAAATAAATTGTCTTCCTTTTTTTTTTTTGAGATGAAGTCTCACTCAGTCACCTAGGATGGAGTGCAGTGGTGCGATCTCAGCTCAGTGCAATCTGTCTACTGGGTTCAAGAAATTCTTCTGCCTCAGCCTCCCGAGTAGCTGGGATTACAGGTGTGTGCCACCATGCCTGGCTAATTTTTGTATTTTAAATAGAGACGGGGTTTCACCATGTTGGCCAGGCTGCTCTCGAACTCCTGACCTCAGGTGATCCATCCACCTTGGCCTCCCAGGGTGCTGGGATTACAGGCGTGAGACATCGTGTTCCTCTTCCTTTTTAATTTGGGAACTAAGACTTAGGAATTGTTGCGATTGCCATTATAAGTCTTCTTTCTCAGTTCCAGATTCTAGGGACAAAGAACTATCTAAGTAAAGATGATCTTATTTTTAATTTTTATTTATTTTTATTTTTTGAGAAAGAGTCTCACTCTGTCATCTAGGTTGGAGTGCAGCAGTGCGATCTCAGCTTACTGCAACCTCTGCCCATTGGGCTCAAGTGATCCTCCTGCCTTAGCCTCCCAAGTAGCTGGGACCACAGGTGTGCACCACGACTCCTGGCTAAGTTTTTGTATTTTTGGTAGAGACGGGGTTTCACCATGTTGCCCAGGCTGGTCTCGAACTCCTGAGCTCAAGCGATCCACCCACCTTGGCCTCCCAAAGTACTGGGATTACAGGTGTGAGCCACTGTGCCCAGCTGAAGAGGATCTTATTTTCATAAATTTCAATGTCAATGTCTTAACATGAGTTGACAAGTCATTGGGACACTGGGAATGACTTCTGCAGCACTAAAATATGTTTAAATATAGAAAGGCAACAAGGATAAAGTATAGCAGGTTTGATCATTAAAACTCTTAAAGAGCAGCTCAGAATTTGCTGTGCCAACTGCACTCCTTCAATCCAGCCAACCTCCTGGGAATGGAGCTTCTCTATGTAAAGATGTTTATTTCTACTGGATTTAGAACCATTTCACTTTCCTGCCTAATCAGCATGAACTCCAGGATCAACCACACTCGATACCCTTTCCCTTTGATATCTATTACACTCCTGCAATTCCCAACATTTTGCATCAATCTGAACATTTCCTTTCTGTGCCTCCTGGGCCATCAAGCATACCAGAAATAAACAGAATGCTTAGGTAACTGACATATTTAATTTATTTATAATTTTCAACCTCCACTGGACGTTTAGTATTCTTCAGAAATCCTTTGCTTGATTCCATTTCTTGTTTCCCAAGGGCTATATATGCCAAACTTTTATCACTGTTTTTTTTTTTTTCTTTTGAGATGGAGCTTGCTCTGTCACCCAGGCTGGAGTGCAGTGGCATGATCTCAGCTCGATCTCCGCCTCCCTGGGTTCAAGTGATTCTCCTGCCTCAGCCTCCCTAGTAGCTGGGATTAGAGGCACCTGCCACCGCGCCTGGCTAATTTTTGTATTTTTAGCAGAGGCGGGGTCTCACCACGTTGACCAGGCTGTCTCGAACTCCTGACCTCTCAGGTGATCCACCCACCTCGGCCCCCCAAAGTGCTGGGATTACAGGGCTAAGCCACCGTGCCCGGCTCTTTTATCATTCTTTAGCTCCAATTCTATCTCCCCTTTTGTATAGTCTCTATTAGTGATTCTCAATTTTAGTATGAATAATTGTCACCTGCAGCTTGTTAATAATGCAGATTCAGGGGCCCCTTGCACTAATATTCTAATTCACTAAGGGTAGGCTTGAGGAATCTCCAGGTTTAAGAACTCTGGTGATTTATATTCTATTTTAAAACGTTTACTTTTAGAGATGGGGTCTTGCTCTGTCACCCAGGCTGGAGTGCAGTGGTACAATCATAGCTTATTCAGTGCAGCCTCAAATTCCTAGGCTCAAGGGATCCTCCTGCTTCAGCCTCCTGAGTAGGTAGGTCAATAGGCGTACACCACCATGCCTGGCTAATTAAAAAAAATTTTTAGGCCAAGCGAGGTGGCTCATGCTTGTAATCCCAGCACTTCAGGAGGCCGAGGTGAGCAGATCACTTAAGACCAGATCCAAGAGTTTGAGACCAGCCTGACCAACATGGAGAAACCCTGTCTCTATTAAAAATACAAAAAATTAGCTGGGCATGGTGGCACGGGCCCGTAGTCCCAGCTACTCCAGAGGCTGAGGTAGGAGGATTGCTTGAGCCTAGGAAGCAGAGGTTGCAGTGAGCAGAGATTGCATCACTGCACTCCAGTCTGGGTTACAGAGTGAGACTCTGCATCAAAAAAAAAAATTTTTTTTGGCCGGGCATGGTGGCTCACGCATGTAATCCCAGCACTTTGGGAGGCCGAGGCAGGTGGATCACCTGAAGTCGGGAGTTTGAGACCAGACTCACCAACATGGAGAAACCCCGTCTCTACTAAAAATACAAAATTAGCCAGGTGTGGTGGCAGGCGCCTGTAATCCCAGCTGCTCAGAAGGCTGAGGCAGAAGAATCGCTTGAACCCTGGAGGTGGAGGTTGCGGTGAGCTGAGATCGCACCATTGCACTCCAGCCCGGGCAACAAGAGTGAAACTCCTTCTCAAAAAAAAAAAATTTTTTTTTCTTTTAAAGAGACAGGGGTCTCACTATGTTGTCCACCTGGTCTTGAACTTCTGGCCTCAAGTGATTTTCCTGCCTCAGCCTCCTGAGTAACTGGGATTATAGGTGTGAACCACAGTGCCTGGCTCCAGTGATTTTAATATTCATCTTTTCTTCCCTCTTCCAGTCCTGTTTCCAAAAAGGAAGAGGCTCTACTCCCTTCCAAGGCCAACCATTCAACCTTGCTACAACTGCCATCACCTCCTTCCTTCTCCTAGATAATGCTCCATCATCTATCTTTCCTGTGTCTTATACTTTCAATCCCTCCTCCTCCACCAACTCTTTTGCTAGAGAAAAGACTCAATTTTCTCTCAACTTCAAATCCCTGTGGCTGTTTCATTCCCTTTCACTTTACCAGACTTCCAGTAAAGCAATCTGTACTGATGCTTCCACTTGTCACTTCCCATTACTTCCTCAACCATGGAGTTTTGGCTCCCACCTTTAAAGCTACTCTTAATTTGTCCTTTCGAATGTACCCAGTGACCTGCTAATTGTCAATCCCAATGACCTCTTCTTAGTCCTTATTCTCTCTGATCTCCCTGCAGTATTTGATATTGCTGAGCCCTTTCTTGAAATTATTTCCTCCCTGGGTTCTCCTCCTACCTCTGATATCCATTTAGGGGGATCTTTGCTAGCTCCTCTGTCTGCTTCATCGTATGTTGACATCTCTCAGGATATTATCTCTGGTCCTCTTGTTTTCTTCCTTTATAGTCTCTCCCTGGATTATCTATCTCTTGACCTTTAACTCTCAGCTTTAATACAAGGGATCTTAAATCTTTTTTCATCTCTGAAAAGCCTTTCATTTGAAGTTTTGAACTTGTAATTCCATGTTCCCAGTGTGTAACTTCTTGAACTTGAATGATGAGTTTGGTTTTGGACATTGTTGGGTCAGGGTTCTTAGCTGCAAAGCAGAAGCTGAGTCAAGGTTGGAATCAAGGGAGCTCCTGAGGGCAAGGGACAGGAACCACAGCAAAAATCCCAACTATTGTTGTTGTTGCTGCTGCTGCTGCTGCTATGAGTATCATCACCAGATGTCCTCATATCTTTGAATCACTTGATTAAGATTCAAAGTCTTCAAAGAGGAAATATCCATTTGGTCAAGCCTAAATCATGTGGTTGGACCCTAGTAACACAAGAGGTGGGTGAAGAAGGATTTGATAGTGGAAAGGGACCACTATATCTTATTAATACCACACATAATAGGAGATAACATGAAGGGGATGAGAGAGTTTATAAGAAGGGGGAGGGTCTGACTGCAATGGCAAGCAATGAAACATGCCCACCACAAAATACTAAGGTTGATCAGTCCCCAATGTCTTAAAAAATAAAGCCTAACTATCAACCGTAGGTGACAGGATTGGATCAAGAGAGAAATAAATAACCATATGATTCACAACTAACCGTAATCTACCCCCCCAGCCACTCTCTCTAAATATTCTCCAATGTGCCAAGAATTTTTATATAATTTGCTTTTGTTTTCTGCTACTTTCTCTTTCTAGGGAATCTTTACTTTCTTTATTTGGTTAAATCTTACTTATCCTTCAAGATTTGGCTAAATGTCTTCTCCTCTGTGAAGTCTTCCCTGATTCCCCTGGGCAAAATTAATCATTTATTTTGTTCTCCCTCCACTTAGCACTTTGCTGAAAACACTAATATATCTTAATGATTATGGTTAGTTGTACACATCTGTTTTCCACTGGATTATTAGTTCCTTGAAGGCAGGGACTAGGTCTTATTCATCTTTATATCTTCACAGTCTGCATCAGTAAGGAAGAATTAGGAAGCAGAAGGGGTGATGCTGCTATAATGATGAGGTCTCTTAACTTGTGGTTTACATTTTTTCAGCTTAATTTCTTTTGTTCCATACATGGTACTTCCCTAATCATTTCAAATGAAACAGTCTATGGAGTTCTAGGTCAACTTCACCCTGGGTCAGGTAACTTTTGTTATTTCTATTCTTTAGGTGAAGGAAGCAGAGTGTAATGTTCCCGTTGCTCTTCACAACTGAGGTATCATCAGTACTTTCAGAGGTCTTACAAGCAATTCAATTTTGCTTAATTGACATATGTTTCTTTCAGAAGCACAGATTGAGCTAGTTGTATGCGTTTCTCTGTATCTTAGACACTGGGCTTAAAACTAAGAACACTAAAATACTTTATGTAACAAGTGCATTGAGATCTTTATGTGACAGACTTTAGACACAGGAGATGACCTCCAACAATGGAAATAGTGTCTGTGATTATGAATCAGTTTCCTTTTGGTAAAAAATATTTCTATGAAATGTCTGCACAATAATATGGTCAATAAGCATCATAGGCCTAAAAGGAAATTTAAGTTTCTCTTTTAAGAATACTTCTTTTATATTACAGAAATGATCTCATTTACTTAATACATTTTTCAAAAATTAAGAGAATGCTTTCAATTTTCCAAAGGTTAGGAAAACAAAGTACAATCTGAAGGCTCTATTTGTAAAAGAAAGTGTTATTTATAGTTAAATTTATCAAGTGGACATTCAGCAGCAGCTGAGTATTAAAGTTGCATTCCTAGAAAACTAGATATTTCATACCTAATCTGTGCTTAGTCAAGCCACAAAACCTCAAACTAACAGACCCTCTGTCATTTGCGGATAGTCTAATTTATCTATACTGAAATTAAACATTTAAAAAGGTCTGATTACACGATTAATATATGGAGCATTCCTGATTAGAAAAAGGCTCAAATTCTGAAGATGTTAATTTATTTTTTGGTTGATTCTGACCATATTCTGTCATCAACAGCCTTTTCAATTCCCACTTTTTGAGACAGGTTTCAAGAAAATGGAAATTTGGGGTTATTAGATTAGCCATGAAAAACCAGTGAAAAAAATTTTTAACAAACGTCATAGAAAATCACTCAATGAAAATAAAAAGGTGTTTAATCAACTTTGTTATTTATTTTAAAGACAGGGTCTTGCTCTGTTGCCCAGGCTCCCAAGTAGCTTAGGACTACAGTCTCATACCTCTATGTCCAGCCAATTTTTTATTTTTATTTTTGTTAATATGTTGCCCAGGCTGGTCTTGAATTCCTGGCCTCAAGTGATCCTCCCCTCACCTCGGCTCCCAACACACTGAGATTACAGGCTTGGGCATCACTGTGCCTGGCCTCAGCTTTATTTGTTCTAAAGGAAATTATGAATAGTAATGGTTATTACATAAGTAATCTCTATGATGTGGGAAACCATTAAGCACCTTTTACATACTCTAAATAAGAATTATGCTTTGGGTTTTTATCATATTTCTAAAATATTTTCTAGCATGAAACATCTAACTTAACATTACACACAAACACATATTCCTATTTATCCTTCCAGACATAATATAGTCACTGTCATTACAAAGCCTTCTTTGTGCTAACTTCTTTGTTCTCTCTTCTCTGCTCCCATGTTACATTTTACCATAATCATTTTCTTGTATCTCTATCCCCCATTAGGCATTGAGCTCATCCTGGGCAGAGAACGGACTCTCTTCACATTTGAATTTTCAGTGCCTACGCTGTTCTTTTTTCTTTTTCTTTCTTTACCTGCATGGTTCTTGACACATAGTAGTAGATGTCCGGTGTGTGTTAGTTGAATGAGTTAATAAATGAAAAAATAAATTACATGTATATAATAGAATATAATTCTAGCACAACGAGACCTCAATTATAATAGAATATAATTCTAGTACAACAACAGTTCAACGAGAGTGGAGAAAAGGATGGAATCATGTGAAGTCTTCCAGATGTGTTAATTATGTTGAACCTAATGCTAAGGATAGCAAAAGTCTTTGAAGAATGGCCAAGAGTGAATTTTGGGAAGTCAAGTTGAATGATTAATAGTCCAGATGAGAATCTGTAATGGCTTGGTGGAGATGGCAGGGATGGAGAGTAACAGAAGTATCGGAGAAATACTTACGATGAAGAATTGATAGCATCTGGTGAGTGGCTGGATACTGGGCTGGGGTAAGAGAGACAGGAAGTCAAAGATGAGAGCACCATTTACCAAGAGAAAGAAGAAAAGGTACAGATTTTAGGGGGGAGAAAACAAAGTTTCAGACATATTGAGTCAGGTACTGGAAAGACATCCATGTGTTACTATGAGGAGGGAACTATTCCTATCCTCCCCTCTTACACACCAGGAAACCTGGGCTGAGGGAGCTTACATAACTTACTAATTGCTTCCCAGACCTGCCTCCAAAGTCCATGTTGTTAACTCCCAGGCCATACAGCATATGATTCTTTGTTTAAGGAAAACACCAATATATTGCAAGCCGAGTTATACTCCTGACTTCTGAGTACTAAATGTGTCTCAACTGAAGCAACTATCCTGGAGGATGAGGCCACTTAACAGCTTCCAAAGCAAGGTGACGGTATTCTTAAGGCCTCCTTCCCACACACTTCTCTGCCAAAATAGATGGCAGCTAAGCCAAAGAGCACTGGAGAAAGACATGGAGCAGAAAAAAAAAGAGAAGATCCTCAGGGCGCTGGTAGAAGTGCAAAGGTCTTGTTCAGGTGAAAGAAAATGTGTAATAAAATTCACCGGTTCAGCTGAACAGGTAATTACAGAGTTAATAAAACAAGGATTCCTGACACAATAGATTCTAACACTGCCATGGGTGTCATAGTCACTAAGTGACTTTTTAGTTTGCTGATCATTGATCCACTAGACACTAACAGCTCCAATCGGATCAATGCAGGATAACATATGAGGAGGACTTTGCATGTTAAAAATCTACTGGAAATTTTACATGAAAGAGTTCATTATCTGGGTAATGTGACCTGTGTCCAAATGATACATGTGGACCATTTGTCAGGTTTTTTAATGGAAAAAAATGAATTTTTTTCTAAAAGCCTAATTATGTGATAAATTCCACTGCCGAGAAATTGAAGCCACTTGGGTGTCATGAATGTGTAAACATGTTAATTCGAGGGCTGTGTTACCTAAAGAAGTATATTTCATTCCACTCTCTTAGCTTCCCTTTCCCCAACGGGGTCATCTCATCCATCTCCTCCATTCCTATGGCCCACCAACACTCTGTTCTTGGGTCTTTCTCTCTTCGTAGCCTGGGCCAGCTTCCATTTTCCCTAAATCCTTCTTTCCTGTGCTCACAGTTCCTTCTAAGAGCTTGTCTCCTAAGGCCAGCATTTAACCCAAGGTCCCTTTGCTATCTTCATTCCCTGGGGCCCTGTTGTCATACAGTTTTATCAGAAGAGAGCAGACAGAGAAGAAAATATACTTATTTCTCATGGAAAGAACTCATATATTGCTTGGTTCTAGAAAGAAAAATGATCTAAAGCAATAATAATAAGCTTGTTTATGGAAACTAGACAAATCAAAAAGAGTTCTGGAAAACATATTTTGTATGTTTGGTTTTAAATACTTTATTGAGATATAATTTACATAAAATACAATTCTTGGCCAGGCGCTATGGCTCATGCCTGGAATCTCAGCATTTTGGGAGGCAGAGGTGGGAGGATTCACCTGAGGTCAGGAGTTTGAGACCAGCATGGTACAACATGGTGAAACGCCGTCTCTACTAAAAATACAAAAATCAGCTGGCTGTGGTGGTGGGCGCCTGTAATTCCAGCTACTTGGGAGGCTGAGGCAGGAGAATCACTTGAACCTGGGAGGCAGAGGTTGCAGTGAGCCGAGATCTGCACTCCAGCCTGGATGACAGGCTGCACTCCAGCCTGGGTGACAGAGTGAGACTCTGTCTCAAAAACAAACAAAAAACAACAACAAAAAATGACACACAAAAAACACAATTCTTTTTAAATGTACAGTTTAATGAATTTTGACAAATATATACATATATATATAGTAGTTGTATAACCACTACCAAATCAAGATATAGAATATTTCCATCACTCTGAAAAGCTCCTTTTTGCCCCTTTGTAGTCAATCCACTCTTTCTATCACTGGCCTTGCCAATCATTGATCTATTTTTGTGTCTATAGCTTTGACTTTTTAGGGATGTCAAATACATGAAATCATATAGTATCTAATATTTTATGTCTGGCTTTCTTTAATTAGCATAAAACCTTTAAGATTCATCCATGTAGTTGTGTGTATCAGTAGTTTATCCCTTTTTATTGCTGAATAGAAACACAATTTGTTTATCTACTCACCAGTTGATGGATACTTGGGTTCTTTTCAGTTTCAGTGAATAAAGCTGTTATAAACACTCAAGGCAGAACCTGTACTCAGACTTAGGCAGTCTAAACCCAGAGCTCAGGTTTTTTTACTTTTTTATTTTTATTTATTTTTTATTTTTTGAGATGGAGTCTTGTTCTGTTGCCAGGCTGGAGTGCAGTGGCGTGATCTTGGCTCACTGCAATCTCTGCCTCCTGAGTTCAAGCGATACCCCTGCCTCAGCCTCCCAAGTAGCTGGGATTACAGGCACATGCCACCATGCCCGGCTAATTTTTTGTATTTTAGTAGAGATGGGTTTTCACCATGTTGGCCAGGATGGTCTTGATCTCCTGACCTCGTGATCCACCCACCTCGGCCTCTCAAAGTGCTAGAATTACAGGCGTGAGTCACTGCACCTGGCCCAGAGCTCAAGTTTTAAAGCACTTCAGTCTACTGGTGCCCAATAAGAAACCATGAAGCTCTTTGTCATTGTCATGGCACTCCCTGATGGGGTTCTTCTCACTGCTCCTAGTGCCTGTGATGCTCTCCAAGTGGAGACTGCCTGATCGCACATCAAATGCTGCTCATTTAGGCTGGCAGGCAGAGGCAGCGTGCTTTCAAATTGTGCTTTAAAGAAAAACCTTTATATTTCCAAACAAATTAAGGGAATTTACTTGTAAGGAAAATCTAATTTAGGTATCTTTAAAAGGAGAGGTTTAGAAAATAAGAAATTAACACTGTGGCCACCATCTAGTGATCCATGGCTTAAGTTTTAACATGGCACTGAAAACTTCTCTTACCCATAAGTGTTGATCTAGTATAATTTATTATCTTTGGAACAGTATAAGTTTATTATAAAATCAATGAGAAAATATATGCCATTAGGCATGCCCTCATACTCATATTGTTTAGAAAAACAATAAAACAAAAACAGACAAAAAATAAATATTAATATTTACTAGTTTATGGACAGGCAAGACAACTTTTTAAAAATCCTAGTTTATCTAATGCATATATTTTTAGTACTGCAGCAATAAGGAAAACCTGAAGAACAACAGCTAAGTGTAACTAAGAGTACATATTCTACAGTTAAAAAAATCACACAAGCATTTACTTGATTCTTCATGCACCGATAAGAATGGTAAAGAAAACAGAAATCCCAAAATAATATAAGTTTGTCTCAGCTAACAATATCATTTGGAAAATTCTTATGTTTACCCAAAGTTGAACTGCACTTAATACTTTCTTTTATGCCTTTCTGTTTCATTTTATTAGATTAAGAAATTATAAAAAGTTTAAACATGTACAAATGTATAGAAAATAATGTAATGAACCTCCTGTAGCTATCATCCAGCTTCAACAATTATCAACTCATGGCCAATTCTGTTTCCTCTATTTTCCTCCATTCATTCCTCACCTCTACCCAAACTAATGCCTTATTTTTTTTAACTTTGTACTTTGAAATAATTTTAAGTTTTCAGAAAAGTTGCAAAAATAGTACAGAGTTCTCATCTATCCTTCACCCTGTTCCCTCAAAGCTAACATATTGCATAACCACAGTATAACTATCAAAACTAAGAAACTGCTTTTGGCTGGGCAAGGTGACTCATGCCTGTAATCTCAGCACTTTGGGAGGCCAAGGCAGGAGGATTGCTTGAGCCCAAGAGTTCAAGACCAGCCTGGGCAACATAGTGGGACCTCAGCTCTACGAAAAAGTAAAAAGTCAGCCAAGCATTGTGGTGTACGCCTGTAGTCTCAGCTACTTAGTAGGCTGAGGTGAGAGGATTGCTTGAGCCTAGGAGGTCAAGGTTGCAGTGAGCCAAGGTCGTCTCGCTGCACTGCTGCTGCCTCAGTGACAGAGCAAGATCTGGTCTCAAAAAAAAAAGAAAGAAAAGAAAAAAAGAAACTGCCCTTTTTTTTTGGTAAGGAAAATTGCACATTTTTGTGCTCCTCTGATAAATGCAAACCCACCCATCTGAGGGAACAATAACTACAAAATGCCATCCACTCTTAGCAATTATGTAATTCCATGTAATTATTTTCTCAGTTTGGCTAAAAAAAGCAAGTACTTTGAGATCTCTAAAATAGTCACAAACTAGTGCATTTTCTAGTTAAGAAGATGTTTGGGAGAGTCAAACTCTTATTTCAGAGACAGAATATAATTTAATAATTACCTGAATACAGAAACACCAATGAAGTTGTGGCTTAGACGTGTTGGGCATTTGTAAAATATAGGTAATATCAAGAGACTCCTGCTGTGAGTCAAGACAAACAAGCTTCCCCCTGCCACCCAGCATAACTGATGAGAGAATGCAGAGAAAAGTGATTAGAGTAGACTATGATACAGAGCTGGAGAAAGTTTCCTAAGGGAAGACATGTTTAAAGTTGTATCTAAAATTCAGATGTAATAAGAAAAATAAAATAATAATAAAATTTAGATGCATATATCATTAAGGCAGCATAGCATAGTGCTTAAAGCCAGGATAAACTCTGGAATCAGACTGCATGGGTTCAAATCACAGTTCAACTTCCTCTTGGTCTGTGACCTGGGGCAAGTTATTTAACCCTTTCAGACTCTGACTCTAGGTGCTTATAATAACCTCTGCCATCTATGGATGCATCAGCCTTGGTCCAATCAACCATACAGCAGAGATCATATGTCTGTTGACTTGGCTGACTGGCTATATTTCACTCTAACTATAATCTAGCAGCAGGCAGGGGGCAGGATCTCACTAACTCTTGAAGATCTTAGTGGTGGTGGATAGATTCCTCTTCTGAAGTGAGCGACGGCTGGATACAAGCTGCTGCTCCATTCTGTTTCCCTCTGGGTGGGAAATAACTTAGGAATAAGGAGGACAATGTGCTCTCAGTCTGCCTAACTGGCCCTTCTGTCTGGGCATCTTGTACCTAGCTAGTTCCCCAGGGCAGAAGTGGGACTCTAGCCAGCCTCCTCTTCTGAGATCAGACTGTACTTCCCTCCCTGATTAATGTCCCAGACTCTCACCTGTCATTCTTGGAACACCATGATTACTCAGTTTATTTCAATGCCATTCTCTGTCTACTCCTCTTAGAATGCCTGGGATGTAACTTTGAAATTGTTTGCCCAGCCTAAACTCAGCTCACAGGTAAAGGAGCTGCTCCCTCCCTTTCATATTGCTAAGATTTCCTTTATCTCTCCACTTGCTTCCCCCTCCTTCCTGCTAAATCCCACACAGTCCCTTCTCCTAGTAAGAGCTGCCAACTTGTTGACTGGCCAATTCAACTCCATTTATGGCAAACATTTGTAGTTGTTCTGATTTTAATGGGGCTACCCTTTATAATAATGTTTTTAAAAAGTAGGTCACGAATAGAACCAATAAAGATAAGAAATAATTTCTGGAGGCCAATTTCTCTTAAGACATTCTATATCAAATAAAAACTTTATGGTGGGTTTGAAACACTGAAACAGACCACTCATGAGTAGTTATTAGAACATGGAGGAAAAACTGTTTGCCATTTTAGCATAGGTAATTTACAAAATGTCATTCTTTTCAATGTACTCAGAGGCACATGGGCCTATGGTGGGTTCTGCCAATTTCAAAGGTGATGATCTATGAAGGAGATTTGGATATGAGTACACAGGTGACTTCTATGTTCAGACATACTCTGTCATCATGTTCAAAAACAGCTTCCAAAAAGCACAGTTGGCATGTTGTGAGAAAAAATACACTTATATTCAATATATCCCTTTTTTATAAGTAACGCAGGGATCTATACATCTTTGACAATTTTGCTCTCACCTTAACTAGAGAACATATCTATGTCAACTAGCATATATTTTAGCAGTTGTAGAAGGTTGGAAATCTTAAAGGAAACCAGACTTTAGCCAAGTCTGGGAGGACCTGCCTTTCAGGGGCTGCTAAAGAATTGGTGGAGACATACATGGTAAGACTGAAAGCATTTGGATTTTCTTCACAATTCAACACAATTCTCCTATAGTAGTCATTAAACTCTGATCAGGTTACCAGATTGGTAGTTTTCAGCACACTGAAATTCTTAGTTGCTGAGATTTATGAAAGCCATATTGAAAGACATTGAGGTATGGATTTGCCTATAGAGCAATTATTAATATATGGAGATTTCTCTTATAGTAGGCCTGAGTCCTCTTCTGACGCACAGAGAGGGCCATGTTTTATGATTTTGGTGCATTTACTCTCTAAGCTCTCCAAATCCTCACAGCCATCTCTAAATGTTCTTTTATGGTATTTGCTTTATGGCCAAGATGTTATTAAGTATGAGAAATGAGGCATTTAGCAACATATTTGAATAAGGGAATAAGATGGGAGTGGTGATTCTAGTAAAGGAGCAGAAAGCTTACTTATACCTCCTCTCCTTTATACGATACCACCTCCTCTTTCTGGTCATACTGAGTCTAGAGAGAAAAAGGGAGCCCTGGCCGGGCACTGTGGCTCATGCCTGTAGTCCCAGCACTTTGGGAGGCCAAGGCGGGTGGATCACGAGGTCAGGAGTTGGAGACCAGCCTGACCAACATGGTGAAAACCTGTCTCTACTAAAAATACAAAAATTAGCCGGGCATGATGGCGTGTGCGTGTAATCTCAACTACTCAGGAGGCTGAGGCAGGAAAATCGCTTGAGTCTGGGAGGCGGAGTTTGCAGTGAGCCAAGATCGTGCCACTGCACTCCAGCTTGGGTGACAGAGCAAGACTCCATCTGAAAAAAAAAAAAAAAAGGGGAGCCCCTATGTCAATATTTCCTATGAGCCCTTTTGATCCTCTGACCCTAAACAAATGCTGCATTTTTATCATTCATTTTTTTCTCCACCAGAAATCATAACAGCCATTATGTGCAATTCTGTGGTGAGAAAAGGAGACAGGAATTCTGAATATTGCTCCTTAATCTGTTCCTTGTTTTCTCAGACATTTACTTTTGGAGTCAGATGTATATGAACATTCCTGATTTGCCACAGCTGAGCAGTATGGCTTTAGGAAAGTTACTTAACCTCTCTGATTCTCAAGTGTCCACATTGATGAAATGGGCATGGTAATATCTACTTTACAGAATTACTGTGAGAATTAAAATGAGATATTATATGGAAAACAGCCAGTACAGTGCTTAGCACATAAAGGGCTCTCAATAAATGATTGCAACAGTAATTTCTGATAGCAGTGACTCAGCTTGGGGAAAAGTCTTAAACAGGTTGGGGAGGCTACCTCAAATGCTTGATGAAAGGAGAAAACATAGAAACAAACAAGAAGACAAATGAGGTGTCATTCATTTTACCTTACAGAGAAGATCTGCTGTATAAGACTAAATTTTAGGTGTTTCTGAATGTGGGATTATTGTTAGACCACAGCAGGAAGGCTGTTTCAATCATATAGGGATGCATATAAGAAATGTGAAGCCTGGAATATATAACAAGATTTATTTTTATAACCTTCAGTGAGAGGTATTGTGCAAGTATAAATTATATATTTTCACTTTTGTAATTATACCTAAACCACATACTCCCAGAAGATTTCATTATGTAATTCCTCAAACTTAACTTCAAGTTTCCTTTATAAAGCAATGTTCTATAAAATTGCAATTTTCTATAATATTGCCATTGCAATTGCTATATGTAACACTTCAAATAGTATATGTGGGATCTCTAGGTATTTGAACTAGAAAAGCAAAAATAAAGGTTATGAATTCAGCCAGAGGCAAACAACCAACTAGGAATTACTGAGTGGATCTAAGTTATATAAGCATTCAACAGGCAAATTAACATCTACAACATCCCATAACAAACACACACACACTCGACTTCTTCCTCAAGAGCAAGAGTTCTTTTGGCTTTGAAATCAGCTTACTAGTTGCTTCCCCACTTTCTTATAACTCCTCTTCATATTGCTCATCTTAATCATCTAGATAATTTTCGCTGGGCGCGGTGGCTCATGCCTGTAATCCAGCACTTTGAGAGGCCAAGGCGGGTGGATCACGAGGTCAGGAGGTCGAGACCAGCCTGGCCAACATAGTGAAACCCTGTCTCTACTAATAACACAAAAATTGGCGGGGCTTGCTGGCGCACGCCTGTAATCCCAGCTACTCGGGAGGCTGGGACAGGAGAATTGCTTGAACCCGGGAGGTGGAGGTTGCAGTGAGCCAAGATCGTGTCACTGCACTCCAGCTCTGGGCGACAGAGCAAGACTCCGTCTCAAAAATAAATAAATAAATAAATAAATAAATAAATAAATAAAATAAAAATCATCTAGATAATTTTAATTTCTTTATCAAAGTTATTTGGCAAATTGTGCCAGTGCCACAGCTAGAACACAGGAGTGACTCTTACCACCTGGTTCGACATTTTCATTACCTATAGTCAGCAACATCCCTCAAACCTACAAAATTCACAATAATAATAGAAAATGAAAAATATATCTAATAAGCAACCTAGGCTTTAAGAGAATATCAGGGTAATTACATTTTTTTTTAGTAGAACCAAAGGTAAAACTATTATATATCGTTCCAAGATTCTAACTAAAAGAGTGTACACAAAATATTAAACTCGAAGGTGTGAAAGGAAGTGATATATGATTCCTAATAACACGGAATAATGGTATAATTCAAAGCAGAAACATAGTTCCTACTAGGCACAGAAATTTTTGGTAAGAAAGAAAAAAAAGGAGGCATTTCTGAAAAATAAAAATGCCAATATAAAGCATACTTTTATAAAAACTTCTCAGTACTAATTTTTATTTGCTCTCTGACTATTAAGTACTAAAACAGGGTTAAATTGATTAGTTTGCTTGCTATTATTTATCAGTTAGTTAAATGCTGCTCAGACTCTAGAGTTCATTAGCTTATCAGTCAAATACCCGTCAGCTGTACATAAGGTCTCATATACCAGCTTGCTTATCAACACATATATACAAACGCAAGTGGAAAAGAAAGCCTATTTAAAATGTATATTTAGAATTGTTCACAGTAAATATTTGACACAGTTAACCAAAATGTCTTAGCACTCTCTTACGTCTTACATAGCATCATAATAAAAACACGTAACAGAATTCAAAGCAGATGGAGCTCAAAGCTAAGCCATAAACTTGTGTTTTTTAAAAAAGAGAAAAATTGGTAAAAACATGGACTGACTCAAGAGGAACTTGGTATATCTTTAATTTAATTACTGTATATTTAGTAACAGTGTTACTTAATTTGACAAATATTGAATTCTCTAATTGATTATTTGCTAGTCTGATTTCTATGAATTCATGGGAGAGTTTAAGACAAGTGGTAACATTTAATGAAGGCGTGTTCTGATTAATTATCTCTCAGTGATCTGTCTGACATACAGTGAGTTATGAAAGTCATCAATAATTTCCCCTTATTTTTAAATAGCAATAATTCTCTCTCTATAAGAAGTTATATCTTAAGGGTTTTTTAAGCTATAATTCATCAAAAACAATGAAGCACTGGCTAAGAATCTATCAAAATAGTGGCTGACTACCAGATTGAAAATAAATTTACGCTGGGTGCAGTGGCTCACACCTGTAATCCCAGCAATTTGGGAGGCCAACGTGGGTGGATCATCTGGGGTCAGGAGTTCAAGGCCATCCTGGCCAATATGGTGAAACCCCGTCTCTACTAAAAACACAAAAATTAGCCGGGTATGGTGGCGTGCACCTGTAGTCCCAGCTACTCGGGAGGCTGAGGCAGAAGGCTCGCTTGAACCCAGGAGATGGAGGTTGCAGTGAGCCGAGACTGAGCCACTGCACTCCAGCCTGGGCGACAAAGTGAGACCATCTCAAAAAAAACCAAAGCAAAGAAAAGAAATTTAAACATTTTAGTACTGGAGGCAGACTGCTAGGAATCTTAGCCAACTTGTTATCATAACCGTGTCTACCTAAAGGCAAGCAAGAGAAATGCTGGGAAATAGCACAAAACAGTGATTTTGAGAAAATACAAGAATGATATATACATATAAAATAAAAGTATATAAACTTGTGCAGTGTATAGCAAAATAGCTACTTGTAATATAACATGAATAGTGTGGCTTCAGGCAATTGAACAGAGAAGTGAAGCTGAACGCTGCTATGCCAACCAAATGGCAAATGTGACACCTGATAATGTAAAACAGAGGCATCCCCAGGGCACCATGTAAAATTATTATAAAGTGGTGAAATAACAATATAAAGTTAATTTTATTAAAATTAACAATACTTCCCATCAGCACAAGACAATCTATATTCAAAATTAAAACAGTAGGAATGTTTATCTATTCAAGCATTCTGATAGGCTAAATATTGTTGACTGCTAAAAGAAATAAAGTTTTCAAGACTCTTTTTCCTATATATTCATAAATACTCATGCTTATGAGTAATATCATATTCAAAGGCCTGAAATTAAAAACATGTTTCCTTATGAAATTTGGTATATTTGGCATGTCATTAAAAAAATTCCTGCCTACTTTTTAAAAAAAAATTTGATATCTTGGAAATAAAAGAAGGGATAAACTGATCAAATTTTGCACTGTACTGTTTAACTACAATAAATAGAAATAGGTAAAATTAGTAATTTCACAGCATTATTTAAATATTAATGTTTGCTGATTTCTACTACTTTCTGATATTTGAAAAACTGATCTGCATTCACTTGCCAGCTGTGAGGTGTTGTGTTAAACAGAAGTATAAATTTTTAGGCTCTGTTAGCTTTCATAAAATAATACTGAGTGTTTTTTCTTGATTACAAAAAGAATGCAAGTTCATTACAGAAAAAAATGAAAATACAGAAAAGTACAAGGAAAAAAGAAATATTAGCCCTATTATGTTGTAATCTGTAGTCATTATTAACACTTTAGAACACATCCTTTCAGTATTTTTATCTATGCACCAATAAGTATATATATATATTTAAAAATTAATATTTAATCAAAAGTAAGCCTGAATGAAGACTACGTCATATTACAAAATGAATTTTATTTTTTCATCTAAACTAAAGGAGTATTTCAGAACATGTACCATGTTTCACCTAAAGAGTGGCTGCAGTTATATAATAAACTACATCTGCTGAAGAACTGAACATTAGTTTAAAATCCAGGAGTTAAGCAGTCAATAGTACCCTGAAGTGGGTGATGGAAATATTCTCAGAATTAGTATGAATTTTATTATTAAGGGACAGATGGATTTATAAGATCTCAAAATTTTGAGGCACATTCTCTATTTTAGATACTTGAAAAATCTGTTTCATATGTTTGGATATCAAAGTCCACTAAATCTACTATGATAACAATTCGTCTATGAGGCCAGTTTCATGTCCTTGATGATTAGAAACTAAACATGGGTTACAAGGTAGAGAAAGGGGCAATTCAAGAATTATTTGTAACTAAAGATGGTATGTTTTTTAATGTTATTATCAGAGGAAAGAAACAAAACCATTAAAAAATTATGTAACATTATTAAATTTAATTCAAGCCAATAATCTAAGCTTACACTGAACACTCATTCCAACTATTTAACCCTGGCTGCTGAGCTGAGGCTATAACAGCAGGTGGGTTATCAGACAATGCACTAGAATTTCACAAGATCGATTAAGTCAGAAGATAAACAAGAACTTCCCCAGCCTCTTTTATTCTTCCCGGATAATCTGTTTTATGTTCTTGAGGAAGGAAAGGCAAATCTTAAGCTTTACACTGTACCTTAGCACACTTTGTCTCTCTTCCCTATTTTATTTCTCACATAGTTTACATTACATCATGTCATTTCATTTATTGCCCCCTGAGGAATGCAAACTATGTGAAGGCAGGGTTTTCCACTGACATATCTCCAGTGCCTAGAACAGTACCTGGCACATAGTAGGTGCCCAGTAAATATCTGTTGAATAAATGAATGAGATTTCTGTAACTGGATAATTAGGGTTAGCAGAAGTCAATTTTAAATATTCAAAGAAAAGAAAAATATTTTACAAAAAATTAAAGACACTTCTGACCTGGTGTGGTGACTCACACCTGTAATCTCAACACTTTGGGAGGCAAAGGCAGGAGGGTCGCTTGAGGCCAGGAGTTTGAGACCAGCCTGGGCAACATGGTGAGAATGTTTCAAAAGACAAAAAATTAGCTGGCTGTGGTGGCATGCGCCTGTAATCCCAGCTACTCAGGAGGCTGAGGCAGGAGGGGTTTGAGGCTGCAATGAGTTATGATGGCACCACTGCACTCCAGCCTGGGTGACAGAGTAGACCCTGTCTTAAACAAAAACAAAAACAAAAACAAAATCATAAACTTTTGCTCAGAACTTGCATTTCTCTAACTTTGCAAGCACAAATTTTTATACCTGTTGACCACCTTCATGGGGTTACTTTGAAAATAGTAATTACTAAAGCCCACTTCACTGAAAATTTGAGAGTTAATTTTTAAAATTTCTGAATTTTGGGGCCACTGGTGCTGGAAAAAAAAATTACTCTCTCTGTTCTCTTTCTTGTAAAAAATTCAGTGCTAACCCACACAAATCCAGACAGCTGCCTCATCTATTCTGCTTCATCTATTCTCTTGCTGAGGACATTCTATATTCTTAGGTTCCTATTGAACAACAGCACCATTCTGAAAAATTTGCGTACTGGCAATCAAATCATTCTGCAAACAGTAACGCAGATTCCAATGATAAGATGAGTGAGCAGGATGCAAGAACATCTTAAAGATCACCTGCCACACTTGTGTTTGAGGTGCTCAATGGCTGTTTACACCAAGTGCCATCTGGCTCTATAGATATAATAACAATTATTCCATTGAGGTGTGTAGCTCCCTAAATCATATTAATATACAATGATTCCGCTAGTCTTATAGGAGTTGATGTCTTTGTGCGCTCTCATTTAACCTGGGTAATGCGCTAAAACAAGTCTGCCTCATCATTAAGAATTGATTTTTTATTTATGTGAATGTCACTGGCAATCCCATGATATCCCTTTGTAATTCAGTTGAACAGGACTGCATACTAGCGTTAATCTATTTTTATGGCATATCTTTAAAAATTTGCAACATCTTGCTACATTTGGATATTTATATAGAGATTTGTGTTCCTGCAGAAAGCTGTTGTTAGCTTTGGAGATCCACTTCATATAGCAATAGGGCAAGTATCTAATATACTTCATTAGCTATCTTATATCAGATAAGGGTTTATTTCTTTAAATTATTTAACCTTGGTATAACCTACTAAAATCACATAAATCACAAATACACTAATGAAAATCATTAGTTTAGCCTATTCAAAAAAAAAAAAAAGAAAGAAAGAAAGAAAAGAAAAAAGAAAACTTCCAACAGGGATAAAATTAAAACATTTTAAAATCAGCCCTCTGGAAGCATTTCATGAAAGTAACTTGGTGAATTTGTCATGATCACTCATTTCTTAATGTTGTCATTGGTCAATCGTTTAGTCATTGATGTTAACAACTATTCTGATGTGCTAACATTTGTAAAAAAAACCAAAAAAACAAAAACACATCGCTTTTTTTCTGGCTGATTCAAAATCTGATTTTAAAAGTCATAGTTACAACTATTTATAAATATGCCTTCATGAGTTTTGCTAATTTAAAATGAGATAAACACAATAAGCAACAATAAAAAGAAAAAATACATATTTTAAGATACCAAGAAAAAATACTACATCACAAAATTATACTTTAAATCTAGTCTTCCCAACAGTATTTACAAGATTATTAAATAATTACCTTATGGGGAAGTTCTGTCAGAACACCTCTCATATTTGGATGAGTATTATAGACTTTGAACCTGTTCATAAAGCAATAGCAAGCTTCTTCAGAAAGTCACTGAATTTTGGGCATGGGGAGATATGGTAAGTTATACTGCAGGTCTTGACCATTTCATGCTGCTGCTTTAAAGGCAGAATTACTCTTATGCTGTTGAATTTATCATACACAATTACTGATACTGCAACTCATAAGGAAGTTAAGCAAAGTTTCAGAACAAATAAATGAGGTAACAATTTTTCAAATCTAAAGGATTTTGAAGAGGATTGTCACTGCAAACTATAAACTACTGTAAGATTCTTGGTCTAGAACAATCTCTTGTGGATTATTTAGACAATTTTTAAAAAAGCACACTGGGGCAAGTTCATTTTTCTAACTTGAAAATATACGTCGTAAAACTTAATTAAAGGCTCAAACTTAAGAAAGACACATTCATAAAAAATCTACATTTGAGTTAGATTGTGAAATCTATGTAGTTTTCAATATAATATATTAATATCTGTAATCCTTAAGCTGTAATTTTTACAAATATGTTTTCCAAGAGCTGCATAAATTAACTTCTTTATGTATTGTATATGTTATAAATAACTAGAAGGAATTACGTACTTTTATATTCAATAAATAAATACATTTAAAGCTCAGATACTTTCACTAAAATAGATCCACAAAGAAGCTTGGAATGTTCTTCTGTGGTCTTCAGAACTATGTGTGGTGAGCAATTATCAGGAATAATACATGTGTCTGTTTTTGAATTCAGTAAGCCTTCTAAACATTATTTTAAAACTACTCCACAGAGATGATAAAAGGTGTATTAATCACCTAAATGCCTATAAATTGAGATTTAAGGTCAGAGATATTCCCTTAGTTTACTTAAGATATTCCTTGGATATCCCTTAGATATTTCCCTAGTTGTCCCACACGGGCTTGCTTGATCACACATCATATCCTGGTACATACGAGGTTCTGAGTTAGCACTGTGGAATTGGTGTACAAGGCTTACAAGTCAGCTTTTAAAACGTAATAATGATAGCATCTATAATACTATTCTAGTGATTCTATGCTTTTCTTTTTGTTAAAATCATCCCTTATTTTAGGAATAAGCTAAGTAAAGAGGGAACATGGAGTCAGACTGAAATCTACTTCAGGGCTCACCTTTGTCGGATGAACAGTGAACGCTCTGACATTGACATTCACAGCAGCATTGCTGCCGGGTATTGCTATAATTTGCTCTCTATGATTGTTCCTTTAAACAAAAAGCTCTGCGCTCAGCATGCAAAGAAGTTAGAAGTGCGGGAAGGAGGGGGAACCACACATATAAGAGGAGAGAGAGGAAAAAACTGCAGATCAATCATTTATAATTAACAAAAATCCGATTGGTGCTTTAAATAGAGATCAATGTGTTCCAGGCTGCCTGGATTGTGGGGATGTATTCACCTTCTGGTAACTCTCCAAGCAAGCTGTCACACCTACAGAATCACCATTTGTTTTCTTAACAAAGCTTCAGGGGGCGCCAGGCTCTCATTGAAATTTCATTAATCTAATGGAGTAAAGTCCTATAGAAAAAAATCAAATTCTCGTTGGACGAGATGCTACCTGGGAAAGATAACCTCTGTTTGAACTCTCAGACTCGGATCTCTCTGCTATTAGTCTGAGGAAACAGACAGCAACAACGCTGATTACAGCCACCGGCCTCAACAATTTTTTTTTCTAACTAGCAATTTCGAGTGCAAGTGCCACAGTGTCAGCTAAAGAAACACAACTGCGGGTTTTCTGCAGAGCAAAATGGTTCTGAAATGTCACTGAATAGCTCACAAAGGACGCCAATCTACGACAACAGAGACATAAGCATATAGGAGAAAGGGTCCACACATCCTCCTTTCAAAGGTATGTTGTTTACATGCATGTAATTTGTGAAACCCACAGCTATTCAATTCAGGGTTTTCGCAGAAGTCTAAACCAAAATCTGTGTAGAAAGCAATTATCAAGATTCCTCCAAAAGTCACAGAAATTTGGGTGTGGGGAAATTATGACATGTTATACACATAAATAGATGCCCTACATAGTACATGACCTATATAGTATAGTCTTCAAGTTCCCAAGACATCAATTATGGCTGTTACGTGGTGATGATACTTCAGCATCACCTCCATGTGATTTGACTCACAAGTTTTCAAAAGTGGCCTAAATCTGGACATGTCAATATATAGTAGCAACAGTTACTTTGAGAGGAAAATATGGAATGTTGATTCCTTAAAGTTCTTTCCAGGAATGTCCCCATGGCTCATCTGACACATGGTAAGGGTATATGATGGTACACCTATGTGACAAAAAGAGCCAGCATGACAAAGGCTGCATCTATGCCAAAGTAAAATAGCTTTTGGTACTGCTTATTTTTTCCCAACTTAAATGGCTATTTGTAAAAATTTAAATGACTAACAGACCAGTAGTTTTAGGCACAAAAGTCTAAAACAGAGAATGAAACAACCTGTAGAAAGCCCTCTGCTAGACTCTTATATGATCACTATGTTTTGCACGAAGCAACTGGGCAAAGGAAGTTGACTTCAATCGGGCAAGATCACAGTCAAGTTCAGCACTGCTTTCTGATTCCATAGACGTCTAAATCTGGAAGTGACAGTGCAAACCTTACTTGTGTTAAGGAAGAAGACTTATTGTACTTTAAACTAAAAAGAGAAACTAGTAATTTGAACATAAACTACAACTTGTATTTCCTTTCTTTTTAAAGCAGGGACCTAAAAATTGTAGCATATGATAAGGAGAAAAAAGTCATACTTTGAAAAAAGAAAAGGAAGGTCATGACATCCTAGGCAAGCAATTGAAAGGATTCAAAAAATTCTGAGTCCATCTTTAAAGATACTTTTTTTCTTTTACAATAAGCTTGCCGTTTTTCACCTAGGTCACAGAAAGCTTGCTGCAGATCAGGAAATGTCTTCAGTTTCCAAAGCCTCTCATAGCAGTGAGTCACTTCCTCTTTTTTTTTTTTTTCCATTTTCGCTGTTTATGGGTAAACATTGCTCTATTTGGATATATTTAATATTTTTGTGTCTGGCACAAATTTATCCATAAGGATCTAGCTTCTTTTCATACGTAATTCCTTTAATTTCCTGTCTGAGATCCACCTGTAGAATTATACTTCCGGTCTCCATCTACATCCTGTTTAAAGATATCACCGAGAGTGATATACCAATTTTTTAAAATTCTAAGCATTAGGAAAATGAGTACATAACACATTTATGTGTCTATGTGTATATACTATTTATGTAAACATATAATATATGCAAAACATATATGCATATACACATACGATATATGCAAATCTGTATATAGAAAAACTTAGTTTACTCAAGATTATTAAAATTGATCCTGGGAACAAAACAATACACCTTTTCTAGGCATTTATCCCTACTATAGAGACAGAGAAAGAAAGATTGTGAGAGGGAGACACACACATTCAGATGAGCCTTCAGGGAATTGTATGAACTTTTGAACCAGAGATGGAGAGCCAGAGCCCAGCCTGTTCCCACTTTAATAAACATTTTTTTCTTCAATTAATTAAGGTTTGGAAAGAAAAAAAAACCACAGAAGAGAAGTAATTTAGCATGCAATGCATACTTTACAGATGGATCCTACCTTCGGATGCTTATTAAATCTATGCATGACTGCGCTGGAGAAAATTAATTGCATTGTTTCTCACTATTGGAAAATAGGTTGCAAACAGCTCAAAAATAAAAAGGAAAATGAAGCAAGGTGGTTGTTGTTGTTTAAAAAAACAGCTATAGTATAAAAGAAATACTTTCAAAGTCCTAAAACAAGTAATACCCACGACTGGCATAAGAGCATAGATTTCTTTAAAATTGTTTTGATGTTTCAAAATACCATATATGCTGCCAGAATACATGTATCTACTTTAAGTTTGCAAATATTCTGGTCTAACTAAAATTTCCTACTCAGTAGCATTTGAACTATTCAGTTAAGTGGTAAGTTTTTGTTCAAATCCTGCTGTGAGGAAAGATTTACGTGAGCAGCTGGGAGTAGACACTGGCACACATTCACTGCATCATGGTTGGCTGGTATTCTCTCCATTCCAGTCTTGGGAAAAAGTGATAACTTCCTCATTTTTTCAGAGAAAAATAGAAAATATTATTATAAAATATTCAGAATACAGGTAATCATTTGCATTTTATCATCTTTAATTAGGAAAAAAAAAAGCACTACAGCTTCAGAAACTGAAGCCATTTTTCCTTTTCTGAAGGCCTGCTGGTGGAAGTTGAACTGTAACCTCTCTTAGACTGTCCTGAAAATGACCTTTATCAAACTTGAAAGGAGCATTCTCTGTCTAAGGAGTTAGACATTAATTTTCCTAACTCACATATTTCTAGATTTAAAAAAAATCCTTGTGTTACTTCCTTATAGACACTCCTTTTGGTAGGCCTTACCCTGTTGTTGACTGACTAAAAACATTTCACTTAAGAACTTCTAAACTTACTTGATTCCATGACCTAAATAGATGGTGGTTTTATTTTACTCTTTCACCTACTCTAAGTCTATAAATCAGTCTCTCTAATCCCTGGTTAACATGGTTATTTTAAACTATTTATCATGACACAAATTTTGCTAAAAGTAACAAACTAAGTACATATAAATAAATGAATCAGTCCTGTGTACAACAAGTTTTGTAGATACGGGTAAATATATACATTTACTAACATTGAGATTTATTTATATAGTGCCTTTCACCAGCAGATCTTGAAGAACAATATAAATGACCTTATAACCTTATAAATAGTTACAGCTATTATCATTCTTAGTTAGGAATGGGGCAAAACAAGATCATAGATAGTACAAAACTTCTAAAACAAGTGTTCACTTTTATTCCCTTGCTTTAACTTTTAAATCAGACCTACCACCCTTTTAGGGTATTAACCAATTAAAAGTAGAGTCTCATCAATGATTAAAAATATATATGGTTCAGTTCAGGCACGATTCAAAAGAAAAAAAGCCATGCTGCCATGAGAAACTAAAGTCAAAACCAAGCCAATGCCTTGAGCTGCTAGAGTTTTTGTAAATGTGACATAAAAATGTGTGGTTCTTATTTTATTGGTTATTAAAAAGAACAAAAGGGCCTATAAGGGAATGGACCTATGTAACTTTACCATTTCAAAGAACCATTGAAGGTATAAAAACAGGGCTGGCTTCAGAAATTTTGGCAGTCGCAGTCTTACTTAAGCCAAACCACTCTGATAGGTATAAAATGCCTGAATAATATAAGCGGGAAAAGGTCCAAGAAGGGAGATTTCTTAGTTTAAGGCACCTGAACCTGTTTCCTGTTTTCAGAAAGATCTCTTCTGTTTGCTGCACTCCAACCTTGAGCAGCCACTCCCACAGGGCTGACTGCAGCCTATACCTGCACATTTGACCTGCCTCTTGATTCCAGACTCTTTCCAGATGTTCCAGCGTTTATCTTTTAAAAGTTTCCCTTGCAGTTGACACCATCTTCCCCACCTTAAATATTTATTGGAAATGACAGTTCTGTATGTCATCCTTAGCTATTGGTCATCTAAAGTTTCCGGACTTCTATAAAGAACCTGTCACATTAGAGTATTTTATTATCTTTCTGCATAAGTCAGAGTGAGCGTCAACAAACAACTAGTCAGAAGCTGCGGGCAAAGCAGTTTTGGTAGCATGGATAACTCAGGCTCTCCTTGGACTGATTCTGATTGACTATGTGGAAGGGGTTACCCTGGATTCCCAATTCTAGAAAAGTAGATGATTGAATTCACTTTCAGGAATCCAAGAGTTTAGAATAAGTTTCAGATTTTGAGATACTGACTATAAAATAAGAATAGTTAAAAGACAAAAATTAAAAACTCTTAACTGTTTTAGACTTTATTTTATATTTCTTATGCATCTTACACTGAGTAGTACACTATTCCCTTGGAGCAAAAAGCTCCCTGATGACTACGTAATTCGCTTCAAGACACTATGTTTTGATTTAGCAAATCCCTGTATTCATTTATTTCATGAGATCCTGTTTTCATGAAAGAGTTAAACTCCTTCTATAAGGTAAAGAGCTTAATCACTATGGGATGAGATATTTTTTCTATTTTCCAGTGCAATTACTCTTTTTCTTAAATCTAATTGAATTCACTTTCCATGTTAGTGGGGGAAGGGAAGTGGGTAGGAGGGATGCAGCATATGTTAGAAGACAAATAGTGTAAACTGTAGACCTTTTAATACAGTGGATTTTTGTAAAGATAAAAAATTGTGATCTGATAAAAATGTTTAATATTCAGTGGTATGGCAGGCGTGGGGGAAATTTTGACCATCAGAAACTGGATTTTGTGTATGGAGAATATCAGGGACATTGCATAAGGAACATTCGTATTTATAATTTATAAAGCACCTTGGGATTCTCTAGACGAAAAGCACCATATAAATATGAGCATTTTCATTTCATGTGGGTGATCACAGAATGTTGGCATTTCAGCATAAACCATATTTCAGTAGTGAAAGGGATATAAACTCTTATGTAGATTTGGTTTTGCTGCCATTTTCTCTTCCCTGAGTTGTAACATACACAATGGAGCATGCCCTTATTGGCTGCCTCCTTTACCTTTTCTAAAGTTCCTGTCTATTTCGTTTTGTCTTTGTGGTGTCAATGTACTGTCCAGCATTTGGCTTTATACTCATAAGCTAGACTACTGAAGGAAGTAAACATTTATCTTGGATCTATCTGGTATAGTGTTTTCCATCCTTCAGTATTTCTGATGTCTAAGGGAGGAAAACCTCCAGATATCATTGAAGGGGGAAGAGGGGGAGGCTGTCACTCTGTGGCACATTAAGACACAGTATAGAACAGGAGACTACTATTATTTCAAGGTTCTTTGAAAGTTCTTTAGGATATGACAGAATATATATGTATGTGTGTGTGTGTGTGATTTGAAAATCTGGATCATACAATCACATTTTAGGGGATCAATCTGACAAACATTTATTGAATGTCTAATATGTGCTGACAGCCCACAATCCTTTGGAGATGCCAGTGTATGTAATACAATGCAGGTAAATGGTGGTAGGCAACAGCTATGATAACTGATCAAGTAAAATGCAAGACAGGAAGGGGTTGAGTCCAACCTGGGGCAACTAGGAAGCCAGCTAGAGAAGAGGGAGTTTGAGCATGGCCTGGAAGGATGAGTGGGTGGATGGGAGGATGGGAAAGGCACTCCAGGTGGAAGGCACAGGGCTGGGTTTGCGGAATGATGATGAATAATCCTGTGAGGCTGGGGTTTGGGGCATGAGTTTCACATGTAGGAGGTAAGATGAAAGGTAGGCTCAGTATTTCAGGTCATGGTTTCAAATCCTCTTCAAAATAAGTGTAGGTCATGAAGCTGCAGTGTTATGAGAAAACTGTTTTTAACTATGAGTGTTCCTAGCTTATTATTTCCCCTGTGTGCTCAAGAGTTTCTGGCTTCACTAGTTCAGGTCCTTCCCAGGCTCACCATCATCCAAGGAGGGCTCTGCCATTCTCAGTCAAGTGTTTTGGCCTTGTGATGCAGCATGGGGAGAATGTGGAGAATAAGATACTTAGGTTGACAGTAGAAGACAGGGAGCAAAGAAGCAGTCTCCACCCCATATCTTCAAGGATTAAGAGAGACAGGGCAGAATGGCATGGGACTGTGAGAGAGTTCTGGGACAGGAGAGTGAGAGGCTCCAGGGAGTTCTGGGGATTTTGAAAAAGGAGGAGAAGTTGCCTTGTAAAATGGGCTACAGGTATTTTTGAGGACAGAAATTCCTACTTTTGTTGTGCTTCTGTGAATGTGATACTTCTTCAGGACTGGGTCCTGGTGTCAAAGGGATAGACAGCTCAGTGTGAGATTGCATGTGATTTTCCATGGTCTGGAGGCTATATTATATTTATTAACCACATATTATACCAAGAGAGAGTGATGAGGGGTGAGCCTAAAAATGAAGTGGATCAGAATCTTTTAGCATTTTGCTCCTCCATGAATTCTCTATTTAATGATTAATGTTTGTTGAATAGATTGAGATGGTTCTCACTGTATATATTAATTACTGCTTAACAATAATGTGTTTTCTCTTAATCCTGTCACATCTCTTTAATGGCTGCCTTAAACTTCCACTTTCCAGTCTCCCTAAGCTCTAGGCCAGTCCCTGCTCCATGGCTTTTTACTCTTAGTAAATGGCTTTGCCTTCTCCTCCCTTCAA
Organism: Homo sapiens; assembly: GCF_000001405.40. Taxonomy (NCBI): domain Eukaryota; kingdom Metazoa; phylum Chordata; class Mammalia; order Primates; family Hominidae; genus Homo; species Homo sapiens. The sequence goes on from NC_000017.11 coordinate 48,300,876, forward strand.
GTAAAAATATCTCCGTATCTTCATTCTCTTCTATCCTTTAACTCCTTTCTCTAAGGAATGAGTCCCCTGCCTGTTAGCCAGGACTGATTCTTGTATAGTATTGACTGACCCATTTCTACCTTTCCAGGACCTGATTCTACCCATTATCTTCTCTTTTAGACTGGTTCTTTCTCATATGCTGGAAAATCAGCTCAGATCTCCCCTCTCCTAAAACTAAAACAAAATAACCAAAAAGCTCCTCTCTCCTCCTACCATTTATCCCTTTCATTCTTTTCACCAAACAACTTTTTTTAGGTAACATATACCCACAGCCTCTAGTTTCTGAGTACTCACTCACTCTAAGATCACTAATAACTAGGCTTGTTTTTAGTAGACTACTGAAACTGCTCCTTGGAAGATGAGCAAAGATCTTCTTGTTTTGTTTCCTCTCTATTCCCACCAACCCTTCCCATCAGCCCAATATCCAACAAATTATAAATTTTCAGGGAGATTCCCAATTACCTATCTTTATATTCCTTCAGCACCTAGCATTATGCATTGCACATGGTAGAGACTCCATGAGTATTTGAATTGAATCTAGATTTCTTTCTTTCTTTCTTTTTTGAGATGGAGTCTCGCTCTGTCACCCAGGCTGGAGTGCAGTGGCGTGATCTCGGCTCACTGCAACCTCCGTCTCCTGGGTTCAAGAATTGCTTGAACCCAGCAATTCTTCTACTTCAGCCTCCCAAGTAGCTGGGATTACAGGCACCCACCACCATGCCCAGCTAATTTTTGCAGTTTTAATAGACATGGGGTTTCACCACATTGGCCAGGGTGGTCTTGAACTCCTGACCTCAGCTGATCCGCCCACCTTGGCCTCCCAAAGTGCTGGGATTACAGGCGTGAGCTACCGCACCCAGTCTGAATCTACATTTCTTAGACCTTCCTTATGGTCCCCTGGCTCCTGATTTTCTTCCACCATGTTAGGAACCTTGCAGTAGTCTCAGTGCTACAACTGGCATCAGGGCACATAGCTTTCTTTAATGAGCTTACAGAAATAGGAAATATCTCATCCTCAGTTGTACACAACAAAATTTTTAAAAAATTATCATTTATCAAAAAATATAATGAAGACTATGTTATTTTGATTTTCTGTTGAGATTATAGGAAACCAACAATAAATAATCCAACGTAAAATAGCGTATCATAATGATCAATGGTAGTGATCAACAACTTAAAAATGAATTCAAAACATGCTAATTAGCCAAACTTATCAAGTGAGTCTCCCACTGACCCAAACATAAACCACTTTTTATATTATTTGATAGCCTATATTTCTTGAGCATTTTCCCAGAAAGTGCTTCAGGTGGCTGATATGATATATACTAAACTATATCCAGGAATTGAGCCAATCACTACTATAATAATATATTGATAGGACATCTTTAATAAATATGATTTTTTTTTTCTGCAGAGGGTAGAAGAACACATATTCTTACTTCAAATCCAAACACTTAAAGATAATCAATGAGATGTAGGGACTTTTGTACTACTATGTTGCTCTTGCGTGTCTTATATTGCTATGGAATTTCACTAACAGGAAGTGAAGTTTCCTTCTCCCCTCCATTTCATGGAAAACCTTTAAGAGTGGTGAGGAGCAGCTGAAGTGCCACTCAACTTCTTTCACATGTATATATGCTGAAGTTACTCCGCCAATTCTCTACCCTACCTTGCTGTCCACCTTATTGCAAGCAATATGAAATGCCCAAGGAAGTCAATACTAGCTTACTATAGTTGTTTACTTGTAGCATTCCTTTAGAATGGGCCTAACCACCAAAAATACAAAGAATCCATGAGTTTCTGTGGTGCATTCTAATGCTCAGTTAAAATCCATCCTCTTTGTCACTATTTGGTTCAACAGTTTAGGTCAACAAACACTCTGGGAGCACTTACTTGGGGACAGGCATTGTGCTAGGGCTGCAAAAAGCCAGAATCCAGTGAGGGATAGAGATTTGTAAGCACAGAATTTCCATATAAGACTGGTAGTGATTTGAAGAAGTCAAATCACAGTGAATAATAATTTTAAAAGAGTGAGCTGTGTTTTGGGCAATTATATATTTTAAACTTTATCTTAAAATATAGAATTGCTCAAATTTAAAAGTTGAAATTTAAGTTTTTAAAGATCAATGAAATGCTACAAAAATAATATATAAACAAGTACAAAGTGAAAAAACAAGACAAAAACATTGACTAGCTTAGTCACTGAACAGATTGTTCTCAAAATAAAGATCTTTAAAGGTAGCAAACTTGGCCAAAGAAATATTGGAGAGTCTTACTTCACAAGCAACTTTAAATTTGCTTTCTGGTTATGCTAAGACATTACCAGGTGATGAGCATTCCAAGGCCACTGTCCTGTGATACTGTGGTGGGAAAGGGGGTCTCCTGGTCACAGTATGGTTTTCTCTTTTGAAGGCTCTCTATCCCTAGATATTCTAGTTCAAATCATTTCTCATCTCAACCACTTCAAATAAACTATGAATAGTCTTTTACCTTAATGCCTATGCAATTCATCAAATACTACTCAGTAGTCTTGGAAATATAAATAGATGAGCATTTTACTCTTAAGAAGCACTTTATTCACCTGGTCTCACTACAGCTCTATGACCAAAGTTGTTGAGTGAGTATGCTAAGACCATATTGAACACACATAAAGGAGGCAGACTTTAAAGGGACCGCTTTCCTTCAGGCTCCTCAATTTTTGTGGCTATAGAACCATCTTATGTCAGAAAACTATATATGTGCAAAATATTAGTTTTCTGACAAAATATCTGTAGAATACACAGGCTTGGGGAAAAACCTTCAAAAATTTGACTCCAATGGGTATTTCCAAGATGAAATACAGTCCTCTGAATTTATCATACCTAGGACACATAGAAGGTTGCTAGATAATAAGGGGATATTTTCTTGCTATCTATGAAATAAACTGTCAATGTTTGGGAAACCCTAAGGCGTACAGGTCACTAGACTATTCAGGAGTGTGAATGCTAAGGTTATAACTGGGGATTATACACAGAAACATCATAATATGTGTGAGATTTCATATTTTGTTTTTATCACATCACCTCAATAGACACTAAGGAAACAGAAGTAAACTTGGGAATGGCTGTGAGTTTTCAAGTTAAAAGAAAAAATGAAAGAGTTTTAAATTCACAATCAGCTATATTACTTGATTTTAAAAGAAGGGATGATTTGCTACATCTAATGTAATACCAAAGTATTATATAACTAAAGTAACTATAAATTAAGCATAATGGACCTCTATAAAAAACACTTATTTTATGTAATAATGACACTTACAGACATTTTTGTATATGCATTTTTGGAAAATCCAACTTTTAAATACAGATAAGGAAAGGAAGTCTCTAACCTGTCTAATTCCTGGTTCTATCATACAAGAGGATAAAGACATTTTGGAGTAGATTCCTTTGAAAGTTACAATAATAGCTGGAAGAACAGAAAGCAATGTAGATAAGCAAAGAACAAAAGTGTGGGAGAATGATGGGAAATTCTTAATTTCAGCTGCAGGAGGTGATGTAGAAGTTATAGAAGGTAGTGTAGAATTGTGTAGAAGACAGAGACAAGCTCATCTCCACTTCTAAAAATTAGAGCTAATGGGCTTCTGCTGTATCACGAGAGACTCAGACTAAACATGAGCAACACAACCTGATAGGAACAGCCATTAACATAAAGTGGCTTTTTAAAGGATATAATGAAACATCTTTCTCAAAATATCAACTAAACAGAAGTAATTATTCATCTTTCTGAGATACTTTAGATGTAGTATTTGTTTTCCAAAGACAAGCTATGGGAAGTCTTGTTTTCCAAGGCAGGTTTCAATTCTTTAGTTACACAGTATTGAATTCAAAGTAGTAACCCTACCATTGGAGCTAGGAAGTCATTGAATTAAAAAATTTCTTTAACAAAAAGAATTCCCTTTACTCTGCATTCTCACCAATATCTGTTATCTTTTGTCTTTTTAATAAAATCCATTCTGACTGGGAAAATTTTTTTCTTTAATAGTAGTAATGAACTAGAGACCATCAGGTTCAACTCCTTATTCTGTATATTGAGAGGCAATATAGTATAGTGCAGGGATTGTCAAACTATGACTTGGGCAAAATCTCACCCACACCATTTTTTGTAGGTCTTAGAAGCTTAAAATGATTTTTATATTTCTAAATGGTTGGAGAAAAATCATATCTTGACATGTGAAAATTATATGGAATTCAAGTGTCAGTGTCAAGTTTTTGTTGTTGTTGTTGTTATTTATTTGTTTACTTTTAAAGAGACAGGGTCTCACTTTGTTGACCAGGCTGCTGGAGTGCAGTGGTACAATCATGGCTCACTGCAGCCTCAACCCCCTGTACTCAAGTGATCCTCCCACCTTGGCCTCCCAAAGTGCTGGAATGACAAGTGTGAGCCACTGCACCTGGCCTATAATAAAAGTTTTAATGGAACACAGCCACAATCATCCATCTACGTATTGTCTAAGGCCACTTGCACACTATGATATATTTGCGCATTTGCTGCTCTTGAGACTGTATGGACCACAAAGCCTAAAGTACTTACTATCTGGCCCTTTATAGAAAATGTTTACTGACCTCTGGTCTAGTGGCTGAAGGACGTAAAGTCTAAAGCTAGATTAGCTGGGAGTGATGCTGGAAAAGATGGAGTGCCTCACTTTCCTGTTCCCTGAGTTCCAGTTCTGTCAACTGGGAACAATAATGGTACTTATCTGATAGGGTTGTTGTGAGAATTAAATGAAAGTGTTTAGAACACTAGTGCCTGCTATAAAGTAAGGATTCAGTAAATGTGAGATATTTTTATTATTACACATGAAGAAACTCTGGCCTACAGAGATAAAGTAACTTCACAAGTTCATAGAATTTGCTAGAGGCAGACTGGGAGAATTTCCTGATTCTTGCTTACATTATATTGCCTTTTTTATTTTCAATATGGCCTGACCAAAAAAAAATTGTTGTGGCTTTTTTGTTGCTGTTTTTAAACTACCTCATGGGCTCTCTAAATGAAAACTTTAGTTTCACCAGACTCTTCTCCTATCAATCCTGTTACCTGTAGTTGCCCAAAGACAAGTTGTGGAACATTTGAGATTTTCAAGTTATACATAAAGCTTCTAGAAGTTAAAATTTTCTTTATTCTTTCTAAAACAGGATAATAGAGGCCTCTACAACTCAAATCTGACAAATGTGTTAAAAATTTTTGTTGCTGCAAAACCTTCAGAAACAAATAACTGAAGTATGTATAGAGACCCCAGGATCTGAAAAGATGGCAGATTAGTCCATGAGCATTCAAAGATACTTGTTATTCCCAGTATAACATATCCCATTTTCTCTGGTCATTTTTTTTCTTTATTAACTCTTGTACATTACCAACACAACCCCAGATTTTGCTTATTCTATGAAACCTCCCACACCTAGAATGTCTACTTAGTGGTCCTGGACAACCACCTTTTTCAAGGCTTTGTTCATAAGAGGACTTACTTCATTAAATCCACTCCCAGTTGGTCACTCCATTACGCCACATTTCCTTGTCAGTTGGTACACAATTTTAAACAATTATGCATTTGTCACTGCTGTCTAATTGTTCTCTAGTTTTTCTCTTTCTAAATAATATATCTTGCAACAAAACTGTAATTCCTTATAACCAGTTACACACCTTTTTTAAAAAAAATCACCCATAGTACTTAGTTGAAGTTATTTACCATAGTAGGTATTCAACAAATGCTTCTTGCATTAATAAATGAAGAACCACAAATACATCCTATGAACAGAATTTCAATTTTAGAATGAATCAATAACACCTTTAGACTACCATCAAGATTGTGAAAGTGATAATTTTTGGTACATGAATTTAAAGATCATCTAAATTAAACCAAAAGTGTAAAAGTACCTTCATTAAAATGGAGACTACAACCTATAATAGAGAAATTAACTCTAGATCCCTAATGCTTATTACTCCTTTCGGATACATCATTCCATGACACTGGAAAATATTAGATCTGATAGGGATTTTGCAGGTAGCGGTAAAACCTTATGTAAGTATTTTTTTAATCCACCCACGAAGGATTATGTTGAATTCCCAGACAAGTATAATTTTCATCTGCATGTCTAACATACCTATAGCAACATTACTTAATATATGAGTATGTGAAGTATATTTTATTATAGTAGTAGACAAGCAAACTGAATGTGTCCCAGGAAGGGGTCTTTTCCATTAACTTTTATAAAGGCTTTCATTTCAAAGTTTCATTAACATCTGACAAGCAAGCTGAAAAAGCTTTGCTTAGAGCTTAGGTTAGGGGCAAAATGCATTTTGGTAGAACTATTCCAAGATTACACTGACTGACTGTGCGAGAATATACTAATTTGTTTTGTTTTGTTTTGTTTTGTTTGGAGTGTGGAGAAAAGAGAGAGAAAGGGAGAGAAGAGTCATGGACCCTACTTTATGGTTGCCATGGATGCAAGGTCAGCCTTCCACACTTGGATCTACCAGCAGAGTTCAGACAGGTCAACGTGTGACCGGCTCAGGCCCTGGGGTTAAAAGTTCAAGCAGCTATGGAAAAACCAATATGTCCACGCAGAGTATGCTGTACAATTTATTTCAATTTACATCAAGCCATGCATATAAAATTTAGATAAATTCCATTCAGATCTGATGTTGCCTGACACACAATGTATGCAAACAGATGTCTGTGGGGCTTTTTCTGTGCTTTAGAAAACAACATTAAATTTAAAAATATGTCTCTGGGATTTCTTTATTGAATTACAAAATGAACATAATTTTAACTTAAATGTTTTCATTCTTTTTTCCAATTTTTTTGTGTGGGGGTCTTAATAATTTCTCAGTTCTCAATCTACTCTATGTCATATTAAAGAGGATAATGTATATTTACAACTACAGCTTCAGTGTTATTGTAGTTATAGATTCTATTTATATCCCTTACCACTTTCCGCAAATATTTAGTGATTGATATTTCTGATTTATCTCTGGTTTCTAGCCTCATCTCCATTCCTTTCTACTTTGAACATAGCAAGTCCTGGAGGCTGCTGGGTCGTCTTCCAGCCACAAGGTGGCTCCCCCAATCCCTTCTCTCAAGCCAATCGATGTACACCTTTGCTGAGTTCTCCAGGCGGACTACAATTCAGAGCTAATTATGATCTATAAATGCCATTATTTTCATTGTGAAGTAAATGGCTTATGACCAAGACCCTGGTACACTAAGATACAATGCAAAATTAGTCTTTAAAAATAGGAGAAAGAAAAATACCTTTGTATTTGCCTAATTTCTCTTCACCCATCCTTCCAAAAGTACAACTGAGCTATCCTTAGAGTAAAATAAGAAAAATAATAAAAGGCTCCAGAGGAACCTAATTTTGTTGTCAATGAACATAGTCATAGACTAGACAAGGTCAAATTTTAAGAAAAGTATACAACTTATTCTCACTTAAACTAGACCTACTTTTGGATTTGATATTTTACCACAAGAGAGTTTTGATGAGAAGACTTTGCAAAACTTTCTTAGAAGTCCCACATCATGCCATCATTGAAGAACAGTGATCTCCAATACTGCAAGGCTTTAAAAGGAGTGGAAATATTACATATTTCCTTTTTGTTGCTTAGCAAACATGTTGCATATTTCATAAATGTGATTTTTATAGAAGACATCATAATTTTCTACAGCTGAAATAGGCATAGAAAGACAAATCATTCATCCAATTACATGGAAGGTCTTTCTAAAAGTCTGAGTCCTAATTTCTCACAGTTTTTCATTTTCTGTTCTGGAGAGAAGCTATTTAACCTTTGGGCAAGTTTCGTTTTCCTTATCTGTAAAATGGAGATAAAAATAGGAACTATGCCTCATGGGATTTTTGCCAGGATTAAATGAGTTAATATACATAAAGCACTTACAAAAGTCCTTGTTACATAATAAAAGCCATATAAATGTTTGTTATTATTATTATTGTTTATTTGAGCTCAGTTCCTCCTTGACAAGTACTTCATGACACAATCACTTGAGAAAAATAAACTTTCATAGATTTCATAAAGACCTGAAAAGTATCATTTTTTTTGATACCTGAGAGCTCTGATCGGGGTAACTGACGGTGTATGGGCTTTTTCTTCCTCAAGAACTTTAAAAAATTAGCATTTTCATCCCAATTCATGGTATTACTTTCAATATGACACTAAAAAAAGAAACTGCTGATTTCCAAATCTCAAGCAGGTTTTAGATAACACTTTAAAAAATGCATCATTTTACTAAAGCAAAAAACAACCATAAGTAGTGGTTCTAATAACTTGGTTCCGATATTTGTATTGTAAATATTTTCATGTTACTTTTCCACTATATTAAAAAAAAAGTCTTTAGGAGCTTACTCATGCCAGAATATAACTTTGTTAAGCCTCTTGTTAAACTTAGAACGTATGAGTCCCCTGCTTCTAACATAAATAAATGTTTTGAATTCCCCAGTAAGCATGGCCTTGACAATTCTCAAGTAAATTTTCTAAGGATATAAATAATATCCTTAACTTAAGGTGGCCTGTAATAATTCAACCATGAGCAAAGGCTTATGTGGACACAAAATCCTGCATTCACATAAAACCTTGTTTGTATAAGGAAGGGTCTCTATGCACAGATATAAATATATACATATGTGTTGGTATATATATACATATATGTCCACATATATACTCTCTTGAAACCTCCCATCTATTTGGAAATACATATTCAGAGACCAAGAAAGATAATCAAATCCATTTTCAATAGCCAAGGAGAAGAGTATGACATTTTTAAATACCTGCTATACTGTCATGCAACTCTTTATTCTTTATTATGTCTGTCAGCTACTACTAGGTGCCTAGTAGACAAATGCTAGTTCTAGTCCTGACCATTTATTTCTATTTGGAATAATTTCAAGCCTAACTCTCTAGAACTACTTGAAAATGTTGTCTTGGTATGTTGGCCTTGCACCTTTAATGAGGCTTGGAATAAGGGAAGGTGGAAAGGAATCTTTGGGCAATGACAATTTGGCACCATTTTTGAGGGAAGCCTGTCTTGGTTTTGCCTGCACTTGCACAAATACTACTTCGAAAGACCCTCTTTCCATTCTGAGCAATATGGTTGCATTACCAAAAGCAATATCTTTTATCAGAAGCAGTTTTTGCTGCATGCACCAACTTTCACTATATTCTTAGCAACTCTTTCTTTTATGCCAGTTCCAGACATCAGTTAACAAAACCCTTTAACGAACAGATGTACTGAAGAAATGCATCAATTTGTTATTTGCTACAGTTTGGGGTGTCTGTCCTACGGGTTTTCTAGCCAAAGCCTTATATGTTTCCCAAGAGAAATTTACTTTCATGAGAGAAGAAAATTGAGGCAAATCACTGCTGTTAGACCCTGAAGTCAGAGACACTGGTTTGTTGTCCTTCTGTACATGTGAAGAAAAACTCCACAGTTACAGAAACAATTGTGGTTCCAATTCATCTCTCATTCTCTCCCAATGTGAAAAATTACAAATGAAACTAAATTTCTGTCAATAGAATGTGTATGATTACAGCTGTTCATATTTTCACTCTAATGAAGGGCTGCACATTTAATTGTAAGATTTATTAGAGACTGTACATTGCTATATACATGCAAAACAGTTAATCGACATCTAAAATGCTGGTTGTTTATTCTGACATTAATAATCATATTTCTTAATTTGAAACAAAAAGCATTTGGGGAAAATGTATTTTGTTTCCTCCAAATCGGAAAATAATAATTTCAATGTAAGAAATAAAAAGGCAAGAGAAAAAAATATTGATTTATGTATGTAAGGCAGGGGAACAATTAAAGATGCTTAAAAAAAAAAAGTCCATAATCCCCTATTCTGCTGGAAACAAGAGAGTTGATTGCCAGCTTTGTTTGATTTCACAGAGATCTCATACGAGGCTGGGTTCATAAACAGGTGAAATGATGGAGTTTATTGCAACACACATCAACACTGAAACTAAATAACTGTGTTGCCATCTCAGTCCCACTGAAAGACGGATGGTAAACTTGACCTGCCGCTGGTACTATCCGATTGCCATTTTTTATTCCCCCTTCGCCGCCCCCCCAGGCTGAGCCACGTTGAGTAAATGCATGTGCACGGTCAGGTCAGACCCCGGGATCGGGTGAAACTCCGTTCACATTTGCATACAGGCGGAGTCTCACAATGAAAGCCCATCTGTTCCCGTCTCGGAGTACAAATCGAGTGTCACCCAACTCACTGCAAACGACAGAAGCATGGCCATTAGATGGAGGAACACTCAGCTCAGGTTACGGATATGGAACTGCTGATTTGGGTTTAAATACCTGATCACTGAAGACTTTTCATTATATGTGAACAAAGAATGAACTTTGAACTGCTCAGGAGATACCCTCTCCCCACATTGGGCATCCCCAGTTCTATCCATTACCAATACGTAACTGCTATATTTTCCACTGACTCTATTTTTTGTATAAAAATTAGCCAGGCTGAGTGTCACAATGCCCTAAATAATTGCTTTTTTGCGGGGGAGGAGGGAAGGATAAGGGTAAGAGGTGGAGCAGCAAGGGATGTTGTAAATAGAAAATGAACTCTGAACTCTATATGCCCCCAAAGGTCATTAATATCATGGCAGTGCTATTCCTTGAACTTCTAAATTTTACCAGGGTAGAAATTTTAGTTGCCAGAGTTTAACCAAAGTGTGAACTGCCCCTGCCCTTTAATTCCTCCCTCCCAAACCCATTCAGTTAAGCGAGGCACCTGCCTCCTAGGATCTTCACTCACGGGCCTGGTTATTCCAAAATAGTTTATCAATCACGATCTGTGTCAGAGATTACTTTTCTGTTAAAATTCGGCAAGTACTTTAGAGTTTACAGACAGAAATCACATATATTCTGACACAAAAAGATAGAGCTGTTCAAGAAGAAACCCCAGGATAATAAGCCTATCCAAGCACCAGCCATGATAAATACAAGGAAAATCATGAGCAAAAATATGGGTAGGATTTCATCAAATGCTTTCTTGTCCTATTTTATGGCAAGAATCTATTTCTACAAAAATCTTTCTAAGGAAGACACAAGCATCTGGGGTTTGGCTACTTGTGTTTATATTTGAAGTACTTCTGTATTCTGTTACATGAATCACATTTAACATTAACATACGATTTTAGCCATTAGCCCAGTTTGGGCTCCAGTGCATGTGTGGTTACATGTCCAAACACACAAACTACTGTAGAGAAAGCAGATTGCCAGTTTTCCTTTTACCGGTTATGCTTCTTGTTTTCCAATCAGTAATAGTGTCACTATATGAAGTGCAAAGGTAAAATCTGATTGGGTGAAAAAAAACTTTTAATATCTGCAAGAATTTTCTTGATTTGTTTTAAGTAATTAAGTAATTTGTTTTCTTGCATATACTTCTCTTTCTTAAAACACTTACTAGAACAATTTTATAGAAAAGAATGTATTAGGATGACGTAGAATCCAGAATGTTTAAAGGCCTTTGGTCTTAAAGGCTGTGTCTCCTCAGCAAGGGTTTCTATAACACTATGTGAAACTATGTTCTTATTGTTTGTCCTTTAAAAATAATACCAGGGTAAAGAAAAGATTTGAGGGCTATTTCTTTTTTCATCCCATGCAAGAGCTTATGGTCAACCTTAATGGAAGTTCTACATGCATTAAAAGAGAGAATAGACCCTTTGTTTCAGAAGAATGACCAAGACAAGGGTGAATTTCTGTTCCACTTTGTCAAGTTTAAGGGGAAACTGAATTCAGGAAAAGAGAGTGTGAGAGAGAGAGACCCCCAAACAACTTTCTTAGCTGTCTCCTCATTGCCTCCAATCTTAAACTTATAACGTTTTATTGTTATTCTGTAAACAAGTCAGGAATTTGCATTAGGAGACACTTGGCCATATGATATCTTGGAGGTGGGCTGTTTATTTGCATTCCATGCAGCTGGGTGTCTTCTGTGTGATCAGTAACAAAGCAGAAGAAACTAACAAGCCAGAAATATAATACCAGAGGTTTTCTTTCTGTCTACATCAGGAGAAAATGCTCCATTAAGGAGGTATAACTACTTTAATTCTATATTCCTAAAGGGATATGGATGAGAAAAAATCTTCTTGTTCCAAAATGATAAAATAACTTGTTTATAGAAATATGGGTTGCTTGGTTTCTTGTTATGCACTATTGGTGGCGGGGCGGTGGGGGGGTGGGAGGGCGCGGCTGGTGTGAACAGGAACCGAACCTTGAACTTAATTTCCCCTTTGAACTCATGACCTTTGACAAGATTCCCCATGCGTTCCCCTTCAGACAAATTTCATCACAATTACAGCCCCTTCCACTTGAGTTAAAGATATATAATCATTGATTTGACCTAATTACCTGATACATCCCTTTCTTTGCAAGGTGAAGGCTAAATGTGTGAACAGAAGCTGACCCGTGAAGTTCTGATATCCAATTTTTATTCTAATTATCATAGAACACTTTCAGTCTTACTCTATTTTTCTCAAGTTTTCTTTTGGTCCCTTCCCTGAACCCACTATTCCTTCAAATTCAACAATGCCCCCTAGGTTTCAAGCTGCTTGGCAACAGACCTTCCAATGCATTATGCACTACATGTTCAAAGTGTCATTTTTAAACAAAAAAACTAAAGACCAACTCTGCATTAGAAAGTCGTCACTAATCCCTGTCTTTCATGAAAAAGTCTTCTGAGGAGATAAAAGAGTGGAAACTAGAAAGTTCCCACAAGGTTCTGAAATTTTCTGACTTCTCAGCATCAATCTATTATGATTCAGACTCTCTCCTAATAATTTACAAACTTCAGGTTATAAAGCAAACACAGGCAATATCAATAGAGTTAGTATAATCAGTTTAAACCATAGGGCTCTGTACTTTTTAAAGGGACTATGTGTGTGATGGTGGGGAGGTGGGGCATGTCCGCTAAGTTTGGTACAACAAATCCCAAGCAAAGACTTTAATAAGAAAGTTTAAATAATGGGATACATTTTTAAAAATAAAATATGTGATTTAAAAGCAAAACTAAGGTTGATGGAAACTTTATGAGTTGACTTTAAAAAATGAATTTGTGAATATTCGTCTCTAATTCAAGTTAATTTTTAAAAGGAATAAACTGAAATCACAGATAGTTTTCATTATCTTGTCTTAGACTGTTGAAAAAGAAAGATGAATTGCAAAAAGTTAAACAGCAAAGAGTAAACAAAGAAGAAATTGTTCTCACTTCTTTATGTCATAGTTTATATACAGGGGCATCATGTTCTCTCAGAAACAAAATGACAGTCGATTTTCCTTTATATCATTTTTGCATCATATCCCTACTGCCTCCAAACATTAACAGGCTTTATAGGTAGAAGGGACAAAAGACTTGGAAAGAAAACACCGATAAAGTCAAATCACCTGTTTATTTTGGTGGAGCTTCTTGTGTCCTCCCTTACAAAAATTCAACAACATTGGAAGAAAAAAGTAATCTTTCATCTGACCATCACAGTGGACCTGTATCCTGCATTTTATTATCAGCAATTAATTTTAATTATACTTTGAAACCAAAGGCCTCAGCAAACAGGGAGGGAAAAAAAAGTAGGTGGCTAAACTCTTTAAGTAGGAAATTATCACAGTGTACACAGAGGGAAATCTCTTAAAAATTAACATTTTATGGTGTCAATTGTTACTAGGGTTGGACAGACATAACAAAATAGGCTGGAAGGTTCCCACAATGTTGGGCCATTAGGTAGTTTCTAAAAGGCAGGTAAAATCTGCTATGTTCCATCACTTAGAAAAGTACAAAAATTATTTTAAAAAAAATCCGAGGAATACTTGAAAAATGCCTGATCTCAACTCCCACTTCTACCCAAGAACCTGAGGTGTAACCACGAAAGTACAGAGGAATGTCAGTTTCTTTGATGAAAGCAACACATAGCCAGATGGCTGGGATCCATGTTAAAAATCACATCATGGATTATAAAAACATTGTTTCTAATTCCTGTTGGCTATCATAAGGGCCTTTGTTAATATATATTAATATTGACATCCCAGGCAACATTCCAGGAAACAGAGAGAAATAGGATGCCTATACTGTGAGAGAAATACTGGATTTGGCATTATTGTTCTAAGCCTCAAGATAGTTCAATGACAAATGGATGGATAGCAAAATATAACTAAAACAAACTGCCCTCACTAGCAAGTCAGAATTCCAGGTTTAAGAAGTAAATAAAAAATTAGTACTCATATAATAATTTTAGGATTGACAAAAACAGGGATAGAAATGCTGGAACATTCAGAAAAATGGATAAATGTTATATCTCTGGGGTTGAGCATGCTCTGAAATGATCCTCTACAGTCAAGATTCTTAATGTGGTATCTGTGAACACTCTGAAATTATATGCAAATATGCATGTGTGCTTCCCTGTGCATGCTCATTTTTATGGCAATGAAGAACCACTGCTACATAGTGATAAGAAAAAGAATAACAGGACAAAAATAATTATGACAATTTCCAAAGAAAAGACGTTGGAAGCCAATGAACAGCCAGCATCATCTCTCATGTAGAACAGTGATTTTCAAACTTTTAAAAATTGATTTCCCCAACTGTAAATTTTTATTAGACACAACTATCCATTTACTGTGTATACTTACAGATCTTATATATGATACTAATAATTCATTAATATTACAAAAGCTTAATTTATTTCTCATATTCAGGTTGAGCATCCCTAATCCAAAAGCCCAAGATTCAAAATGCTCCAAAACCTGAAACTTTTTGAGCACTGATATGGTGCCACAAGTGGAAACTTCTACTCATAAGTACTTAACACAAACTTTGTTTTATGTACAAAATTATTTAAAATCTTGTATAAAGTTACCTTCAGACTATGCATATAAAGCATATATGAAACATAAATGGATTTCATGTTTAGACTTGGATCCCATCCCCAAGATATTTCTTTAGGTATATGGAAATATTCCAAAATCTGAAATCCAAAACCCATCTGGTCCCAAGCATTTGGGATAAGGGATACTCAACCTGTATATACATATATGCTAATATTTTCCTCCCATCGCCTATGGATCATCCAGTATACCTCACCCTAGTCTCTCCCCTCTTCCACTCCTATCCCCCTTAAAATCAATTCTACAAAGAATAGTTAGAGAATTCTTTTAGAAATGTAAGTTATATTATGCCAGTCTGTTGCTTAAAACTCACTAGTTGCTTCCCATGATATGCAAAATAAAATCCAAATATCTTACTATGGCTTCAGTGACTTAGTCCTTTCTGTCTCTTCAATCTCATTTCCTAACACTCTGTCTCACTCTAGCCACACAGGTGTGGCTCTAGCCACATAAGTTTCTTGATTATTCCCTGAAGACACTCAAAGATGGGTTCTACCTCAGAGCCTTTGCATCTGCTATTCCCTGTGTCTGGAATGCTCGTCCCTTAGATCAACCCATGGCTTGATCTCTCATTTCATTCAGTTTTCTGCTCAGAGGCCTCCTCTGATCACCCTGTTCTCAAAGAGATCTACTGTCACCCTTTTTAGTCATTCTCTCTCTGCCTTTCAGTCTTTTTTGTTGTGTTTAGTTTCAGACCATTTACCATGGCTTGACATTATATAACATATCGGCCCCAGTAAAATATGAGCTCTATGTGGCTAAGGGTTTTGTCAACTTCGTCTCTGTGTCCCCAGTACTAGTCTAAGGTCGTGCACATAGTAGGTCCTCAATGATAAATGAATAGATGAAGAATAGTCAAAGCAATTGGCAGACATTCCACCTAATGTTCATTTGAATATGAACCTCAAAAGAATGTTCACATGACAGAGACCACCACGCTAAGATGAGCTATTGATCAGACTGCTAAAAATCAGCTCTCTCTTTCCCCAACTTGCATAACACTGAAACCATATCTGCCTTATGGTATCTATCACTATTTCTTTTATACCATTCTTATTTCATACAGATCTTATCTCCCCTAGTAGCCTTTGTGGAAAAAAATCCCAATCTGATCCTTCATCTTCTCCCTTATCACATCCAACATGTGGCAGGTATCCAGCCCCTGGATCATGGGCAGGGCTGACAGTCACATCCTGGCCATGACAATCTGAGGCCCAGATGCTCATGCAGGAGCGAAAAGTGCCAGCCTCTCCGAGCCATACTGAATGATGATCCTTGACTCTATGCTCAGACGGATGTTCATGGGCATTCATCTGTTGACAAGGCTGAATGAAGAGAAGGGACTCCCAATGGAAATAAACCTATGAAAAATCACCAATCCCTTGTATGATAATTGAGGAAAAAAAGTATCTCAATGTTGATATAAAAAAGACGAACATAAAATAAAGACTAAACTTAAATGATGATCAGTTGACCTTCATTTCTTTTTTAGGGGTCAATTCCCAAACAGAAGTAGAACTATCACAAACATGGCATTAAACGTTTTAAAAATTGAATTAAATTAAGAAATCAAGTTATGTAATAGGAACAATTTTAAAGATGAAGAAATGAAAGTGCTCAAAGGTTTGGACTAGCAAAGCATAATTCTATACTTAGACCAGTAAGCTGGTCATATAAAATGTTCATAAAAATTTCCTTTTGAAATAAATATACTTGGATATGAATAATTTTCATGTACCAAAAGTTAAATAAAACTTGAAAACAAATGATAATAGGCAAGTTGCTTAACATTTCTACATCTTAGTATCTTTATCTGTAAACAAAAGGAACTGAAGTAACTTCAGGTCACTTCGAGGTCTGAAATAATTCAAATAAGAATCTAGTTGAGTTTTTCAGGATGGATATGTGTTTTATGCTTATCAATGGCTGAAACTAGAACAAATATTAAACTCTCATGAGACATTAAGTTAGAAGGCATCATACAAAAATCAGCAAAAACAGAGAAGCAATCAAAGGGTAGAGGTAGAAACTGAAGTACTTCAAGAATAAAATAAAATGGAGTTAAATCAAGAAAAAAATGCAATCAACAGGTATGAGAGAAAAATAATGCAAAACAGAAGTATCAATAAAATGAAAAGATTTAGAAAGTGTAATACTGTAAAAAGACTTAATGACACCAGAAAAGCGCAAATAAACTTTCATTATGACACATGAACAATACCACTGATTTTTAGATTTCATGTAAAGCACCATAATTCATAAGCCCATAAGCCCCTAGGAAGACATTCATATTTCTACATTCTTTTGCAAGAATTGCCATGTTGAAACAGACCACTGGTCCATCCCTTTTGCCATGCTGCCCTGACAGCAAACAGATGTTTCAGAGAAAAGCTCTACTCTCACCAACCCAAATTCAATAATACACCTAATGGTGCAATACTATATCAAGAACATCATTTCTTTTTGACCTCAGAGGGCAATTATCTTATACCCAAAGCAGGAGGCTGGCTCACTTTGATTTCACGCTGGGTGGCCCACTTAAGAGGTCCCACTTATAATTACATCAAGACTGATATTTTCATTCACTTGGCTTTTCTGACACACTAAGCTACTTACACAATTTGCTGTCATCACCGTCACAATTAGGCTCTCATGTGTTTGGAATAATGTAGGGATAATACAAATGGTTGTATTTGTATTTGTAACTGTCCTTTTAAAAATCTTTGCTTTCTGTGACTGGGCATGGTGGCTCACATCTGTAATTCCAGCACTTTGGGAGGCCACGGCAGGAAGACTGCTTGAGGCCAGGAGTTCAAGACCAGCCTGGGCAACATAGTGAGACTTCATTTCTACAAAAAAAATTAAAAATTAGCCAGGCATGGCATGTGCCTATAGTCCCAGCTAGTCTGGAGGCTGAGGTGGGAGGATCGCTTGGAGCATGGGAGGTTGAGGCTGCAGTGAGTCATGATTGCACCACTGTTTAGCCTGGGCAAGACAGAGCAAGACCTTGCTTCAGGGAAAAACAATATTTGCTTTCTTAAAAATTAATATTTCTATTATTAGCTTCAGTTTATTCAAAGGCTCGAGAATTCCCAACTTAATGTAAATAACCTTCTTGAAGTGGAAACAAAAAGGAGAAATGAACCTTTAAAGAAGTACACATAACAGTAAGAATAACTTTTGAATACATGAGGTTTTGGGCTTTATGAGGATGGTTTTCTGAGAGAGTGAACAAAACAGAAGAAATAGACTGGAATGGCAAAAGGAATTGATCAGGAGTATGAAACTGGAGCTGGATCTCAGTTGTTTCTAGTCCCCTACAGATTTAAAGGTACATTGCAGAAGCACTTCAGCCATAAATCCCAAGGTCTTCTCATCTCCAGAGGAATCCTTTTTGGGACAATCTTCACCTGCCACACCCTTTCTATAGTCCTGGAGTAGACAATTTAATTAGAGCCTCTAGCATGACATTTAAATTAATGTAAAAGAATAGGGATTGGGACCAGCCTGGGCAACACAGAGAACCCTGTCTCTAGTTTTAAAAAGAAAGAAAGAATTGGAGAAGACTTTTTCAACTGGGAACATAATGACAAACTTGGAGAAATCAATTATTTTCTCCATCAGAGTATTCTGGACATAAGAAACAGCAGTAGATCATGGTAGTCAATGATGTTGCTCCATAGCTTGACTGGACCAGTAATTTTAAAATTCTGGGCCAGGTGTGGTGGCACACACCTGTAATCCCAGCACCTTGGGAGGCCAAGGTGGGTGGATCACTGGAGCCCAGTTTGAGACCAGTCTGGGCAACATGGTGAAACCCCATTTCTTCAAAAAATACAAAAATTAGCTGGGTGTAGTGGTATGGGCCTGTAGTCCCTGCTACAGAAGAGGCTGAGGTGGGAGGATCACCTGAGCCTGGGAGGTTGAGGCTGCAGTGAGCAGTGATCACACCACTGCATTCCAGCCTGGGTGACAGAGTGAGACCGTGTCTCAAAAAACAAACAAACGAACAAACAAACAAATAAATGAATTCCTCTCTTTTAATAAAAATTTTGAAGGCTTGATAAGAAAGCTTATGACCAAGTATCTAAAATATCCCTTATGTGATAACCAATATGATAACCATCTATTAAATGGACAAATAATCTCATAGTCTTTTAGTAATCCAAAGGTTAAAAAAACCCTGAAAACAAAATTACCAGGATATTTCATGAGGCAAGAGATCCAAAGGCATGCAAGATAACCCAGGAATAAAAATGAAGCTAAAAGGAAAAAAGGATGAGTTTCCTATTGATGATATCTATTATTACCAAGAAACAGTCTCTCATGAACCACAAATAACAGAGTAACAATTCAAGAACATGTCATCAGGAAAAACTCAGCCTTAAGTATTAATTAAGTGATCTTATTGGTTCTCTGTACACCTTAAAAAGCCCCTAAGTCTATTCTGAGAGGTATAATAAATCAGTAATATTATCTTAAGATTAAACTGATACTTCTAGACAAGGATGTCTTTCAAAAGTAAATTTTTTCTTTACTCTCCTGGAAATAAGTTGCTATAAAAACCTATAACATAGTAGAAACTCATAGTGCCCAGCACACTTATAAATGTTAAATAAAAGTAAATTATTTGGCCTGAACTTTATAACTCCTAAAAATACTAATGGTTACTGCAATATAAAAAAGAAAGTAAGTTTCTCTTAAAAATCTTACTAAGGCAAAGAAAACGCAATCAGAGAGAAAAAAATCATACAAGTTTTTATCAAAAGAGAGAGGATTTCTTGGCTGGGTGTGGTGGCTCACACCTGTAATTCCAATGCTTTGGGAGCCGAGGCAGAAGGATTGCTTGAGCCTAGGAGTTTGAGACCAGCCTGGGCAGCACAGTGAGATCCCATCTCTACCTCCACCAATTTTTTTTTTTAAAGAAAAAGCATTTCTTACTATCAGTAATAGTGGTAATTAAAAGAACAATAATGAATAAAATTCCTAGATACTTCAAAACTCTCATTTAACTGTTATGCTGGGCAAGGAGCAGCAGAAGGCTGTGATTATTGAATACATTACACGTCAAATTCTTTCTGTTTCTGGTGGAAATCTATGCTTCCAGGCCTAGGCCAGCCAAGCCAATGACAGGCATCCAGATAATGAGCACCCTTAGCATGTGAGGTCCCAGAATTTCTCCAACATTTTTTAGAGGATGTGATACTAATCAGTAACATGGCTAGCAGTCTCCAACAGAATGGAGAGAAACAAGCAACACTCAGCTAACCAAGAATCTCACTGGAGTATAGAAGGAACTACCCATTTGTATATGTTTTCTAATTACCCAAAAGCAAAGAATGACCCCTCAAGAAATCATTTGGGCCAATTCCCTACCTCTCTAGATATAAATATGTAACTTGTTCAAGATAGAGAGATAGTTAGCCACCCTATTTTAAAAGATTTTCAGGAACAATATTCCACAATGATCTTTTCTATCCAGCTCATCCTTCTGTCTCATTATTATTATTATTATTATTATTATTATTATTATTATTATTATTATTAAGATAGAGTCTCGCTCTGTCACCCAGGCTGGAGTGCAGTGGCGCAATCTTGGCTCACTGCAAGCTCCGTCTTCCGGGTTCACACCATCCTCCTGCCTCAGCCTCCCAAGTAGCTGGGACTACAGGCGCCTGCCGCCACGCCCGGCTAATTTTTTTGTATTTTTAGTAGAGATGGGGTTTCACCGTGTTAGCCAGGATCGTCTCGATCTCCTGACCTTGTGATCCGCCAGCCTCGGCCTCCCAAAGTGCTGGGATTACAGGCGTGAGCCACCGCGCTCGGCCTGTTTCATTATTTTTAAAGGTTAAATGGTCTCTCCAGTCCATCTCTCCATTGAAAGGTCCACTGACATTGAAAGGTCCTCAGCACTGCTCACCAACACCATGGCAAGCATCTCCTAATCTTCTCTCTAATCACCCTTTCCTCCCAAAATATGAACCTGACTAAGTCAATCTGTGATTTTTTAAAAAATACTTCACAGCTGCCTATCACCTTCAAAATAAAGGTTGAACATAATCTTCACAATCCATACCCAAATTATTTTTCCAGTTTTATCTTCTCCTGTTCCTACCTGTGCAGCCTATGGTCTAGCCATAGCCTACTACTGAATTCTACCCAAGAAACCCCTTTGAATGTCTCCTTTCATATCTTTGCTTATAGTTCATTATCTGCCTGGCATTATCTTTCCTTATTTTTAACTGCTGACTGTACTTCAAAGCCTACTACCAACTTAAAGTTTTTGTAGAATTTCCCATTCAAGATGGATTTTACATTACTTTGTTCTCTTGCTACATTATAAAATTAGCATATTCTACCTTCATTACTTTTGCACATAAATCTATTTATAAGCCACCAGAGGGCAGGGATAGTCTTGCTCTCCTCTTTATTTCTTAGCACAGAGCTTGCACAGGAAGAGACTGAAATGTTTGCTGAATTGTATTCTGCATATTTGTGTATGCATATATATTTAGACCCATTTCATTTGATATGTGGTTCATTTGGGGGTGGGAAAATTACTAGAATCTACAATAAAGGGAAGTTCATTGACAGTTACACTCAAGGTATAACGGAAAGAGTGGGCTGGATATTTATGTTCTTCTAGCTTTGCTACTTATTGATTGTTGCCATGGGTAAGACATAATATCTCTGAGCAAGTGGCTGCTGTATCTATAGGCGGCAAGTCTATATTCCAGGCAGGAGGAAGGTGACAGAACAAAAGCAAAGGTGAAGACAGGAAGGGCAAAGGGCTTTCTCAACTTTCTTATTTTGGAGAGACAGTTCTTCTAGTGACTTCACTTTACACCTTGATGTCAGAACTGTGTCTCATGTCCTTATTAGAAAAACCTGCCCTCTGCACTTTTCAGCTGGGCACATAGCCCCTGTGAAATAAGGGTTCTATAAGTAAGAAATATGGTAGAATGGCTGGGCGTGGCGGCTCACGCCTGTAATCCCAGCACGTTGGGAGGCCAAGGCGAGCAGATCACCTGAGGTCAGGAGTTTGAGACCAGCCTGGCCAACATGGTGAAAACCCGTCTCTACTAAAAATACAAAAATTAGCCAGGCGTGGTGGCATGCACCTGTAATCCCAGCTACCCAGGAGGCTAAGGCAGGAGAATTGCTTGAACCCAGGAGGCAGAGGTTGCAGTGAGCCAAGATCACACCAAAGCACTCTAGCCTGGGCAACAGAGTGAGACTCTGTCTCAAAAACAAAAACAAAAAAGAAAAAGAAATAAGGTAGAATGAACGCTGGTAGACAATTAGCAGAGCATGTTACAACTTGGAAGAGGGAAATAGTTAAGTTTTCAGACAACAGTAAAAAAAAAAAAAGCAAGAGAAAAAGAAGCCAAGTTAATGTGGACAAATTGCAGTAAAACCTCAGAAGAGTGTATCAATCACCAGAAAGAGAAATGGCAGATGAGCTCCAGCATAGCTAATGTATTTTTAGTACTGGGAAAATATACAAGAAATTTTATTCACAGAGTCCAAATTATATTTAATGGATTATGGAAACTCAACAATTAAAACCAAATAAAAATTTCTCACTTAGATCATTAGAAAGTTATCCTTGAAAATGTTAGTTAAATGGGCTGCCCTGGGCAAACAGGGCACAAAATCCAAGGCATTATGATAGAAAGCATTGTGACCTTTAGCTTTAAATTTAGTTATTTTCAAATTTATTTAACAAGTATTTACTAGTAATAATATGCATTATACTAAGAATAAATGCATTTGTTGAGCATTTCTATGTGAAAAGTACCATGCCAGATCCTAGAGGCTGGAAGAGTGAGAACACAAAGTTGAATCAGACATTAGCATTACCTTCAAAAAAGAACATAACGAAGAGGGAGATACATAGGAAGGCCTGGACAAAAAAGAGGGACAAGAGGAACGATGCTGAGTGGGGTCAGGTTCCAAATAGGCCACAGTGTTGAGGCTGGCTACTGTTCCTAACACTGCTCCAGGGACAGATCAGGGAGTCTTCCCAGGTCTGGTTGGCATATTCTAAGGGACACTCTGACCTTTACAAACACATGCTGCTGTTTTGCTGTTTGCTCCTCACACATTCTCATGTTATTGTGGATTCTCATGTATTCTGAGCTGTTAACACTCAACACTTATTTAATGTCACAACTTCTAGCATGCTTATTTGAAAAAACAAAAACAACCAATGACCTTTCATTTTAAAAAGTAACATGTTCAAACAGCAAACTTAGAAAATATAGAAAAGCACAAAGGGGAAAAAAAAGCAACCCATAATCTTATAACACAGAAAAACCCACTGGTAACATTTTGGTATATGTCCTTTCCATATGTTTTGTATCCTGCCTTTTCCCTTTAATATATCATGAACATTTTCCTATGATAATATGACTCTTCTACTGACAACATGATTTTTAATGGCTGCACTGCATTCCATCACATGGATGTACTATAATTTATTAAACCAATCCCATGTAATTAGACATTTAGGTTGTTTCTAATTACTTGATGTTCCAGGAACTATATTATTTCCAAGCTTTCTGAAAAGTAACTTTCATTGCTTATTTTTAATTATAAAAATTATACATGTTTTGGTGAAGAGAATTATAGTCTTTTTTCTTTGCACACATATACATAAGCTTCAAAAAGTGGGAGCTCACTGTATGTACTGTCTTATAACCTAATTTTTTCACTTAACAATTAACATCTTTCCATAGTCATTATATAAATATTATTCTACAAACACCACTTTTAGTGGTTGCACATATTCTGTTGCATGGTAGTAGCTCAGGTATTTCTCCTGTTTCCAATTTTTGTAAACATCTACAATGAACATTATTAAATGTTATTGTGTATACTTATTTTCTTGAATTACATTCCTAAAAGTTGAACTGGTAAGTCCAAAGGGCATTTACATTTAAGGTTTTTGTTACATTTTGCCCAATTTCGACTATACCAAACTATTTACCCACCTGCAGCGTGTGGTCACTCCCTATACTTTTACCAAACAGTGAGTATTTTCACCTACTGCCACCCAACCATGGTCAGCCTGATACATTTCTATTGCTCTTTTAAGACATAATTAAATATCATTGCCAGGCGCGGTGGCTCATGCCTGTAATCCCAGCACTTTGGGAGGCCGAGGCGGGCGGATCACGAGGTCAGGAGATCGAGACCATCCTGGCTAACACGGTGAAACCCCGTCTCTACTAACAAATACAAAAAATTAGCCAGGCAAGGTGGCGGGCGCCTGTAGTCCCAGCTACTCGGGAGGCTGAGGCAGGAGAATGGCGTGAACCCGGGAGGCGGAGCTTGCAGTGAGCGGAGAGCAGGCCACTGCACTGCAGCCTGGGCGACAGAGTGAGACTCCGTCTCAAAAAAAAAAAAAAAAAAAAAAAAAAAAGACATAATTAAATATCTTTTCTTCAGAGAGGCTTTCCCTCATCTCCAGTTTTCTTTCCAAGTGTAGTTACTGCTCCTTCCACTATGCTCTCATATGACCATTTATGCTCCTCATTTTTGGTGCTTACTACTCTGTAGTCAAATTACTGTTCGAATATTATCTTTCCAACTAGACTGTGTGCCTGTTTTTGGAGGTAAGGGTCATGTTTTATTCACTGCTGTAGTCCCAGTGCCTGGCTATGTCTGACACACAACAGGCACAATAAATGTTGGATGAAGGTGCAGATTAGTGTCAGAACTCCCTGTTTTCCTAAAGAAAATGCTCCAAGCTGGTTTATGGATTTCAATTTCTTTTAAAAAATTTTAGATTTTCAAGATTTATTTAATAAAGTATCTAATGTCAGACAGTTAGTTTATACTTATTTTCTTTTGGATTTCAATTCTAGATATAATGTGCTGTACAAGAATCCATAGGTGTTAAATAAAAATAGGAAGTGTCCGGGATTACCAAAGTACAATCTAGAGAGAAGCATTCATTAGTAGAGTAATCTTTATGGAAGGGAAAACAATGTATATCTTTCCAGACTTTGACCTTCTTCTATTTCAGAATCCATGACAAAAGTGCTCTACCAGATATTTACAAGCAAAAGTCTTCATACTATAAGTAGCTTTCATTTTAAAGGGAAAACTGTTCATTAATTCACACAAACACACTTTGTATTGTCAAAAATGTACACACACATCATCATCATTATCTTTGTGTGCAAACAACGTAAATCTACAAGTTATAACCAAGTAGAATATAGGGAAATTTAAAAATAGTTATGTTATATTAATGTTATAACACTTTGTAATCCTTCCAGGGGTGTAAAGCATAAATAATTTGACCTTTATTATAAACAATCTGGTAATGAACATCCTTGTACATACATCCTGCTCTTTGCCAGAACTGTCTCCATAAATGGGGGAAATGCATTTGTTTGTTTTAGTATGGGCCAGACTAATTAAAACTTCTGTCAAAATCTTCCTGCCTCATATTATTCTTAAAATCATGATAAGTTCATTTGTTTCAAAGCTACAGAAATAGAGATGATAAAAACAAAAGAAACTATAGAGCTTGTGGGAAGCTCTATAGGTCAAATGGCTCAGGCGCCTCAATCTTCTGGTGCTTCAGAATTGATTGGAAATAGCATGTACAAGGTTGTCTGTCATTGGAACACTTTTTTCTGCAAACTCAGCATCCCTGTAAGTGAAGAAGTGATTTCGTTTTGAATGGCTTATCTAGATCAAATTCAAACACTTGGACATTATAGCTCACCTTATAAGTGCTTTCCTTTTATGTTTGAAAACTGTCTTAAATGTTTGTTTTTATTCCTAGGTTGATTGTGGATCAGAATTCAGAGCAGGACATTAATACATATCTAATAATCCCCCCACTGGTTTTTCTAGATTATTCCCCATTCTGATGACCACAGAACTTTAAACTTGAGTATTATCAAGATTTACAGAATACTGGGAATTTATTATAAAGCTCTCCAATCTAAAATGCTTTCTTCCTAAAGAGCCATTTTAAGTGTCGACCACAAGGTGTGTGACAAGAAATTTCTTTCTTTCTTTTTTTTTTTTTTTTTTTTGAGATGGAGTCTTGCTATGTCCCCCAGGCTGGAGTGCAGTGGCGTGACCTTGGCTCACTGCAACCTCTGTCTCCCACTTCAAGTGATTCTCATGCCTCAGCCTCCCAAGTAGCTGGGACTATAGGCGTGCGCCACCATGCCTTGCTAATTTTTGTATTTTTAGTAGAGACGGGGTTTTGCCATGTTGGCCAGGCTGGTCTCAAACTCCTGATATCAGGTGATCTGTCCGCCTCGGCCTCCCAAAGTACTGGGATTACAGGCGTGAGCCACCGTGCCCAGCATAATAAGAAAATTGCGTAGGCAAAAGGTTTATGGTCATTCAGAAGGGACACTAGGATCAACACACTAAAGAGCAACAACTGCTATTTATTTTTAAAAATTTTAAATATGTATTTTCCAAAGTGATCACTGAATATTAAGCTAATGGAACATTCTGTCAGTTTCGCTACAGAAAGGTATAAAGTTCGAGACTAAGTGATAGAGCAGAAAATAAATCACGGTTTTCAGACCAGGGTTCCAATACATCTGCACTTTAATTTCTCTTTTCTTTTGAAAAAATTCTTGCCCATGTAAGACATTTTATTATGTTTTTAAAATCTCTTTTAATCTACATGTTGCCCTTCATCCCTTTCTTTTCCTTATAATTTATCCATTTAAGTACAGGAATATTTGACTCTGGAGTTTCCCACTGTCTGCATTTTGCTAATTGCCTACTAGGAAGGCAATTCAACATGTTATTCTAAGGTCTCACTCTTAACACCCAGACTGGAGCACAGTGGTGCAATCTTGGCTCACTGCAGCCTCAACCTCCTGGGCTCAAGCCGTCCTCCCTCAGCCTCCCAAGTAGCTGGGACTACAGGTGCGTGCCACCACACCTGGCTAATATTTTTTTCTTCATTATTTTCAGAGACGGGGTTTTGCCATGTTGCCCAGGCTGGTCTCAAACTCCTGAGCTCAAGTGAGCTGCCCGTCTTGGCCTCCCAAAGTGCTGGGATTATAAGTATGAACCACTGTGCCCCGCCGTGCCTCTGTTTCTTAATCAGAAAAATGGATACTCATGCACGAAAGTGTTACAGCTCACTGCGATGTCCATAATTATCACCACAAAGAGTTGAATACTGAGAAACAACAATGGCAAGAGTGAGATCAGAGAACCCATACTCTGCAACTGTCTGGCTTTCATCTGGGTTCCATCTCTGCTACATGTGAGATGTGTGATCCCAGATGAATCTCATGCTCGGTTTCCTCACCTATCAAACAAGGATACTACTCGCCTCATGAGACTGCTGTGAGGGTTAAATGTGGTGATGCATTTGAACAAGGTTTTTAAAGTGTAAAGTGCTATAAAGTGTACAAATTCGTGACAGCATTACTTATTATCAGGGGCTTAAATACTTTTATAATGAAAAAATATTTTAATGTGTTGGAAAAATCTATCTCTTGAGAAAGATTAGATATGACACTGACTTGAAACAAGAGGGCCTATATGACTTAATGAATACTTGTGAAGGAATAAATGATACCCCCGTACTGAGGAAACTTACAGCCTTATGACCCAGGAGCTCTGTGATTTCTATAGGATGATAGCAGTGTAAGTTTCTGTCCTACACAAACATCTCAGTACCATTTAAACAACTTACTCCAAAGCCACCAATCAAAATGTCAAGTAATGATTTACAGTGGGTGAATACTGAAAAAAAAAAGTGCTGATTTTTATTTACCTTTCAATCTGTGCAAATCCATTAACTATGGATGCTAATGCTCTTCTTCAAAGCACTTTGCCAGGTCACTTCCTTTCTTCCACTCCACATCCTGTTTTCTCTGGGCTTCTCACATAAATTTATTTGAGGGCTCTCCTGCCTACTCACCTACCTTGCCCCTCTGACCTTCTCCTCAACCAGCCTATATCTGAGCCTTCCTTTCTACTTTCCCTCGCCCACCAAACTTCCATTCCATCTGTTTTTAAAGAAATTTCTGAAATACTATTTTCAGGTACTCTTGACTATTTAGTTTGGAAGTCATTTTTCTAGAGCTGTGGTCTTCAATTTGGTAGCCACTTGCTACATATGGCTATTTAAGGGTATATTTAAATTAACTAAAAAATTACATTTTAAATAGTTTCTTAGTCTTCCAGCCACATTTCAAGTGCTCAATAGTTACAAATGTTAGTGACTGCTCTACTAGAAAATGCAAATATTATAGACCATTTGCATCACTACAGAAAGTTCTATTGGACAGTGCTAGAGCCCCCTTTTCTCTACAATAGTGGAAGACAATGTGGTGTAGTGGGAAAGGTATGAATTTTGAAATTAGATGCCCTTTGTCTTTTTTAATACTGGACTTAAAAGATAACTATAAGAAATTATATAAGTGCCTAGCACAATGCCTGCCAGAGTAGGTGCTCAATTCATGGTAGCCATTATTAATGTGCTACTGCTTTTTAAAGTAACTCCGGAGTCTCTGTTTTCCTTTTACCAGGGCACACAAAAATCTGGAGGAGTAACAATCAACGTGGCTGGGCGCGGTGGCTCACGCCTATAATCCCAGAACTTTGGGAGGCCAAGGCGGGAGGATCACTTGAAGTCAGGAGTTCGAGATCAGCCTGGCCAACATGGTGAAACCCTGTCTCTACTAAAAAAATACAAAAATTAGCCGGGCGTGGCGGCAGGCGCCTGTAATCCCAGCTACTTGGGAGGCTGAGGCAGGAGAATCGCTTGAACCCGGGAGGCGGAGGTTGCAGTGAGCCGAGATCGGGCCATTGCACTCCAGCCTGGGGGACAAGAGAGAGACTTTGTCTAAAAAAAACAAAAAAACAAAAAACAATCAATGCTACTTCCTTTTCTGTGAGGCAGTGTGGCATACTAGAAATAATATGGGTTTTGGAACTACAGAGACTTGATCAAATCCTGCCTCTGCCCCCTTATTAGTGGAGGAACTTGGGCAGGTTAATTTTTCTGATACTCGAATTTCTTCATCTGTGATAAGGAAATGATAATACCTACAATGCACAGTAGTAATGATGATTAGAGGTAATGTGTGTAAATACTATGTCTGGCATGTGGTAGGCATTCAATAAATTTA
The DNA here is from genome assembly GCF_000001405.40 of Homo sapiens. Taxonomy (NCBI): domain Eukaryota; kingdom Metazoa; phylum Chordata; class Mammalia; order Primates; family Hominidae; genus Homo; species Homo sapiens. The sequence continues at coordinate 48,329,991 of NC_000017.11, forward strand.
TTATAGAAAGCAGGTACTATTAATTCACCTTATAGAGTGCCATGCATTCAGCATAGTTATGTGCTAAGTAAGTGGTTGCTGTTGTTGGTAATGAAGGCCAGGCTAATAAATCTTTTGCAGGATGGTAGTATTTATGCTTTTGTTTAAACACTTCTCCCTGTACAGGGCTTTCTCTTGTACTCCTAGAATGCAGGTAAACTTAAGTTTTTCTCTATGGTATTATCGATTCCAGTTAATTATTTTTTTAATTTAAAAGTTTTAAAAATTTTATATGAGAGGGGAAAAAATTGAGTATTCACAATTCATCAGAAAGCCTTTAATTTACCATTATTTGGGAGTTTTTACTATTATAAAGACATTTATGGAGTGGTATGTGGATTGGAACTGCAGATTGGCATAAAGGACTGCTACTATCACTGTCACCAACAAAGGTTGCAGCTTAAAATTTTGCCTGGACAGCAAGTCTAAAATTTCTGCCATCAGAGCATAATCCAAGTCACAACTCTAAAAAGAAAAACCAAAACCAAACAAACCACCAGAGGTTAAACATATGCATGAGACATTGGAAGGCTGGGGGAAGGAGAAGGGAAGCATTCTGCAACCCGCCCTCTTCATTCATGCTGCCAGAAGGGCAAATAAGAATTGTGTCCCTCTTGCTTCTGGCAGTTGGCACACCCTAAGTGACAGCACATTTCAAGAAGCTGTTTTATTTGCTTGAGTTGTCTCGTTCTTTCAACTGCTATAGTGTTGTGGGTCCTGCTAAAATATCTTTGGGGGTGTGGGTGAAGAGTGGCGAATCACAAATTTAGTAGCCAGTTTTTCCCCAGGGGGCGGAAAAAAAAAAACAAAGAGTGACCAAGTAACCAAGTAAAGAGAGCTATGAGTTCAATAACCAGGATTATCCCATGGCAAGGATTCTGTTATCGTTGAGCATGATTCCTTTATCTCTCAGAGACAATCAACCTTCAGCCAGAGGAGTGTAACCTTAAAACCTCATAACTCAATTTAACATAGTGTTAAAGTTTGGGGGGATATTTATCAGTGCTGAGGCTGATATAATCAGTCTGAGGGACCCTAGAACAAAGAGCAGTGGGTGAAGAACATGTCACCTCCGTGCACATTCGTTTCCTTGATGAACAAGGGGCTATTAGCTGCAGAGAAAGCATTATCTAGGTGAAGAATGATGCCGATTGTTTTAGCTACTTCTTTTGAAATTGTGGAATAGAACACAGAATCTTAGTGAGTTAAGGGAGCAGTTTTTGTTAATATGATGTGGATTTTTTAAAAAAAAATAAGTTTAATTTGGCAGAATATATAGACACATTCTTCTATAGCAACCAGGAATTAATTTGAAACATACATCTCTTTTAACCTCTGCTCTTAGGCTCTTACCTCATTAAATCAAAAAGTTTAAAGATAATCACATAGGCTGGGCGTGGTGGCTCACACCTGTAATCACAGCACTTTGGGAGGCCAAGGTGGGCGGATCACCTGAGGTCGGGAGTTGGAGACCAGCCTGACCAACATGGAGATATCCCGTCTCTACTAAAAATACAAAATTAGCCGGGCGTGGTGGCGCATGCCTGTAATCTCAGCTACTCAAAAGGCTGAGGCAGGAGAACCGCTTGAACCCGGGAGGCGGAGGTTGCTGTGATCTGAGATCGCGCCATTGTACTCCAGCCTGGTAAAAAGAGCGAAACTCCGTCTCAAGGAAAAAAAAAAAAAGATAATCATATAAGGCTTTTAAAAAATCTAGTTTTCATGCAAAATACTAGCTTTCATGCAAAATTTAAGAAGAAAGGCCATATATGGCTTTTTTAGTAATAAGCTAGTTAATAAAGCATCTAAGGAAGGAGAAAATATGTTCATTGAACATCTGACTTTTTAAAGGGCTAGGCATCATCTTCAAAATTTAATTCTCAATAAATTATAAACTTTAATTGTGAATTTTTATACAAAATATTATTTCTTAACATACCTTCCCAATAAAATTTTGTCACTCTCTTCACATTATGTTGTAAATTAATCATTGTCCTTACTGATTCTAAGTAGAAAAGTAACTTGTAATGCCTTTTTAAAAACTACCTCATGATTTTAGTTTGTTTTTTAAAAGCACTTTTAAAAAATAATTACATTCTTGTTTTAAAATACATTTTCTTTAATTTTACCTTTCAGCATAGTTTATTATATTATTACAGCTTTAAATAACTCGATAACATTTATACAAGAATAATCATATTAACTTCTCTGTATGCAGGTTTTCTGATTTAAAATATAAAATTTTATTATTTTTGTTGAATAGGCTTACTTTTTATAATTTCTTTTTACATGCTCTCTGGATATGCTGGACTATGAAATGATAATTTAAGTTAACATCTTGGAAATCCAGGAACTTGCATATAACAAACTTATTAAAATATATTTCAGAAACTAAACTTTAGACGATAACATAAAATATCTGCTTTTATCATTTAAAAAATGACGAGCATATTTCATTTTAAAAGGATAGTAAAAGTTTCTTAATCAAAAACTTCTCAGGGATTTTTAACCACAAGGATTTACTGCAAACCTGCTGCATCTGCCAGGCCAGTAAAACTTGCCAGCCCACCTCAGTCAATACCTCATATCAAGATGCCACATTTTAAAAATCTTCCTGATCAGGTAAATATTATAGAATATATCCTTTTCTAACTCTGCAGATATAGCTTTCATGGAGACATTTATGAGCGCTGAAAGAATTGAGGGAAAAATAAAACCCACACTACTTTTTAGGGTTTTAAAAAAATTCTTTATTGGAATTTCAATAATTCATTTAGCAGAGTGTGCAAAAAATTTCATAGAAATCTTTCCTTAATTTCACACTTTTGCCATATATTGAAAATCATACCCAGCATGGTCTTATATCACTTGGACTGAAAAATATAATATGTTAGAATTATTATGAGTGATAACATGGGTAAGAGTTTAAAGAACATTATAACTAAATCGGACAGAATTCAATTTTTGCCTATTCTAGATAGGAAAAGTAAACTTAAAGTTGTGAAACCTTTTACCTAGGTTGTGGCTTCTGCATTGCCAGACCAGGACCTCTGCAATGTTCTGTACAGTGATTCATACTGTAACAGCCATAATTTCAATATACAGTATCTCACCCTGTAACAATCATAAGCAAACTATGAAATGTGTCACAATTACTTACTCAACTGGCAGAATTAACCAAATCACCACTTGTGCAATTTCAGCTGTTTGCCTTAAATAACTTCTTAAAAACAAAAAGAAACAACAAAATGTAATAATGTAAGAAATAACATAAGTATGTAAGAAGCAACAAAAAGGCTGACAGAAGGCCAGCATTAAATAAAAATGTAAACGCTCTGAAAGCTTATGATTTATGTGCCTTCACAAGTTAGTCCTCATTTATTTTTGCCAGATCTAGTTAGTGGAGTAACCTAGCCTTCCTAACTGCACTGGAATTGATAGGAACTTTTCCACCATTTGTCCTAAATTTCTTTGCATCTGATAGGCAAAGTCATTATTCTTTCATATACCTTTTTATCTCAATTAGACAAAGCTGAGACGTTTTATATTGCTGGAAAATGTTTTTCTGCTGGTAAGACAAGCCATATATATTGCCTCTTAACACTGAATGAAACATATCTAACCAAATTAATATATTTAGAGTTAGGGAATTACATTAAAATTTAAAATTTTATCCATGGAACAAATATGAAAGCAGTAAAAAGTTTTCCCTGTTTAGCTCCTTCTAATGTATCTCATCCCAAACAAATAGGGAATTTTAATGAATCCAAATTAGGGGGAAAACATTTAAAATACTAATACTGTCAAATTTAAGTAAATTTGCTATTTTTGAGAAAGCAAACATGTAATAGATTCCACATGAAGAGCTCCTTGAATCATCCTGATGTTTCCTAGGAAAATTAAGGCAGATGTTTGCTTTATAGATGAAAGCATTTGCACACACAGAGCTAGAAAGCAAAGAAGGTAGAAGTAAACTGCCTTACTTTCAGTTTCAATTATATGATAAAAAAGTTATATTTAAAATAAGATACTTAACAGGTACTCAGATGCAGTTTCCTAGGAAATTCCCTTCTATCCTACACTTTGACAAATATTCTGATACCCCAAGAGACCCTGACACCTTCTTATAGCTACACAAGTTAAACTTCTGCAAACAATTTCTATATTATACTGTTATCAACTTTAATATTCAAAAAAATTAGTCATTGTAATTTCCCTAATAGTGCTAAAAGAAAGAGCACAAAATATTAAGCTAATTAATAAATTCTGTTTTAAAAATAAGTATTCTAGAATGAACCTTTTCCCAATAGCCAAGTAAAGACAGATCCCTTCAGAGAGCTTTGTGAAAATATATCAAGTAACTTAAAAACAATAAAGAATGTATACCCAAGAACAATCACAACTTTTTGGTGACCAAAGCAATTGAAATATGCATAGTAGTAAATAGCACAGGTATAACTAAAGGCCATCTTCTGCTTCTCTACTCAGATAAGAATGTTCCAGAGTTTTTATAAAAATCCACAATTTTATCTGTCTCATGAAAGCACGGCCTTTACATTAAAAAAAAATCAGGCCCAGCAGGTATCTAAGAAATCTGACACAGATCAAGAAATCAAGGTAAGATTGCCTAACCTGATTATAGTTAAATCTCAAAAATGTTATATCAAATTATTATTTTTTAAAAATACATACAAATTAGATCATTCCTATGTAGATCCATAAATGTTTTGCTATTAAGATGTTTGATCTGTAGGTTGGTTAAATTTTGTCTTCAGGTGCTCATAGGAATGTTAATACTAAAAATTAATATTAATAAATAGCTGAGATTAAAATTTTATTCACATATCTTAAGGGAGAAGCACATAGTTTAATAAAAGTAAATTGATTTCCTTATTTAAAAAAATAATCATAATCTCTTAAAGTTGGGGAGAAAGAAGAAAAATTAGTCAAAATTATGAGTTTCCTAATTAATATTTGATCATTGTATATTCTCACTCACTTCACCTGCGACTGACCCCTTTTCATTTTGTTCTGCTATGTCTATATCATTCTTCTCTTACAATTCCTCAATTAGTATAATATTCAGTACTCCCTTTTGAGGAAAAAAGGGCAATATTTAATATTAAAAATCATGGTCTCAAATTTATTCCTAGAGTTCCCAGAATAACTAAATAGGACCCCATATTTTCATCAGAATGTGATTTGAGCATAAAGGCAATCTACCTTAACCATTACTCAAGTTTCTGAATAGCCTGAAACAAAACAAAACAAAACAAACTAAGGGATAGTGTCTAATTTTAATCACTTTTTGCATTGCCATCTAAGACACATTAATAGCAACTTTTCATTGATTCTTGTCTAGAGATCAACTATTTCAAGGCAGAAGGGTTACTTTTAGTAGTCTCCTAGAAAACAAACATAATTTTTTGCTACCTGTAAAAATTTATTCCATAGGCAATTCACATGAAGACATTTGCACACCAGTTCAGTGTCTTCTTCAGCTATTTGCTACTTACTTAGAACTTCAATATCTGAAATGTGTCCACCATAGAAGGAATGCTACAATAATAAGTTGTAAAATAATTGTAAAACTGGTAAAATTAATATGTTGTAGGAGACAGAGGAGATCTGATTAAATATGTTAGAAATGCTAACCACATCCATTTGTAATTGGCAAAGAAAAAAATATCTGTGAATTTGGCTTAAAATTCATATTTAACACACTCCCTTTATTTATCTGTTTAGGAATACAAACCCTCAAGATTATAGTTTTATTTGTCCTCCCTTTAACTTGTGTAATAATAAGAACATATGAAATGATTTTAAGAAAGTAATATTTTTGAGGTTTTAAGGAATTAATAAAAGAACAGGAATTTCTCATATCTGAGTATGCGTATGCGTACGCACAGATACATATAACAGTTTTAATTTTTGAATTCACTACGTAAGCTCACATGTTGAGAACTTACATATCTTAGCCTTCCTCTTCACTAAAGCAAAACAAAATAAAAATCCAGAAAAGCCCAAAAGTAGTATTTCCTTTTACCACGAGAGGGAGCTAGAGAATTCTGATCTCTTTCAAGGTCTATAAAACCCTCTTAACTGCTACTTTATAGACATTCAATTACAACAGGCCATAATACATTAAAGCATTAAAATACACATATATCCCAACATATGCCAAAGCAAGCACTACACTGGTGTGCTCTCCAGATGATCACCAATACCAACATCTAATAAACACTTAGGCATCTTCTAGTGGTTTATATGAGATTTTACTCTTGAGCACTCCCCTCCCCATAGGGCAGCTCTCTTGGTTAGGTGATCCCCTTGGAATGGAAAATATCAAGCAGTGTGATAAAATACCTAAGCACTGGAAGTATGACAGGGGCAGAGTGAGGTAAGGATTAAGAGAACTGAAATTTATGTAGTTTGGAAAAGTGAAGACTCTGGGGATAAATGTTCAGTCTTTAATACTTTCTAAAGGTAACAATATAAATGAATTAGGGGAATTATTCAGTCTCAGAAGATGGTATAGAAAAGAGCAATGGCCTGAAACTAAGGAAGGAAAAGTTTAGGTTAGACATGAAGAATAAATTAGGAATAATAGTTGGGCAGGAAAGATGTCCGGCAAAGGGAGGACCCAAAGCGTAATCACTATATTTGATAATTAAATGAGATATTAGTAAGAATGATGTGAATTCATTAGAAGGGCTAGATTAGATAACTCAAAGTAATTTTTTTCCCCTAAGCTCTGACAATCTCTAGGTTCAACTGTATTCTTGGGCATTCACAAATGTCTTTCATTGATGATAATGATCACTTGTAGAGAGAAGAGCTAGTAATTCTAGTTAACCCTATGTTTTGTTGATTAAAATAAAATCTGGGGTATTATAATGAGACAACATAATAATAAAATTAACCAAGACAACAATGTATATCTTTCAGATTATTCTGTGAAAATATACTATACCATATAAGCTATATTCTAACAAAATGGGTCAGCAAATTGGAAAAGGCTTCTATAAGTGAAAACTTCCCATAAAGGAACAATTCCTCTCTAAATCCCAATCTTTTACAAGCCAGAGAATCCATTCCATATAATCTTTCTTTCCTGCTAGACCAGTGTATCCGGATTTAAGCTACTTAGGGCCCAACATAAAAAAGGCTGTCACTCAAAGTTAGAAAGGCAGCCTAGAGCAGAAGTATAATATAGTTTATGAATTCAACAATCTTTCCCTAGTAAGCCATAATATTCTAGACTAAGACGTGGTTCAGCATTGTGTTAAATAGTGTTATTAACCTTTCTTTTTTACTTGAAAAGTCAGACTTCTATGTTAGGCCAAAATAAATTATGACTAGTAGAAAAACAAAAACTATCAAAGCAGGAAGATTCAGGAAGATTCCTTTGCTCACTAAGGAATCACATCTTATTCCTTTTTCATATCCTCTACATAGCATCCAAACTCGTGATGGAATAAGGACATTCAATATTGGTATTCAATAATGAACTCTTCATTAGTAGTGTATTAAAATCTATAACATGGACAAAAAGGCCAAAAAAGATAATTAATTAGTTCTATGTCAAATCAATTCAGGGGCTTAATGCACGTTATTCATAACTATAATTGTTGGCATTTATGGAGCCTTTTTGAAATTCTTTATAAACTATACCACTTCCAAATCATCCTAGGAAAATAGTAAGAACATATATAGGCAAGAGAGACACATGTGTCTGAAGAACTTGACTGAAACTTGCAAGAAATCATCTAGGAGCCAAGATCAGACCTTCTACAAAGCCATTTGGAGGCTGCATTGAAAAGCATGCTGAGATCATGCAGGTGAGGGAATGCATGCAGTGTAAGCCAGGAGAGGTCACTCTCAGAGAGGTGGTCTTGGGTATGATACTGGTTCTATCACTTGCTAGTTGTAGGATGGAGACACTTAGTATCTTCCTTCCTTCCTTCCTACCTTCCTTCCTTCTTTCTTCACTTAGTTCCTTCTTTCCTTCCTTCCTTCCTTCTTCACTTAGTTCCTTCTTTCTTTCTTTTCTTCCTTCCTTTCTTTCTTTTTCTTTCTTTCTTTCTTTTCTTCCTTCCTTCTTTCCTTTCTTTCTTTTTCTTTCTTTCTTTCTTTTCAGACAGAGTTTCACTCTTGTCACCCAGGCTGGAGTGCAGTGGCACAATCTTGGCTCACTGCAACCTCTGCCTCCCAGGTTCAAGCGATTTTCCTGCCTCAGCCTCCTGAGTAGCTGGGATTACAGGCACCCGCCACCACGCCAAGCTAATTTTTTCATATTTTTAGTAGAGATGGGGTTTCATCATGTTGGCCAAGCTGGTCTCGAACTCCTGACCTCAAGTGATCCACTCACCTTGGCCTCTCAAAGTTCTGGGATTACAGGCATGAGTCACCGCGCCTGACCACTTACCATCTTTAAAATTTAGTTTTCTCTTTGTTAAAACAGAGACTAGATTAGGTTATTGCCAACTCTCTTCCAGCTCTTAAATTCCATGATTTTATGTAGAATTTAACCCAAATGTATGGGTTAAATTCGCAAGGAGTTTGTTTTAGTGAAAGAAGCATTATGGAAGATGTCCAGCTATCAACACATGTGAGAGCACTTTACTGGGTACTGGATGAAAAGTTAGAGTTTAAACACACACCAACAGCCCAAAATGCTGGGTTGAAAATGAAAAACGGGTCATTCATAGACAGATAATTGTTACTGTTTTTTAATTCTTCATGAAAACATGTATAATCCTTGGTAACCATTTGTTTAAGTAATATAAATTACTGTCAACTTGGAAGCCCAGTTTGTCATCTTCATCTGTGATTTATACCAGACTATATAAACGACATGATTTCTTAGATCTAATAAGACATTTATCTTCATGAAGGAAGCCACTGTGATCCTGAGTGACAGTTTACTTACCCTTATCACAGTAAACTCAACACCAAGTCCTTAATTTCTCCCAATGATCTGAAATCTGATGGACTCACCTAAAGCCAACACAAACTTGTTTAGAAATCCACCAGGTTCATGAAAGTGTGTGTTCTACTGTAGAATTCATTATTTGGCTCCAAAAACACAGACATGGATATAAGTTTTTATGTTCTTCCACAGTATGTGCCTCTAAACACACATACATAACTTCCATTAGCTTTGACAGGAGTCATGTGCCTTTATTAAAGAAAAATATACCTTCTAGCTAACAACAAAGATCAAAGCAGTTGTCTGAAGAATAAAAAGAAAATGAGAAAAATGCTTGCTTGAATATATGTATGTATGCATATATGTTTATTTACAGACTTATTTATGGAAAGAGACTATATTGAATCATTTTCATTATCTTCATATCATAGAATAAAAAGGAACTAAAAACTCCAAATATGTTCACATAGCTTACATAGTTTTAAAAAAATACACACGAAGAAAGTTAACAAGCCTAACCCCATCAGTGAGAAGGAAGCAAATGGCTTGCTGTTTTTAAGCCATTAATTTTTTCAATCTACTAGGGTCCTATTGGTGCTAGAATACTATGTATTATTGGTGCTAGGGTACCAGTGACTGAACCTACATAGGTTTCTAACACTCCAAGTAAAGCAGCCCTAAATTATGCACATTTTACTCCAAAGTTGTCAGCAAGATTCCACCTAAGATTTATCCTGATCAGTGAGGTCATTTACCTCTAATCCCTGCATCATTAATTCACATACCTCAGTAAACATTGTAAGAAGCTCAGGTTATTTACTCTGTGAAACAATATAATTTATACACTAAAATCAGGCCTTACCCCTGACTCACAATAATGGGGATCTCAAACTGGCTTATGAACATTTTTTATACTCACTGAGTATAAAGTCTACCAGTGGCCGGGCGCGGTGGCTCATGCCTGTAATCCTTGCACTTTGGGAGGCTGAGGCGGGTGGATCACGAGGTCGGGAGTTCGAGACCAGCCTGACCAACATGATGAAACCCTGTCTTTACTGAAAATACAAAAATTAGCCAGTCGTGTGGCATGCGCCTATAATCCCAGCTACTCAGGAGGCTGAGGCAAGAGAATCGCTTGAACCCAGGAGGTGGAGGTTGCAGTGGGCTGAGGTCATGCCACTGCACTCCAGCCTGGGCAACAGAGCTAGACTCCGTCTCAAATAAATAAATAAATAAATAAAATAAAGTCTATCGAGGGTGCTGTCATAGATTTAGAGGCGAAACTAACTTAATAAGTGGAAGTTCTAGGAATAGGATTTCAGTTCATTAAGAGGGGGTCTTTTTAATCAATTAGAGCTCTTTTTAAGTACCTAATAATATGACCCTGAAAACAAAACAAACAAAACATGGAAAAAAATGAATATATCTACAATTGTAATTGGAGATTTCACACAGTCCTCTCAGGAGAGAAAAGAAAATCTAGGAATATAAAAGATTTAAAGAGTATTATTTATAAAAATAAAAAGAGTAAGAGTGTAATCAATGAATGTTTCTGAAGCACACATAGCACATAAGCAAAACCTGATCATTACAGCTACAAAGGAAGTCTCAACAAAGTCCAAAGAATCAAAATAATATACACTGTGCTCTTACATTATAAAGTAATAAAATCTGAAGTCAATAATAAAAGAGTAGGTTTTAAAATTCTTGAAACTACAACAAAACAAACTAAAATAAAAACTAGAACGTAAACACAAAAAATGCTTCTAAGTAGCATGTAAGTTAAAAAGAATATCATAAAGGAAATGATAAAACACTTAGAATAATTATGAATGAAATTTTGTGGGATGCAGTAAAAGCATTTAGAGGATAATTTTTAGCTATGAACACATTTATTTTAAAAATCAACATTATATCCAGTGAAAAAAGCAATAAGGAAAATGAGTTGGAAAGCCCGTAAGAGTAGATGTCTACAGAGGAACAAACATCCACCTCAGCAGAACTCTTCAAAAAGCAATGGCTTTGAAATCTATTGGAACTCTATTCCCTCATGTGGATTAGATGTGTCATCCTTGGTCAAGTCAATTAATTTCTCTAAGCCTGAATACTTTACCTGTAAAATGGGTAACAGTGTCTTCCTCTCTGAGCTGGTTTGAGAATTAAATGAGATAACCCATGGAAAGCACTTAGTAAAGAATAGTAAACACTCGATAAATGGTTCCTATTACTAGATGACTTTATCATCCCTTCCAACTCCCAGATTCCATGATACTAACTTTGGCACCATGAAATTTAAGACAAACTTGAACTCTGGCTACAATAATTTAATCAGTAAATTAAACCTTCATTTTAATTTCAGAATACTAAAACAGTTTTGTTTAAAATAGATTCATATCTAATGCTTTCTCCCCACTATTATAAAAATAAAACCCACAATGATCAACAAAATCTAGTCTATTATTATTCATAATCTTAAATGCAAAATTGACTTGTATTTCAGAACTAAAATGAAAACAGAGAAATGTCTTAAAAGTGCTAAAAATAGCACTGTAAAAAAAGGGTTCTTTTTATTTCCAGAATATTCTCTATATTTTTAAATGTTCTTTTCAGAAATGGCATGGAGTTGAAAATAGCTACTATTGGTACTTTAACATGTTTGCAGTTCCTTTTAAATCAACAAGTATGTAATAAAATCAATCAACAACAGTCTCTTCAGTTATTCATTACTACTCTTTTCCAGTGATAGTTACAGGTCTTTCCTTTTCCAGTTGTTTCTCATTTTGCTGAAGAATAAGAATCTTCTCTAACCTTCAACATCCTGATGCACAAAGAAGCTCTAAAATATTCTCACTTCTATCCAGATTTAATTGTTCAATATCCATTCACCCATTCTTTAATTAGAACGTAAACATATATAACAAATAAATACATTATCATAGATTTTAGGTTTCTTCTAAAATAATTTTATTTTTTCTTTTTCTTCCAGAAGGAGTCACTATATCCTGCTTACAGAATGATCACTTTCCCCAATCCACTTTAAAAAATAATGTAGGTATGCAGGGATTCTTCATTATACTAACAAAGTAAGTTTATAAATACATTAAAATCCACTGTATATTTGGACGCTGAAAACAATCAGATCTTGAGCTTTGTAGTTGCCTGGCTCTTGTACTAAGTATTGTGGTCAGTGTTTCCTACTACATTTTTTTCCTTCCATATGGTAAAAACTATGCTTTTAGTTCAGAAATCTAAATGTTATTACTTGTTAGCAAGTTTTTGTTCCCGATGGTGGGGCTGTGCTCTTGTGGGTGTCTCTCTCTGCCTTCAAATTGTGGGCATTTACAAAGGAAAAGGAGAAGGAATTGTAATTAGGTAGCAACAGGCTCTCATTTTTATGCATGGGTTAGCCTGTAACCTTGGTTTTCATTTTTTGCTGTGTACCTGGCCAGGTTTCTATATTCTTCTAGCACTCTTTGTAGTTTTCACAAAGTCATGACCTAAACACAATATGCAGCATGCTTCTATATTCTTCTAGCACTCTTTGTAGTTTTCACAAAGTCATGACCTAAACACAATATGCAGCATGGTTACTGCCCCTCATCACTAAAATTATGGGTGGATGGGCCCGACTGTGTATCCTTTTATAATGGCAAGTCTAGGATACTACTCTAGCTGACAGTGGAAGACAAAATATCTGAAATATTTTCACATTTTCTAATGAAGACAAAATTCGAGAAGCCTAAAATAACTGTCATTACAAAGAATGTTAAAGAGGAATATCTGGGAGGCCAAGGCGGGTGGATCACGAAGTCAGGAGATCGAGACCATCCTGGCTAACACGGTGAAACCCCGTCTCTACTAAAAATACAAAAAATTAGCCAGGCGCGGTGGCCGGCGCCTATAGTCCCAGCTACTTGGGAGGCTGAGGCAGGAGAATGGCGTGAACCCAGGAGGCAGAGTTTGCAGTGAGCCGAGATCCCACCACTGCACTCTAGCCTGGGTGACAGAGCGAAACTCTGTCTCAAAAAAAATAATAATAAAAAATAAAGAGGAATATTTTTTCTTCATAAATAATTGACTTAGCTATCTATAAAGACACTAACTTTATATTTTTTTATTTGTCTACTTATTAATAGTTTTCCCAGTGAGATGGTAAGCTCCATGAGGGCAGGGACTGTATCTGCTTTCTCACTGCATTTTTCACCTGCAGCTTAACACAGTGTCTTGGTGTTAACTAGGAATCTTTAAACAAACATTTGTTTAAAAAAATGAATAAGTAGCATATCAAGTGTTACCATTCTCTATAATGGTAAAAACTAATTAAATAGGATATAGAGATTGCTAAAAATTTTGACACCTTTATAACTTTCTCTTTAATTTCACAGGAAATGTATGTATCTTTAATTTTCAGGGGATGAAAATGAACATTTATTGTGCCTGTTATGTATTAGGCACTCAGGCACTGTGCTAGATTCAATGCTTTGCAGAAACTCACATTTAAACAGTATCACATCATCTTACAATCAAGTTTTTAACATAGAAATAGGTCTATTCCTACCTCTACCATTGACTATGTCACTTTGGGAATTCTTTAATTTCATGCATAGAACTAAAAACAAAAATTTATTAAGTAAGAATTTAATATTACTAATATAATTAACTCCTCTTATGAGTTTTGCACTTTGGAGTTTTCCAGATTTACCTCTTTCAACACAAATGTTTTTCCTAAATTTCAACTATTTTAATGAAAATATTTTTAAGCATAGTATTTTTATCTGTATGGTCTTAGCCAAAATGTTTGGAGTATGAATCTGCCAAAATGTTTGGAGTATGAATCTATTTTTTTGGATATCTCAGATAAGGATAGTGGTAAGGATAGTAGAGTGGTTAAGAGCAGAGGTTTTAGAACCAGACTATGTATGTGTAAATCCTGGCACTACTACGTACCAGCTGTGTGATTTTAGATAAGTTAACTTCCCTGAGTCTGTTTCCTTGTCTGTAAAATAAGGGTAAACCTAATATCCACATTTTAGGGCAGTCTTGAGGATCAAATGATGACATATGCAGAGTGCTTACCATACAGATGATGCAAGGCAAATAGTAAGTGCTCAATAAACAATAAATGCTGGCTAAAGAAGTTTTAATTTATTAAGGTACTGAGCACTTAGGTGAGCATGCACTCTTTTTCTCTATCATAGAAAATGACCCCAAACTGCTATTTAAAAAAAATTATTCTTAGATAAATTTTATTTATAGATTTTGTTTTCTATATAAAGTTTTGTTCTTGTTTCTTACCTTAATCTTATTGTTAATTGATGCCTTTATAGTACCCCTTCTTCTAATTTGAAGCTCTACTGTGGGCTGAGAAACCAAAACACTGTATTGGTTAGAAACTTGTAAGAAGATTCCTCAGCAAAGGGCCTTAGGGGTTCTTCCAAGAGCAAGGTACATAAGTCACATCTATTTCCACTTAGAGGCCTTTCTGGATTACTTATTGTGTTCTCAGTTGTGTTTGGGAAAGTTGGAAATACCAAATAAGTGACCTAAGGATTAATGAGGCATTATTGTTCTAATTCTGTCAAGCATTAGAATAATCAAAAACAAATGAAAAGTTGATTTCTTCCTGTTTTGCACTGTTAATTTTCTACAATTATTAATCAGCTACCAATGTAATTATTAAACTTTCAATCCAAACAATGTTTTTAGTGTAATACCTGAATCAATACACAGATCCTATATTACAAACCCCATTTTAAAACTTGGGTATTACTAATTGTGCTATTATACAAAATAAAATGTTTCTGTGTGATTCAACCCCCAGTTCTTATGTGGAGGTTATCAAGTCAGTGAAAGGGAAAAAAAACATGAATTGTCAAAAGGGCTAAATGAAATAACAATCAATGGATAAAGTAAAAAGAGAGAGTAAAACAGAAATTATAAGCTCTTGAAATCTAAATAAAAAGAAATGGAAAGATTGCAGACTAACAAAGAAAAGTAAGGAATAATTTACCAACTTTATTCCCAATCCCTAAGCGAATAATGTGTTTCCAATTTGATGTTCAATTTAGTAGCACCTCTACCTTTTTAACCCTACTGGGAAGGCATGAGAGAGACTCTGATAAGAAAACCATGCGCATCCATGATGATGAAACCTTCTGCTCAGGTGGCCACATGACAGAAGAGGCACAGCGGATCCCCACACTTGGGAAATCTAGGCCTGAGCCAGAAACTGGCAGCCATCAGGCCAAAATATTTATATTTTATGTCTTATCTTAAAAATTCATGTATATTTTGCATTTCATTATGTTATATACTGTGGAATTTTGAATATAAAAATAATGTTTCTAACAATTGAATTATTTAACTCCTCTCATTCCCAAATATTCAAGTAAAATTGATGCTCTAGGAAGATTCACACTGTGGTTCTTGTGGCTTTCCCTTCCCCTTGAGCAATACCAATATGGTCAGGGGTATGTGAGAAGTACAGGTGAAATGGTATCTTATTATATACTATGATGAGCTCAAGGGTCTCAAATGATCCACAGAAAATTAATAATCCAACAATCATTAAATAAAAGCTTCAATTCTCATGTAAATCAGTGAAGCTAAAAAATCCAAAAGAATGGTATAAACTAGGCCCTGAAATCTTAAAATGCCCTCTTAGCTATTGAGCTACGGTTTTTATAAAAAGATCAATAATGATGTCTTCCTGTTCCAATATGGAATTAGTGTCTCCCTAAGTACATTAACTTCAGAAGTATTGAATTACCAAGGAGGATCAGCACCACAATGAAACAAATAGTTGTTCTTTGCAAACTAGTGATTACCAGTACAGAAAACCCACCAAAGGCTGCTAGATACAAAAATGACAAAAGGCAAAGATGTCAGGCCAGAAGATAATGAAGTATGGTAGTCACCCAAAATCCAGAAGGATAACACTCACCCTCATCCTGATAATCTGACAAAAAGGGTGCATCGGATGTGAGGGACAGGCCAAGAGTCCCGCTGTGATTATCATCAGAGCTGTCCTGTCCAATGTCTCCCCCTGAGGGACAAAAAAGACAGAAAATAAGGTTAATCTTTGGGCATCCTTATAAAAGGATACATCCTTATAAAAGGATCTATGTATGATCTCTTCCAGTATTCGAAAAAAAAGTGTATCTTTTACTGGATGATGAACATGGCCACTATCCATTAACATATAGGAAACAGTTAAATAGGTTCAAGAACTGACTTACCTGGATGAAAAATTTTCCACTCAAGTAACTCTCTCACTAAAACTTAGGAACTGTTAGCTTATAGTGGGAATACCTCTTGCCACCAGAAAGAAATTTCTCTATCATACTTAAAATAAAAACATAGCTATATAAATTTATATTCAGCCAGGCATGGTGGGTCACGCCTGTAATCCTAGCACTTTGGGAGGCCCAGGCAGGCGGATCACCTGAGGGCAGGAGTTCAAGATCAGCCTGGCCAATATGGTGAAACCCTCTCTCCACTAAAAATACAAAAATTAGCAGGGTGTGGTGGTGGGCGCCTGTAATCCCAGCTACTTGGGAGGCTAGGGCAGGAGAATCGCTTGAACCCGGGGGGTAGAGGTTGCAGTGAGCCAAGATTGCACCATTGCACTCCGGCCTGGGTGACAACAGCGAGACTCCATCTAAAAAAAAAAAGAATTAAATTTATATTCATATATACTATGTCTCCAATAATTACAACCTTTACCCTGCATGCCTCTATTTCAAATGAAATAGGACTGACCCAAAGGTTTAACCTTCTATACATAATATAATATAGCAAGGTCAATAGTCTTTCTCTGAAAAGTAAGAGAAGTATTATAAAAATAGAGAAAACCTAGACTTTGCTGGACTGTATTCCTATTTGTTCTGCAACGTTAACAAAGTTCTTTCTTTGTAATTCTAGTTTACAGCCTAGGCAACCGACCTCTTAGGAATTCTAAAAGCCCTAAGAAGATAATATTTGTCCTGTAAAATGGCTTTGATAAAAGGTAATGTATATACAATACTGAATTATGCAATTAATGCTAATCTCTTTTGTGTGTTTTCAATATACATTGGATTGTATTCTGTAGAAGTGACTGATGTTATTATGATACTTTAAAAGGTTCAGACAGAAGATGTTAGCTCATTCAGAAACCGGAAGAAAAGGCTCTGTATTGCAAATGGCTTTCCTTAAAATCCCCCAAATAGAGGTACAGTCTGCTAATAAAAGGACACTGACAGCTGCTTATTTCATTTCACAAACATGAAAATAGGATTTTCAACTGAATTTAATATTATCTCAAATACTAATTTCCAAAGGAAATCACCAATGCTAATCTCAGTAAATACTGTAGAGTTTTGGCCTTGGATTTCAACTAGGGAGCTGTGAAACCAAACAACCTACATAGAATCTGTATTGCCTCACTTTAAAGGTTTATTTCCTACAATTAAACTAGAAAGCCAGGGAGGTTATAAAATGATAAAAAGAGAATGGCTGTAGCTTTCTCTTTCCATAAATTAGATGATCATATCTAGACTCTTCTTCAAATGCTGTATGGTAGGTAGATGTCCATAACTGAGTTGAACACCTACAAATATAGGACTTTAGAAATAAACTATAAAGTTTATTATGAAAAAGAGAAATAAAAATTGTAGAAAACTCACACAATAGTCATTGGCCAAAGCCAGAAGAAATACTCTCTTTTATTAGTTTACTTATCAGTATACAAAGTTTATAGCTATGCTTAAAGCATCACTGTGTAATTTCCATAGTAACCAGAAAAATTCTCAAATACTGGACTGAGGATTAAAATGCTCAAATTTTACATCACTGGAAGTCCACTAAAATTATATTATCAACACAATCTAAATGGACTGCCTGGCTAGTAACCTGAAAGTGAGCTGCAAGGTTAAATGGAATTTTTATTTTAAGCCAAATAAAAATCCTTAAAAATAAAAAAAGTACTGGAATTGCCAAGCAAAATTTAACTTTTGTAGGATATACTGAACATTATGTATAAACTATTATTCTGGACTTAAAGTTCTCTGCTTGCTTCAAAAATGTGGCAAATCCACCATTAAAGAAAAAGAACCTAGCCAGGCACAGTGGCTCACACCTATAATCCCAGCACTTTGGGAGGCCAAGGCAGGTGGATGGCTTGAGCCTAGGAGTTCAAGACCAGCCTGGGCAACATGACAATACCCCATCTCTACAAAAAGTAGAAAAATTAGCCAGGCATGGTGGCTTGTGCCTGTGGTCCTAGCTACTTGAGAGGCTGAGACATGGGGGGATCGTTTGAGCCAAGGAGGTAAAAGCTGCAGTGAGCCATGACTGTGCCACTGCACTCCAACCTAGACAACAGAGTGAGCCCTGCCTCAAAAAAAAAAAAAAAGAAAAGAAAGAAAAGAAGAAAGAAAAAAAGTACATGCTCACATTCTAAGTGTTTTAAAAAACATGCAGATCAGGAAGGGCTTTTTTTTTTAGTGAACTTTTTATTTTGGAATAATTTTAGATTTATGTAAGTGTTGCAAAGATAGTACAGAGTTCCTACATACCCTTCACCCAGTTTCCCCCAATGTCAACTTCTTACATAATTGAGGTCTATCTGCCAAAACCAATAAATTAACATTGGTATATTGCTATTAACTAAACTACAGACTCTATTTGGATTTCACAAGTTTTCCATTAATGTACTTTTTCTGTTTTGGGATCCAATCCAGGGTATCACATTGCCTTCACAGTCTCAGTTTTTAAAGTCTTACCCAAAACACCTGCCTGGATTTGGCACTTGCTTTCCTAACTTCAGATGGAAAAGTCACTTCCACGTGATTCCTATGGTTTCTGAGTATAGTCACCCAAGGTGTGCTTTCAACAGCCACCCCTGGTGTCAAACATGAGACAGTTCCTCTGTAAAGTACACAACGACATAGATATACAACTCAATGCAGCAAAACAGAGCCTAGGTCAGTAGTACAAATGGTTGTGGTGCGGGAACATTTAGAAATAAGCTTTACACCCAAGTGCAATTAGTTCCTGATGATGGAGATGTTGTTATAAGTGTTTTTAGTGTCATATCAAGTGACCCAGTTCCCTTGGGCACACACAGAAACAAGGCTATAATACCATATAAATATACACTCCCATGTAATTGAAATGATTACAACTACTGAGGATGCATGGGTGAAAAGTTTTATAGAAGAACAGCAATTATTGTGGTCATTTTGGATTTGTTTAAGAACATCATTTTTCTTTAAAACATAACTGTACGTGTTCTCTGGATTTGTCTATAGCTCTGACAATTGCAGTTCTAAATGGCCACAACTGTAGTCCAGTGGGATCAGACATAAATGATCACAAACTATAGTGACAGACATTTCCACTCAGCAGCTCTACAATTAGGGCTTAGAACTCTATCTGCTTAGAGTGGATTTCTCACAAGCAAGACCCCTTGCCACTGGAGACACATTTTCCCACTGCAACTCCCTCAGAATCAATATATTTCTATACAGATATATATTCTAACACATCATATCTCCATTAATCACATCCACTACCTTCAGTCCTTTCTCTTTGTATTTCTAAACAAGATCTAGTGGAACTATATCAAGGGTTCACCTGCTATTAGCAGGTAATTTGCTCCTGTAGCCTAAGTGTCATAAGAATTGGGCGTTAGATACACTCCTTGGTATATTCAATGGCAGGTTCTCCACCCAGTACATGTTGAGGGGCCCATAAGCAGGATGATTTCTCTATTCTTTTCTGAGAGTCAAACTCAATTTCATTCATGCTCCACAGAGTGATAAGTTGTGAATTTCTGAGGGTTGGAGCAGAAAGATAAAGCAGCTTTGTGTCAGGTGTAAGGTAATTATTTCCTAGGGTTTCTGTGCTATTTGTTTTTATTCCCTGTGTTTTCATTAACAGTTAATGAGTTTTCCCCCTTAATTCTGAAACAATAGTCTTGGCCACTAGAAGTTGGCTTTTTCTGCCACAGATTCAACCAGCTGTTGCTGCTCCATAAACTTTATGGAGAAGTGAATTAAACTGCTAAAACTTCATTTACTAATTCAATTCCAAATAAAACAGGGAGAAAAATGAACCATGATGATGTTCCCCTTGTAACTATTTTAGTTCACAGCAAATCCGTTTAGTCCTGAATTTGCAGATACTATTTTGAGACAAAAACAGGCCATAATGACAATTTTACCAGAGAAATGAGAAAGAAATTTAAAAAGACAGAAAATGGTTTAAGCATTAAAAAAAGTGAGAAAATAACAAATAACAGAGAAAACATATATGTTTGCTTATTCAATATGTAAAGTCTCGATTTTTTTTGTTAGTCTACATCATCGTCTTTTATTTCTCTTCAAATTAATTGTGAGCTATATTATAAAGACTCTATTCATATTTGCAACCAACTGTTTATATGGCGTGGTTAAAAACTAAGGTTTGCAGCCGGGCGTGGTGGCTCATGCCTGTAATCCCAGCACTTTGGGAGGCCGAGGCAGGCAGATCACCTGAGTTTCGGGTTTGAGACCAGCCTGACCAACATGGAAAACCCTGTCTCTACTAAAAATACAAAAAAATTAGCCAGGAATGGTGGTGCATGCCTGTAATCCCAGCTACTTGGGAGGCTGAGGCAGGAGAATCGCTTGAACCCGGGAGGCAGAGGTTGCGGTGAGCCGAGATTGTGCCATTGCACTCCGGCCTGGGCAACAAGAGTGAAACTCCATCTCAAAAACAAACAAACAAAAAAGAACAACAACAACAACAACAACAAAACACTAGGGTTTGCTATTACTTCACCAAGTATCTCTGGATTATATAAGGAAATTTAGATTAATTTAAAATTGAAAAATTTTAAATTATTGTTGTTGTTGGAAGGAAACACATGACTTCCTATTCTATTTAATATTTAAGATCCCATAAGAAATACAGCTCCCTCTTTAAACTAATAAATTCTCACTAAAATGCTATAAATAAAGCTCCCTGATCCAAGTCCAGTTAGTTTTCATGCTTGATAGCATTAATATTGCCAGATTTTCATGGGCCAATTTAATAGTAATACAGCTCCCAAAGCTGAACTATAGTAAGGTTAGCAAAACTGCAGCTTATTGGTCCTTATTATAACCATTCAACTAAGTTATTGAATCTAATACCAACTAAAGATATATGTTGGGTACAGATGTGACCATATATGAAATGTTACTCACACATAAGTATATTATAGAGCACATTTGCTGCACCAAAACTAAAATTCTGTCAACACTTCCATTATAAATTACATACCATTTTGCACATATTCATGCATTAGAAAATGTACTGTGTTTTCCAGAGAACATCCTAGAGGCTTCACCAATTTCTAAATATCCATTTGGATCTGTGTGGTTAGTTCTTGTGATTAATCCATGTATAGTGAAGGACTCAAATTCTTCTCTGTTCTATACAGTCGGACTTTCTGCCTATCTCTCTTTTTTTTTTCCTTTACTACACCTATCTATAATTCAATGTATAAATATTCCTTTTTTCCCCCCAAAGCCCTGGCAGTGAGTGTAATGGTACTGAATGTCATTAAGTCTACAGAATAAATGATAGGTCAGGTAAAGAAAGTTTCCATTTATCATTCTTTTAAAAAGTTGCTCCAACTGGATCTCAAATGTACAAGAAGTAAATTGAACCTAAGACTACAGTTTTTAGCTTAGCTTAGTAAAAAACTACAGTTTTTTACTGTTTGCTAATTATGTAATCATGCTAAGAATAACAGCCTTCTTAAGAACCTTTAGAGATAACATTTGAGGAGAGTGGCACAGTCTAAATAATCACAAATGGAGCCAAATTGATTAGACACTCTTAGTATAATCACTATAACAACACCTGTGAATCCAACAACCGAAAGGGCAGCATAGCTTAATGATATTCTCAGAATGAACTATATCTGTCAGTGGTGGATTGGACAGGAAAATGTCAGTGGGAGCTAATTGAAAAGTTCTTTTTTTCTTTTTTTCCCTCAAGAAAATGGTCCTTTGTAATGCAGTTTTTAATTTTGACCAGTAGGGTGAGCTGTAGTGTGTAGCATCATCCTAGTTCTTAAAAAAAGAAAAGAAAAAGAAACAAGAAAAGAGAAAAAAAAAAAAAAAGCAGCCACTGTCTTCTCCTCTCCCACCCTGTAAGAAAATGCTGGGATTTTTAACCCTTCTTAGGTTTCACATAAAGGCATAACTCCTGGATGTTAACAAACTGTAGGGCTGGCAGCAACAAATATAAACCAGATAATTGTATATGTGACAACCCACACTTCATAAAGCAAATTACAGCCTGTCAGCAGTCATTCCAGCTTCACACTAACACATTCCATCTACCACTGGTATTGTTCAACTGGTACTAAAATGGAACCTGCTGAGTGGGAATATTTTCAACAGTAATGAGATTTTGACATAATTCAAAATATATAAACCTAGGTATTTGGTAGTATGTGGATAAATATATTGTAAAATGAATGCACTTATCATATGGCAACCAGGCAATCATAATCTGGAATTATTGGCTCATAGTTCTGTTTTCTTTGGGCCACTGTATTCTCAGTCCTTAATTCTTATTACAAAGCTATCCAACTGAATTTTCAGTATCTTTTGACATATAGGAGAAAGTTAGCTATAATAATAATAATTATATAATAGCTAGCTAAACTCTTACTGGGTACAAGCTCTGGGTCAAGACTTTTTGTGGACTATCTCATTTAATCCTCAAAACAATCCTGAGATGTATTATTATCCCAAAGATGAAGATAAAGAAATTGAGACACAAAGATGAAATAACTTACCCAAAGTCATATAGGTGACTCATAAGTGGCAGGGCCAGGCTTTCACCCCAACTTGTCTGATTACTAAGCTCTTGTTCTAATCCACTGAACTATATAGCCTGAAAATCTGCATGTTTAATAAATCATGATCATTACTCAAAGGCAAGGCATATTGAATGACAGCCAGTGAGTTGACTTTATGGTATATACTATCAATTAGTATTTTAACTTTAATAAAGTAAATCTATAAATTATGATTATTAGTGATAATAGCAGTAGTCACGTTAGGTATGGAGAGTAGAACTGACAGACAAAACAAAATTTGGTCAATGATTTGGTCAAGAAAGAAGTGGTCCAATTCATAGTTGAAATTTATTATCGAGTAATGTAGTAATTTTTTCAAAATATCACTTTTTGGTATGAATTTCATGCTTGCAAAATTTAGAACAGCCACCTCAGGCTTAGTGAAATCAATATACTGATTTTTTTCCAGCACCTTCTGTTTGATTCTGTTGGATACTTAAATATAGCATTGACCTGGCTTGGTTAAAGAATGTGTTTCCTTTCTGGCACCATCATGCTTTAAGTCTCAGAGCAGGAAAAGCCTTTGAAAAATATATAATGCCACATAAATGTAGCAATTTTATTACTATTGGTTCATCTTGCTTTCTTGTCCCATCTTTCCTTTCTCCCAAACAGCAAGTTGTAGTAGGCCTTAGCACTTATTTACAATCCTGATACATTTTGGGGTCTACTATGCCCCAATTGGTAAGCCAACATTACTTAAGAAACTTCTTGAGAGAAACTACAAGGCTAGTTGGATTCCAATATCTTCCATTAAAGAAGAATGAGATGGCCGGGTGCAGTGGCTCATGCCTATAATTGCAGCACTTTGGGAGGCCGAGGCAGGTGAATCACCTGAGGTCAGGAGTTCAAGATCAGCCTGGCCAACATGGCAAAACCCCATTTCTACTAAAAATACAAAAATTAGCTGGGCGTGGTGGCAGGTGCCTGTAATCCCAGCTACTTGGGAGGCTGAGGCAGAGAGAATTGCTTAAAACCCAGGAGGCAGAGGTTGCAGTGAGCCGAGATCGCGCCATTGCACTCCAGCCTGGGTGACAGAGCAAGACTCTGTCTCAAAAAAAAAAAAAAAGAAAAGAAAAGAAGAAAGAAGAAGAGGAAGAAGAAGAAGAAGAAGAAGAGGAAGAAAAAGAAGAAGAAGAAGAAGACATGTTGTACAGGCTACAGGTAGATATAAGAAATGTTTTTCAAAAGTCCAAGGAGTAAAAATAAAATAATACATAGTAAAGAATGGATTATGGGTAAGATTAGCAGGCCTAAACATGTGAGCCAGCTTTTAACATACTGAAGAAAGGGTAAGTTTTCTTTGTGATAACATAAACCTCCAATACCACTAAAGCTGTAATGGCAAATGGTGACAAGATTCAACCTCCCCATGCCACATCCCACTCCAAACAGGGATTCTCATTCACATATTTGACAACATGTATGTAACATCATTATCAACAGCCAAAACCTCTCACTGTCAAGAATTCAGTTCAATATTTGGTTCCTTGGAAAAAAAGTTTCACATGAAAAAGTATCTCTTTATTTAAAAAAATTACTTTTTAATTGAGGCATCACTAACACAAGTAAAGTGCATAAATCTTAAGGGTAAGTGGTATCACTTTTTAAGTTTAGGAAAATACATTTTAGAGATTAATCATGATCAATAACTTTTCCAGGATGGCAAATGTGTGTTAAATTCACATCAGCTGACAAGGACCGATAGGGTTCACAAGATTGGTTCTTCCACTACTTGCCTCACAAGAGTCAGCAGAAACTGGAATCTTTATTTTATATGTCATATAAATCCCCTTGCCTATAACTTAGCAGTCCCTTTCCTGTGCTAGTGATACTTAGCCATCTTCATAAACAAGTTTCTGAGAGAAGCATGTGTTGATGAGAAGCCAAATGAAAAATAAATGCTTTCTAATAGAATTGGGTCCACCTATTACATTATTTAGCCTCAAAATATCAAGCAAATTCATTGGGTTTCAGGTCTGAAGTCTTAACCTACTTACTCACAAAAAAGTTTTAAGCAAAAAAAACAAAAAAGCTTGTATTCAAATGGACTACACTTTTCTCTCAATATTTTGTGTTTAGAACATGAAAGTTTGTTAGAGGCACAAGTCTTGATGAACACTAATTCTTATGTAAAAATTCTATGCTCAGAAACTGTACTCCTCACCTGATTTTCTGTGTTAGTCCAGGAATAATACCTTCTAAGAGAAATCATTTATAAGTTGTTTTTTTCCTCAACCAAAGTCCCCTGGGCTAATCAAACAAACTTAAAGCAGTCATTAATTTTCAGTGACTTGATTTTCCTTGACATCTATGTGAAGACGAAAATCTGAAGTTCTGTGAACTTCTAAAAAGACTAAGATGGGGTAAGAAAAGATATCATTATCAGTCACCATGAGTATTATACAATACTAATTTAAAATTGTTATTATTTTTGTTTTGTTTTTGTTTTGAGACAGGGTCTCACTCAGTCACCCAGGCCAGAGTGCAGTGGTGCAATTGCAGCTCCCTGCAGCCTTGACCTCTCAGGCTCAAGTGATCCTCCCACCCCAACCTCCAAAGTAGCTGGGACCACAGGTGCACACCCCCATGCTTGGCTAATTTTTGTATCTTCTATAAAGATGGGGTCTCTCTGTATTGCCCAGGCTGGTCTGGAACTCCCAGGCTCAAGCAATCAGCCTCCCTCGGCTTCCCAAAGGGCTGAGATTACAGATGTGACCCACCATGACTGGCCATATAATTTATTTTTAAATTCACTTTTTCACTTGAGGCCAGGAGTACGAGACCAGCCTGGCCAACATGGCAAAACCCCATCTCTACTAAAAATACAAAAATTAGCCGGGCATGGTGGCACATGCCTGTAATCTCAACTACTTGGGTGGCTGAGGCATAAGAATTGGTTGAACCTATTGGTGGGGGTTGCAGTAAACTGAGATCGTGCCACTGCACTCCAGCCTGGGTGACAGAGCGAGACTCTGTCTAAAAAAAAAAAAAAATTCACTTTTAAGTGATAAGTAAACTCAACACACCTATATATACCAACGTTCTCAAACATTAAACAACAGAGAATGCTGCTGTTTTATACCATCATCAGGGCCTTTCCCATTAATTAACATTTCAAAATAAATAGGCCAGGAGCAGTGGCTCATGCCTATAATCCCAGCACTTTGGGAGACTGAGGTGGGCAAATCTCTTGAGCCCAAAATTTCGATACCAGCCTGGTAACATGGTGAGACCTTATGTCTACAAAAAATACAAAAATTAGCTGCGCATGGTGGCTCATGCCTGTAGTCCCAGCTACTGGGGAGGCCAAAGTGAGAGGATCACTTGATCTTGGGAGATGGAAGCTGCAGTGAGTGAGTCGAGATCAAGCCACTGCACTCCAGCCTAGGTGACAGAGCGAGATTCTGTCTCAAAAACTAAAATAAATAAATAAATAAATAGATAGATAGATAGATGAAAACTTGAGTGGGTAAGAAACTGCTAATCATGATTCTACTGAAAAATAGATTACTACCATGCTGTTTTTTTGTTTGTTTTGGAAAGCTTCTTTATTAAATAAAAAAAGTTAAGTATGCCCAGAGCAAAACCTTCAAATGTTACAGGAAGGCATATAATGAAAGTTCATCTATCCTCTCTTCTCTTGATCCTTCTCTCCAGAGACAACCATTGTGAGATTTCTTGGGTGTTCTATGAATTTTTGTATCTAATATAACAAGGGTCTCTGTGTGTGTGGCATATGTATTTTTTTCCTCTTTTTAAACAAATGGTAACATTTGTTCTGTTCTGTATCCAGCTTTTCTTCCTAACCATTTATCTTGACAACTGCTCCATATCAGCAATATAGATTTATCTCATTTTTTATTTTAACCAGTTTTTAACATTAAAAAATAATACATGCACATGGTGAAAATTCAAATAGTACCAAAGAATATTCTCTCTTTCATTCATATCAGTATCCCCCTCAACAGTGATTACCACTGTTAATAGATACATATGTATCCTTCCAAAAATATTCTATATACAAATAAAAACACGTGTGCTTGTGCCACACACACACACAGAAACAAACTATACACACTAGTTTGCTCAAATTACCCTTTTCATCTAACAATACTCCTTGGAGAACCTTCCATATTACGTATTACATACATATTACATATATATGTATCATTTTCTTTTAACTCTATATAGCATTCCATTAAATGGGTGTATGTTTATTTAACTAGTCCCCAATTGCTGGGCATTTAGGCTGTCTGTTTGCTATTCCAAACAATGCTATCATGAACATCCTTGTACATAATACATTGTATAGGGAATACAGAAGGCAGCATTACCTGATTCCAATGATTTCTTTTACCTGCATAAAATTTAGTTCTTTTTTTATATCTTAATATCATCTACTACAGAATAGGAAGGACTTTTAGAAAGGACATAAAAATCTTGGGAAATGTTAACTTTAGAAAGGAAAAAAGTGAGTCTTTTTGTTAAAAAAAAAATCTTTTGGCCGGGTGCAGTGGCTCACGCCTATAATCCCAGCACTTTGGGAGGCTGAGGCGGATGGATCATGAGGTCAGGAGATCGAGACCATCCTGGCTAATACGGTGAAACCCTGTCTTTACTAAAAATACAAAAAATTAGCCGGGCGTGGTGGCGGGCGCCTGTAGTCCCAGCTGCTCGGGAGGCTGAGGCAGGAGAATTGCTTGAACCCAGGAGGCAGAGCTTGCAGTGAGCCAAGATCGTGCCACTGCACTCCAGCCTGGGTGACAGAGCGAGACTCTGTCTCAGAAAAAAAGAAAAAAGAAGAATCTTTGATAGTCATTGCAAAACAATTGCTGCATTAATTTTGAAATGCATTATTCTGCCCTTTTAAAAATGCATTATTCCACTAAAAAAACCACCCTACCAGTAGATGTATAGGAAGTAAATTATTTGAAAAGGTATCAAAATTAGTAATTAACTTCAAAAACAGTTTGTGTGTGTGTCCACTTGCTACAGATTAATTTGTATAAAATGTAGCAAATAAGAAAAAGGGGGAAAATGCCTGAAGGAAGTCAAGCCACAAAAGCAGCTGTCAAGACTGTTGATGTTAAAAGGTTGAGTCAAAGCCAAAGGCAGGAGTATTCAGCCTGGGTTCATTTCCCCCTTATTAAATCCCCAAAAGACATGAAAAACATGCTGGAATATTTCTTTTTTTAAAAAGTAGTATAGGTTGAGATAGTCTAGGTTCAAAACCAGTGCTTGTGTTTATAAAATATCAGCATTCCAGGAATAGTGGTGGAAAGATACTTAACAATAAATTATAAATATTGTAAATTTAGACTTTTTCTTACATTTGCAAACACGTCATAAATTTGGGCTGTGTTTCTTTGTATAAATCCTACTTATGACTGTGCTAAAACCTTTTGGCATGAATGCAAAGAGTATTTTCATAAATAAAATTTAGTAAAATCACTGTACACTCCATTAATTCAAAAACACTTCTCTTCAACTTCAAAGGAAATTTCCTTCCTCTTTTTTTTAAAGTGTAAAGATGGTGTTTCTTTGCTGCTTTAATGTTTTGCTTCTTGTAGTTGTCATAACTACATGCTCCAAGTATGTGACCATAAGGGACAAGAAGTTAAGCAACATTTGTTCTTCCATTCAACATGTCTCAGACACCATATAGCAAAAAGCTTGTAAATCTAGCCTCTGAAGTGGCTACCACCAATAAAAATGCTCTCTATAAATACAAACCTTACAAATATATACATGGTGAGTTTCATGGCCCTACACCAGTGTTCAGCTATAATGAATGAATGAATTTTATGAAAAGATACATGAAAATTTTATTATCAAGGTTTTATACATGTATGTACTTGCCTCGCCCTACTTTGAGACATAATATTTGTTACCACTTTAGTAAGTGCCTACCATGTGGCAAGCACTCCTTATGAGTTATAATCTCATTAAAACTCATTACAACTCATAGTAACTGTGAAGTAGATATTATTAGTGAGATTTTATACATGAGGAAACTGAAGCTTCGAGAATTGATGTAATTTGCCGTAGCTAACAAAGTTTCTAAGTAGAGGAGCTGGGATTCGAATTCAGGTATGATTTCAAAGCTTAGGCTCTTTCTATCATAAAACATTAACTTGAACAACAATTTAAAAAATCAGTTCACTATTCTATGTACTTTATATCCAGATGCATAAAGCAATATATGCATTAATATACTAGATCTCATGATAGAGATAAAAGAAAAATGTTACATTTTTAATCAATCTCAACCTTTTTCTTTTACCTTTACATTATGGAGAAGTTTAAACATGTATAAAAGTAGACAAAACAGTGTAATAAACTCCCATATATACATCATTCAGCTTCAACAAGTGTCAACTTATGGCCGATCTCATCTCATCTATATTTACCCTGTTTCTTTCTCCTCTCCCATATTATTTGTCAGACATTATATATTTAAATATCATGGCACACCTCTCTCTGAAATAAAGAACTGTTTTTAAAAAAATTAACCATAATACCACTGCTACACCTAAAAAAATCCAGTAGTTTCCTAATAACATAAAATAACCAGTGTTCAAATTTCTAATTCTCTCATAGATGTCATTTTTTAATAGTTTGCTTGACTCAGAATGCACAAAGTTTATACATTCGTTGGTAAACCTCTTAAATCTCTTAATTTACAGTTAACATGGCTTTATAATTTCCTTATTCACTTAGCACTATTTGTTTTTGCCAGGCTATATTTTTATTTGTTTATTTCTTTGTTTGTGTGTTTGGGACAAGGTCTCGCTCGGTCTCCTATGCTGAAGTGCAGTGGCGCGATCTCGGCTCACTGCAGTCTCAACCTGCCAGGCTTGAGTGATCCTCCCACCTCAGCCTCCCAAGCAGCTAGGACTACAGGCCTGTGCCACCATGCCCAGCTAATTTTGTTTTTTTTGTAGACACAGGGTCTCACCATGTTGCCCAGATTGATCTCAAACTCCTGGGCTCAAGCAATCTACCTGCTCAGCCTCCCAAAGTGCTGGGACTACAGGCATGAGCCACTGTGCCTGGCCTGCCAGGCTATATTATTAGGCATCGATTTACTTTGACGTGAATATAGGCTTGCCATTTCAAAATGAGATTTTTAAGCTTCACAAAGTAGAATTTTTTCATAATGAAATATACTGAATAATTTTCTCAGAAACCTTTTACACCACTCATAGAGATACTCAAAGAATCTTTAAGTTGGCAAGAGATTCCACTGGCCCATGTTTACCACTACCACAAATGTAATGTGAGTGACCACTGGATAAAAAAAAGATATTATTCTATATAATATTCCCATGGTCTTCCCTAGATTTTTATTTAAATATTATGTCATTTGTTTTAGATTCTGGGTCTATGGTGGGAAATTCAATCTAATATTCATGAAGATTTTTTTATAGCAAATAAATTTTGAATTATAAACATTATACCTTATAATCAAATTTTTTATTAAAACTATCACTAACTCATTTTATAAAAGGGGAAACTGAAGCAAAATGAAGGAAATCAGTTTGCTCAATAACTTTAAGTGATATTGCCATCAAATCTAAGGGCAAAATTAATATTCCCTTATCGATATCACCTTTTAGATATTGATTACTGAAATTATAAAAATTCCATGGCAAAAACTCCGCTGGCTTTTCTTTGTAACTTTAAGTAAAAAATTAAGTAGAAATTTTTTTTGAGTAAGCAGGACATGAATTATTAAAGCAATATTATGTCTTATTGTCAAGTAAAAATAAAAAGCCTCTTTCATGTTCTCCAATTATGTTTAAGCTCATTAAAAGTGCCCTTCCATTTATATCCCCTCTACATTAAAGTAATGTATTCTTTGGATCATGTTTTATTTTCCCTGTTTCCTTTTTAAAATAAATATCATTCAGGAAGTTGACAGTGGACCAATAAAAAAACGCAGGTGGAAATGTGAGAGAAAGAATTACCATTAATGTCCCATTATGATAAATAGAAACTACTGGCTTTTTTTTTCCCACTATGTCAAGGTACTAAGCTCGATGCTTACACACATTACTACTAATCTTCAACAACCTTGCAATGAGACAGTGAAAAACAGTCACGAAGAGTATGGGCTCTCGACCTCTGGAGATAATGGGCTCTAGAATCCATACAGGGTTTCTTATTGGGGTGATGAAACGTTCTGAAATTAGATAGTGGTGATGGTTGCACAACTTGTACTGTACTATACTATACTATACTATACTATACTATACTATACTATACTATACTATACTGTACACCACTAACTTGTACCTTTTAAATGGGTAAATTTTATGGTATGTGAATTATATCTTGATAAGGCTGCCTTGGTTTTTTTTTTTTTTTCTTTTTGAGACAGAGTTTTGCTCGTGTTGCCCAGGCTTGAGTGCAATGACACAATCTCGGCTCACTGCAACCTCCGTCTCCCAGGTTCAAGCGACTCTCCTGCCTCAGCCTCCCAAGTGGCTGGGACTACAGGCATGCACCACCACTCCCAGCTAATTTTTTGTATGTAGTAGAGACAGGGTTTCACCATGTTGGTCAGGCTGGTCTCGAACTCCTGACCTCAGGTGATCCACCTGCCTGCCTCAGCCTCCCAAAGTACTGGGATTATAGGCATGAGCCACCGCACCCGGCCAAGGCTGCTATTTTTAAAATGTGTGCTACTAAAAGGATATACAAATAATGGATCTTTTATAATTAAAGACTATTTTCCTTCCAGGCACCAGACCTGGTTTAGTTCAAATATCTTGAAGAACTCAAGTGTGTTTTTAGGCAGATGCAGAGTTAATAAAATTCATCCCATCATCTTCTTGTACAGAGGGTCCTGTCACAGATAAAAATGCTCAGAAAGTTTGGGGCCAGCATTTCTGTTCTTTCTCACTCCCATCCCAACACCACCCAGTTTTCCAGGGCTTTTAAGATTCTTCTGCTAGTTGTTCTCTTTCTTACATATTTCTAATCTTTTCATAATCTTAAATTGTCCTGTTGTACCTTATCTAAACCACTTACTCCTCCTACCCATCCCACCAGCTTCTGAAGCACATAATCAGCTAAGGTCTGATCAAAAGGGCAAGGTAAAAGATACCCTCTCACTAACTCCTCCTACCCCTGAAAATATCTGTGAGAAGTCATGAGACTGGGGGCTAGGGCATGAGTTTTTCTATGTCATCTTTCCTTACATTTACTTCCAAATGCACTAAGACTTTGCCACATATATTTAATCATTGTCAAGAAGCAAATACAGTTTTCTGTTCTAAATAAACTATTTTCACTTGTCTCCTTGGCTGCTCTACCTCTGTCCTCTCTCCAAGAGAGAAAGGATGGGTAGAAGCTGCTTTATGTTGAAAGATGACTGCAATGCCAGCATTTCAAGAATCTGGTAAGATGTGCCTTTTGTCTTTTTTAGTCCCATATAGTCTCTTGTGTTAAGCTCCAAAATTATTTTCTCTTCTCAACCTATTCCTATACCACATCTCTGACACTAACTCTTTATTTCTCCTTTAGGTAATTAATTCTACCCTCACAGTTCCATTCATTTCTGCCAGTTCACAATCATGTGCTTCCCCCTGTGGATTTTGGTTAACATCTGTTAAACCCTGAACTATAGGGCCATCCCCTGAATAGTGCAATTCACATTTTGCGAAGCAAATTGCTACATTATTACATAAAATTATCCACTGCTCAATCTATGTTTTCAGCTATAAATGCTTTAGGACAGTGAGATATGTAGTAACAGCACATCACATTACGTAAAATAGTGTAAGTGCTCCAACTTTAACTTATGAGAGTCAAGAAGCTTTGAAAATGTATGGTTTTTATTTCTTAAAGATGGCTTTAAAATAAAGCTTTATAAAAACTTGAAATACACTAAAAGCATGAGCCAGAAAAATAAAAATTTTAATAAAACTTATAATCACTCACAATTTTAATTTATTTAAGGTATTACTATTCACTGAGGTTGGATACAGTGACAACATTAAGAGAATAAAAAGTACTTAAAAAGTTTACAATTGGTTAAGAAAGTTATAGAGCAAAATAGTTTATAAAGCTATTTGTAAGTTTGATCTAAAACTCTGTGATTATCTGAGAAAATAAAGCCCCTCCATTTATAATAAATTAAGATAATATTCAGGTTGATGTTTCTGACATTCTCAACCAGAGTACTAAAAAGAAGGAAGGCAAATACTTTAAAAGATATCCCCTCAAACTGTTTGAATTCGGAAAAAAATATTTCAATTCTGAACCTTTTAAAAATGTGTTTTAATCCTGGCCTTTTTCTTTTTTTAATTTTGCACACAGCTGTCTGTAGTACTTTTTAGAATCATGCCAGATGCTGGGTTCATCAAGCAAAAGCAGGAAAACAATGGTTTGAAAGCAATTAGAAGCACTGAGGCTGCAGCAAGGCTCATATTAAAATGTGATAACACTGTTCTAGTGGGAATTTCAACACTGCTCCATTTCTGACATTTCTCTGCTGCCAGACAGGCAGGCTGTGTGGAAGGGCACTGTGATCGAGGAGGTAACATACTGGAATTTATTTCTGGAGCAAATGAAGGATTAGCTGAGTTGGAACCCTCCCAAGGTTTTTATTATGGACTTGGCTACCATTTTATTTGAATGCTACTGGATCCTGTTGGCACCTAACAAAGCTCAAGGAATTAAAGCATATTATAGCCTTGGTTTTATAAAATAATCTAGCAACAGTCCACTCAGAAGGAGGAAGCATAGAGCTTCTTGTTGCTAAAAAGCAGGGCAGGGGAGCGCAGCAGGGTGAAGGTTAATTAAACACTCCACTAACTTTCCTTGGAAATGGTTAATGCCACTCTGTGGAGAAGCTTGTAGAGAAGAGACAGGAATAAACAATCCCATTTACACATTTTTAGCATAAAACCATACGTGGTCAAAGAGGACTCACCTTGGGGCTGAAAATCCCAATAGTACCTGAAATACAAGGGGGAAAAAAAAAGGGAATAAGTCAAACTTGTATTTCTCAATTTTGGTTGGCCTACCATAGCTATAGCACCTGGTCCAAAAAGCTTGCTAAAGTCTATAACCAGCCAAAGTCACTACTAATTTTGAGAAAAACAAAAGGTTATCCCTGAGATTTGAAAGAGTCTCAATGGCTTAAAAGATGCATTTAATTCACTGAAATTCCTCACGTAATTTTGACTTTAGAGCTGGAAAGGTCCTAAAAGGGAACCTAGCGGTGGCCTGGGGTTTCTCATCAAGAGCTCTACGGGCTTTCAGCAGGATGGTTCTTTGTTGTGACAATCTGGCCTGTGTATTACAGGACTGTGTATTACACTGGTCCTAGGTACCAAATACCAGAGGCATTCCCAGTTGTTATAACAGTCAAACCCCACCACCAACACCAACACATCTCAAATGCCTCTGAAGCCTAATTTTTTTTTTCTCTGTTACCCAGGCTGGAGTACAGTGACACAATCATAGCTCACTGCAGCCTCGAACTCCTGGGCTTTGCCTTTTAAACCTAAATTCTTAATTTTACAAGTGAAACATGGGCCGGGTGTGGTGGCTCACGCCTGTAATCCCAGCACTTTGGGAGGCCAAAGCAGGCAGATCATGAGGTCAGCAGTTCGAGACCAGTCTGACCAACATGGTGAAACCCTGTCTCTACTAAAAATATAAAAATTAGCTGGGCATGGTGGCGTGTGCCTGTAATCCCAGCTACTCAGGAGGCTGAGGCAGGAGAATCGCTTGAACCCAGGAGGCGGAGGTTGCAGTGAGCTAAGATCGCGCCATTGCACTCCAGCCTGGGTGACAGAGCGAGACTCCATCTCAACAAAACAAAACAAACAACAACAACAACAAGTGAAACATGAACAATTGACTTAAGGTTGTCTAACGTTTTAGTGCAATTGACTTAAGGTTGTCTAACATTTTAGTGTCTGAGCCAAGAATGGGGCTCTTGCAGTTCATTGTACCATCCTATCTCCTCTATTATTTTGGGAAATAATTGGCAAAACTGACAACCCTTGAAGTCTTTTATTTATCTATTTTTTTTTCTGAGACTAGGCCTTGCTCTATCACCCAAGCTGGAATGCAATGGCATGAACGTCACTCACTGCAACCTTGACCTGCTGGGCTCAAGGGATCCTCCTACCTCAGCCTCCCATGTAGCTGGGGCCACAGGCACACGCCACCACACCTAGATGCTTACACACATTACTACTAATTCTCAACAACCTTGCAATGAGAGACTGAAAAACAGTTACTGTTTTTTTGTTTTTGTTTTTGTTTTTGTTTTGTAGCGATGGGGTCTCACTTTGTTGCCCAGGCTGGGGCTTAAGCAATCCTCCCACTTTGGCATCCCAAAGTGTTGGGATTGCAGGGATGAGCCACTGCATCCAGCAACCCTTGAAGTCTTAAACTAACAAAATAGCAGTGGTGGAAAGGATCATTTGTAAGTCACTTATTTGGAAACTAAATTGCATTTCTTTCCCCACAAAAACAATGTTATATATGATGGTTACCCAAGAAAGGCTACTGTATTTTGGATCCCATTTCCTCCTGCCTTCACAGGAACTTTACATTATTCTTTATCAATTTTTCTCTTGTCTGTATTCAACCTCTTCCTCTCAGTTTGGCCCTTTCCATCAGCATTTATGCTCATATAAAAATAAAGCAAATCCTCCCTCACCCCTTCACATCCCTCCACCTGCTGTCCTGTTTCCCGTCACATCACAGTGACATTTTCAAAAGCACTGTCTACACTTGGCTCATTTTATTCCCTCACTGCCCACTCACTCAACATCCTCCAGTCAGGCTCAGAGCCATTGCATATTAACTCTTGCTATAGACATAATAACCTTCACACCACCAAATATA
Organism: Homo sapiens; assembly: GCF_000001405.40. NCBI lineage: Eukaryota > Metazoa > Chordata > Mammalia > Primates > Hominidae > Homo > Homo sapiens. Next base: position 48,365,723 of record NC_000017.11, read on the forward strand.
AGGGATGCTTTTCTATCCTCATTTTGACCTCTCAGGAGTGTAGATGTGCGTCGGAGCTTTTTTTTTTTTTTTTTAACCTAGGGAGGGAGTCCACAGTTTTTTATAGAATTCTTTTGCAGGGGTGCCCAAGGGAGAGAATACATTCATGGGTTCTTAGTTTCTGTTTCTGGTGGGCCACTAAAGCCCCTTCCTCATCCCTCTTTTCCACTTATCACTAGAGGTAGAAACTAAAAATCATGGCTTCACCCTGCTAAAAGCCTAAAACAAAAACAAAAGAAAAACAACAACAAAATAAGGCAGGTTGGACAAGCTTGCAGTTTAAAGGGTCCATAAACCCCCCAAAAAGATGCAGAAAAGGTGATAGGTGATAATGGTGTGTCTTCTAGTACATACATTACTAAAATTAGGCTTAGCTTCTTCAGGGAAGAGTATCAGCCCAGTGAGTATATTGGTTATTTCTTTAGTGTGTGACAAATTTTCAGAAAATAAAGACAGAAGAGGTCAGTGGAGAATAAGTATGTTGCCATAATTCACAGTTTAATTTGGGGAACATTATCAGACATAAGAAAGTGGAGAAGAAACCTGACAATTTGTCCTTCCTTGTTCCTTTCCTTTTCCAGAACAGTTCCTGGGTTGGCAATCAGGTGAAGAGAAATGTAAGATACTTGGGTTAGAGGGTGAGGAAATTCCAGGACAGCTTTGACATCTGCAGTAGCAAAGGGGAGAGGAAGGGGCAGAGGACGGGGTAGGAAGGGGCAGAGGACGGGGTGGGAAGTGGAACACTTCAAAACCTGGGAAGAAGGAGTGTCCATATCAATGCAGGGGCATATGTAAGCTGAAACTGGCTGAAACTTAAATACATTGTGAATAATAGTATGATGGGTCAATCTCCACCTAGCAGACAGTGCACCTGTACCTGGCCACCACGAAGAATTTTCCATAAAACTCCTTTCTGTAAAACATAGCTAATCAAGCAAATCATCAAATGGCTGAGCAATTTTCCATCTACTCTTGCTATTTTCCATCTTCTCTTGAGGCACTTCCCTAACCCCCAATTCCTATCATTACCCAACTTCTAATTTAATATAAATAGAAATTAGGGTTCGAGTATGTGCATACATGTATGTGCACATGTGTACGTACACTCTCTCTCTTCTTTCCAAAATATTGATGATGGCAACAGCAGGAACTTTGCTGTTGCTCTCATTTATTGGCCCAGAAAAAATCCTAGTCATGCAGTGGCAGTTAAAAGGTGCTCTAGGTAAATTGTTAAATAGGCAAAGTATGTTATTGATGATCTCAGCCACTTCTGTGTCTCCCTGTCCCATGATGCCCACTCCAACTAACACAGATTTTCAGTCCTTTTCTCTACCTACTTTAAAGTGCCCTGGCTTCCTGGTTTCTCTTGTCAGTCGAGAAGAAATATGATCTTATAAGTCATATATACTAAGAGTATTGCTTCTGCCAATAGTAGTTATACCTTAAGAACTCAGCAGTATCAAATAAAGTAGTAGGTCCATCTAGTTGATGTTAAATAGCAGAACCTGCTTTATTCCTGGTAATACTATAATTAAGTATTTCTGTCAAACTTTCAATTATAAGATGAATAAATTCTGAGGATCTAATGTACAGCATGGTGACTATAGTTAATAATACTGTATTACATACTTGAAATTTGGTAAGAGAGTAGATTTTAAGCATTCTCACCAAAAAAAAGGTAACCATGTAAGCCATGTAAGGTGATGAATGTATTAATTAGTATGACTATGGTAATCCTTTCACCATGTATATGTGTGTGTATATGTATGTGTGTGTATATATATATATGGATATATATCCATATATATATATATATAATCATACTGTACATTTTAAATATATTTCACTGCATTTGTCAATTTAAAAAAATCTGAGGTCAGGTGTGGTGGCTCACACCTGTAATCCCAGCACTTTGGGAGACCAAGGCAGGAGGATTGCCCAAGCCCAGGAGTTCAAGACCAGCTTGGGAAACATGGCGAAACTTCATCTCTACAAAAGGTATAAAAATTAGCCGGGCGTGGTGGCACATGCTAGTCCTAGCTACTCGGGAGGCTGAGGTGGGAGGATCGCTTGAACCCAGGATGTTGAGGTTGCAGTAAGCTGTGATCACGCCACTGGACTCCAGCTTGGGTAACAGAACGAGATCCTGTCTCAAAAAAAAAAAAAAGAAAATTCTGACAATAAAAATTATATGTAGAATTTGATGTGGAACAGTATGAAGTGGAATGTTAGTTCCCTTCTTTTTCAGAAGGTATCTTGCTATCCTACCTTTTCTCCCTGTCTTCTTTCTCTAAATATTATTTATGGATTAACCCTATAGGGAGTTTGTTTTTTAAAAAAGCCACACCTCTATTCCAAAGCTCACAAAGAACACTTCTAAAAGGAAAGCCCAAAAGGTGAGCAATCACATCCCTCACTGGAGGGCACCACAGATTAGTCCCTGCTGGACACCTTTAAGATCTTGGTCTTGTCTTGTTAAAGATATTCCCTGGGTGGCCTTCATCATGTTCTCTAGAAATATAATTCCACAATAGAGAATTCTATACTCTTCAGGAGGGATTTAGTAAAATCCTGCCAACATCTTCCAATTCTTACCCTTTTTCTGAAAACAATTCTCTGTTAGCCAGAGAGTCCAACAAGTCTGAGACTAGAAATTTTAAACCAAAATACAAAGACCACAATAGAAGTATACATAAGAAAAAGCATATAAATGCACACATACAGAGTTGTGTTTATCCTAAAAGCCTCTGAGAATTTCATATCAGGCCTGTGCAGATAGATAACAAACACTTCTTTAATCTTCTCTTTGAAGCTTCAGCTTCAATAGGAAAGGGAAGCTATCACTCCTCTGCAATATCCATACTCAATATCATCAGGACGATGCAAATGATATTTGGAACTGAAAAATGATGAGTACAGAACGAGCAGAGAGAGAATGTTGCAACCATATTGATGATGATCATTTTTACATTCAGTAAAAATAAACCCATCTTCACTTATGCCTCCAAAAGTGAAAATGGAAGAATAAAATTTCACAATATTTTCTCTAAGCTACAGAACAGTCTTAAAATTTTAGTATTAAATTGTAGAGTATGCTATTTGTGTTTTCAAATTAAAGATGTTTTGGCCAGGCACTGTGGCTTGCGCCTGTAATCCCAGCACTTTCGGAGGTCATAAGTTCAAGAGCAGCCTGACCAACATGGTGAAACCCTGTTTCTACTAAAAATACAAAAAAATTAGCTGGGCGTAGTGGCGCATGCCTGTAATCTCAGCTACTTGGGAGTCGGAGGCAGGAGGATCACTTGAACTCAGGAGGCAGAGGTTGCAGTGAGCCGAGATCGCGCCATGCACTCCAGCCTTGGCAACAGAGACAGACTCCATCTCAAAATAAATAAATAAATAAATAAATAAATAAATATAAAATAAAGATGTTTTAACTGAACTTTAGGTCAGATGCAGTGGCTCACACCTGTAATCCAAGCACTAAGAGAGGCCAAGGTGGGTATATTGCTTGAGCCCTGGAGTTTGAGTCCAGCCTAGACAACATGGCAAAACCCTGTCTCTACAAAAAGTACAAAGATTAGCTGGGTGTGGTGGTGTGCACCTGCAGTCCCAGTTACTGAGGAGGCTGAGGTGGGAGGATTGCATGAGCCTGCGAGGTTGAGGCTACAGTGAGCCATGATTGCACCACTGCACTCCAGCCTGGGCAACAGAGTGAGACCCTCTCTCAAAAAAAAAAAAAAGTAAAAAATAAAAAATGAACTTTAGTTTGGAGAAAGGTACAAATAAATTGAACCCACAGTATTGAGGGAATCTTGATAAGCAGCAGTCACTGTAGTAGTAATAACAGTAGTGCTAATAACAATGCTAAGATTTATTGAACATTTTGTTGGATGTTGCTCTAAGCACTTTTCTTACATTAACCCATTTCCTCACACTCTAACCCTATTATTATGCCCATTTTCTAAATAAGAAAACTGAGGCATCAAGGATTAAATAACTTACCCATCATAAGAAAGCTAATGGACAAGTGGACAAGTTTCCACCACCAACAATCAGTTTCAGAACAGGACCTCTAATGAGAAACTAAGGAGGAAAGTCTTGAAAATATAATCTAACAATTAAAACAATCATCAAAATTAACTGAGTCTTTCTCTAAAGATATTTTACTATTCTAAAATAATTCAGTGACTCAGTCAACCAATTCAATATTTATTGAATGTCTTCTATGACAAGCCCTTTGCCCAGGTACTATGGATGAAATGATGACTATAATAGATATGATTCGTCTACAGATATATTTCAGTATCTTTCATACTGCAAACACACAGTTCTAGGTTGCCACCCCAAATTCACAGAGTCTATAAAGAACTTAATCGGACAAGTAAAAAACAACGCCATTAAAAAGTTTGCAAAAAGCATGAACAGACACTTCTTAAGAGAAGACACACAAGTGGCCAACGAATATATTAAAATGCTCAACATTACTAATCATCAGAGAAATGCAAATCAAAACCATCTCACACCAATCAGAATGGCTATCATTATTATTATATTTTTTTGAAACAGGGTCTCGCCCTGTCACCTATGCTGGAGTGCTGTGGCGTGATCATGGCTTACTGCAGCCTCAACTTCCTGGGCTCAAGCAATCCTCCCCACCTCAGCCTCCCAGTAGCTGGGAGCAGCACGTGCCATCACACCTGGCTAATTATTGTATTTTTTGTAGAGACAAGGTTTCTCAATGTTGCCCTAGGCTGGTCTCAAACTGCTGAGCTCAAGCCCGCCTCAGCCACCCAAAGTGCTCGGATTACAAGCGTGAGCCACCACACCTGGCCAGAATGGTTATTATTAAGAAGTCAAGAAACAACAGGTGCTGGTGAGGCTGTGGAGAAAAGGAACACTTATACATTGTTGGTGGGAATGTAAATTAGTTTAGCTGCTGTGGAAAGCAGTTTGGAGATTTATCAAAGAACTTAAAACAGAACTACCATTCAACCCCGTAATCCCATTACTGGGTATATATCCAAAAGAAAATAAATCATTCTACCAAAAAGACATATGCACTTGTAGGTTCATCACAGTGCTATTCATAATAGCAAAGACATGGAATCAACCTAGGTGTCCATCAACAGTGGATTAGATTTTTTTAAATATGGCATATATACACCATGGACTATGATGCAGCCATAATAAACAATGAAATCACGTCCTTTTCAACAAGATGGATGCAGCTGGAGGCCATTATTCTAAGCAAATTAATGCAGAAACAGAAAACCAAATACTGCATGTTCTCACTTATAAGCGGGAGCTAAACATTAGGTACTTATGAACATAAAGGTGTGAGCAATAGATACTAGGGACTAATAGAGATGGGGAAAGAGAAAGAGGGGTAGGAGTTGAAAAATTATTGGGTACTATGCTCACTATTTGGGTGATGGGATCATTTGTATCCCAAGCTTCAGCATCACACTATATACCCTGTAACAAACCTGCACATGTACCCCCTGTGTCCAAAATAAAAGTTGAAATTGTAAAAAATAAACAATTCACAGAAAACATTGTCAGGCTTCTGCTGAAAATAGGGCTACTGAATCTAAATCAACAGATTGCAAGGGAGAGAATATCAGATTCTTGGCCATGGAGCTAACCAAAGAACATAGTTATTGAGATTAAAGTACTCAGAGCTTTATTCCCTCAGTCAGCTAATTAGATAGATCCTGATGAAACAGGTCAGACAAACAACTGTAGCTATCCTCATATTATTAGAAATACTGGTCAGGTGTGGTGGCTCACACCTGTAATCCCAGCACTTTGGGAGGCCAAGGCAGGTAGGTTGCTTGGATCCAGGAGTTCGGGACCAGCCATGGGTAACATGGTGAAACCTTGTCTCCACAAAAAAAAAAAAAAAAAAAAAAAAAAAAAAAAGCCAGGCATGGTGGTGCATGCATGCCTGTAGTCCCAGCTACTTGGGAGGCTGAAGTGGGAGGATCCCTTGAGCCTGTGAGGTTGAGGCAGCAGTGAGCCATGATCATACCACTGCACTCCAGCCTGGGTAACACAGCAAGACCCTGTCTCAAAAAAAAAAAGAAAAGAAAAAGAAAAAAAGAAAGGAAAAATAATTCTATTTCCCAATTATAAAAAAATGATTAACATTTATTAGCACTTACATGTTAGGCATTGTGCTAGATATACACATATACATATGCATATACATCATATATATTTTTTTGAGACAGAGTCTCACTCTGTCACCCAGGCTGGAGTGCAGTGCACAATCTCCATTCACTGCAACCTCTGCCTCCTGGGTTCACGCGATTCTCGTACCTCAGCCTCCTGAGTAGCTAGGATTACAAACGTGTGCCACCATACCCAGTTAATTTTTTATCTTTTAGTAGAGATGGGGTTTTCCCATGTTGGCAAGGTTGGTCTTGAGCTCCTTGCCTCAAGTGATTTACCCACCTCAGCCTCCCAAAGTGCTGGGATTACAGGCATGAGCCACCACGTCTGGCCCTGTGCTAGGTATATGTTTTACATGTGTTATTTTATTTATTTATTCATTTTTGAGACGGAGTTTTGCTCTTGTTGCCCAGGCTGGAGTGTAATGGTGCAGTCTTGGCTCACCGCAACCTCCGCCTCCCAGGTTCAAGTGATTCTCCTGCCTCAGCCTCCCGAGTAGCTGGGATTACAGTCATGTGCCACCATGCCCGGCTAATTTTGTATTTTTAGTAGACAGGGGTTTCTCCATGTTGGTTAGGCTGGTCTCGAACTCCTGACCTCAGGTGATTTGCCTGCCTTGGCCTCCCAAAGTGCTGGGATTACAGGCGTGAGCCACCATGCCCGGCACATGTATTATTTTATTTAATCTTCATAAAAACCCTAGGAGGTCAGTATTTTTTTAAGACAAGGTTGCATTCTGTCACATAGGCTGGAATGCAGTGGTGCAATCATAGCTTATTGTAAACTTGAACTCCTGGGCTCAAGCAATCTTCCTGCCTCAGCCTCCGAAGTAGCTGGGACTATAGGTGTGCACCACCACACCTGGCTAATTTCCTTTATTTTTCATTTTAGTAGATACAAATTCTCACTATGTTGCCCAGACTGGTCTCGAACTTCTGGCCTCAAGTGATCCTCCTGCTTTGGCCTCCCCAAAGCACTGGGATTACAGGCATGAGCCACTATGCCCAGCCCAGGACTACTATTATCCTCATTTTACACATGAGGAAACTCAAACTCAGGAAGGTCAAACAACTTGGCCAAGATCACATAGCTACTAAGTGGCAGAACCAAGATTTGTATCCAGGTTGTATTAGTCCATTTTCACACTGCTATAAAGATACTACCTGAGACTGGGTAATTTATAAATAAAAGAGGTTTAACTGACTCACACTTCCACATGGCTGCGGAGGCCTCAGGAAACTTAAAACCATGGTGGAAGGTGAAAGGGAAGCAAGCACCTTCTTCACAGGGTGGCAGGAGAGAGAGAGAACATGAGAGAAGTGGGAAGCACTAGACACTTATCAAACAACCAGATCTTGTGAGAACCCACTCACTATCATGAGAGCAGCAAGGGGCAAATCTGCTCCCACGATCTAATCACCTCCCACCAGGTCCCTCCCTTGACATGTGGGGTTTATAATTCAAGATGAGATTTGGGTGGGGGGACAGAGCCAAACCATATCACAGGTCTACTTGGTTCCAGAGCCCAAGCTCTTAAATTCCATATTAACTGCTTTCCTATTGGCTGTAATATATAAAAAAAAATAAATCTGGTACTTAAGAGAAGATACAGTTGTTTTGTTAGATAGCCTATGGGCATGAATCAACCCTAATATGAATATTAGGGAGTGGTTAGACAGAGGTCTTTAACCTGAAGTCCATAGTTTAGGCTTCAGGGGATTTCCTAAACTCTCTAAAATTGTGGGTGAAATGTAACACTTGTTTTCTTTTCTCTTGGAGAAGAGTCTATAGACCTCATTAGTGTCAATAACTCACCCTTGCCCCACACCCACCAAAAATGATATGACCCACTGAATTAGGTGAATAGAGTTGTAATGGCATTATAAAACTAGCTACCCAGAAAGGCCAACATCTGTGATGTTATAACTCTAGAACATCTAGATGAATTTTTTTTTGCAACTGAAGTATTAAAAGTGTTATTTTACCTGTGACTTATGGAAATTTAAAACACATCATATACTCTCTGCCTTGGTAAACTCCTGCTGAACAAAATCAAATCTCTTCTTAATGACTTAAGGACATCCAAATTTGAACTTCTCTTTTTTGTTGTTTTTGAGACAGGGTCTTGCTCTGCTGCCCATGCTGGAGCGTAGTGACACAATCTCAGCTCACTGCAACTTCTGCCTCCCAGGCTCAAGCCATCGTTCCACCTTAGCTTCTTGAGTATCTGGGACTACAGGCACGCTCCACCATGCCTGGCTAATTTTTGTTTTTTTTTTTTTTGTACAGACAGGGTTTCACCATGTTGCCCAGACTGGTCTTGAACTCCTGGACTCAAGCAATCTGCCTGCTTGGCCTCCCAAAGTGCTGAGATTACAGATGTGAGCCATTGCATTCAGCCTGAACTTCCTTTTTGTACTAAAACAGCAATGCCTTCTGAATGCATAGGCTGTCTGCAATACTCAGTGTCCAAAGACTTCTATCTCTCTCTTGACCATCTCTGTTCTCTGATAATGGCTGTCTCCAAACAGACTGCAAAGGCTAACACTGAAGAGTTATCCTGCATTGAAAATGGAATCTTAGGATTCAGACGGACACCTAGTTGGGCATGGATTCCATGCAAGTTGATAAGGCTAGGAAAACCCCTTGCAACTGATCTTGAGCAGTCAGCCACATGGTAGAAGTTTATTTATGCCCAAGGAAATGGCTTTGCTGAGCAATGCTAAGAGTCTGTACACTAAATATTTCCTATAATTCTTTTTCTCACTTGGAAAGATTCACATTGCTTCCAAATTATCTTCTGAAAGTGTCCCATCTACTACCTTGCAGAAGGTATGGACTAGTGGCAAAGAGTAACATGGCCAGTGACACCCAACAACAGAAATGGGAAAACAGCACCATCTGGTGGAAGTCCCCAGTGGAGGCATCCAAGGCCTGGGACCCAGGGGTCCAGGTACCAGCCTTAGAAACAACTGGGCAGCAAAAGGAAGGTCTTTGGTGGAAGAGCTGGTGATCCTTCTAGTCCCAATTCCTTAATCTCACCAAAAGTACAAGACCTAATGCCTACCTACAAGGAGCTTACAATCTAGTCCAAAATATTAGCTCTTTGTATATAATGAGATGACAATCTAATATGATAAATACTACTGTAACAACAGACAATAGGCATATAACTCAATTATGTAATAGAAGAACATATCACAAGAAGGTCCCGGGTTCTTTTGGGGGATGTAATATTTCTGTGGTCTTGAGTCTATATTTACAAGCCCATCTAGGTAGATAATACAATGTTCACCTACCTACTAAATACAATGATCACAATCAAACTTATATTAAATAATAAACAACATTATCTGAGATTGACAGTATAACTCATCACCTGCTCCCCCACCACAATTTTTAAGTCCATTCCTGGACAGCAAAAAAGAAATTAAATTTTGAAAAGAAATTAAAGTACTATTTAACACTAGAGTCTCCTATAACACTTTTGCTACATGGAATCATTGCTATGGTCAATGAAACACCCACCATGAGTATAAACATTAAGAAACCTAAGAACTCTTTTTGATCAGTGAGTGATTAAGCTTTCTGATTGCAACACTGGAAACCCACATTCTAACATTCCTTCCCCTACTTTCTAGCATGAGGACTGTTTTTTCACCAGCAAATCTCACTAGTATGTCTACACAATCCCCATACTTCCTCCATGTAATAGGCAACAAACTATAATTCGATGAACTAATAAAGGAAAAATGCTAGCCAAATACATTATGGCAAAATAAAAACACTAAACAACAGGTCAGAGTTGGAGGGTTTTTTTCTGTAAATAAAAAGGAGTCATTGAAAGGTCTGTTTCTTTGTTTGTTTGTTTGTCTTTAAGGATAAAGAATGATGTCCACATCAAATCCAGCAGAGATGTGTAGCATGGATGGGAGGGAGAAAAGTGGGGAGATAGTTTAGGAAGCTACTTGAGAGCAAGAGAAAAGACAAGACATTAGATAACAGACTTAGAGACTGGCTAGGAGGAGAGCATCAAGAGGAAAGTCAGAGACGCCTTTCGGTTCCAAACTTGTGTATTGGAGAAAACAAGGTACTGCTTATGTACAAATAACTCCAGCTGATTACTGTATTCTAAACTGTTGTCTCTTTGGCCCTTGCTCTGTCATTTTTGTCACTGTTGACGCTTAAAAACCTAATTTTGTTTTATTTTTTGCTTGCTTCAGGTTAACAGCTACTCTTCGACCACTGAGACGCCATTATCTGATTAGTGAATAACTGGTAGCTGAGTGAATGTGTGACTGTGGCCCATATACTCACTGAATTTTACAGCTGGAAGGACACTTAAAATCATTTACTCTAGCCTTCACTTTACGGATGAGAACAATGAAGCATGGAGAGGTTATCTGATCGCACCATAGGAGTTTAAAAGTCCACACTGTGGGGCCACCACAGTTTATCTTGTACAGAATCAGGGGCAAGTTCAAAAATGTGATATTCATTTAAAAATGAGACAATTTCTACAAAAACATTTAAAACCTCCTTGGAAAAACTCGGCTATCATGCCTTTGATATTTTCCTTGTTATGAACATGGACATATTATTCACCTGAAGGCAAATGTTATGTAAAAAATTTTTAAGCTGGATTAGTTATTAGAGTTCATCTAGGCAAGGTGGATATCTCAGCATTAACATGCCAACACAGTCTCTGTATCTCAAGTTACGAATACTGCATTTGTTCTCTCAGTAGTAGAGATGAATAAATTTCCACTATTTGCCAGACACTCTGTGAGGGACTAAGAGCACAGAAAACCCAACTGTGGACCAGTTTGGCCGAAATAATCAAATTGTGTAGAAGTGATGTAATTGGCCCAGAACATGCAAATGGTAAAAACTGGGACCAGAAGAACCCATGTCTGACTAATGCCAGAATGTCTTACTGCCTGCACATAAGAGTTGCTAAGGGAGGATTCGAGATCAGAGAGAAGCCTGGAAGGGGAGGGTCGGGTCACAGAGAGGCCAGGCCCAAGATGCAGAGGGAGGTCAGGCAGAGGGGCCAGGTCCAGAAGAAGAGAAGGTGGCAAAGGACCAGCCTAGCACCCCAAAGCAGTTATGTTGAGTAAGGGACAGGGTAGGATACTGAGTAGGTTCCAACCTGAGAGCCTCTCTTTTCTCTTGTGAAGTAGGCTGTGACGTCATGGAAAGAGTGAGAAGCAATATGATGAGGTAAAGACTGACAAGGGTTTGCGGAGGAAAAAAAATTAAGGAAAAAGGTTGCTGATGTGGAGCATGTGAAATAACTACCAGTTATCACTAAGGGTTCGACTGAGGTTGAAGACTAAACTTTACTGTAGTGCAGCCAGGATGGAGACTCATGCCTATAATTCCAGCATTTTAGGAGGCCAAGGTGGGCAGATCACTTGAGTCCAGGAATTTCAGACCAGTCTGGGCAACATTGTGAGACCCCATCTCTAGAAAAAATAAAAAAAAAAATTAGCCATGTGTAGTGGCTTGTACCTGTGGTCCCAGCTACCTAAGAGGCTGAGGTGGGAGGACTGCTTTAGCCCAGGAGGTTGAGGCTGCAGTGAACCATGATTGTGCCACTACACTCCAGCATGGGTGACAGAGCAAGACCCTGTCTCAAAAAAAAAAAAAAAAATTAAATAAAAACATTTACTATGGCACAATCCAATTGTGCAATTTTTCTCCAGAACTGAATAGCTTTCCAGATATACAAACAGAGAAGATGAACAGTTGAACTGATGATCCAAGATTAGGATTTTTCTAGGCTTGTGGGATGAAAAGACAAGAGAATCAGAGAAGACTAGAGGACTAGAGGGATAGGTAATAGAGCTCAGGCTGACCAGAGAAGAAACCAATTGCCAAAGACTTCACTATAGTGCCTGCATATATTAAATACTTTAGTCCATTAAAACATTCAAAAGCAGGAGATATCATTACTCTTCTCTTTCAGGAGTAGAACTGTCCTTTGTCCCACAGGTCCCAAACTTCTCCTACCCCTGTGTTCCCTATTTCAATGGATGATATTACTATCCACCCAGCTGAAACTTGGGAATCATCCCTATACCTCTTTTTCTATTACTATATATATCCCATTAGTCACCAAGACCTGTAGATTCTACTCCCTTAATAACCTTTTAATCAATCTCCTCTCCATCTCTGCAGACACTGAGTTCATCTGAGCTTTCAAAAGGCCTCACCCACATCCATGTAACCACATCGCAAACGGTCCATCTGCCCTCATCCTCCTCCCTTTGACCTACTCTCCTCAGTGCTGATGAAAAAGGGAATGGAATGAGCATGAAGAGCAAAGTCTTTGCAGACAGGTCTGGGTTGAAGTCCCAGCTCCTCCATCTTCTAGCTGAGACTTTTGCTGCAGCCTTAGTTTCCTCATCTTTAAAACAGAAATAATAACCACATCTGCCTCATTTGGTTCTTGGGAGGACTAACAGAGGTAATGCACGTAAAGAACCTGGTAAACCTCCAATAAATGTCAGCTGTTAGTCATTAGCACCTTCATTATCTTAATGACCTAAAAGGCCAGCTTGGTCCTATCATTCTCCTGCTTGAAATCCTTCCATGGCTCACCTCAGCTCTCAGGTCCTCCCCGGCTCCCGTTCACACTCCTGCCTACTTGTTCAAGCACCCTCTGCCAGCAAACCTTTCCTTTCATGCCTCCTTCTTCTCCTAGCGGACCCTCCATGATCCTTTGAGGCTCAGCTAAGTGTCCTATGTTAGGGTTCCCACAGCACATCTGTGCATGCCTCTCAGTAGCACCTATAATACTGTATTAGCATCTTCTTGTCTCTCTGTCACTGAGCCCTCAAGGGGCAGTGGCATAGAGCTTGTGCTCAATAAATGTTTGCTAAATCAGCGAATGGAGGTAAGAAGCAGGAAGGGCTGTCTGAGTTCAGTATGAGACTCATTCAGTATAAGAGAGCATTTCAGGGAGGGGTAGGGACAAGCTTGGAGAGGCAGGCAAAGGGCAAGGCACTTCCAGGCAATGCTATGAAGTATGGATTTTATTCCAAAAAGGTGGGGCTGGGGTGCCTTCATTTTCCTCTAAATCACTCACACAAAGTCAAGAGGGGAAAAAAGAAAGAAAATCAAAGTAAGGGATGAAAAAGAAGAGAGACAAAAATAAGAAAGCTTTGTTAAATTGAAACCTTCATCCAAATGAAGAATTTTTTCCCCCAAAGCCTGGCTTCAAAGACAAACCACAAAATGACCAGTAAAAATATACTTCAAAAGACACGACTGAATACACATTGCGGTGGCAAGAATCCAATATATAAATACAATCAATTTGTTTCCTCATTAGAAGCTTTCATGAAGAAAATGATTTAATACAAATGCTAAAGTTACTGACATAGATTAATTGAAAAATAACAACAGAATCCTAATTAAAGATATAACATTATTTCACTCATTCACACTACACCAAAATGTGAATCAATAAATAACAGAATTTAGAAAGCCAGCTTCTACTGGTAACCACTCTAAGAACTACAATGAATTACTGACATTTTCATAAAATGCCTATCCTTATGTGTACACTTTCTTCTATTTAAGAACTGAGATGTATACAGAAATCCAGAAATCATTTTAAAATTATTTCACACTTTTCCTAAATTCGTACCATTTTACTTAATCCAGATTATTGCTTTTGCCCTCAAGTTGATTTTTTTCCCTAATTGTAAAGATTCTATACTAAAGTATCTTCTTCTTTTTTTTTTTTTTTTTGAGACAGAGTCTTACTCTGTTGCCCAGGCTGGAGTGCAGTGGCATAATCTCAGTTCACTGCAACCTCTGCCTCCCGGGTTCAAGCAATTCTCCTGCCTCGGCCTCCTGAGTAGCTGGGATTACAGGTGCCCGCCACCATGCACAGCTAATTCTTTTGTATTTTTAGTAGAGATGGAGTTTCACCGTATTGGCCAGGCTGGTCTCGAACACCTGACCTCGTCATCCGCCCGCCTTGGCCTCCCAAAGTGCTGGGATTACAGGCATGAGCCACCGTGCCCGGCCTAAAGTATCATTCTTACCCATTTACTACTTTGTCATAATTAAACCCTTACATAAAGTACCCAATTATCCAAGCCATAAAAAAATGGAATGGACTTTGATCTAAAAGCTAATGACTACGTGACCAGCTCTGTGGCTATATCAGTACAGGTCAGGGGTCCTCAGAGTTTCGATTACAATCAACCAGTCAATCCCAGGCTTTACCTGGCTCATCTTGGGACCAGGGCTTTCAGTTCTGTCTCACTTTGAGGGATTCTCCAGCATCAGAAACATCTTGAGATGTTGCCAGTTCACAAGGAAGCACAGAGCAGCATATGAACATATCCCCATCTCCTCACCCCAGGAGCTAATCAGGCTGAAATGTTGTCAGCTACTGACAGTTCTTAAGCCCTGCTGGAAAGATTTTCCCTTCATTGTTAAAATTCAGTTGAGAACCAAAATAGTCACTTACCTCAAAAACAAAAAACAAAAAACAGGGTATTCTGATAAAGATTTGTACACACTTTCCTGATCTTAAGAATCCCTTGGACCTTTTATTGAAGCACAAATTCTCAGGGTCCACCCCAGACCTAGTGAATTAGCATCTCCAGGGTAGGGGCCTAGAAATCTATATATTTTAACAAAATCCCCAGGTTTTTGTTAAAAAACCTGATGATGGGGCAGTTTTGGAAAATACGATAAAGGAAACAGATATTTACCAGTGGTTGCCCATTAAGGAAATTCTAGACAGGCAGCTCTCAATTCAAGTATTGACTGTATTCTAAAAGTTCATTTCCAGTTGTTTGGACCTTGGAATACATTTTCCTAATGAAACAAAGTTGAAAGTTGTCTGGGCCAGCTTTGAAAATCTATTAAATCTTGTTAACAGATCTGAAAATTTGTGAATACAGTCTTTAATTTTCAGACCAATCATATTTCGAAAGTTGAAGCATATATCCATAGAATGTATTTTCCCATTGACATAACATTCTGAAAAGTGGTTAGGGCACCAAATTGTATGCATTCCTTATTTACAGTGCTTTGTATACAAATTATACCCAATGATACTGAAAAATAAAATCAAGTATGGCAAAGGAGATTTGTCTTCCTTCTCTGGGTACAGGGAACATAGGCAACCTTTGACATTCTTATGCTCTTTCTTTGCAACCATTTTCTGCCTTCCAGTGGCCTCAGCCCTTGTGCCAAAGACCCAAATGTTATCCACTACTAAAGCATCCCTCCTCAGCTTACCTATCACTGCCTCATGCTTTACTCTTCCAAACTACCTATCTGTCCTCTTCAAACCCAATCAAAACTCTTATTTCCAGGAGTTGGTTCCATTTTGTCTTTTCAGCCATACCTCCCATTACTCTCTTTTACCTAATCAACAGAATCACCCTTTGGTTCCCAAAAATGCCTAAACTTTATC
Organism: Homo sapiens; assembly: GCF_000001405.40. Classification (NCBI taxonomy): domain Eukaryota; kingdom Metazoa; phylum Chordata; class Mammalia; order Primates; family Hominidae; genus Homo; species Homo sapiens. Next base: position 48,381,387 of record NC_000017.11, read on the forward strand.
ACCTCTGTGTCTTAGCACATGGTATTTCTGCATGCAATGTGTCTTACCAAAAACCTATCCCATTCACCCCACGGCCAAGTCATGATGCCAACTCATCCATGAAGGCTTCTCAAGCCCACCAGAAGGGATTTCCTTCTCTGGGCTTTTACAGTATTATGTATGTGCAGTGTTTTGTATACCTCAATAAAACTGGAAAATAAAATAAAATATGGCCTCTTCTAAAACCTTGCCACAATATATCTTGAATTACAGTTATTTGTGCAGGATTTTTTTATCTTTCCCATGAGGTTATAAATTTCTTGGGAATATTTGTTGGCTATCCACTATGTGACATGTTTGTGTTAGGCACTTTTATGTACATAACAACAACCCTACAAGGTAAGTGTATTGTATAATGATTTGGTTTATTCTGCTCAAAAATAAGTTACAGAAGGACTGGGACCTATGTTGTGTTCACCACAAAAATGCTTTGCACATAGTATATGTTCAATAAACATTTGTAGAAACTATGAGTGAATGAATGAAGTTGCATTATTCACTTTCTATGACAAGGTTGAGCCTCAATAAGAGTGCTTTCCCAATAGTCATACTAGCTGGGTTCAAATTCCAATTCTAGAACCTAATAGCTATGTAACCTTGAGCAAGTTGATTACCTTTCTGAACCTCAGTTTTCTCATCTGCTATATAGGGATTATAACAGTATCAACCTCACACACCTGTTGTAAGGAAAGCTCTTGACACTGAGCCTGGCACATGGTATGTGTGTGATGAATGTTAGCTGTGACTATTATTCTTAAAAAAAAAAAAAAACCCACATGGGGGGAGGGGAAGGGATAGCATTAGGAGATATACCTAACGTAAATGACGAGTTAATGTGTGCAGCACACCAACATGGCACATGTATACATATGTAACAAACCTGCACGTTGTGCACGTGTACCCTAGAACTTAAAGTATAATTTTAAAAAACCCACATAAATGGGAACCACTCAGACTGTGTCCTCTCCTCCTTACTCTCCCAGAGGAAGAGAAGAATGATTGTCAATGGCAAATGGCAGGTGCAGCGAAGCAACACCAAGAGCCAGCTTCATGCTCCGGAGAGAACACTACATCTCCTTCTCATGGTTTCTGGTGCTCCACATGTCCAGAGAAACTTCTCTAGCAACTAACTATAGAAATGATCCCTGAAAGTATAGTCTTTATGACTGTTATTCTTAAGCTGCAGAGATAACGAACCTCTAAAGTCCTCATTCTGTCTGAGAAAAGGCATCCTCTGTTACTTCTATAACCCTCAGTATACCTAGCACTGTGCATTGCCTGTAATAGTGGTTCAAAAAACCACTTCACTGAATGTCCTCAGTGAAGCCATCTTAACCAAAAGTTGGAAGGAAACCATTGAACAGGTCTAGTACACATGACTGAACAACCAAAAGTATCTTCACCCTCCAGGTGAATTTGTATTTTAAAAAAGGACGTTGAACCCAAATGAATCTCTAAGGGGTGAAACTGCAGGCATGTAATAAATTGAAAACAAACCTTCAAACCTTCTAGAGCAGATTATCTGGGGGTAGTGGGCTCCATGCTGGTCTATGGAGGAGCTAAGATGACTCTAGCCGCTCACTGGCCCAAGAACTGCTTGAAAAACAAGAATATGTCTTATCTGACACTGTCTTGATCACCTGGCATAGTGCCTGACATAAACAAATAGCCAATACATATTTGTTAAGTAAATTATCTGCTTCCGGTCTATAATCCTCACCCGGCTTTTAGTTGATTCCATTTCTCTTTATTACCAACATAAAAATCAATCATGGTGACTGATGTTTTGAGAAGGAGGAAGTGAATGGTTTACTCAAGCACCCTCACTTTGGAAAAGTAGTCTGACAAATACAAATGTTTTACTAAATAGTCACACAGAGTGTAGATAATCCTCTTCTAATGAAGGATTCATCCTGTGTCAGTTCAGTGCAGCTCAAAGGGATAACATCTGAAAAATGGAAGTTGTTCCCAGTCAGTGATACCTCATCTAATGAAGGCCTTGAGAGTCAACTTCCTTAATTAAAAAAAAAATTTTAGAAAAATAATCACAAAATAAAACTCAAAGTACTGCTATATTTTACAAGGCTCAAAAATAATTTCATTTTCATGTGTATGTATTTAAGCACAGAGTAAAACACTTCGGAAGACAGCTGTTTATTTGCACAGAAGTGACCCAAGGCCAGGCTGCACAATTAAAGCCTAATTTTCTCTTCCTACATCTCTCCCTGTCAGTCCCAACTCCTTTCCCACCTGGAAACTGAATATCCTTCAACTCTTAAATCTCTGCCCTTTTTTTTTTTTTTTTTTTTGAGATGGAGTCTCGCTCTGTTGCCCAGGCTGGAGTGCAGTGGAGCAATCTCGGCTCACTGCAACCTCTGCCTCCCAGGTTCAAATGATTCTCCTGCCTCAGCCTCCCGAGTAGCTAGGATTACAGGCGCCCGCCATCATCATGCCCGGCTAATTTTTTTGTATTTTTTTTTAGCAGAGATGGGGTTTCACTATGTTGGCCAGGCTGGTCTCAAACTCCTGACCTCAAGTGCTCTACCTGCCTCAGCCTCTCAAAGTGCTGCGATTACAGGTGTGAGCCACCATGCCAGCGAATAAATTACCCTTTTTAAAAAGTTTGCTCTTTCAACATGGAATGGAGGAGCAGAATAAACTGGAACAGGGAGAGACTGGAGGCAGAGAACCAGAAAGGAGAATTCTGCAGTGCTTGAGTACGACTTTATGAAGACTAAAGTTTAGCTAGTGACAAAGGGAAGAGAAAGAGGAGGACATTTAGAACGAAGAATCAACAGGCCTTGTTGATGGTTTGGGGAGTGAAGGGGGAGCAATCAGGAATGACTCCCAGGATTTTGCCTTGGGAGCCCAGGCCTAGAGAAAGCAGAAGTAGACTTCAGGGGTGAGCAGAATGTAAGATAATGAGTTCAGTTCCGGACATTCAAGCAGTTAGGATTCTTCTAGCCACAAATAACAGAAAACCTGACTGACAAGGGCCTAAACAAGTGGAAGTTAATTTTTCCCACAAAACAAAAGGTCTGAAGACAGGAGATTCTAGAGTTGTGCAGGGCCCAACGATGACATGAAGGAGCCAGGCTCTTCCCATATTTCTGCTCTAACACCTTAGAGCAGAGTAACGTCCTACTGCATTTCAGTGTATTACTATCTCCCAACTATAAGACTATCCTGTGAGAATCTATCAGAAGTCTTCTTACATTTATTTGGCCATAACAATATTTTATGTAAACTCTAGACCAAGCACTGGCAAAGCAGAATGGCTTATAGATCATGATTCTGTTGTCAAGGAAGAAGGGATGGTGGCTGCTGAGTAGGCATCCAGCAGGGTATGCCCAGCTTTGTGAAGTTTGAGGAACACCCAGAAGGAGGTATGCAATATGCTGTCTGGTGCCTTGGAGGGAGAACTGCAGCTGAGCTGTAGAATTGGGAGTCTCCCATGCACAGGGGAAGCTGTGGAGCTATGGACATGCATGTAACTGCCTCCTAAGGAGAACGTGGTGAGGAAAGAGAAAACCCTGAGGAACAAGAGCAAAGAGGGCAGGGTAGAAAAATGAGCTCAAGGGCCTAAAAAAGAGCATAAACACAAGGAAGAAGAAAACCAGGAGAATTCATGAGAATCAATGGAGAGTTTTTTACATTTATGAGAAAAAGGATGTGATCAGCAGTGTCAAATGCTACAGAAAGACCAAATAAGACAAAGACTTAACAGTAGCACCTGGCTGTGGCAATTGGAGACCTGGGTACATTGGAGAAAGTTGCTCAATAGGAGCAGAAGCTGGATTAAAGGGGACTGAATAGTGACTGGGAAGTGACTAGAGACCAGGAAGCCAGAAATAGCTACTCTAGGCTTCTATTTCAAGAAGTTTGCCTGCACAAAATAAAAAAAAAAAATAGATGCAAAGACAGTAGCTAAAGAGGGAATCACTGTGTAGGACACAATGATTTTATTAATATTAGGAGAAATTTGAGTATATTTATATAATTATTGGAGAGACATAATGAAGAAGGAAAAGCTAAATTTAAGAAAGAGGAAGTCTCTACATCAAGAATGGAGTGAAGATAACAACTATGAGCCAATGCTTCAGTCCTCAAATACTGTGTGGGGGGACTCTGAACTCAAAAGATGAAAAAAGGACAGGGTACTGTAAAGCCACAAAGACAAACTTTAAAAGGGGAGAGGTCTGAAGCAAGATTGAATAGTGAAAGTCCAGAAGTAGCAGCAGGGAGCTTGAAGAATGCCAACAGCACTTTGGGAAAACGAGCAGATTCTATTTAAAAAGGCTGCAAGCAAAGAGGGTCCTGTGGGAGAACCATCCTTTAGGATGCAGAAAAGAGGTGGAGGATATTGTGGGGTTTGGTTATAACAGGACGTAGATTCTAGGGAACACAGGGGAAAGAGTTAGAAAAGAGGTCTTCAAGAAAGAGGAGAAATGGTAGAGACAAGGAAGTGCAAAGCTGAATAGGGATGCTGCCGGCCAAATGTAGAGGGCTGTCGATAGGTCTCAAAGATGGCTGGAATGCCTGGCATCCATGCTGTGATAGAACTCCAATACATGGTCAGTAGCCCTGTAACCTTTTGTCACAGTTCCAATTAGAATATTAGAGATATGTTATTAGAGGAGACACGTGAAGAGATGGATGCCTTGGTTCTGTCTCTCCTAACACTCAGTAAAAAGAAAGCATCCTTATTTCTAGGAAAGAATATGTAGGGTTGGCTACTAAATAGTAAGTTTCCTAATAAAGAGGGTCTTTTGTTGTTCTCAGGTCTAGTCTAGGACCTAAAAATACATTTATAACAGTTTTTCACCATGCATTTTACTCACATCATTGAACTCATGCAACATGCCAGCACCATGCTAGACCTTTTTTTTTTTTTTTTTTGGTGACTATAAGACCATTCATGCCTTTAAGGAGCTTATGATCTCCAGAAATATGTATTCTAAGTTCTGAGAAACTGAATTTAAAATGAATCTGATGTGTGAAAACCGTGCTTCTCAAATGTTAATGTGCATACTGTACAAATAAACTTAGGATCCTATTAAAATGAGATTATGATTAAGTAGGTCTCATTCAATGGAGCCTGAGAGTCTGCATTGCTAACAAGTTTCCAGGTTGCTGTTCCATGTTGATACTTGGAGTATCGAGGATCTAAAGACTAGCGAAAGCAATTTATTGTCTGATCTTTTCTTGTCTCCCCTATAAAGTCGTGATAATCTTTCTTCCTTTCCTTGCTAACCCTTCTATCCAGTGTCCATTTTTCTAATTAAAACAAGTTAGGGGATGGGGGCAGGAGCAGGGAAGGGAAGCTAGAAAACCTCATGAGGGGCTTTTTCTTCTAAGCAACTATTAGCTACATACACTGCTTTCATGAACATGTCAAACATCTATCTCATGTGATTAAATACTTCTGTGGAACCACTAATATTTCAAACAGGGCACCTAAATATTCAGTAGAAGAACAAGAGACTGAGAACAGCAATTAATTCTAGTTATGCCATATGGCAGCATAGAACACTGGCTGGAACCTGAAAACTCAATTTCACAAGAGTCTTACTTATTCTGAATTTTAACCATTTTAGGATCAGCAAACATATGCCTACCAACCTGCTCCATTTATGCAAAATTCTGAAGCATAATCACACTGCACACTCAAAAATGATTGGTTTTTCCCAAATGGACTTAACATTTTTCTCCTACAAGATTCGCAAAATAAAGTAGCTGCTGAGAGCCCCAGTTTAATCTCCCTGTTAAATATAATCTTCACACAATTCTTTTAAAGAATAGTATCACTTGCTTCCTTACCATTTTCATCATCAGCTCACAATATTGCATGAGTATAATTTTTTGTGGTCTTGGATTTCTCAGCTCTGTGTTGGTTCATGAACCCTCCTATCCCTGTGCACTCTCTTCCCTCCACCGTGCCTGTAACTGCTAAGACACCCATGCCACTATCTCTTCTCTCCATCTCACCTCTCCAGAATGGAAATATTATCACTTTCAACATATACTTCATCTCCAGTCCTCTTAGAACTAAGATACCTTCATGTCTCCTGTACATTTAATAATTTCAAGATAAGGACAGAAAAATCAGTTCTTGCTTTGTGAACTTTTGTCTCTGGTGCTTGAGAGACTGTCCTAATATCCCCTGAACATGTTTTAGTGATAACATTTACTGCACTAGGGCCAAAATGATTTTGTGCCACTTTCAATTCTAGTTCAATAAAAGAATAAGAGCTTTGTTTCTAACCTCTGTCATTTTTAATACCATAAAATGATTTTTAAATTATAAAATTGAGTTCCATTTCCTGCTGGACTACCAATCTCATATTAGCTTTCCTTTTATCAAATTTATGAGAAAAGTCAGAAATTACCTTTCCTTTTTTTAAAAAAAATCAAAATTTCAGGATATCCCAGGTAGAATGTTCGAATTGAATTTTAGCTCCTAATAATTGCTGGTTTAGAAGTTTTAAAGAAGTACAAAAGTTAGCTACTTCCTGTTACTTATGTCAGAAATAACAAACTGGAGGATTATCCCCTAGTTCAGTATTACCCAAAAATAATAAGATTATTCCTAGAAAATTATCATCTTTAAAAACCATATCCCATATGGAGGCAGTCTATGATTTTCTGAAACCAGAGTGAATAAAATCCATGGTTCCTGAAATGCAAAGTCAAACCAATCAAATATTTTTTATAACATTATATTATGGGGCTGGGCTTGGTGGCTCACATCTGTAATCCCAGCACTTTGGGATGCCGAGGCAGGCGGATCATGAGGTCAGGAGTTTGAGACCAGCCTGGCCAACATGGTGAAACCCTGTCTGTACTAAAGATACAAAAATTAGCCGGGCATGGTGGCATGTGCCTGTAATCCCAGCTACTCACGAGGCTGAGGCAGGAGAATCACTTGAACCCGGGAGGCAGAGGTTGCAGTAAGCCGAGATCACGCCACTGCACTCCAGCCTGGGTGACAGAGTGAGACTCTGTCTCAGGAAACAAACAAACAAACAAACAACAATAAAAAACCTTTATATTATGAAAATTTTCAACTTTGCACAAAAGTTGAAAGAACACACATGTACACCCACAATCTAGTGGATATATGCTGTGATTCACATTTTATTTGCTTTGTCATATATCCTTCCATCCATATTATTTTTTATACATTCCAAAACAAACTGCTCAAATTAGAACACTCCATCCCCAAACAATTCAGCATGCATATAATTAACTAGACTTCAATATTTGTTTACAGTTTTTTAAAACCAATAATCTTTGAAAGATGCCACTTCATTTTTTTGATGGCTTGGCTAGATAAAATTCTAAATTCTAAATCCTAATATTTAAACAAATTCTGCTACTTTGAGTAATTTCTCATATACCAGTTCTCTCATCAACAAAAGAACAAAGGCACTTGGTAAACGTGATAGAAGGTCTAAATTACCAAATTGTTTGGGCCTTGTGGTTATGGTAGAATTTACAAATGAGAGTCACTCACTAATATAACTTGGAGAAATAGCTAATTGGAGATTATGTGGCCATAAAGTTTTCTGTAAATTATAATGAGAACCTCAACAAGGCTCACAAACTCAAGAGGGAGCTTTGAGTTTCAGCATTTAATTATAACATATCTTTTATAAACCACACTGTGATAAAAACTACCAGAAGCTGGACGATTTAAGAATGGCTCACTACAAGTGGGGATTTTGTAACAACAACAAGGCACCAGCATCAAATTGGAATTTTCTTGGCTTTGCCATGCTGTAGTACTACTGGTTTGTAAACTCTATTAATTGTCTGACTACAGTAAGAGCTGCCACAGGGATAGCACCTCTTTTATGAGCTGTTTGTTCCCCTACACTATTTTTTTTTTCTTTCCTAAGATGGGCCCTGGAAGGGACACCCTTCGAAGCCCAAAGAATCAAAGCTACTGCAAAGCACTGCTGAGAGTTTTGAAAGAAATATGAAGAAACTACATCACGCCTGGGGCGATAGGCTGAGATCTTCCCAAACAGGTCAGCAGTTGGTCTCTAAAATATTCCTGTTGCCAAGGAGGCAATGACATCTTGTGTAAATCAAAAACTAAAACCCTAAGATATCTCATTTCCATTTTAAATGCTTGGGGGCTAAATATGGATGTCTAGCACTCGAGAAGTTCCTGTGGGATTGATTTTTTTCCCATCTTCTCTGAGCCCTTTGCTGAGTGTGATAAGCAGGACTGCATTTCATTATCAACCCTGCTAGCACTGTACTTCAGGGAGACTAGAGGAGGCTACACACTAGGAGAGAAGATCCAGAATCCAAAGAAGAAATGATTCACATGGTGTGATTATAAAAACCCACTTTATGCTCAACTCATTTTCAACAGAATCATGAAATAAAATAAAATCCCAAGAAATGAAATTTCCTGCATCACATTCCAAATTTTTTAAAAAGTCATGGGGGTACCATAAAAGAAATCAAATAGAAGTTTTAAGGTTTGGTTGGTAATGTGTGCATTTTTGGAACATTTATTTAAAAAAATAATTCCAAACAACATTTTGGGTAAGCAACCTAAAAAGAAAACATAAGATTATCATTAGGGGAATCTTCAAGTGACTCAGTGTTACAGAAGTAACATCAGAACAAAGGGCTTGGCTCCTGACACTTGGCCCAGTGCTCTTGCATTTCCCTCCCCTCTGTTCCAGTTTCCCTGTAACACAGAAAGTGGATACAGGCTGGGTCCATATCAGAAACAAGAGAAAACATGCAAATTAGAGAAAACCATCATCAGTAAGGTCCCAAGCCACAGGTTCCTGGAATCCACAAACAGATAAATACAGAGAGGCCTTTTTCATTGGCTTTCCTTAAACAGAGAAAATAGCATAGCTCTGGGACAAAAGGCTAGCTCCAGATCAAATGAGACTTAAAATCAAAGCCAAAGCAAATGGTGATAAAAATGAAGGCAGTAATTTCATACAGATGATCTTTTCACACAATGTATGAATTAAGTCCATCTACAGACAGTGAGGCTTCACGTATTAAAAAAAAAGGACACAGGATTTTCTGAAACCAAGACAAATCCATATTGAGTAGCTAATAGGAATGTGCCCAAGTGATAACGATGGCTAAAATTCTATCAGGAGTAAAGCAAATTTCAGTGACCTAACTATACAGTTAAAGAGTACGGCTCAGCTTATTATTCTAATGGGTTAGTCAGACTGTAAGGGTGCAAGTTCAGTTACCTGCCTGTGTTCTAGCTCACAATCCCAAACTCCTTTTCACTCTTGATTGAGGAGCTCAGTACTGGGAAGAATTATACATGATCTAGTTTTGCAAGTGATCTAAAAACTCTCTTAAAAATACATTGTCCTAGGTGCGGTGGCTCACGCCTGTAATCCCAGCACTTTGGGAGGCCAAGGTGGGTGGACTGCTTGAGGCCAGGAGTTCAAGATCAGCCTGGCCAACATGGTGAAACCCCGTCTTCACTAAAAATACAAAAATTAGCCAGGTATGGTGGTGCACGCCTGTAGTCCCAGCTACTCGGGTGGCTGAGGCACAAGAATTGCTTGAATTTGCGGAGGTTGCAGTGAGCCAAGATCATGCCACTGCACTCCAGTCTGGGTGACAGAATGAGACTCTGTCTCAAAAAAACAAAAAACTAACTAACTAACAACAACAACAACAACATCAAAAACATTTTTCTGAACTTCAATCTAAAATCTTAAAGATATAAAATGAAAATATAAAAGGTATGGTTTATTCTGAACCACCAAGGACTATGGTCATTATTACATTAAAAAATGTTATTTAAGAAAAATTGTTCTACTTCCAGATAGCCTCACATATGAAAGAATAAACAAAATAATCATTATGATAAAATTATAAGGAGAGTTATACATTTCAAAGCTATTTTGAAAGGACAGAGACTTGCCATAAAAAACACATAAGATGATCTTCCTTACCAGGTCTTAAAAGTTAAGCCAAGAGATCAACAGTAAGTAATATTCTATCTTTCTCACCTGTAGGGCATTCCAGATTAAAACAGCAATAAATACAACCTCTCATTCCTAGAGAAGTAGATTCACAAAACTCTTTAACTCAGTTGTGAAATCTCAACATTCATCCACTGAATAACAGAGAACTAAGCAAAAATTTGACTGATATAACTGATGAGTTGAGTAATAATGTTGAAGTTGTTGTGGGTTTGTTTTTTCTTCCTTTAAGGATGGGAGGGAGGGATAAGACTGAAAAAGGAAGAAATGAGTTATTAACCTTCCAGATGTGGTCAAATTATTGCTATGACTTTTGAGCCTTTTCAGAGCTATTTAAACTTAGACGGATCATTCAACTACCTCTTCCTTTTTTTTTTTTTTTTTTTCTGCATTGGCACTGAAGCTCCAGTACAAGTAGCAAAATTAAAAAACAGAAAAAGATGTTATGAGTAAATCTTGAAACTTGTGAATAACATAAATGTATTAATAGCACATTATACATTAGTTCTTTTGATAAGCATACTTCATTTGAATGTGTTTTGTTTTGGGGATTTTTAAGCTCAATAATTAACATTTAAGAAAAGTAAAACTCTCTATATAATTAATGGTAATTATATTTACAGTATACTACTTCAAAACTCTTGCTCCCAAGAGTTTTATCAGGCTAACTCCTTGTCTTTCTTCCTATAATACAAAAATATCAGAATTATACATTCTTAAGCTAAATCTTGTTTTAAAGCTAAATCCACGTTAAGCTGAAAAGAAAACATGAAATTCCCAAAGAAAGTCAGAATTATTTTTATGAGATTTTACTAGTATATCATGTTTCACACAGAGCTATAGGTTAGCCACCCACAAATGAGACACGTTCAAGATATTCTTTCAGCCTGTAGTTTAAATGTCCTGAGTTTTGTGCCATAACCCTGTTACACAAAATGTATTTCTTTATTTCTTTCCATCTCAATATGATATAAATCTACTGGTCTCTTTTTGGAACTCCTTCAGCATTACTAAGTTTCACAGAAGGAAACAATACTCCAAGTTTGCTTCCATTGGCTCTGTCCTTCACTTCCAACAGGGAGCATAAATGACTACTTATCCAAGAAGGGCCATTGAGAGAGAAATTAAGCCATATCTCAATAATAAAAATATTCTATTTTTGGCTGGGCGTGGTAGCTCACTCCTGTAATCCTAGCACTTTGGGAGGCCAAGGTGAGTGGATCACCTGAGGTCAGGAGAGACCAGCCTGGCCAACATGGTAAAACCCCATCTCTACCAAAAATACAAAAACCTTTAGCCAGGTGTGGTGGCTCATGCCTGTAATCCCAGCTACTTGGGAGGCTGAGGCACAAGAATCGCCAGAACCTGGGAGGTGGAGGTTGCAATGAACCAAGATCGCACCACTGCACTCTAGCCTGGGCAACAGAGACTCGGTCTCAAAAAAAATATATATATATATATTTTTTTTTTCTTTACCCCTCCCCCACTCTCAACGTATTCTTGCAGTCAGATGGCCTCCACTGAATCAAACATTTAAAAAATGCTCTACTGTTTCTCCCAATGCGTTAGAATGCCATCAAGTGTCTGAGCACAGATCACAACTGCTTCATTCCAGGTGTCTCACATCTGGTGCTAATCCTGCAGTGACCATCGTAATAAAGCAGGAAGTGCCTTTGCCTGGCTTTCATACTAGCCACTCTCCAAAGGGCTCAATGAAAACTTAGACTTGGAATGTGAAAGCTGTTTAGTTTTTAAGAAAAGCAATGAAAATCACAGCTTAGGACAACAAATACCACAATAGGGCTTCATTTCCTTGGAATCACAGAAATTGCTATCCGTTTTTATTTTGTGTTACATGGAAAATATTAGCCTTCATTGGTAACACTTTCAAACAAAAAGAAAAGAGTATGTAAATATAGATAGGATTTTATTTTTTGTTTCTAAGTCTAAAAAAAGATAGCTATTTTTTGTTTCTAAGTCTAAAAACAGAATAGCTAAAGTGATTTGTACTGAAAAACATGAGCACTTGGAGAACACCCAGGATTCTTGACACAATTGTCTTTTCCTGTGGTCATTCACTCTAGACAACAAAAAATAGCAAAAAGCACATTATAATAGCTGTGATAGAGTCAGATGCTTCCATTTACAGCAAGTCCACAACCATGGCAAATACCAGTGAATGCCAAGCCAGCCATAAAAATAAGAGCTAAGCCCCTAAAGTTTACCAAGAATCACAGACAGTGCTACTTTTATTTCTCTCCACCCTTTTGTTTCTAGAGCAATACACGTTGAGGAAAGAATTAAAGGAAGCAAGGAAACAACAAAGAGACTAGGAAGTTGTAAAATATATATATATGTGTGTGTAAATATATAATTTACATTTATCTAGTAGTGGCTTTTCCAGATTATCTTGCTAGAGATTTATCTACCTTCCAAATAAGACTTGAAGTGCTAAATTATAGTTTTAGATAGGTTACCACCCCCCCCAAATTTATCAAACTCCTAAAATATTATTGTTTTAATCTGACTAAAAATAGGCCAGGCACAGAGACTCAGGCCTGTAATCTCAGCATTTTGGGAAGCCAAGACAGGAGAACTGCTTGAGTGCAAGAGTTCCAGACCAGCCTGGGCAACACAGTGACACCCTGTCTCTACAAAAAGTAAAAAATTAGCCAGGCATGGTGATGTGCAGCTACTCAGGAGGCTGAGGTCGGGGGATCGCTTGAGCCCAGGAGGTCGAGGCTGCAGCAAGCTGTGATTGTGCCACTGCACTCCAGCCTGGGCCACAGAGTGAGACTCTGTCTAAAAAAGCGAAAAACAAACAAACAAAAAAATGACTAAAAAGAAACCCTTTTAAATGATCTTCATTAATTTTAATTATTTTTGTGTTACTGTATGGTTCATGTATTTGCCGTATGTTTATTTTTTACTCTTTTTTTTTTGAGACAGAGTCTCACTTGGTCGCCCAGGCTGAAGTGCAATGTAATGATCATGGCCCACTGCAGCCTCAACCTGCTAGGCTCAAGTGATCCTCCTACCTCAGCCTCCCAAATGGCTGGGACCACAGGCATATACCACCACACCTGGCTAACTTTTTATTTTTTGTAGAGAGAGAGTTTTGTTATGTTGCCCAGGCTGGTCTCAAACTCCTGGCCTCAAGCGATCTTCTGGCCTCAGCCTCCCAAAGTGCTGGGATTATAGGAGTAAGCCACTGCGTTTAGCCTGCCATACATGTTTAACTCTCAAGTTTGATGACTTCTAAATTTCTTTTTATGCCAAGCTTTTTGGGGGACATATAACTGCCACACAACATAAGTAAATGTGGCAGCTATAAATGGCACAATAGAGGTGATATGGCTGAAGAAGAGGATTCAGGAAAACAAGGGTTACATTAACAGAATGATGATTGAATGGGTGGATGTAAGGCAATTTCAAACAGCTTGCCAAAGGAAAGCCTCGTTTTTCTATTTTCTTGTACAGTATCTAATTTCTGGCTCCTCATTTCCTCAGTGATCTGATAATTATGAAATTCTAAATAAAGTGTCATCTTTCTTGCAACAAGTCAATGAACAGAAAGCTCCCATCAACAATGCAGATATTTCCTAAAGTTCCCGCTGATGATTTCCTGAATGTCTACCCCACAAACCACACACAAAGTTCTTTGAGAACAAGAATTTGAGAACAAGAAACTGACTCTATCCCATGACAAATTCAGCTTGCGTGTGTGTTCATGCATGTGTGTGCATGTGTGTATGTATTTTAAAAGAGGATTAAGAAGTATAATAATATGCAGCTGACAGTAATGAGTTACCGTAATTTGCCTTTTATTACCAACTTAAGATTGAAATTTAGTCCTTTCTCAATGCTGTGGTACAAATACAGGAAAGAATTCCTCCTCATTGTGTATTTGTACCCACAGCTGCAGTAAAAGTATTTTTGCATTCCTTATCAGAGATTTATACCAACAGAATCACCAAATACACCATTATATTTAGGGCATTCCTCTCCCAATTTAAAATAATTCCACCTTTATTCCGCAAGCCACCCTTAGAGTAATCATAAAATACAAAGGCAAACTTGTGAAATTAAAAAAAACTATAGGTTACTAAGTCTCCAGGTATGTAACTAAGCCTAAACTTATCTATTAATAAAATAACATTATGGAGAACTTTGTTTTAAACACTCTTTCAACCTACCAAAAATTATAGATATTCCCACTTTTTCAAAAAACTCCCATCTTTTGCATTCTGTTTGTTTCAATTATTCAGGGCAACCCAGGCTGATAATTACACAGTCCCCAGTTGCTGAGTAAAAGTGATGCTTAATTAGCCAGCAGGAAAGATCGATTAAGATCCAGCAGGGCATCTCATGAGGTTCTCTCACATTCCTGAATGGAATAGATTCTGGCTGTGCCCTTCCGAAGGATAAAATTCTCTGCTTCTATGGAGTTTCAATGAGGTTTTTAGAGCAGATACTAAGAACTGTCAGCCACGCAAATTAAATCCCAACCATAACCCTGCAGATGCTCTTCCTTTTCTAAGAATATTCAGTTTAAACATTCTGAATCACATTGCCACCAGGTTTGAAAAGGCTAAAGGAACACTCACTTATCCCTTGTTCTCATTCAGTTACCCATTTCAAGCAATAGGTGGTCAGAAAATATATTATAAAGGAAAATTTTTATTTTTTCCCCAAGCAAGTGTTTGCATCTCTCAGATGCTCACATTCTAAAATGCACAAATTACATCAGGGCCTCTTATTTTTAAAAAATGACATAATATTTCAACCCAGTCCAGGAATAAAACATCCCAATGTAGTCAAAGAATCAACTTGATAAGTCTCATTTAAGTTTTCTATGAGGTAAGGAGATGTGGAAGTAAAATCAGTACCAAAAATCATAATGAACATTATCTCATACTGCCTAACACTTTCTCGTTAATAATTTGGACAAGCATAAATGTTTAGCTTTCACCATTTTTTTAGTTAAATGCAAAAGTGGTCAATAAAGGCTAACATAAAAATCCAAAGCTAAAAGCAGAATAATTACCTCAAGATACATACATAATTATCAAAACATTTTTATTTTGGTAAACTACACTAACTATGCTTGCCTGCCTCCAGTTCAATTCAGTAAATATTTATTAAGTTTCTGCCAAGTATAAAGAACTATGATAGGTATGTCTTACCTTGTGACTTTATTTTACTGATTATAAATTGTTTTAAAGCTTATGAAGAAGATTAATGGAACCAGTTTATACAAACCTGGCTTTGATTTGCTGAAAGCCCCGTAGAATATGGTCTCTGTGATCCCTTGCAACAGCGCTGAGGTTCTCATTCCGCAAACCTTCTGCCAGAAACTCTTCAGCATCTAAAAGAAAAGGAAAGTTGATAAAACAGAAAAGATGTACTAAGGGAGAAAGGAAAATCAGAAGGATTAAGAAATGGCACATGTATACATATGTAACTAACCTGCACAATGTGCACATGTACCCTAAAACTTAAAGTATAATAAAAAAAAAAAAACTTTATAGTTGTGGCACAATGTGAATGTGCTTAATGCCACAGAACTGTATACTTTATAATAGTTAAGATGGTAAAATTTATATTTTGTATATGTTACCAGAATAAATAATAACTAAAATTTTATATATACCTGTAGGTAACATGTTCTAATAATCCAAGACCTTGCTATGAATTTAGAAAACTATGACATATATTAGCCATAAGAAATAACTATTTTCTAAATCATTTTAAGTAAACATTTACATATTAATTATTACTGATGGCAGAGAATGGACTGTAAATTTCTTTCTTTCTTTTAGGGGGGGGATGGAGTCTCACTCTGTTGCCCAGGTTGGAGTGCAGTGGCGTCATCTTGGCTCACTGCAACCTTCACCTCCCAAGTTCAAGTGATTCTCCTGCTTCAGCCTCCTGAGTAGCTGGGACTACAGGCGCATGCCGCCAAGCCCGGCTAATTTTTCGTATTTTAGTAGAGATGGGTTTTCATCATGTTGCCCAGGCTGGTTTCGAACTCCTGAGCTCAGACAATCAGCCTGCCTCGGCCTCCCCAACTGCTGGGATTACAGGCGTGAGCCACCGCGCCCGGCCTGGACTGTCAATTTCATAAACATGTAATATTATAAATAAGTCACAGAAGGTCACAGGCCAATAGAAGCTAGAAAGAAATACCAATAAATAGAGCCGAAATAAAAAATAGAGCTGAACTGCAAAAATCAAGAACAAAAGGGCAGGCATTCAAAGAAATATTAATTAGCAGATGCATCATCAATGAAAATGACAATACAACCAAGTGAAGGAACCCACATGAGAAAGACAAATGTCTCCAAGAGAAGGGAACTGCAATTAATGTGAACATATATTATAAAATAGGGACATGATAGAAATACATAATATGAAACAAATCATGTTATGTTGAAGGAAGAAATTGCAGAGGGGGGGTGGTTCTACAAATTTTCAAAGACAAAATACATTGATAATGATTACAACTGCCAGAAACACTGGCTACACATTTTATTCTGCACAAAAGGTTTGTCATCCCCCAAAAGCGTATAAATAATATAGTTAAAATTTTCCACCTCCAAAAATTGTGCGTGTAATATGAAACTGTATCATATATATCAGGAGTCCCCAACCCCTGGGCCACACACAGGAACCTTTATTTCCTCAGTGATCTGATAATTATGAAATTTTAAAGAAAGGGCCACATGGCAGGAGGTGAGCAGCAGATGAGCAAGTGAAGCTTCATCTGTATTTACAGCTGGTCCCCATCACTTGCATTACCACCTGAGCTCCAGCTCCTGTCAGATCAGTGGCAGCATTAGATCCTTATAGGAGCACAAACCCTATTGTGAACTGTGTATGTGAGGGATCTAGGTTGTGTGCTCCTTATGAGAATTAATGCCTGACGATCTGTCACTGACTCCTGTCACTCCCAGATGGGACCATCTAGTTGCAGAAAAACAAGCTCAAGCCTCCCACTGATTCTACATTATGGTGAGTTGTATAATTTTTTCATTATATATTACAATGTAATCATAATAGAAATAAAGTGCATAATAAATCTAATGCTCTTTAATCATCGCCAAACCATCCCCCCACCCCCGGTCCATGGAAAAATTGTCTTCCATGAAACCAGTCCCCAGTGCCAAAAAGGTTGGGGACCCCTGATACATACTATCAAAATATTGCTATGAATTTATATAGTTGGATAAGCACACCTAAAAATTTGTTTTATATTCACGTCATTTAACAACGCCAGGCCGGGCGTGGTGGCTCACGCCTGTAATCTCAGCACTTTGGGAGGCCAAGGCGGGTGGCTCACGCCTGTAATCCCAGCACTTTGGGAGGCCAAGGCGGGCGGATCATGAGGTCAGGAGATTGAGACCATCCTGGCCAACATGGTGAAACCCCCCGTCTCTCTAAAAATACAAAAATTAGCTGGGCATGCTGGCACACCCCTGTAGACCCAGCTACTTGGGAGGCTGAGGCAGGAGAATCACTTGAACCAGGGAGTTGGAGGTTGCAGTGAGCTGAGATTGCATCACTGCACTACAGCCTGGAGACAGAGCAAGACTCCGTCTCAAAAAGAAACAAACAAACAAACAAAAAAAACCACCAAACAAAAAATCCTAAATAGCCATCGCTAGGACTTTTGATGAGATACAAAGTCCTGGAAATTGAATATTTCACAAAGGACCACCATCAACATCCAAGCTCTGCATTGTATCTATTGCATATGTGATTTAATGGGTTCCACTAGGGTCCTTTGAATGCTAACGAATGAGGAAATGGGAAGCTGAATTAAAAGGCAAAAATAAATGACATCTAAGATTCAATTTATGTAATATATCATAACAATAGAATAAAGGAAAAAAACCACATGATCATCTCACTAGACACAGAAGAAGCATTTAACAAAAGTCAACAGCCTTTCGTGATAAAAATTCTCAACAAACTAGGAATAGAAGGAAGCTTCCTCAAACTAATAAAAAGCATCAACACAAACCCACAGCTAACATTGTACTTAATGATTAAAGACTGGCCAGTCATGGTGGCTCGTGCCTGTAATCCCAACCTTTTGGGAGGCCGAGGCAAGAGGATCACTTAAGGGCAGAAGTTTTGAGACTAGCCTAGATGATATAGAGAGATTCCATCTCTACAAAAGATAATTTTTAAAAAATTGGCTGGGCATTGTGGTGCATGCCTGTAGTCCTAGCTACTCAAGAGGTTCAAGTGGGAGGATCACTTGAGCCTGGAAGGTTGAGGCTGCAGTGAGCCATGACTGTGCCACTCCAGCCTGGGTGGCAGAGCAAGACTCTTGTCTCAAAAAAAAAAAAAAATTAAAAAGAAAATAAATGGTCAAAGACTGAACACTTTCCCCACGTTCCTTAGATCAGGAATAAGATAAGGATGTCTGTTCTCACCACTTATACTGAACATTGTACAGGTGATGCCAGCCAGGACAACTAAGCAAGAAAATGAAATAAAAAGCATTCAAACTGGAAAGGAAGAAGTAAAACTATTTCTATTTGCAGATGACATCCTGTATATGGAACACCCTAAGGAATCTATTAAAAAACTATTAAAACTAATAAAAGAGTTCAGCAACTTTGCAGGATATAAGATCAATGTAAAAAAATCAACTGTATTTCTTTTTTCTTTTCTTTTTTTTTTTTTTTGAGACGGAGTCTCACTCTGCCTCCCAGGCTGGAGTGTAGTGGCGCGATCTCAGCTCACTGCAACCTCTGGCTCCTGGGTTCAAGCAATTCTCTTGCCTCAGCCTCCTGAGTAGCTGGGACTACAGGCACGCACCACCACACCTGGCTAATTTTTGTATTTTTAGTAGAGACAGGGTTTCTCCTCGTTAGCTAGGCTGGTCTCAAACTCCTGACCTCAGGTGATCCACCCGCCTGGGCCTCCCAAAGTGCTGGGATTACAGGTGTGAGCCACCACGCCCAGCCAATCAACTGTATTTCTATATAGTGGCAATGAACAAACAAAAAGGACATTAATAAAATTCCATTTAAGATAGCATGTAGGATGGGCATGGTGGTCCATGCTTGGGATTATTCTCAGCACTTCGGGAGGCCAAGGCGGGCAGATCATTTGAGCCCAGGAGTTGGTCAACATGATGAAACCCCGCCTCTACAAAAAATACAAAAATTAGCCAGGCATGGTGGTGCACATCTGTGGTCCCAGCTGCTCAGGAGGCTAAGGTGGCCTCATTTGAGCCCAGGGAGGTTGAGGCTGCAGTGAGCTGAGATCACATCACTGCACTCCAGGCTGGGTGACAGAGCAAGACCTTATCTCAAAAATAAAAATTAAAAAAAAAGAAAAGAAATAAAGCAGGTAAAAGAATTAAGAATTAAGCACTTACGAATAAATAGAACATATTCTATGTTCATGATCAGAAGACTTAATATCGTTAAAATGGCAATACTCCCCAAACTGATCTAAAGCTTTTATGTAACCCCTATCAAAATCCCAGCTGGCTTTTTTTGTAGAAATTGAAAAGCTAATCCTAAAATTAACTTGGAAATGTAAGGAATCCAGATAGCCAAAACAATTTTGAAAAAGAGAGACAATGGCCGGGCGTGTTGGCTCACACTCGTAATCCCAGCACTTTGGGAGGCTGAGACGGGTGGATCACCTGAGGTCAGGAGTTCAAGACCAGACTGGTCAACACGGAGAAACCCTGTCTCTACTAAAAATACAAAAATTAGCTGAGTGTGGTGGCTAGTGCCTGTAATCCCAGCCACTTGGGAGGCTGAGGCAGAATAATTGTTTGAACCTGGGAGGCCGAGGTTGCAGTGAGCCGAGATCATGCCACTGCACTCCAACCTAGGCAACAGAGCAAGACTCTGTCTCAAAAAAGAAAAAAAAAAGGAAAGAAAAAGAAAGACAAATTTGGAGGACTCACACTTTCTGACTTCAAAACTTACCACAAAACTACAGCAATTAGGAAAATATGGTACTGGCATAAGGACAGAGATAAAGTTCAAAGGAATAGAATTGGGAATCCAGAAATAAACCCTCACACTTATGGTCAATTTTTGCAAGAGGGTCAAGACAATTAAATGTTGAAAAAGTTGTTTTTTCAACAAATGGTGCTGAGACAACTGAGTATACACATGCAAAAGAATGAAGTTGGATTCCTACCTCACACCATATAAAAAAATTAACTAAAAATGGATCAAAGACCTAAATATAAGAGCTAAAACTATGAAACTCTTAGAAAAAGACAGGTGTAAATCTTTGGGTCCTTGGATTAGGTAATGGTTTCTTAGATATGACACCAAGAAAAAAAAAGCAACCAAATACAAAAATAGACAAACAAGGCATCATCAAATTTAAAAGCTATTGTGCTTCAAAGAAGGCCAACAAGAAAGCAAAAGGATAACCCACAGAATGAGAGAAAAGCTTTTGCAAATCATATAGCTGATGAAAGACTTGTATGTAGAATATATTAAAACTCTTATATTTCAGTAATAATAAGACAAATAGCCCAACTGAAAAATGAGAAAAGGAACTGAATAGACATATCTCTAAAGAAGATACACAAATGACCAATAAGCACATTAAAAGATGTTCAATATCACTAGCCATCAGGGAAATGCAAATCAAAATCATGAAATACCACTTCACACCCACTAGAATGGTTACAGGCGAAAAGAACAACAATGAATGTTGTTGAAAATGTAGAAAAATTGGAAACCTTATACATTGCTGGTAGGAATGTAAAACAGTGCAGCCACTTAGAAAAATAATCTAGCAGTTCCTCAAAAGGCTAAACAGAGAATTATCATAGGATCCAGAAATTATATTACTAGGAAATACCCAAAAGAAATGAAAACAGGTGCTGACACAAAAACTTTACACAAATATTCATAGCAGCATTTTTTTTTTTTTTGAGACAGAGTCTCGCTCTATTGCCCAGGCTGGAGGGCAGTGGTGCGATCTCAGCTCACTGCAACCTCTGCCTCCCGGATTCAAGTGATTCTCGTGCCTCAGCCCCCCAAGTAGCTGGGATTACAGGTGCATGCCACCATGCTGGGTTAATTTTTGTATTTTTAGTAGAGATGGGGTTTCATCACTTCGCCCAGGCTGGTCTTGAACTCCTAGACTCAAGCAAACTGCCTGCCTTGGCTTCCCAAATTGCTGGGATTACAGGCGTGAGCCACCATGCCTGGCATAGCAGCATTATTCTTAATAGCTAAAAAGTGGAAACAACCCAAATATCCATTAACTGATGAATGGATAGATAAAATGTAGCATACAATGGAATATTATTCAGCAATAAAAGGAAATGAAATGCTGATATGTGCTACAACATGGATGAATCTTTAAAATCATTATGCTAAGTGAAAGGAGCCAGTCACAAAGGACCACATATCGTATGATTCCATTTACATGAAATGTATAGAATAGGCAGATCTAAAGAGACAGAAAGTAGATAAAGAAAGTCAGGAAGAGGGATTGGAGAGTGAAGGCTAAGAGGTTCAGGTTTTCTTTCGGTGTAATGAAAATGTTCTAAAATTTACTGTGGTGATAGTTACACAATTCTGTGAATATACTAGAAGCCATTGAGTTGTATGCTTTAAATGTGTGAGTTGTATAGTATGTGAATTATATCTCAATGAAGCTGTTTAAAAAAATAAATAAATACCTGTAATCTCAGCATTTTGGGAAGCCAAGGTAGGAGAACTGCTTGAGCCCAGGAGTTCAAGACAAGCCTGGGCAAAAATCAAGACCCTGTCTCTACAAAAAAAAAAAAAAAAAGTTTTTAATTAACTGGACATGGTGGTGCACGCCTGTAGCTACTTGGGAGGCTGAGACAGTAGGATCCATTGAGCCCAGGAGTTCAAGGTTGCAGAGAGCGGTGATTAACCCACTGCATTCCAGCTGGGTGACAGTGCAAGACTCTGTCTCAAAATACTATATTGAATATTTTTTATTACATTTACACTTTGAAAATCATAGTTAAAATATATATACATATATATATATGTATCAGTGTGTGTGTGTGTATAAATAACAACACCTACACATATCCTTTTGAGCTTTCAAAATTTCAAGGAAAGTGAAAACATCTCTCAAGCACCCAGAGAGAAAAAATAAGACACCTACAGAACAACAGCAACAAGAACAACAAAATCAAAATGGCCTTGCTACAAAATAAGCATCAGAAGATGAGACGTGTACAAAGTTTTAAAGGAAAAATGGTGTGCTCTAAGAATTCCAAGCATAGTCAAGATGTTGGTTTGGCCATATAGAAGGAGAAAATCTTCTGAAGTATATGTTCTGATCCACAAAGAGAAAGAGGTGGTGATAAATGTCAAACTGCAAAACAAGTTAAATCTAGATCACAGCCGGGCACAGTGGGTAACGCCTGTAATCCCAGCACTTTGGGAGGCAGAGGCGGGCAGACCACTTGAGGTCAGGAGTTTGAGACCAGCCTGGCCAATATGGCGAAAACCCATCTCTACTAAAAATATAAAAAAATTAGCCAGGCATGATGGCGGACACCTGTAATCCTTGCTACTTGGGAGGCTGAGGCAGGAGAATCCCTTGAACCTGGGAGGCGGAGAGTGCAGTGAGCTGAGATTGCGCCACTGCACTCCAGCCTGGGAGACAGAGTGAGACTCTGTCTCGGAAAAAAAAAAAAAAAATAGAAATCACTGTGGTCTACATGGTTTAAAATTTATAAAAATATTAATATCAAAAATAATTCTTGGCTGGGTGAGGTGGCTGACACCTGTAATCCCAGCACTTTGGGTGGCCGAGGCGGGCGGATCACCTGAGGTTGGGAGTTCAAGACCAGCCTGACCAACATGGAGAAACCCCATCTCTACTAAAAATACAAAATTAGCCGGGCGTAGTGGCACATGCCTGTAATCCCAGCTACTCCCGAGGCTGAGGCAGGAGAATTGTTGGAACCCAGGAGGTGGAGGTTGCAGTGAGCTAAGATCATGCCATTGCACTCCAGCCTGGGCAAGAAGGGTGAAACTCTATAGAAACAAAACCAAAACAAAAATTCGTATGGCGAGACAATGTAAAAAATGTAAAAATAGTCTAATTCCTAGTTAGAAAATGAATAGAGAGGAAAATATATACTAAATTACACATTTACATAGGGTCAATGGATACTACTTCATCCTTGACAGTGATAATTAAAGACAATGGGTTTAATTATGATTTTTTGAAGTGTAAATGTAATAAAAGTAGAATTAAAGGTTTTTAAAATATTCAATATAATAAAATATAGAAAAAAGAAAAGCAAAATAGCATAAAAGTGGAACTCATAAAATAAGATGACAATAGTGAAAAGTTAGACTTCTGTATTAAAAGCAAAAATTTTTGTACTGTATCAAAAAATTACACAAGTTTAATTACTATTTAAAAGATATCCGAAATAAATGAAGCTGAAAATAAAAGAAGAGAGGTGTACAAAACATCCTAGGCAAAATGATTTTTTAAAAGCAAGAATGGCAATAATTCATATCGAAATAGAATTAAAGAAACTATTATTAAAAGGCCAAAGGTGGTAATTTCATTTGATGTAAAGTACAATCCACAATAGATATGACCTGTTATGTGCTAAGTAACGCACTAAAATACATACAATGAAAACTGTGAGAGAAGCAGAAATTACTAAAAAAAACATTTTAATGTTACTACTAGTCTTGGATAGATGAAGTAGACAAAAATAAATAATGGTTTGGAGTGTGTCCAACAGAAACAGAATGGAAGCTACACATTTCATTTTAAATTTTCTAGTAGCCTCATTTAAAAAGTACTAAAAAGAGGGATGAAATTAACTTTAATAGTATTTATTTTTTATTTAACCAAAAATATCATTTCAATATGTAACCAATATAAAAATTATTCCTGGGCTATTTTGCTTTTTTGGCATACATCCTCAAAACCCAGGGTGCATTTTCTTTTTTTCTCTTTCCTTTCTTTCTTTCTTTCTTTCTTTCTTTCTTTCTTTCTTTCTTTCTTTCTTTCTTTCTTTTCTTTCTTTCTTTCCTTCCTTCCTTCTTTCTTTTCTTTTCTTTCCTTTCTTTCTTTTTTTTTTTTTTGAGACAGAGTTTCACTCTTGTCACCCAGGCTGGAGTCCAATGGCGCTATCTCGGCTCACTGCAACCTCCGCCTCCTGGGTTCAAGTGATTCCCCTATCAGCCTCCTGAGTAGCTGGGATTACAGGTGCCCGCCACCATGCCTGGCTAATGTTTGTATTTTTAGTAGAGATGGGGTTTCACCATGTTGACCAGGCTGGACTTGAACTAACCTCAGGTTATCCGTCCGTCTCGGTTTCCCAAAGTGCTGGGATTACAGGTGTGAGCCACCGTGCCTGGCCCCGAGTGTGCATTTTACACTTATATCTCAGTTCAGACTAGTTACATTTCAAATGCTTAATAGCCACAGACAGAGAATGGCTACTACGATGATCAGTGCAGATATAGAGGATTCAAATAATAGAATTAACAGAAAAGATAACAGAAGTAAGAAGTGAACTAAACTTTGTAACCTAAAAACAGAATACAGGCTGGGCCCAGTGGCTCACACCTGTAATCCCAGCACTTTGGGAGGCCAAGGCGGGTAGATCACGAAGTCAAGAGATCGAGACCATCCTTGCCAACATGGTGAAACCCCATCTCTACTAAAAATACAAAAATTAGTCGGGCGTGGTGGCACACATCTGTAGTCCCAGCCACATGGGAGGCTGAGGCAGGAGAATCGCTTGAACCTGAGAGGCGGAGGTTGCAGTGAGCCGAGATCATGCCACTGCACTCCAGCCTGGCGACAGAGCAAGACTCCGTCTCAAAAAAACAAACAAACAAAAAAACAACAACAAAAGCAGCATACAAACTTTACAAACTACCAAGGAAAATTTATAAATATTGATTAAACACTGAATTACAGGAAAATCAATAATTTCTTAAAAATTTAAAATTAGAAATTTTTTTTTCTTTTTTTTTTTGAGACAGGGTCTTGCCTTGTCACCCAGGCTGGAGTGCAGTGGCACAATCACGGCTCACTGCAGCCTCAACCTCCCGGGCTCAAGTGATTCACCCACCTCAGCCTCCCAAGTAGCCGGGACTAAAGGCTCATGTCTCCCTAATTTATTTATTTATTTATTTTGAGATGGAGTCTAACTTATGTCACCCAGGCTGGAGTGCAGTGGTGCGATCTCGGCTCACTGCAACCTCCGCCTCCCAGGTTCAAGTGATTCTCCTGCCTCAGCCTCCCAAGTAGCTGGGATTAAAGGTGCCCACGACCATGCCTAGCTAATTTTTGCATTTTTAGTAGAGACGAGGTTTCCCCATGTTAGTCAGGCTGGTCTCAAACTCCTGACCTCAAGTGATCCGCCCGCCTCGGCCTCCCAAAGTGCTGGGATTACGGGTGTAAGCCACTGTGCCCAACCAATTTTTAAAAATTTTTTGTAGAGATAGGGTTTCACCATGTTGCCCAGGCTAGTCTTGAACTCCTGGGCTCAAGAGATCCTCCTGCCTCAGCTCCTAAAGTGCTGCAGGCATGAGCCATCGTGTTTGGCCTAGAAAGATCTTATTTTATTACCACAGTGAAATAAAACCAGAACTTGATATTAAAAAGAGTAAACAAACCCCTCTACACTTAAACATTAAAAACACATACTCCTACATATATTATGAGTCAAAGAGAAACTCAAAAATTATAATTACCACTTAGGAGAAAACAGCCTATATAAAATGTTACAAGATATGACCAGCATCATGGAGTGACAAATTCATAGACTTAAATATTTTCGATGTTAAATAAGAAAGAACATAAGTAAATGCAATAAACACCAAACTCAAGAAGTCAGAACAGAACAATAAAACAAGTCTATGGGGAAAAGGAGGAAGGAAACAATAAAGATAAAAGCAGAAATTAGTGTATCAGAACAATGGTTTTCTAACAGTGCTCTCTGGATTCACAAGCCTCTGATAAGAAAGAAAAAGAGTGGGAAATTCCCTTCTCCTCACTCCCCTTTGATTTAATCACAAGTGCTTGGCTTTTATATGCCAGGATTTCACATACGGTTTTATTTTTTTTAAAGAGTTCCATTGTACAACTTAGTGGGTAAAAATCATAAGCCTTAAAAATAGCGGGGAAAGGCCAGGTGCAGTGGCTCACGCCTGTAATCCCAACACTTTAGGAGGCCCAGGCAGGCAAACTGCTTGAGCCCAGGGGTTCGAGACCAGCGTGGGCAACATGATGAAACTCCACAGAAAAATACAAAAATTAGCCAGGCATGGTGGCGCATGTCTGTAGTCCCAGCTACTTTGAAGGCTGAGGCAAGAGGATTGCTTGAGCCCAGGAGATGAAGGCTTCAGTGAGCTGAGATCATGCCACTGCATTCCAGCATGGGCAACAGAGTGAGACTTTGTCTCCAAAAAAAAAAAAGGCAGGGGAGGAATATATAAATGCTACATAAGTGTAAGTGTAAGAGCTGGAATTTTTCAGAGGGGGGGGAATCCAGTAAATGATAAACCATTAGTAAATGCAATCAAGAAGAAGGAGAGAAAGCACAAATATACAAAAATTAGGCAGAGTAAAAAGGAGCAAAAACAAAATTTTTAGAAAGATCATGAAATACTTTACAAAAGTGGTAAGAGTTCAAGTGCTTTTAATTTCTTTCTTTGTACTTTTATATATAATTTAAGTTTTGTGATAACAAGAATCATTTTATCTCTTTAAAAAGATATTTTGAAAAATAAAGTGCCATGTAAACAAAATAAAACACCAGGCAAATAAATTTGAAAATCTCAATGAAAAGTTGCTGAGAAAAATATAAATTTCTAAAACTAAATTGAGAAATGAAAAACCTGAATTCTGAATAAGCTAATAAGCAGGGGGAAAGAAAGTTGCCGAAATGTTTTTTATTTATTAAGTTCAAGTTTAGATAGTTTTATACATGTCTTTCAAACCTTTGAGTAATAAATAATTCTCATTCTATATAAACTATCCCAGAGCATACAAAAAGAGGAAAAGTTCAAATATTTGGTAAAAGCTACCATAACCCTAGTTCTAAAAGCACAGAAAGCAATCAGTTTAAGGTTAGTAGAGAGACAAAAGTCCTATATAAAATACTAGTAAATCAAACTTAGTAATACATTAAAATATTAATGTAAAGCTTATATTGGGAATGTAAAGATGTTTCAATACTATTGTTTCATTGTATATTTCTTTAATAGGTTAAAAAATCTAAAAAATTTCCTGATAAATGGCAAAAATGTCATCTAATGGTATTTATATCTACTAGTGACAAAACTGTAGTAAAACAGAAGTATTCCCCAATGCCAAAACTTTATGACTAAGATACTAAGGAAAGAAACTGTAGACCAATATACAATACATTTGCCCTTCAATTTAGAAAATGGTGCTACTCACAGTGAATGTGATCTGCAGGTGCCTGAGCAACTTCACTGCTGTACTTCACTACTCACTACTGAACAGCAAAGAGACTTAACAAGTTCCCTCGATAGGTCACCTCTCTATTTAACCAAGCTCCCCATCAACCTGATGGGTTTTCCACTAAGTGACCAACCTTTTTAAAATAAAATCTTTCCTAACATATACATCAGATCATGTCACATCAGGATAGGCTGAGCTACCTATGGGGTAGATACTGCTGTTCCATTTTCTGGGTAAAGAAACTTGCTCCCAGGTTACACACCTAGCAAGTGGTGCAACCAAGATAGTCTTACCATAAGATCCAGCAGTCATACTCTTAAGTATTTATCCAATTAAGCTAAAAATTTATGTCCACACAAAAATCTGCAAGTGAATGTTCATAACACATTTTCTCATAATTGCCAAAGAGTGGAAGCAACCAAAATGTCCCTCAATAGGTGAATAGATAAACAAACTGTGACACCTCCATACCCTGGAATATTATTCAGCATTAAAAAGAACTCTCAGCTGGGTATGGTGGCTCACGCCTACAATCCCAGCACTTTGGGAGGCCGAGGCGGGCAAATCACTTGTGCCCAGGAGTTCAAGACCAGCCTGGGCATCATGGTGAAACCCTGTCTCTACCAAAAATACAAAAAAGAATTAGCTGGGCATGGTGGCACGTACCTGTAGTCCCAGCTACTAGGGAGGCTGAGGTGGAAGAATTGCTTGAACAGGGAGGCATAGGTTGCAGTGAGCCGAGATTGTGCCACTGCACTCCAGCCTGGGTGATAGAGCAAGATCCTGTCTCAAAAAAAAAAAAAAAAAAAGGAATGAACTCTCAAGCTAGAAAAAGATAGAGTTCAGGAGTGGGCGAGGGATAAACAGGTAAGGCATAAGGGATTTTTAGGGTAGTGAAATTATACCGTATCATACTATAATGGCAGATACATGACATCATGCATTTGTTGAAACCTATAGAACTTTAAAACACAGAGTGAGCCTTAATGCCTGCAAATTTCAAGAAGTCATTTAGGAGGTTAGGAGATTTCAAGAAAGAATGTAAACTGTAACAACGTAATCTAACTGTATTACAAATCTAAGAAATAAATTCACTGAAGGGGAAAGGGAAAAGGCGCTGACCTAAGTAGCTTTGGAAATGAGCAGAATTTGCAAGACTACAGGCAAAAGGAACTGAACATAAACACTGAACTCTAGTCAATAAAGTTGTTTGCCATGGGTGTATGGGTTAACAATTCTTATACCGCTATACATGTTTACTGTAATTGAACAATTAAGTAAATGGATGATGAATGGTGGGTGCCAGGTTTCTCACTGTTGGAGTGGAAAGGAGGGGAAAAGGTAGCAAGAATAGCAAGGCGAAGAGTCTAGAATGATCCATGTGGTAATGAATTAGAATTGGAGACATCAGTAAGAGCCCATGTTTCACTTTACACAGATACAGTTGGTTATATATAGAAACATATAAATCAGGTTATTATTAATACATACACGTGTATTTCCTTGCTTTGTCAGCTAAGAGGACCTAAAAGAAATGACATCACAGTAACAAGGAGCATACCTAGCACAAACATCTTGATTTCTAGTACCAATCTTCAATAAAAGGAACCTAGGCTCCTTAGAAAATGGCTGATTCTAGGACTGGGGAAGGAAATATATAAGATGAGCCTAAAGGATCTTGTAGTGTCAGAAAGTAAGGAAGTGCTGAAAACACACACACACACAAGCACACAGACACTGATGGGACATGTCAAAAGGGGCGCAGGAGGTCGGGCGTAGTGGCTCACATCTGTAATCACAGCACTTTGGGAGGCCAAGGTGGGCGGATCACTTGAGGTGAGGAGTTTGAAACCAGCTTGGCCAACATGGTGAAACCTGGTCTCTACTAAAAATACAAAAATTAGTGGGGTGTGGTGGCAGGCACCTGTAATCCCAGCTACTTGGGAGGCTGAGGCACAAGAATCGCTTGAACCCAGGAGGTGGAGGTTGCAGTGAGCCAAGATCACACCACTGCACTTTAGCCTGGGTGACAGAGCGACAGAGCGAGACTCCATTTCAAAAAAAAAAAAAAAAAAAAAAAGAAAGGGGCACAGGAACCAACTGAAAGAGCTCCCAGTGGCCAAAACTGGAACAATTTCCACAACAAAATAAAGTAATATTGGATTATAACCCAAAGTATAAAATAAGTATGCACGATTCCATACTTATATCAATAAATGGTTGAATAGATAAATAAGTGAGGCCGGGCACGGTGGCTTGTGCCTGTAATCCCAGTACTTTGGGAAGCTGAGACGGGCAGATCACTTGAGGTCAGGAGTTTGAGACCAGTCTGGCCAACATGGCGAAACCCCATCTCTACCAAAAATACAAAAATTCACTGGGTGTGCTGGTGCCTACCTGTAATCCCAGATACTCGAGAGGCTGAGGCAGGAGAATTGTTTGAACCCAGAGGCAGAGGTTGCAGTGAGCCGACATCACGCCACTGCACACCAGCCTGGGTGGTAGAGCCAGATTCCATCTCAAATAAATAAATAAATAAATAAATAAATAAATAAATAAATGGGAGACAAGAGATGAATCTCCAGTGCAGAAGAATTTCAAATAATTTATGTACTACTCCACTCTAAAGTGGGGGAGCATAACTCCCACTCCTTAAGTGTGGGGTGCACATAGCAACTGTCTTCCAAAGAGTATGGAAAGGATGAATAAGAAGTCACCTTACAATAGAGAAACCTGACAAACATCATATCAGCCAGGTGATCAAAGTCAACATTAACAGTCATAATCATGCTGATAGCACGTACACTTGACATGATGGGACGAAAATAGCACTTTTCCTCTGTGATCTTCCTCCTCAAAACCCATAACCCTAGTCTAGTTATGAGAAAAAGACCAGACAAATTTTAATATAGGGGCATTCTACAATATACCTCACCAGTACTCCTCAAAACTGTCAAGGTCCTCAAAAACAAGAAAGGTCTGGGAAACTGTTACAGCAAGAGGCGCCCAAGGAGCCTAAACTAAACGAGGTATCCTGGATGGGATCCTGGAACAGTAAAAGAACATTAGGCAAAAACTAAAGAAAACTGAATGAAATGTGGATTTTAGTTAAGAATGTATCTGTTCTGGTTCATTAAGTGTAACAGAAGTACAATACTAATCTGAAATGCTCACAATAAGGGAAACTGGAGGAGAAAGGAGGAATAGGGGAACTCTGTACTATCTGCTTAATTTTTCTATAAATCTGAAACTGTTCTAAAAATATAAAGCCTATTAATTTAAAAAGTGGCATATGGTATAATCTTAATGTTTTGCAAATAAAAAAAAGATAGGGTTCAATTCATTCATTAACCTGATCTTTACTGAGTCCTTCCTTTGTGCCAGTCAGGCACTGTGATAAATAACAGAACATTAACAATGGCCATCTCTGGGTAGTGAATTGCTGCCATTTTCATCATCTTCTTTATATTCTCTATATTTCTAAATGTTCTAAATATATGTGTTTTGGAATCAGAAAAAAATAAGTAAAATAATCATTATGCAAGCATGAGGTAATATTACTCACAAATTGGATAGACTTTAATTTTTGGTCCTCATCTTCATTTCACTCAGTAGTAGTGCGATCAGCTCAAGTCGTTGTGAAAAAGGAAAGGAAGCCCCCTGGTCAGAGATCAAATGGGGAATAAAGAAGATCCTACAGGAGGTGGAGTGTTAAAGTATATACTTTATTCCTGTAGATGATTAATACTATACCTATATATAATTTTGAACATCAACTCTTCTTACTAAATTCATTTTCCTCCAGCTTTCTTGAGTAATAACTGACAAATATCCTTACTAAATTATAAGTAAAATAGCCTATGTAATTATAGTTGTGCATACTAAAATTGTTAAAAAATAATTAACATGATATAATTATCCCCCAATGATGTCACTAAGGACAAGCTGTTTTTATTATGATTTTACTTTTCAAGTTTGCTCCATATTAATTTTTAAAAGACTTCCTTTCAAAACACTTTAGGAGGTCACATGTTAATTTAAGTACTTGTTTCTTTACCTGCACTACTCAGGGGAATAAAAGTTCACAAAGATAACTTCTTCCATCTGTCTCATCCAGCTTTTTAAAAAAATCTGCTCTAAAAATACGCCCACACACTTACTAGATGAATAAGCATATAACCAAAAAAAAAAACCATAAAGAAGTAAAAAGCAAGGTCTACATGAGAGATCATATCTCTAGTATTATATGTGCTTTCCAATTCATTTTATGAAGCCAGTATAACTCTGATACCAAAACTTGATGAAGACCTAGGAAAGGAAACTTCAGACCAGTATATAAAACATTTGCTTTTCAGGGCTGGGCGCAGTAGCTCACGCCTGTAATCCCAGCACTTTGGGAGGCTGAGGTGGGTGGATCTCCTGAGGTCAGGAGTTTGAGACCAGCCTGACCAACATGGAGAAACCCTGTCTCCACTAAAAATACAAAATTAGCCAGGCATGGTGGCACATGCCTGTAATCCCAGCTACCAGAAAGGCTAAGGCAGGAGAACTGCTTGAACCTGGGAGGTGGAGGTTGCAGTAAGCCAAGATCGTGCCATTGCACTCCAGCCTAGGCAATAAGAGCAAAACTCCGTCTCAAAAAAAAAATATATATATATATATATATTTGCTCTTCAATGTAAAAGATGATGCCACTCACAGTGATTACAACCCATAACCCAAAGAGGCCCCTCAGAACACACTACTCACCACTGAACAGGGAAGAGATTTTAAAAGATCTCTCAATATATTACCTCCTTTATTTAACCAAGGTCATTATTCTATCTGGTGGGTTTTCTATGAAGTGATCAACCTTTTACAAACAAGAGCTCTTCTAATATAAACATCATGTGCAGTCACATCTGAATGCCTTGAGCTTCCTGTAAGTGTAACACCCAGTGTGAAAAGCACCACTAACTGCATAAGAACATCCCCCAGATGCTTCTAACATCGCAGCATTCACTCTATGTAGGACCTGATGCTACAGAGTCTTCCCACAGTTACCTTTAACTAGGGAGTGAACAATACCGCATGGTGTAAATGTCCTCAGACCAAAGAGAAAAGGCAAAAATCAAAAACAACCATAAACAATGCTACATTGTCTAAATGCATTTATTCTTCAAGAAATATTTGTTGAATGCTTATCACAGGCTAAGCACAAAAAGTAAACGAAATAGATCTAATCTCTACCTTAACTAAGAGTTTACAGTCTAGCAAAGAATATAGACTTAAATAGACAATCAGAATAAATTGTGACAACAAAGGAAGTTATGGGTGTACAGGCCCATAGTAGAGGCACCTAGTCTCGAGGGGAAGGTAAATCACGGAAGGCCTCTCAGAGAACTCATCTTTCACCTGAAACCCCCAAAATTAGCAGGCCAAGAATGTGTACTGGGGGAAAGGTGGGAAGTTGGTGAGATGAGGAAAAGAATGGCCCAGGCATGGGAACATCATATGCAGAGGTCCAGAGGTGAGAGATCACAGTTTAGTTGGAGAGACAAAAAATTTCAAATTGGAGGGCAGAACACAGAGGTCAGGAGAAGGGTGGTGAAAGATTAATATGGAGGGCAAGCTTGTAGCAATATACAGTATTTTATACTAAAAGTAATACAAAATCATTTGAAGTCGCATATTTAAAACTTAAACACAGCTCTGACAAAAATGCATCTTTCTGTTATAATTCATAGCTGCCCTAAAACGAAAATTCTCTCAGCTTCCAGGTAGCTTATAGGTATCTATGTCAGCAAGTCAGGGTAGGAAAAGCAAACAGGAAAAGATGACTGAAGGACAAGGGAAAAGAGGGTATTTGCAACACTAGAGGCATGATATGATTATCACACCCCAGCGAAAAACTGCTGTAGAATTTGAAGGCCAGCTGAAAAGATTCTGAGTTGGCAAGATGCACCCAAGAGCACTAGGTTTTGTAGACTGGTGAAAGTTTCTTACATTCTCCCAAATTCTCTCATCTTGTACATTCACAAAGCTGCTCTTCTGTTTATTTAGAGGAGAATGACATCTTATGGGTCATATTTTTCAAACTACTAAAAGATTAAGGTTGCCTCCTGTTTTCTAAGTAATGCTCCTAGTACACTAAAAGCAAAAAATATTTGTCTGTGTTCCCTAACAGTTGCAAGGGTTTTTGTTGATATATGTTTCTAAAACTCAAAAGTTCACTTCAATCAACCTTTTATTTGGAGGCAGGATGAATGGCCAAATGCTGTTGAAAACAACTCCACCGACCAAATACCAATCAAAGTGTTCCTAGAGGGGAAATTTCGTAAAAGTATTTGAACTACTAAAGCAGAACTCACATTTCCAAAAAGAAAAATGGCATAAATTTCTGCCTATTCTAGCATTACACTCAAGAAAATACTTGAGGTTTTTGTCTATGGGGAAAAGGGTTAGCACCACCCTTTGGCAAAAAAAAATTAAAAAATAAAAAAAAGTCTCAAGTACTGGCAAATACTCTTCACATGTGAATGCTTGTCCTCACTGGGCATAATTACAGAAATGTCCATTCTCTCTCTTTGTTGGTGATTTTATTCTCGTTTTACTTCATCAGCCCCCTGCATACTTCTGCCATCATCCCTCGTCCCATCCCCTAACCCCTCTCCTCTTTTCATAGCCCTCTAAGCCTGTTGGTTGGCAGTCACACTCTCAACAGAAAGATAGAGTTGGAGGTGGGAGTGCAGGAGAGGGAAAGAAGGGAGAGACATAAGAAGAAATTCTGTTCTCCCTTCCCTTTCGGCCCTTCCACTGGTTCTCACCTCCTCCCTACGTGGGGCCCCATTCCTGCCCTCATTCTGTCCCCTTAGATGGTCTCTTCCCTAATCCTCAGAACCCGAACCTGGCTCCCATCAGCTCCTCACTCCTGCCCAGCCCTGCTCAATGGAGTCATTCCCCAGTCACAAGTACCAGCATCAGAGAGCTTGGAGTTGGAGAGGAGGGGGATAAAGAGTGCACTCCCCCAACTAACAAGAGGAAGCAAGTAGAAGGGGGAGATATTCAGCAGAGAAGGAGTTTTCAGAAGCCCAAGTTGGAAGGTGAGCCCCCATCAAAATATTGTCTATAGTCCTCTTCTCTAGGTATAATACTTGAAAAGTAGTTTTTAAAAAATAGGTTGGCCTGCAAATCAGCCTAAAAACACGGTCCTTTTTCCCATAAAAACATTGCTTCTATAAGAAAATATCTAAGTGAACATTGGAAAATAATCTATGTATTGACTTTTAAAAAATTGTAGGAGCAGGATGCTATTTCAGCCTCATCTTCTCTTAAATTTTCAATGATACCTGTATTTTTTTTTCTAGTTATAAGGAAAATGTTTCCTTTATCTTGCAGACACTTCACTCTGAATACTTTGAAGCAGTTAAAACCTAAAAGACCAGACATCACCCCTCCCAGTTGGAGATGGGACCCTGGGTGGAAAAGGGTAGAGGGATAGAAAAGGTTTGTTGGGTTTGTGGAGGAGAAGAGGAAAGGAGAACAAGCAAAGGAGGGACTCCCAGGGGTCCATCCCAGGGCTCTCCTTGTACTGGTGGTGGTGGGCAGGGACTAAAAATCTGTTTGTGTTATCCCCAGGACTTCCATGAGTGAACTACTAACAGTAAGACAATCTTTCCAAAAATAATGGGCTATGCCTAACCACCTTGTCATGTCTAGCCAACCATGCCTGCCACACCAAAACAATCTCCACCTTGGAAACAGTAGAAAACCATATTTCATTCTAGGGTATCTGAGTATTCTATACATTTAATTAAATGTCACAAGTATCTCGTTAAGTTACATATTGCTATTTTATGGAAGAAAGCAACCTAGTTGGTAATCCCACTTGTATAAAGTCTCATTGACAGCTTCTGGTAGAAACAAAAATAATAATTCCCAATTCCCTGTCACAGGTACACTGAAGTTATCAGACCATTAGGATTTCTGCAGTCACTCTTAAATATATCACTAAAATCAAACCTCTAAGACTTTAGTGTTTAATTTTCCTGTCCTATTAATTGAAACCTTCATGGAAACCTTCACTATTTTCACATCAATTACATAAAAGTACCATAGTGGGGAAAAATGACTTTCAGTTTGTCTAGAACATGTTTTAAACTTACCTAAAACTTTTGATCTGAAAAATGTCATCATTAAGGCATATACTTTTTACCTTTTGCCAAGAAGGAAAACGTGTTGGCAGGCTAAAATCAAACCTTATACCTACCAGCTTTGTTTTGGTTTGCAGGAAGTTGTCAGCATTACAATAGAAAAGTCGTGGGCATGTTCTGGTTGTGGCTAGGTTCGACCTGCTAACTGTGTTTGCCCCATGACCTAAGAAATGTGCAGTGTTTGTATTTTTAATTTTCCTTCTACCTCCTGTAGAGGAAAAATGAAAATACCTATATACTCACAACACAGAGAAAACAAAAACCAGAAACTAAAACAATGAGAGTACTTTAGATCAAGTTTTAACTAGCAGCTAGCCTAGAAATCCAGGATTAACACTTTTGCAATCTTTATTTGAGAGTTTAAGAATATATTCTATAGAAACATCTGCATATGGCCAGGTGCAGTGGCTAACGCCTGTAATCCCAGCACTTTGGGAAGCCGAGGCAGGAGGATTACCTGAGGTCAGGAGTTCAAGACCAGCCTGGGCAACATGATGAAACCCTGTCTCTACTAAAAATACAAAAATTAGCTGGGCGTGGTGGCACATGCCTGTAATCCCAGCTACTCAGGAGGTGGAGGTGTGAGAATCACTTGAACCCAGGAGGCAGAGGTTGCAGTGAGCTGAGATTGTGCCATTTCACTACAGCCTGAGTGACAGAGCGAGACTTCGTCTCAAAAAAAAAAAAAAAAAGAAAAAGAAAATTCTGCATATGTACACTAAGATACACAGATAAAGATGTTTTCTACAGCAGTGTGGATATATAAAATATTTGGAAACACCTTAAACATCCATCAATAGGACAATTGCTAAATAAATTGTTAAATACTATGTAGCAGTTTAAATATATATACACATAGATAGATGGATAGATTGATTTGCATGAAAAAGTCTCCAACACTGCTATGGTAAAAAAAAACAACAACAACAATAAAAACAAACCAGGGTGGGTGCAGTGCCTCACACCCGTAATCCCAGCATTTGGGGAGAGAAAGGATTGCTTGAGCTCAGCAGTTTAAGACCAGACTGGACAATACAGCAAGACTCTCGTCTCTACTAAAAATAAAAATAATTAGCTGGGCATGGTGGCATGCACCTGTTGTCCCAACTATTCAGGAGGCTGAGGTGGGAGAGTCACTTGAGCCTGGAAGATTAAGGCTGCAGTGAGCCGTAATCGTGCCACTGCGCTCCAGCCTGGACAACAGAATGAGAACTTGTCTCTAAAAAACCCCAAGAAACAAACAACCACCCCACCAAATATTCTATATACTTCTATGTTGTGCAAATATTTTACAATAAAAATATATCTATCAATTATTTTCATAATTTAAAAAATGCATGGGCCATGACATCAACCAGAATGTCTAAAAATAAAAAGACTGCAATACCAAATGTTGGTAAGGATATGGAGCAACAGGAACTCCCATATACTGCTTGTGGAAGTGGAAAATGGGTATAATCACTTAAGAAAAGTATTTGGAGTTTAACATACAACTACCCTATGACCTAGTAATTCCACTCCTAGATATATTTATCCAAGATAAATGAGTGCTTATGTTCACAAAACAAGTTATACAAGAATGCTCATAGCAGCTGTATTCATGATAGCCAAAAACTGAAAACAATTCATTGTTTATCAGCATAAGAATGGATAAACAAATTGTGGAATATTCACACAATGGAATACTATTTAGCAAAAAGGAACAAACCAATACACACAATAACATGGATACATTTCAAAAATACAGTGTGGACAACAGATACAAAAAAGTACATACTGATTGCATTATGATAGAAGTCAGAACAGTTATTAGCTCTGGGAGGGAATACTGACTGGAAAGGAAACTTTCTAGGGGGATGGAAGGTGGTGTGGGTGTATATTGATAAGGTATCTTGATCTGGGGAGTGGTCACATAGGTGTCTATATATGCTTAAGTCAACCAATTTTAACACTTAAGATAAATGGTATGTAAGTCATACCTAAAGTGCTAAGAAGAAAGGGAGAAAAATGGATGGAAGGGAGGGAGGAAGAGAGGAAGAAAAGAAGAGAGAGGGAGGGAGAGAGGGAGAAAGAAACATTAGGCTGTTGCAAAAGTAATTGCAGATTTTGCCATTTAAAAGTAATGGCAAAAACCTCAATTTTTGCATCAACCTAATAGATGGATGAATGGATAAAAGGGCTCATACAAAAAGTTATGAGAAAGAAAAGAATTTGGGGCTTTTTTTTTTTTCCAAAACAGTGTCTTGCTCTGCCACCCCAGGCTGGAGTGCAGTGGTGCTATCTTGGCTCACTGCAACCTCCAACTCCCGGGTTCAAGCAATTATCATGCCTCAGCCTCCAGAGTAGCTGGGATTACAGGCATGCGCCACCACACCCAGCTAATTTTTGTTTTTACTAGAGACGAGGTTTCACCATGTTGGTCAGGCTGGTCTCGAACTCCTGACCTCAGGTGATCCACCCGCCTCAGCCTCCCAAAGTGCTGGGATTACAGGCGTGAGCCACCATGCCCGGCCAGAAAAGTTATTTTTAAAGGAGTGTAGTTTAAGAAGGTTTACTAAAATGCAGTGAATAGATGTTTTCTGTAGCTACCTATGCACCCCAGCCTACTTCTCATACTAGATTTATAATATATAGTACCTTAATTAATTCCAGCTACTACAATATTGGTTTAACTAAGCACAAATATGTGCCATTGGATATATTTTAGTAAAGCGTCTATTATTTGAATAAAAATTTTATTTTCCCATAACATACTCATATTAGAATGTCAACAATGTTAGGAGGAGACCCTAAATGAGAATTCAAATAATTCACAAATGATTTTATTAGAGTCAGCAGCCTTGAGGAAGACTTGCTATCTGGATGGTAAGACCACTCTATTCCTGAGCTCAGATCTGTCCTATCTTCCATGTAAATGCTGGATACTAAAATTAAGCAGTGGAACTCAAAGACTCCAAACCTGAAAATCCATCTGTTATAATCACCTAACCTATAATGCAGCACTGACAAACTGGAAAGCAAGCAATGAACTCGGAAACACAGGGGAAACAAATATGAATAAATGTAGCAGAAATTATAGGATTTCTGTAGGGTGTAATGGCTTATAACATGAAAAAATTAGATCTATGATAGTTAGGTCAATATGTTAAGATTCTCAGATGGTGGTAAAACTTGATACTTACCTTATTTTTCCTATATTTAAAATGATTAAAAACTGTTTAAGTATTATACTTATGAAATTAGGTAAAAATATTATCTTAATAACTGGTACTACAGTTCCTCTTAGGGAAAGAACTGTCATTGTTTGGGAAAATAACTTGTTTTGCTGTGTGTCACTATTGGTGGGAACCTAAACAACTATACAGATAGTTAAACTGCCTTTTCATGTGGCAGGGAAAAAAATATATGTATTTTTTACTTTAGATAGGATAAAGAAAGAAAGTGACAATGAGAAGGCATAAGGCTGGGAACTAAATCAAGTGAAAGAATAGAGGATATACCCTGATAACTGGGGTGGCAGAAGGGTATTTAGGAATAGGAATGCCTAATGCTCAAATCATTTGCATGACTGTAATGTAAACCCTTCCTCCCCATCCTGGCACCCCCTGATTCTCCAGGGATGTTTTCTATACTCATAGGGACTTCATGTGAATAGGCTTTTGTGGAAATTGAGAAGGAAAACATGTCTAGGCCAGGGCTTCTCAACCTCAGCACTATTGACAATTCGGGCTGGATGATTCTTTACTGTGGAGGGAGTGTCCTGTGCATTGTAGGAAGTTTAGCAGCATCCTTAGCTTCTACCCACTAGATGCCAGGAGCACCCTCCCGAGCTGTAACAACCAAAACGTCTCCAGATGTTGCCAAAAGCCCCCAGGGTCAAAATCACCCCTGTTGGCAACCACTGGTTTGGGCCTACACAACCCAGGACAGACAGCATGCATAGCAGCAGGGAAGCCTGGAGGGAAAGCTGACCTTGACAAGGCATGCTCTTTGAGAATCACCCTGATCCTGAGGAGAGCTGTGAACTTCCATGGGGAGCAGCTCTTACCTAGAGTTCAAAAGACCTAGGCAGTCCATCTAACACTAGACGATAATCAGAATGAAGTTCAAATATCTCTACCACGTTTTTTTAAATTTTAGCAAACAAAAGGGAGGAGAATAGACCTTTTTTTAAAAACTGGGAATTAATGCAAAATACTAGTTTTACACACACAAAATAGAGTGTTCTTTTTTTTTTTTTTTTTTTTTTAAAGACGAATTTTGCTCTGTCACCCAGGCTGGAGTGCAACGGCACGAGGCGGGAGGCTCACTGCAACCTCTGCCTCCCAGGTTCAAGTGATTCTCCCGCCTCAGCCTCCTGAGTAGCTGGGATTACAGGCGCCTGCCACCATACCTGGATAATTTTTTGTATTTTTAGTAGAGACGGGGTTTCACCATCTTGGCCAGGCTGGTCTCGAACTCCTAACTTCAGGTGATCTACCCACCTTGGCCTCCCGAAGTGCTGGGATTACAGGTGTAAGCCACCATGCCCAGCCACAAAACAGGGTATTCTATAACAAGGCAAGGAACACTTATCTTTCCTGATATGCTCAGTCATACACAAACAGACTAGGTAAAGCTTCAAGTGCCATCTCAGAGAATCCTTTTGTGACAAAACAAAATTTCAACTGAAACATCAGGGTAGAAAAATTATATGCCTGGGAATCTATAAGAATATAGAAAACTCAGAGAACTGCAGGCTAGGTGACAACAAAAGCAATGAAGCTAATTTTCTCTCCTTCCTCCATAAAGTTTCTCATCAAAATGATCACTAGACTCTGAAGGAAAGAAATGGAGATTTTGAAAGAATCCCTAAAAGTCGGGCTGGGAGCGGTGGCTCACACCTGTAATCTCAGCACTTTGGGAGGCTGAGGCGGGCAGATCACGAGGCCAAGAGATCGAGACCATCCTGGCCAACAAGGTGAAACCCCATCTCTACTGAAAATACAAAAATTAGCTGGGCTTGGTGGTGTGCACCTGTAGTCCCAGCTACTCGGGAGGGTGAGGCAGGAGAATCGCTCGAACCCAGGAGGCAGAGGTTGCAGTAAGCCAAGATTGCACCACTGCACTCCAGCCTGGTGACAGAGTGAGACTCCATCTCAAAACAAACAAAAAGCCTCCCATAATGGAGAAGAAGGATAAAAACAGGGATGGGCCACCAATATAAGCAAAAGACCATGACTGGGAGTTTTACTGTGGAAAGGCAGCTGCCAAAACAAACAAACAAAAGAGGTCAGCTGGATAACTCAAGTGAAAAAAAATTTAATTTTATTTATCAGACATTTATATGGTGTTTAGTACATACCAGATACTGTTCTAAATTCTTTTCAAATATTCATTCCTTTATTCTTCATATAAATTCTGTAAGATAGGTACCACTATTATCTCAATACTACAGATAGGTACCATTATTATCTCAATATTACAGATCAAGAAACTGAGACCCATGGTCCATTTAGTGAGTAAATGGTAGTAAGAAAGTGGAAGAGTTAGAATTTGAATCTAGGCAAATTGCACACAGAGAAAATATACAGGACCTATGAGAAAACATTAATGTTCAAAAAGAAAAGATCACCTGAAGAACTAAAGACAATGCCTCCTTCTGAAGCAGATTTATTATTAAAGAACAGAAATGTTTAGAAAATTTCTAATTCTCGGCAACATCCAAAAAGTCATTAAATGTACAAATCAGCACTTTATAGACGTAATGAAAATGAGACAATGAATGATGAGGAAAGAATACATGGCAACTTTTTAAAAAATAAATAAATGTTGAATTTAAAACCATAATGAAAGCAATGACAGATGAGACAGTAAAAAAGATGAAACAGAGAGAGCATATCAGGAGTCCAATATATGTATGCTATAAACCCAAGTATGACAGAATAAAACAGATGGAGCAGAAG
Source organism: Homo sapiens (assembly GCF_000001405.40). Lineage (NCBI taxonomy): Eukaryota > Metazoa > Chordata > Mammalia > Primates > Hominidae > Homo > Homo sapiens. The sequence continues at coordinate 48,423,015 of NC_000017.11, forward strand.
CATAATAGAAGAAAACTTTCCCAACTCAAAGGGAGACCAGAGTCCATAGATCAAGCAGGTTCACTACATACCAGGCAAAATTATTAAAAGGCCTTCCTGGCATGCTATTGAACAACAACAACAAAAAGTATTAAAAAGTCTAAGTAAGACCTTGATACTAACTAGTGACATTTTTGAGAGCAAAGAAAAATATTCTATACTACCCCAGCTGAGAGGAGTGGATTATAAATGAAATATACCAGGCTGGCATCACACTTCTCCTTCACAAAACTGAAGGCCAAAAAATAATGGCACAATTTTTAGAGGCTTAGTTGAGGGGAGGTTGAAGGAAGGGGAAAAGTGTGACCCCAGAACTTCATGCCCACAGCTAAGTTTATATGAAATAAGGGAGACACATTCTCAGACATACAGAGGCTTAGTAAGCCTATTATCAAAGTACCCTTCCTGAGAAATTCACTCAGCATTATATTCTAGATCATCAACTACCAGGACTTTACACACTGTCCAGTACAGTAGCCACTGTGGCTACTAAGCAGCTGAAATGTCGCTAGCACAACTGAGGAACCAACTTTTTTTTTGTATTTAATTTAATTAATAATTTAAATTGAAATAGCCACATGTGGCTAGTGACTATTATGGTCAACAGCACAGTGTTAATATCTAAGAGATAAAATAGCGTTCAAGGATGAAAAATTCATGGTACCAAAAGTAAGAAATGAACAAGTTAAGCAGGGAAAACATTCTTGTTTGTTTGTTTTCTGAGACAGGATCTCACTACATTACCCAGGCTGGGGTGCAGTGGTGCAATCTCACCTCACTGCAGCCTCAACCTTCTGGGCTCAAGTGATCCTCCCACCTCCGCCTCTCAAAGGGTTGGGATTATAGGCATGAGCCACCACGCCTGGCCCGATTTTTATTTTAAGACATTAGGGTAAAACTATTTGTGGAATAAAAATAGGGTATATAACTTGAAGGCAAAAAAAAACTCACTTAACGATTGTCTTATTCCATTTGAGCTGCTATAACAAAATACTACAAACTAGGTAGCTTATAAACAACATAAATTTATTTCTCAAGTGGGAAACTGGAAAGTCCAGATCAACGGCAGATTCAGTCTCTGCTGAGGGCCTGCTTTTTGGTTCATAGATAGCACCTTTTAACTGTGTCCTCACATAGTGGAAGGAGTAAGGCAGTTTTCTGGGACCTCTTTTTTTTTTTTTTTTTTTTTGAGAACGGAGTCTCGCTCTGTCACCCAGGCTGGAGTGCAGTGGCGCGATCTCAGCTCACTGCAAGCTCTCCCTCCCGGGTTCACACCATTCTCCTGCCTCAGCCTCCCGAGTAGCTGGGACTACAGGCGCCCGCCACCACGCCCAGCTAATTTTTTGTATTTTTAGTACAGACGGGGTTTCACCGTGTTAGCCAGGATGGTCTCAATCTCCTGACCTTGTGATCCGCCCACCTCAGCCTCCCAAAGTGCTGGGATTACAGGCGTGAGCCACCGCGCCCGGCCCTCTGGGACCTCTTTTATAAGGGCATTAATCACCTCCCATCACATTTGTAATTAGATTTCAACATAAAAATTTTGGCAAATCACAAACATCCAGAGCATAGCCGTGATCTAAGAAAACCCTCAGGAAAGGCCAGGCACGGTGGCTCATGCCTGTAATGCCAGCACTTTGGGAGGCCGAGGCAGGCGGATCACGAGGTCAAGAGATCAAGACCATTCTGGCCAACATGCTGAAACCCCGTGTCTATTAAAAATACAAAATTAGCTGGGTGTGGTGGCGTGGGCCTGTAGTCCCAGCTACTCAGAAGGCTGAGGCAGGAGAATCACTGGAACCTGGGATGCGGAGGTTGCAGTGAGCTGAGATCACTCCACTGTACTCCAAACTGGAGACAGAGTGAGACTCTGTCTCAAAAAAAAAAAAAAGAAAAAGAAAAAGAAAATGAAAACCCTCAGTAAGGCCAGGCGGGGTGACTCATGCCTGTAATCCCAGCACTTTGGGAGGCTGAGGCAGGCAGATCATGAGGTCAGGAGTTCGAGACCAGCCTGGCCAACATAGTGAAACCCTGTCTCTACTAAAAATATAAAAATTAGCCTGTCATGGTGGCGTGCGCCAGTATTCCCAGCTACTCAGGAGGCTGAGGCAGAAGAATTGCTCGAACCTGGGAGGCGGGGGTTGTGGTGAGCCAAGATTGTGCCACTGCACTCCAGCCTGGGCAACAGAGTGAGACTCCATCTCAAAAAGAAACGAAAACCCTCAGGAGACAATAACAAGTGAAAAATTATAAGTAGAAAAATCAATAGACAAACCTGTGCACAAATATGTCCCAACTTTTAAAGTATATCCATATAATGAACACTGAGAAAAATACATGGAAATTTAACAATTATTGATTCTGAGTAACTGTATCCTATTGTGTGTTTTCTAAATTTTCTATAATTAGCATTATTACTTTTATAATCAGAAAATTTTAACATAAAAAAGGAATAGAACTATAGTTATATCTCACTTTTCAGAATTCAACTGAGCAGTAGCCTCACTGATCTGCAAGACAATCCAGTTTCAAAAATTAAGCAAAAAAGATTCTGAGCAGCCAAAATACATCTTACAAAGCCCACACTTAAAGGTGTGGGTACTTTGTTCATCAAGAAAGCTCTTTGTAACTTCTTTTACATATATCTCAATTCCAACTAACGTGGTTATCTGATGTACCAGAAGCACTGGGAATGTAGACACACAGACAAGGGTGCAAAGTGATAGGCCTTGGCCTAACAGCAAGAAAAAAATAATGAAAATAAAAATATAAAGCAGACACAGACACTTACAAAGCAGTTCAGGGGCAACTATGGCCAAACATCCTAAACAATATATTACCATAAAGTATGGTAATAGATATTCACTATAACAACTTTGAGTTAAAGAGTGCTCTAAAGAGGTTCATTTGAAGATAGCCGTAGACTGGTTGGCTAAAGAAGAAAAATTCCTAATGCATTTTAGGAAAAACCTGATCACAAATATTTATAAGAAGAAGAAAAGAGTGCTTAAAGAGAATCTCCTCAGCTATCCAGAGCAACTCATTTCTGCAAGTTCCCCACAGTTGGAATTTTACTATACTGAAACGGATTTTATGATTGACTGCATTGACTAATACAGATCTGGAGAACAATCTGGAAGGAAATGATTAATGACTGCTTCTTTACAAGGAAGTTTAAAAATAAATAACTATAGGCATATCAGAATCAGCATTAACACAGCAATTGCTACTACATGCAGCCAGGTTGTTAATGTTATTTTGGCTTAAATCCATATTCTGGGCAGGATTTAGTACCATGTAGGCAGTTGGGACCTATCAGCTACCAGGGTAATGTCAGTAGGCCCCATTCCATCACACAGGACAAACTACGAACCAAAGAAATATCTATTCCACCTCCTTCATACTTGTCTCTTTTGCTTCTGACTTCAAAAGCAGGGCTAGAAAGACCAGGAAGAAGAGACTGATTATGTTTATATCTGTGGAGCAAAGATTATGCAAACTGCCAGCACTTCATTGTTTTTGTTTTCGGTGTGGTTATCACAGAACAAAAACAAAAAGATAACTTCTACATCTGAAGCCCCATTATTTGAAAACAGACCTGAATATTTCCTCCTCTTTCAATAAAGCAGAAAGCACCCTCCATTTTACTTATCTATGAGGTATTTATTTGTTGATAGGGGACTAGTTACTATTTCTATATGAGAGCTTGACAGAGTCTATCTAAAGAAGCTATTTCCTGAGTTACTCTAGAAACCTCACACTGTTTTGATATTTGCCAAAAATCCAAGATAGCGTGTTTTTTTTTTTTAATTTCTCCACCTTCCATACCCCTCAGGGCTAAAAAGAGAAAAACATGATCACAAGCATAGTAAATGGTCCGTTAGCACTCTGACCTCTCTGAGTTTCTATTTGTCTTTTGTTCCTTTTTCTTTTAAATACCCTTACTGTTTATTTTTTCCTGTTTACAGAAGTAATGCATGGTCATTGTCACAATTCAAACAACACAAAGATGTATGAAATAAAAATTAATAACCTCCCCTCCTCCAAACTCTCAGTCTTCTCTCAAGGAAGCCAATGTTAACAGTCTGGTATATATTCTTTTTTACTTATTCCTAGGCTTACACAAATATTTATAACATATGTGGCTTTTCTTGTTTTGTCTTTTGGTTTTCAAGCAAAAATGGGATATTACATGTACTATCATGCATTTTGCCTTTTAGTCTTAAAAATATGCCATGGACACTTTCCAAGCCTATATATAGATCCACAGAATACTCTTTTAGTGGCTGTGAAGTATTCCATGAGACAAATGTCCCATAATTCATTCAACCATCACCCTGAGTCTCCCAACTTATTAACATTTAGCATAGATCTTCGTGCATATACTACTTCATGACCTTTCACTTCAGTGACAGATTTTTAGAAGTGAGGTTTCTAGGTCGAGTGAAACATTTCCAAGTGTCTCAAATTTTATATTTAAACAAAATTAATTTTAGGCCTTGGGAATTTCTGTTCTCTTCATTATGCAAAATTTTGTTATCTACCTTTCACAATGCTTTACATATTTTATTCTTAAAAGCACACACATTATGTCAAAAAATGCCCCTGTCATTTATGCTTGTGTAGTTATAAATAAATAAATGCTTAAGTTATGGCTGTGATGTCCAGTGTTAAATCACTGTGCAAATGCTTATGCCTTGGTTTATGAAAGTAGTAATTCATTGTGGAAACCCCACCCCCACAGCCATGTGGCAGCACTAGAGTTGCAGCCCTCACATCCTGTGACTCCCTCCCACAGAGTGACTATATAGAGATCAGGACCTCCATTTTTTCTAATTGTCAACAGTTAACCTTAAAAAGTGTGTGGTGGGGGAGACAAATAGCAACAAACAACAAATTGATGGCCATTTTGGGTTTCTAATATGGACAGATTATTTGTAACACAATGAATAATCCTCCTGGTCTACACCAGCGACTGTGTTCCAAAAGAAATAAAACTTGTAACCAATATATTGCTATTATTATTACAGGAACCTTTAAAAAACATATCTTCAAACATTTTTCAATAGAATTACTGGATGAATCACACTTTACATTTTTTTCTCTACTTCAGATTCAAGTTCTAATTGCAAACTTAAAAAAAAAAGCCTTAAAGAAATACATTAACCAACGAAGCTCCTTATAATTTGGTTTCAGACTCCTCCATATATTTTAAAGACCTGAGCACCAACAGAGATTGTTAAGATACAGCAAGCTTGATACAGAAGTATGCGACATGCAATTAATCTCCATTCATACCCCGCTCTACTTGTCAGCAAACAAAGGTTCTGCTTTAGAAGGAGATCTGAAGACTTCAATTAAAAACAGTCAGCTAACAAGAAAATAATCTAAGCTAAAGGAAGGTGGCAGGTGCAGAAATGAGTTGTTTACCAAAGTGTCAGTTTTGAACAATGAAGAACTGCACATCAAAAATGCTGAAGGAATGGATTTCATTGCAAGCCTCTGAAAATAAAAAGGAATTTTCTACCAAGCCTAGACACAAAACTGAAGTATAGTTTAATAAGCTTATAAAATAGGTTTCCTCTCATCAAATGACAGATACCAATAAAAAGAATCAGTTTATATATTTCAATGCAAGGGCAGAGTTAAACTTTTTGCCACAGTCCCTTCTTTCCTAGAAACCAAAGACAATTACAGCCTTCCTTCACAAGCCTAATATTAAACCAACAACAGAGGGAAAGGCTGGATTGTTTCTTCTTAGACACCCAGATAATTCTCTTTTACCCTGCAAATAGTTTTCTACCCCCAAAATTTAGATTTATTCTGATCGTAAGTAAAACGGATTTTGGAAACCTCACCTCAAAAGAAATATCTAGCTGACAGCTTTTACATAGAAGCAATCCAGAATGGAAATAGTGCTACAGACAGAGACCAAAAGGACTTGCCAAATATTTGATTAGGAGGCATTTATACCGAGATAACAAGGTAATGGAGATATAAAACCAATTAAATTGAGAGAAACTGAAAAAAAATACTGCTTGCCAAAAATATGACCTGCCCAAAGCAGGCCGTCTGTTAAATATGTGTCAACTATGTCAACTTAGATGCCAAAAGGCTTAATTCTGAATAGTTTCCTCCTGGGAGCCTTATGCGACTGCAGATTCCAGGCCTCTGTCCTCCCTGGAAGGTTAGTTACAGGAAAGCAAGTAAAAGTGACTTCCACCACGAAACCCAGCAGATGAAACTGCCCGTTAGCAACGTCTCTTTGTGACATCTCTTTGGAGTGTTGGCAGTGTGTGTTGAGTGTTGACGGGGATGGCCGGAACTCTTTAAACCACCGCTTAGACACTGTAGTTGGAAGGTGAACACACCACAATGGGAGTTGGAAGGTGAACACACCACAATGGGGGCACTTCTAGAAAAGGAGGAAATCCCATACTGAGAATGAGCCTGCCTTGGGGTGGGTGAGACCCCTAGACGTCTGCAGGGTGATAAAGGGAGGGCTGGGGTTTTCGCACTGACAAAAACTCACGTCAACCACCTGGCCTTGGCCCATGGGGATCCCATGAGCCCCTCGCAGCCCCCTGGAGAGCCTCGGGGACCTCTAAGCAGGAAGGTTTGGGGTCTTCTGTGAGAGGTGAGGAAGTCGTGGCTGGGGAAGGAGGGGGACGGGAAACCCTACAGATGTAGGGCAGTCCTTTGGAGAAAGGGACAGGTCGGAGACCAGGCAAGGTGGCATGGGGGACCAAGAACCTGGCCTGAGGACTTTAGAAGCCGGGGAGGTGAAGTGGAGGCGTGGAGGTGCCTCAAGGCAAAAGAAGATGTGGGACTCCAGGGAGTGAAAGGGGCCCTGAGGTGAGAGGATGGAAAGCTGGCTCTAGGGAGTTGAGGGCTCTAGAAGCCTTAAGGTTCTAGAAGGAGGTGAGTGACGAAGCCGTAAAGAAAGCCTGGCCGTGGGAGGCCTGGTGTCCCCTTTCGGCCTTCGGCTCAGCACTGGAGGGGGCCTGCGCCAGGGCGTTACCTTCCAGGAGCCAACGGATCTCCTCAGGGAGGGCGGCGGCCTGCATTTGGCTGGGCGGGAGAGAGGCGGGACGGGGCGCGGGCCCTGGTCGGGAGGCGGACGGGCTGGAAGGCGACCCGGCTGCACCGCGAGGCACCTGTACCTCAGCCGCGGTCGCCGCCCGCCCAGCCCGGCCGCGGGGCGGGGCCGTGGGTCCCCGGGCGCGTCAGGAAGTGGCGCGGGCGGCAGGCGGGGACCGGAACGGGGCGCGGGGCGTGGGTGCACGTGGCGCTCACGCCGGAGCCCCACGGTAGAAGGATTGGGGGTGCCGGAAGCACCGCACCGTGCGAGGCCAAAGGTGCGCCCCTCCAGCACCCACCAAAACAAAAGACTTCACAAGGCTCAAAGGACCCACGGCTTTGGACACTCCATCCTAAGCACCGAACAGTTGACCTCACGGTGGCAGATTTGAAAGACCACGGGGTGCCTGAAGTAGGGTGCAGGGAGGCAGAATCCAAGGAAGAGATCCCCGTCAAGCATAGCACCCCTCAATTGCCGGTCCAGTTCACATCTCCATCCCCAGAAAAGAGGGCAAAACTTCGCTCTTTGGGAAGCCACAATGTTGAAAGGAAATGATTAATTCCCAATAAGCAATATAAGGACACCAACATTTGGGAGAATCGCGGCAGCGTGGCAGCAAGGGACACAGGAAACCAAACTGTGCTGTTCTCCCTCAGGATGGAAAGGCCCTGAGGAAAGGAAGGGGTAACACAGGGAGAAAGCTGAGGGAGAGGAGAACAGAGCCCTTTCCCTCCAGGAGCTGCGGAAGGGAGGAAAGTGAAGGACAAAATCACACGGTCTCATTCAAGGGACAGTTGGTGTCAGTGTCCTGGTTGTGACATGGTACTGTAATAGTGCCAGATGTTACCCTTGGGGGAAACTGGGTAAAGGTAGACAGAGTTCCTCTATTATTTCTGAAACTCTCTGTGAATCTATAATTCTCAAAATAAAGAGGTTTTTTAAGTACAATAGGTCAACTGCCATGAAAAAAGTATAAAGTGCTATGGTTGATAAAAGAAGGGAGCTGAATACCAGAAAAGGAGGGAAGAGGCCAGGCATTGTGGCTCACACCTGTAATCACAGCACTTTGGGAGGCTGAAGCAGGAGGATCACTTGAGCCCAGGAATCTGAGGTTACAGCCAACTATGATCACCCCAGTGTACCCCAGCCTGGGCAACAGAGCAAGACCCTGTCTCTTAAAAAAGAAAGAAAATAAAAAGAAGTGCCAGTGTGCATGTGAGTGTTTAAAGGTGCATGTGGTGTTTGAGATGGGCTCTGAAAAACACACCAGACTTTGAAGGGGCAGAGGACTTTCCAGGTGGAAGGACCAGAGTAAAGAAAGATGGAAGAGCCCTCACCAGCTTGAGGAATAGTTAGTAGCCCTCTTTTACTGGATGTTGTAGAAAGACTATGGTTGTCAAGATAAACTGCAGCTCTACTGTGAAGGGACTTGAAAGTCAGAATAGGAATGTTGAACTTAATTGAGAGGGCACTGGGGAGCCATTGACAATTTTTGAGATTGGGAATGACCTAACCAGAGCTCCGGGGTGGTATGTGGCCTCACACATCTCCACCTCTGCCTTTTTCCTTCTTTGTAAAAAATGGCATTTCTATTCTCAGACTCAACCTACAGAATATGTAGAAAAGATTAGGAGTGGTGGGAAAAGACACAGGGGGAAGTGGGTAAAATGGTTTTTACAACAGCCATAAGGGGAATAATGATGGACTCAATCTAGCAGACGGGGCAAGAGCAGTAAGAAGAAACCATCGAGAAGGATGAGTGTGATAAAAGTGCCTGCCTCCTTGTACTGTTTCCCATCCAGAGATACAGCCTCAAAGATGAGGGTGTGATCCTTTAAGGAGTACAGTGCATCCTGCCATCTGAAAAGCAGTGGTGCATTGGTTTCAGTGTCACATGACCCACCTACAAGCTGCAGTAAATTGGGGTGAGGGGACAGAGGCTGGCATGAGCCTCTCTGGGGTATCTGGCTCCTGCTCATCCTCCTTCCTGCCCTGAGAAAGTATAGTAATGGGTGGCTGGGCACAGTGGCTCACGCCTATAATCCCAGCACTTTGGGAGGCCAAGGCAGGCGGATCACGAGGTCAGGAGTTTGAGGTCAGCCTGACCAATATAGTGAAACCCCGTCTCTACTAATAATACAAAAATTAGCTGGGCATGGTGGTGCACGCCTGTAATCCCAGCTACTCGGGTGGCTGAGGCAGGAGAATCACATGAACCCGGGGGGCGGAGGTTGCAGTGAGCCGAGATCAGGCCATTGCACTCTAGCCTGGGTGACAGGGCAAGACTCCATCTCAAAAAAAAGAAAGAAAGAAAGAAAGAAAGTATAGCAATGGGCAGACTACCCCTTTCAGGCTTGGGATCAAGTACCAGGTACCCCCATGGCATTTTTACCAACTTCACCACTTCACCTATAAAATTGTAGCTGCTCTAGAATCATTTTGAAGTACTTATGAGGCATACTAAAAAGCAAGGAAAGATACATGGGAACTGTCTGTGCTATCATCTCAATTTTTTTTTGGTAAATCTAAACTGTTACACAAAAAATACAGCAAGGGCAGCAAAGTCTCCCCATATGTCAACCTAAACTTTGCCTTGCTTTCCTTCTTGGCAACAGAAGAAAATTTGATAACCTCCCCCTCTTCTTCAAGGATATGGTGTCACATACTAATATAAGCTACCAGCTAATGAATTGTTTGATAAAGAGCAGTAAACCCAGGTAATTGCACTTCTTTGCAGGCTTCACTGCCTGTCATAGCTTACTTACACCAAAAACTCACAGTGTACGTATTCTATATGCATCCTTCCTTACAAGAATCTCTGGGTTTTAGAGAGACAGGGGTAGAGGGAGGTGCACAGTCGGGTAGTATGTAGTGAGTGACTGGCAGATTCCAATACGGTATTGTCATGTTGCATCAAGGTTCCTCATTGCAGACAGAAATCTGCCTCCACACATGAACGCAGCCCTTCCTTAATCATCTGAGGACCCTGTTTCAGCAGTCAGCCCCACTCCTAATGACATTCTGTTAAATGGACAAATTCCTTTGAAGCCTTGTCCTTTTTTGAAATCCAATTTCGCAGGAAGCCAAATCTGATTGGGGGTAGCCATGGAAACCACATGGAGGAGTCTTAGAGGAGGTGAAGAGAGGCAAGGCAAAACGTGATAGTCACGAGTCCTTTACTGTTCTGTCAGAAATATCAAAGCAATCTGGAGAGGTTGGCAGTAGCTGAGTCCCTGCCTGGGTCCTGTTCTGTGTGGCTGGGTACTATGTGGCTGTCATGGAAGAAAGCAGCCAGCTGTCTCTGCACACAGGCAGGAGGACAGAACAGAATACACAAATCTCAGGTCTGTCTGCCTCCCTTTTCTTCCCGTCCCCCCCAGACCCAATTCCAGCAAGATCTTAGCATCCTCTTCTTAGCTGCCTGCCCCTTAAAGACAAACAACAAAAGAATGACAAGGTTAAAATACAAGGCCCTCACAGATAAGAGGTCCTTTGGAGCAGAGGCCATGAAATTAATCTGGAATTCCTTGTAATTAGATAAGATAAGGGGATCTAAAGAGATGTAGAACAGCCAGGAATGGAGTCCAGCAGCACAACATGCAGAAAACACACCGCCTTGTCCACCGGGACCCTTCACGCACTGTCAGCAGACAGAAGACACAGAAAATAGGGCCCATATTGGCCTCTGAGCTTCTTGGGAATGCTGTCTACATGTTCTCATGCCAGGTGGGCACTCGCTAAATAGGCATCTATGGGATGTCCAGAGGGACCAATCAGGAAGAAACAAAAGCATCTGGCACCCAGAATGGCATGCAGTGGGAACACAACTGCAAGCAAAGCAGGAGCTGGCTGGCACCGCTCTGCCCTGGCTGAAATGGGTCTGGAGAGGAAACTGCAGAGGGCAGGCTCTGAGGCTTTATTCTGAGCTGGTTATTGATCCCTGAATGCTGGGTCATGACATGTGGCGGAGCTGACGTCTGCCCTATGGATGTGCAGCCACTGCCTCTCAGCCTCTCGGTCCCAACCCCATCAACCGGGTTTATTGACTCTTTTATTGACAATGCTGGGGCCTAATGAGGCCAAGAGCTGCACACTTCATTAAGAGATGTGGAAGGAGAGATGATGCATCCTGTCGGTGCCAAGAACCAGGCTCACTGTATGTTTTGCAAGGCTCCAGAAACCAAGCATCATGCCACCTTGAAGGCAGAGGAGATGGACATAAGATGCTAACTTGGGCACGTTACTTCAGTGGCCTAAAAATGAAGTTTCCACGGCTTGCCAGAAGCCTTGTTCTTACCAATTAGCTAACTCTTCAACTTAGGAGGGTCCTGTTATACACACACTCACACAAATACACTTCCAATGGTCTCCCCTTCCAGCTCACACTCCTAGATTCTCTGCCTTAATACATACAACAAAATAAGCAGCTTCTCATATCACATCAGGAAACAATTCCATAAGCAGGTTCTCAGTGAGGTACAGGCTTGGAACAGTATGAGGGACTATATAAAAACTCAAAAGAATCTTCAAAGGGAGCAAATTCAAGATAAGGAACAGACCCAGCACTATACCCAGGGTCCCCCAGCTTACCAGGAGCTGTGCATTAGAATCAGGTACAAAGCTCTTGTAGAACTGAAAAATACCTAAGATAGATAGTTACAGCCTAGGGATCACTGAGCCACTCTACGAAGTCATCACTGTTGGCCCTCCTCCATCTAAATAGTAATGTTTCATTCCCAGCACTTTGGGAGGCCGAGGCAGGGGGATCACTTGAGGCAGGGGGATCACTTGAGGCAGGGAGTTGGAGACCAGCCTCGGCAACATAGTGAGACCCCTGTCTCTACAAAAAATTCAAAAATTTCAAAAATTAGCTGGGCATGGTGGCATAAGCCTGTAGTCCCAGCTACTCTTGAGGCTTAGGCAGGAGGATTGTTTGAGCCCAGGAGTTCGAGGTTGCCGTGCCACTGCACTCCAGCCTCGGCAACAAAGCTGAGACCCTGTCTGAAATAAATAAATAAATAGTAACATTTCTTTCTTTCTTCTTTATCTTATCTATCACTCCTCTTATTATTTTTTCTCTATTGTTCCCAATCCTTTTTTTTTTTTAATCTTCTTTACCTATCCTTTAGACCACATTAGATATCCCCGTTGGGCACTGCTGAGCCCAGCAGAGGACCTGAAGACCAAAGAGGTTGCTGACTCTGACATTCTCTGTTTTTGATTGGTTCTCTTGGGGATCTGAAGTGGAGATGGGGGGACTCAGAATGTATCAGCTGTAGCCAGATGAGCTGTGCACTCTGAGTGAGATGTGGAAACAGTCTGTGTAGCTAATCTGCATGAGAGCAGATGAGGCTAAGACTAATTTTATAGACTATAGACTATATATTTTCAGACATAACTTTGGAAACTAGCTGGAAGAAATAGTCTTTTCTTCTGGGGGATTAAGGAGATTGAAGGTAGAAGGACAGCAATTTTCTAAAGTCGACCTGGGTTTCTTTGGTTTCTTTTCATCTGTTATTTCAAAGGTAAAAAAATTTAAGTTCCCAAACCCCTTCCTTACTTTTTATCCTTTCTTCTTCCTCACTTTACTACAGGTCTTAGAATTCAGAGTTGGAGCAGGGGGATTCAAGGTGAGAGAAGGGGCAGTTATTTAGAAGCTGGTAGAAAGCTCTCGCCTGCACTGCACATGTGCTCATGTGCTTTGGAGGATACTGACACTAAGATGAGTGGATATTCTAACAAGAACCACCAGCATTCTCAAATACAGACAGAAACACTAGAGTCAGAGATAAAAACAGCAATAGCTGATTATTTCGATGTAAGAAAGTGAGTAAAAATACCTTTGCCCTAGTGGATATCGTTGGTCCTCAAGATATGTTCTTTCCTTGCCTTCAGAATTGTGTCAGTGTCCATTTCATTTTTTTTCTTTCTAAATGTCTATTCTTTTTTTTTTTGAGATGGAGTTTCACTCTTGTTGCCCAGGCTGGAGTGCAACGGTGGGATCTTGGCTCACTGCAACCTCCACCTCCTGGGTTCAAGTGATTCTCCTGCCTCAACTTCTCTAGTAGCTGGGATTATAGGCACATGCCACCATGCCAGGCTAATTTTTGTATTTTTAGTACAGACAGGGTTTCACCACGTTGGCCAGGCTGGTCTCAAACTCCTTACCTCAGGTGATCTGTCCACCTCGGCCTCCCAAAGTGCTGGGATTACAGGCGTGAGCCACCGTGTCTGGCCAACAACTGTACCCGGCCTCTATTCTTAAATATCCCTGGACTCCCATTCCCACAACATTTTCTTCCTGTGTAAACCACACTATCTTTCATACACAAAATGGCACTGTCAGTTCATGTTGCATTGCTTTTCAGTTTCACTCTTGTCTTGCCTCCTCTCATCCCTCCACTAGAATTTGTGATCACACTCTCTTACACCACCTTTGAGATCTTCAGTCTCACATTCTTTTTCATCTTCAATATTTCCTTCTGCCTGCTAACATCCTTGGTCTTCTCTATCCTTAAAAACCAAGATCTTCCTTTCACCCCTCTACCTCCTCCAACTCTCATCCTTTCCTCTCCTTCCCTGCCCCCATCAACTTCCTCCATCAAATCTCATGTCCTTTCTCCTCCGTCTCTTAACCTTGCCTGCCTGTCTTCACACCACCAAAGGGATATCTCTCCCAAGAGCATCACTGACCTCCTTCTCCACTCTCCTTTGTCTTCACCAGCCTTCCTTTTGGATCATTGGATGGTCTTGACCACCTGCTCTTGCTGTAAGCACATAGCTTGCTTGGCATTGCCCTATCTGATCCTCTTTCTGTCCATCTTAACTGTCTGTGACTTCCCTGCCTCCTTCTTTGGTTCTCTTCATTTCACCTTCTAGTCATAGGTATTCGCCAGAGTTTCTACTTGCCTTTCTCCCATCCCTCTTCTTTCATTTCTCTCTTTGTTCTCTGAGTCTCTAGTGGTTTTATTCTCACACTACTACTACTTTCCCCTTTGTACAGATTGCTTTGCTGATTTGTACCTCTGCCCCACATTCCCACCTGGATATCTGAGCAGTTCCACCAAATTGTTATTTCCTCTCTCCTTAATTATTGCAATAGCAACAAAGCTCAGTGGACAGGGCATGGGCTTACAAATCAGAAAGACCTGGGTCCCGTTTCTGGCTCTGCCACCTACCTGTTCTAAGACTCTGGGCAAAGCTCCATGAGCCTCAGATTCCTCATCGGTAAATTGGAGATCATAATCCCTACATTACAGGGTTATTATGAAGGTTAAGTAGGATGATGTATGTATATAGTATATGCTCCATAAATTGCAACAGTTAGGCCGGGTGTGGTGACTCACGCCTGTAATCCCAACACTTTGGGAGGCCAAGGCAGGTGGATTGTTTGAGGCCAGGAGTTTGAGACCAGCCTGGCCAACACAGCGAAATCCCATCTCTACAAAAATAAAAAAATTAGCCGGAAATGGTGGCACACGCTTTTAGTCCCAGCTACTCAGGAGGCTGAGTCACAAGAATCACTAGAACCCAGGAGGCAGAAGTTGCAGTGAGCTGAGATCGTGTCACTGCACTCCAGCCTGGGAGACAGAGCAAGACTCTGTCTCAAAAAAAAAAAAAAAAAAAAAATAGGTAATGTTATAAAGGCATTGCTGTTTTCCTGGTAATTCAAGCTCAAAATATAGAAGTCATCTTCGACCCTTCCTCACTCATTCTAAACAGCCACTAAGGCCACTAGTCTTACCTCCTCGCAGTGGCTTTTGAATCCTTACCCTCCTTGCGTCCTTAATGTCACCTCTTTGGGTTTGGTTCTCAATATCTTTGTTGGGAAGTGATATGTTGAAATGGCTTCTAACCCGGCCTCCCACATCCAATTTCCCCACCATCCCATGCCACCCCTCATATAAGCTTCAGAGTATATATCCCAAAGCATGGCTCTGACCCCATCAAAGAGGTGATAGAGTATAGAATGTAGTGGTCCTAAAGTCAGACAACCCTGTGCTCAAATCTGCCACCGCTTGCTGTGACCTTGGACAAGTTACTTATCTTCCATATGCCTCAATTTCCTCCGCTGTAAAATGGCAATAGTAACTGTATTCTCAAGGTTGTTGTGAAGATCCAAAGAGCTAATATATGTAGTGCTTACACCTGCCTGCAGCATGGTAGGTGCTTTGTAAAGTTTAGTGATTACTGTCCCTGCATTCCCTGCAAAAACTAGCACCTGTCAGATGCTCAATAAATATATATACAAATTATCCATAATCTCTCATTTGATCTTTCTTACTCATTAAAGATATATTTGAGGAGTGGCCAAGATATAGGTATCATTGGTTGCCAAGGATGAGAGTTTTCCTCTTTATCAAGCTAATCTGCCTTTAAAGAGATGAATAGAGTGTGGCCTTGGCTTCCTTGGCACCAGGCTCTAACAAATCAAGGTTATCAGATTCTCCCCACCCACCTCCAGAGATTTCCTCCCTGCCCTATCTATTCTAGAATACTTCTAGTGTTCTCCAAACCACATGGGGGAAACACTGATCTGGAAGGCGTGAGATATTAACACCTCTTTTCACTTATTGCAGCAAAAACAAAGTTTTCACTATAAATAAAGACCCTGCAAAGAACCAATCAGAAAGAAGATCATATCCTAGGAGTCTGTAGTCCCTTTAGTCTGGAGAGCTGCCAGCAGGGCTAAGCTCTACAGAAGGGCTGGGGTTGTGGCAGACGGACACGACTTGGGGAGTGTGTGGGAGGGTTGATGGCCTAGAGATGAGGCTAGTGAGAAAGAAAAAGGGAAAAGAGAGTGAATGAGAAGTTGAATGAAAAGATAAATAAGTGGAGAAATAGAAAACATCATAAAGAAGTCTTCATAGTTTGAAGGATTAGAAACTAAATCAAACAGATCCACTTCATTTCCTGAATTGTAATTTCAGGCTATACCATGTTCTACCTCCAAGGACAATTGAGTAGCTTCAGGGAATGGCTGTAAATTCCTAAAGAAAAGTGCCTTGTGGATCAAGCTGTTCCTATCTGCTGCTGTACTTTTTAGCATCTGCACTTTCAACACAATGACACTTCTTATTGAGTAATATGTGATATTTTGCATCATGAGACTATTGATGCAGAATTTCCTTTTTCAGAGCTCAATATTCCAATCAAAGCCTGTTGCATCACATCACTGAGGCCATCCACTTAATGACAAATTGTAAGATGCATATTGCAGAATATTCATGTTCATTTTATGCTCACAGTGCTTGAAATCTCCTCTAAACAGCCTCTGCTCTCAGCCTATTAAGGTGCCCGTGTTATCTACACTTCATTCAATGGTGTGGAAATAATTGTCTTGAGACGAAAGAAAAAATTGATGGTCACAAGCCAAGTCAGCACTTGTGTTCTTTTCTTACTCTGTTGAATCTGGTGTTATTTACCTCTTCCAACACCTGGGACTCCTGATAAGTCACTCCCATGATAGCTTTTTCCAGGACAGTGCTATGGGGTCTTTAGAATAAGTAGGGATCCTTCATAAGCTATATTGTTATCAGCACAATTCATGCAGCTACCAGATGTGCAAAATAGAAACCACCAAGGGCATTCAGGCAAAGGGGGCTTCCCCAGCTCCATATGGCCACTATGACATGTGCTCATGAGTTGGAGGAGGAATCAGAGAAAAAATGAGATGCACTAAACATGAGGGCCTGTGTTCTTGCGAGAAAATGCTTATATTCTGACAATGTTGGGGCCCTTTTTTACTGCCCTTCATCTGCTATCCCAGCACCTGCACCCTATAGCCTGACTCCCTACAAACCTGGCTCTACTAAAAAGACCTTCCTGTTAGAGACAGGTGGGCCCTTTTCTTCATCTCTTCCCCTTCCTCTTATCTCTGGGACGAAGCACCAGGACGCGGGCTGGTGGAGGAGAGCAATTGCCCCTGGCAGCTGATAGTTCAGCAATGCGGCCTGCGACTTTGCCTTTAAATATCAACCACATGCACAGAAAACACCCTGGCAGCCTGAGAGGTTTCCATGGTGACAGAATGCAGGCCATGACCTCTGTAAATGTAATCAGAGCACTGGGATTGGTGTGCAAGACAGGTTTAATTTCTCCTGCAATGGAAGCTCTGTGGTCCTGGCCCTACATAGGCTTCATACGTTGACAGACAACCTGTTTATCTCCACCAGGGCAGCTCTACATATGGCAGTTCCCTCTGCCCCAGAGCTGCTTCCTCTACTGTCTGAGCAGGCTGCAGGATGTAGAAGGTCACTGAGGACTGGGACAACAGTCATATCAATATCTGGCATCCTTGCGCAGTGTCCTTGGGAGGTGAGACTGTCCCTTATACAAAGAGCAGCTGTGGCGTAAGGGTCTGACCAAGGACTCAGAAGATTGGCCAAGGTTTTCATCCCTGCTGTGCCACCAACCTTGTGACCTAGGGCAAGTCATTTAACCTCCAACTTTCAACATCTTCACTCCAAGGAGAAAATGCCTGGGAAAGGGAAGGCCAAGGGCTTCCAAAGTCCGCAATTTAAGATGGTACCCAATAATGGTTAATGTGAGGATCCTCCCACCCTCAGTGGACTCATACCCCAAGAAATGAATGCTAGTCACTGGTGTCAGTGCTGCCAGTGGTGAGGGGAAGGCTCACTGTGGGAGAGGCTCAGCAGGACTTCCCCACCTCTATCCTGAATTGGAACAAAACCAGGATGCATTTTTTCTAAGCCAGCCCAGAGTAGTAGACTAGAGTTTTGCACTAAACTGACAGGAAACAGACAGAGGCTCAGAGGGAAATGTAGCTGCATCAAAGGAGGACCCCACAGCCTCTTTCCTTAAACTCCATGCAACCTCAGCAAAGAGTTTCTTTGGTCACTTGGATGCTAGCACCCCGATTCCATTTCTAATTCACATGAGATGCTGGCCGACTTCAGTTGCCAGTTATCCTGCTTCTCTGATTCTTTCACTTTTCCAGTATAGTGTTCTAAAAAACAAAAACAAAAACCAAACAAACAAACAAAAAAAGATTTGGACTAAGATGAGATTCATAGGGTTGCATGAAACATTTTTCTTCCCAGAGGGAGCTGGTCCATAAGATTCCCCTTGCAGAATGAGATTCAACAAGGAATCTCAGAATTTCAGAGCTGGAAGGAACTTTAGAAACCCTTTTACCTACAGAGAGAAACCTGAGGGACTAGCCTGGATGTCCCTGGGTTACAGCAAATTAATGGCAGAACCACAAGAGCATCAGGGCCTCACTCTGCTTGGCTGAGTATTAATTTACCTCATGGGTGCTTTTGAACCTCAAACTAAAATAGAGGGGAAGTGGGGGGAGGATTCAAAAGTGGTTGATGAACATTAGAATCAGGAAATGGTGATTTGGTTGAATCTACAGATAATAGCTTTACCACTTCCTGTGTCAGCTGATGCCAAAAGAGAGAAGATTCTAAAGAAGAAAATAGTTACGTGACAGAACTGTGGGCTTCCACACAACTGTCTCCACCCAGGCCATACTCTTTCTCTAAGGCCATTGAGGAGAGTATAAACCTGATTGCTCAGGGGTTTCATTGGCTGGTGTCCAACACAAAATCACAAGATCAAAGAACAGTGGAGTTTATAGGAACCCCAAGAGAACATCTGGTCTGACATTATGTCTTCTGGTTGCTGAGTAACTAAACCATCTAGGACAGGTAATTTAATTGTCTTTCCTTTTTATTAAAGGACTCAGTTTCCCAACTATAAATGAGGAAATAAGGTTCCTTCTAGGTCTAACATGCCAGAACTCCATGATCTCGAAAGGTGGAGATTTCCCAACCTTTTCCAGGATCCCTTTACAGCATTTAACGCATATCTTGTAAGTAGCAGGCTTCCCTGGCCTCAAGCTTAACATCATCAGTGTGGCAAGCACCAAGGGTTTGTCCAGCTCCCAGGGATTACCATGGACTCCAGGAACATGCACTGAAGTTCCTTTTAGTGTTTTAAGGAGGAGGAGGAGGCAACCATTTATGTAATTCTCATGTCGGTCCAAGTTGTTAATACTCCAGTAGTTGGTAGGCCCAACCTGAGTGCGTTGTGGCCATGGGGTGTGGTGGGGTGTGAGGTGGTGTCAATTACATAACAGCTCCTACAGAAACTGTGTGGAATAGGGGAGAAAAGAAATTCTTAGACAACACAGTTGGTTATTTCTGGAAGAAATGGGTAGGTTTGCTGCACAGAAAAAGCAATCTATCCATCATACCCCTTGTTCTTCAGACCTGCCTATGTATGCCTGAATCATTATAGAAAAGTTTCCAATTCTGAGCCCTTGAAAATCAGGGATATGATTATGCTCACTCCACTCACTGAAGCCTTAGTTCCATCCTGCCTGGGACTCTGCTATACTTGGTGTTACATTTTTGGATGTGAAATGTGCAGGGTGGACTCAGACTCCACAACCACTTGTCCCCTTCTTGGCCAAGTCACCTTCTCCTTCCAACTTCTCTAGGTAAGTAAATGGCACCATGGATAATCCAGTTGCCCAATCTGGAACCCTGGGGGGTCATCTTTCTTCCCTCTTTCTTCCTCTGCCAAGTCTAGCTGGAAAATATGTTTCAAACAATCTGTTTCTCTCTAGTCTGTTGCCACCATCCTGGTCCAAGCCACCATCATCTTCTACCTTGCAACCCTCTGGTTTTACGCCCCACCAACCCATTTTCCACCCTAAAACCAGTGATGTCATTTTTAAAAATCTGCCCATGCCTCTTTCCTAATTAAAATTTTAGTAGCTTCCCAATATTTCACTTCCTCACAATGGCTAACAAGCGTCTACCATCGCCACCACCATAACCTCCTGCTTATCTTTCTAGCCTTGCTGCCTGCATGGACCCTTTACTCTCCATCATCTTCAGTAACAGACTTCCTGCAGTTTTTCAATGAGTCATACCCACTCCCACTTCCGTTTGCTCACATGTGCTGTTCCTTCTGTCTACAACACTCTTCCCCTTCCCCTTCACCCAGCTAACTCCTACTCATGCTTCAAGTCTCAACTTCATTTTGTCTGGTTAACCAACCTTGGCTCCCCAGACTGGGTTATATTTCCCTCTCCTACATTCCTGTAGCATTTAGCACCTGCTATTCAAAACTCACATCCCATCTGTAATTATTAAAATTATTAAAAGTAATGGCAAAAACAGCAATTACTTTTGCACCAACCTAATACTTGTCTACCTGCCACCTGTCTTCTCCTCCTGAGGGTTCAGATCTTACCTATCTTATTTCCTAATGTATTCCCAGCAACTGCTATGCTTGGTGTATAGTAGGTCCTCAATAAAGGATTACTGAGTGAGTGCTACAAGGTAAGTCTGTTTGTTTGTTTGTTTGTTTGTTTGTTTGTTTGAGACAGAGTCTTGCTCTGTCACCCAGGCTGGAGTGCAATGGTGCGATCTCGGCTCACTGTAACCTCTGCCTCCTGGGTTCAAGCAATTCTCCTGCCTCAGACTTCCGAATAGCTGAGATTACAGGTGCGTGCCACCACACCTGGCTAATTTTTGTATTTTTAGTAGAGACAGGGTTTCTCCATGTTGGCCAGGCTTGTCTCGAACTCCTGACCTCAAGTGATCCACTCACCTTGGCCTCCCAAAATGTTGGGATTACAGGCGTGAGCCACCATGCCTGGCCTGTTGGGTTTTTTAAAAATAATTTTATTTTGAAATAATTTCAAACTTACAGAAAAGTTATCATAGTATCTAGAACTCAAGTATACCATTCACTTGGAATCATCAATTATTAACTTCGATTATTAATTATTAAATTTAATAATCATCAATTATTAAATTTACTTTATTTTTCATAATAAATAAAATGTTAATTATAGAAAAGTAATTAGTACTAGATTAATTTACATTTTTTTCTGAATTTGAGAGTAAATTACAGTCATCACGCTCCTTTTCCCTAAAAACTTCAACGGTATTTTCTAAGAATGAGGATATTCCCTTAAAAATAACACCTAGTACGAGGCCGGGCGCAGTGACTCACGCCTGTAATCCCAGCACTTTGGAAGGCTAAGGCGGGTGGATCACTGAGGTCAGGGGTTCGAGACCAGCTTGGCCAACGTGGTGAAACCCCATCTCTACTAAAAATACAAAATTTAGCTGGGCGTGGTGGCATGCGTCTGTAATCCCAGTAACAGGGGCTGAGGCAGGAGAATCGCTTGAACCAGGAGGCGGAGGTTGCAATGAGCCCAGATCGTGCCACTGCACTCCAGCCTGGGCAATAGGGTGAGACTCCGTCTCAAAAAAACCCACAAACACCCAGTATGGTTATCAAAATGAGGAAAGTTAGCAAAGGGCACATGAACTTTAATTCAAATATGTGTTATCATTTTCAGAGAAGTAGAAAGTGCTAGGCAAACGTGGCAGTCTGGGATTAGGTGCATGCATTCATAAGGTAACCTCTCTCTCTCTCCTTCCCCTCTCTCTGCCCTTGTTCAAGGGCTTTCTCTAAAACTAAAGCTGTGGTTGCCAAGGCAGAGCCAAGCTGGTTGTGTCTGGTGTTCCCTCAAGCCCCCACTTGCACTAGTAACTTCTCTGCACCACGCCCATTTGTCGCTGCCTATGCAGTCCTCTATCGGTAGGCTGGAAGGCTCCTGAGCAGGTTAGCTTTCTTTCACAAAGTCCCAGCGACAGGAGGAAGCCCAGTCCACCGGAAGTGAAGGTTGGAGGGAAAGGTGAAGGACAGGAAGTGGGAAGATGACTCCTGGGACCCATAATCATGCATGAGCAGTTCAGAGCTTCCCAGAAGGGAAGAAGACAAGCTGTAGGGGCAGTAAGATTTGCACACCTTGGGTCCTGGGACCATCCTGCTCAGCTGAGTAGAATACCAAACGAGGGTGTTTCTGAGCTGCACTTCACCTCAGCCAGGCAATCGACAGGAGAAGCAGCGAGCGAGACCGACAGACTGTCACTGGCAAAATGAACTGTCACCTCCCATTTTTCAGAGGCACGGCGGGATGAATTGCAGCCTTGAACCTTGCGGCCCGCTGTTGATTGAGTTCCGCTGTCTTAGAACCCCGTCGAACAAGGCGAGTTCATTTCAGACTGACGTACCACCGCTTATCAATTTAGGAGCCAGTAAAATTAACCGCTTCGGAGCTGATTTTCTCGGTCCCCCTGCTTGGATTCCGCATGCAGAAAGGTCACCAGATAAATCTCTCTGGGTCCTGCTAGCATGATATGCAGCTAGGAGATGGGGTCTCAGAAGAGGAAGCTGAACCAAACAGCCCACGCCCAAAAAGGTCGCTGAGGCCCTCTTACAGCCACGGATTGTGGCAGTGGTGTGTGACAAGTCGTGCCTTTGCTAACTCTGCTCTGCCCACATCAGCAGCATCTGCTCCCAAGAGATACTGTGGTTGGGTAGGATTGGGTGGCTGAGAATGGAGATGCTACAGAAGCCCCCGCAGTCTTTCTGCAGAGATCTCTGTATATTCTTCTGCTTTGCATCCACAGGGCCTTACACATAGTAGGCACCCGCTAAATGTCTATTAAACTGAATATGACTTGATGTATGCTTTACCATCAATCGGTTTGAAAAGTTTAAAAGAAGTTAGCATGGACAGGGCCCTGGTGGAAAGAAAAAAAAGAAATGTTTATCCAGGAATATCTTTATTGTCACCGGACATTCATGGGGCCCAGTCCATGCTAAAAATCCTCTGGCAACTTGAAGGTCCTTAGAGCACAGCAGGAAGCTCACCAGAACAGAGTTCCTTGTCTCCAGAAGAAAAACTGTCTCATGCCACATTCTCCCCTCACACACATACAGCTTTTTTGCTCATAAAGGCCTGTCCAGTAGGTCTAATTCACGTATCTCAGGGCTTCTCCTCTCCTCTGCATCCGGGACACAAATAGTTTTCTCAACACCCTTTGAACCTCTTGTCACCATGGCAGACTATGGCAGTGTTCATTTCTGGATATACAACCAAACTGTTCTCAGGATAATTTAAAGGTTTGGACTCTTAGACATGCTCTACCTCTATCTAAAAACATCCACTTTTCACCAAAGGTCCTCATCTCAGAGGGACAGGGGACATCTGGTTTGGAAGACTGCGCAGGAAATAAAGACTTATGGGCTGGGCACGGTGGCTCACACCTGTAATCCCAGCACTTTGGAAAGCTGAAGCAAGCAGATTGCTTGAGCCCAGGAGTTCGTGATCAGCCTGGGCAACATGGCGAAACCCCATCTCTACAAAAAACACAAAAATTAGCCAGGCGTGGTGGTGGGTGCCTGTCATCCCAGCTACTCAGGAGGCTGAGGTGGGAGGATCGATTGAGCCCAGGAAGCAAAGGCAGCAGTGAGCTGAGATTGTATCACTGCACTCTAGCCTGGGTAATGGAGTGAAGCCCTGTCTGAAAAACAAACAAACAAACAAAAAAAACAAAAAACAAACAAACAAAAAAACACTTGCGAAGGTGAAGATGGCTTCTGACAGGAAAGCTGGTGCTCTCTTCAGTAAGGCATCAGGGTAAGGTCCAGATATGTTTTTGCTTCAGCTGATAGCTACCAACAGACCAAACTTGTGGGCTCTCATGCCTAAAGAAAATGTATTCACATTCCTGTTGTCCTCCTAAGTTTATTTCTGTGTTTTCACTTGGGACTTTTAGCCCTATACCTAGAGTGAAAAGCCTTAGTTTTCAAATCTGACTGTACACTCCCTAGCCCTAAGAATGAGCAAATAACTTACTTGTCTAAGCCTCATTTTCTCCATCCATAAACCCACACAGATGTTTAAAGCTTCAAATACCTTTCTGTGTGTAAAAACCTCAATAGACTACAAAGTTAGGTACAGATGTTGGAGTTTATTCATTTTAGTTTCAGCAACAAAAGACAAATATGAGGATGAATGTATCTCAAAATTTGATCCGGCAATTTCACTTCTAGGAATCTATCCCACAAAAATGCTCACAGCTATGCAAAACGATGTATGTGTGAGGAATTTCACTGCAACTTTTTGAAATTCAGAGATAACCTAAATGTTGTCAATAAGGAATTGAGTAAATAAATTATAAAATTATGATGCATAGATACTATGCAACACTGTAATAGTTAAAAAGAATAAGAAAGTAAATTTATAACTTTATGGTTGTTATAAGAGTTATAAGGGCATGAAAGCCAACTTATAAAAATTAACAGATGTGGTTATTATATCATTAAATCCTTGGGTGTTCACTAGATACTTGAGTCAAGAGTGACCATAGAAAAATACACCCAGATAAACCTTAGGGAAATATCCAAAGCTTTAAACAAAAAGGGACATATCTAATAGTTGCATTTCTATTTACTATATCATGGACATCTCTTCATGTCAGTACTTCTTAATTTTTATTACTAAAAAAATTACACAGAGCCAGGCACAGTGGCTCATGCCTGTAATCCCAGCACTTTGAGAGGCGAGAGGACTGCTTGAGCTCCAGAGTTCAAGACCAACCTGGGCAACATAATGAGACCTCATCTTTACAAAGACTAAAAAACACTAGCCAGGCATGGTGGCACATGCTTGTAGTCCCAGCTACTTGGGAGGCTGAGGTAGGAGGATCACTTGAACCTGGGAGTTCAAGGTTGCAGTGAGCTGTGATCATGCCACTCACTGCACTCCAGCCTGGGTGACAGTGAGAGCCAGTCTCAAAACAAACAAACAAAACAAAACAAAACAAACACATAATAAAACATAAGCCATGGATTATAAAGATAGTTCTCTAGTCTAACTATTGAGAAAAGTTAGACGATTTGTAGGTAGTTGAAGTGTATTCTCAGGAATACAAATCTATAATATCCTAGCAGTGTAAGTTATAAGTTGAAACAGCCCTAAACCAAGAATCAGGCATCCAGGACTCTTGTCCCAGCTCTACCATTAAGTCACTACATGACATCAACCAAACCACTTTTCTGGGCCCCAGTTTCCACATCCAGAAAATGAGAATGTTAAAGTTCATGTTCTCCAGGGTCCCTTCAAGCTGAAAATTCTATGGTTCTATGAAATCACTTTTCAAAGATTCAATAAAGGATGTTTATATATAATTATAGTCTCTGGTCATTTCTGACACTAACAGGAAGGTTTTGACAAGGCCTTAAATACTCACATGCAGAGAAAGTACACTAAGAATTTTTTCTTTTTTCTTGAGACAGAGTCTCACTCTGTCACCCAGGCTGGAGTGCAGTGGTACAAACACAGTTCACTGCAGCCTTGACCTCCCAGGCTCATGCAATCCTCCTGCCTAAGCCTCCTGAGTAGCTGAGTCTATACAGTGCACCACCACACCTGGCTAATTTATTTTTATTTTTATTTTGTAGAGACAGGTTCTCCCTATGTTGTTCAGGCTAGTCTCGAACTCCTAGGCTCAAGCAGTCCTCCCACCTCGGCCTCCCAAAGTGTTGAGATTACAGGTGTGAGCCATCACATCCAGCCCAGAATTTTTTTATTAAAAAGGTTCCTGCCCTCAAGGAACCTATAATTTAAAAAAGAAAATAAGACAGTTGAATTAATAGAAAAACAGTAGAACCACGTTTTACAAAAGGAATGTACAAAACGAAATTGTTAAGTGGGATCAGTGGAACTCAAATTTATGTTCCTAGAAGCCTTTGGCTTACTCAGAGGTGTTCAGAAGCTGCTTCCAGGATAGGGCAAGAGGGCAAAGGAGTGAGTACTCCACCTCCCCATCCTGGTTTAATCAGAGTAACTCTGCTTTCATCTGCATCATGCATCTAAGAAATATAACACTTTTACAGAAATAGGGCAGCTATAATAAAAATTTGAAAACCACTAGCCTAGATGATTTCTAAGGCCTGTTCCAACTTTAAGGTTTCACAATTCTATGATTCTAAGATGTATGTAAAAATAAGTTTTTATATTTTGCATTCAGCTTTGCAGGTACATAGGAAATTAACTTCATAAAGATTAATTCTCCTTTAAAACAAATAATTATTTTGTAATACGAATATAAAGCCCTAGATGTACACTGGTCATTACAGAAACACAAATCAAAACCAAAATGAGATACCATCCCACACCAGTCAGAATGGCGATTATTCAAAAGTCAGGAAAAACAGATGCTGGTGAGGCTGACGAGGCTGTGGAGAAATAGGAATGCTTTTACACTGTTGGTGGGAGTGTAAATTAGTTCAACCATTGTGGAAGACAGTGTGGTGATTCCTCAAGGATCTAGAAACAGAAATACCATTTGACCCAGCAATCCCATTACTGAGTATATACCCAAAGGATTATAAATCATTCTAATATAAAGACACATGCACACGTATGTTTATTGCAGCACTATTTACAAAAGCAAAGACTTGGAACCAATCCAAATGCCCATCAATGATAGACTGGATAAAGAAAATGTGGCACATATACACCATGGAATACTATGCAGCCTTAAAAAAGAATAGTTCATGTCCTTTTCAGGGACATGGATGAAGCTGGAAGCCATCATTCTCAGCAAACTAATACAGGAATAGAAAACCAAACACTGCATGTTCTCACTCATAAGTGGGAGTTGAACGATGAGAACACATGGACACAGGGAGGGAAACATCATAAACCAGGGCCTGTTGGGGGGTGGCGGGCAATGGGAGGGAGAGCATTAGGACAAATACCTAATACACACGGGGCTTAAAACTTAGGTGCAGCAAACCACCATGGCACATGTATGCCTATGTAACAAACCAGCACGTTCGGCACGTGTATCCCAAAACTTAAAGTAAAAACAAAAAAACAAAAAACAAACCCTAGATGTATAATTTAACACACTCAGATTTTCCTGTCCTGAATTTTCTGAATGTGAGGCATGATCATAATTACAAAAGAACTGGATGGGAATACAAGGCAGACAAAGGGGTTATAAAAAAGATTTGCAAGATCCCTGGAACACCACGGACTAGCTGTCAGTTTTGCCAGTGAAGTAAAAGATACTGAACTAGAGCTAGAATCAC
Source organism: Homo sapiens (assembly GCF_000001405.40). Lineage (NCBI taxonomy): Eukaryota > Metazoa > Chordata > Mammalia > Primates > Hominidae > Homo > Homo sapiens. Next base: position 48,450,079 of record NC_000017.11, read on the forward strand.
TCGGCTCTACTACTGAATTAGGTCATTTTTGTTTCATAGAACACATCTCAGAAAAATCCATGATAATTACTACAGTGTTTTCTATGCATTATTACATTTAATTCTCCCAACTCCATGAAACAGGTGTTATTTTCTTCCCCATTTTACAAACAAGAAAACCGGAGCCATGGATGTTAAGTACTTTGCCCAAGGTCAAAGAGCCAGGGCTCAAACCCAGAGAGTCTGACAGCAAAGCCCATGCTCTCAGCCACCAAAAGCTGTACCCCATGTTGCTACTGGTGACTCTCAGATGCTGGGTAGACAGCCTGCCCTCCAAAGGTCAAAGGATAGGATTCAAATGGGACTCTGCCTCCAATTCCTCTATAAATTTATTTGTCTCATTATCCAATCACAAAGAAGAGTTTTCACTTCCCTTATCAAGGCTGGCCCTAGATAAAAATAATGAGGTAGCTGCAGCTTGTTCATCCTCCCTCCCCGTCACGGCTCCTTCTTCATATGAGGAAGGAAAGAAATACTGACTCCATGAAATTTGTTCTGATGCCTCCCAAGAATTGGCCACTCCTTATCTTGCGCACGCACTGAAGATGTATATGTGTACACATATACATCTGTGTGTGTGCATGTAGTACTTTCTTGCCTACTTTACATTTCATCCCTCTCCCCAACTAGATCATATCTCCTTAGGAATCACAACTAATTTTTACTCATCTCTGTATCCACAACACCTGACAGAGTGCCTAGCATATAATGGAGGCTTGATAAATGTTTATTTGTTTGAATGAAGGAAAGAAGTACATTCAACTCGGCACGGTGGCTCTCACCTGTAATCCCAGCACTTTGGGAGGCTTAGGCACATGGATCACCTGAGGTCAAGAGTTCGAGACAAGCCTGGCCAATATGGCAAAACCCCGTCTCTACTAAAAATACAAAAATGTTCTGGGTGTGGTGGAGTGCGCCTGTAATCCCAGCTACTGCGAAGGCTGAGGCAGGAGAATTGCTTGAACCTGGGAGGCGGAGGTTGCGGTGAGCCAAGATTACACCACTGCACTCTAGTCTGGGCTCAAATAAATAAATAAATAAAGAAGTACATTCATACATTCATGCTGTCTCCAAGGTTCCCAGTGTGTCCCATTGTGGCGCCTCACCTAATCTTGCTTTTCTCGGGAACCCTTTCTCCCAGTCAAACTTTGTCAAGCCTGGGCTCCCTTTCTCCTCCAGATCTGCTCTCTGCCCTCCAAAATGATAACCAGTTAGCTAACCTTATGTGTAATAAGTGCTAATGAAGTTAGCTGAGGTTAATATATTAATGTATTACTTCTTTTCATAATGTATTTTCACTTTAACTAGAAACAATTCCTTGACCTAATAGAGCCATTTCTAATGGTGAATGCATTATGCCAGCATTCAGGATGGGTCGGGGGTGGGAAATCATTGGCAGGAGAGTTTTAAGGACCCTGGCCTAGGCACCGTAAAACCACATGAACCCACCCACTTGTGTAGAAGAGTCATGGAACTAAAATGGCAAAAACACATAAATACTAACACTGCAAGTACATGTGATCTCTACTGTGACCAAATGAGTTGACCAAAGAAATGAAATTTGATCTGCCACAACAGGAGTCTGGGGTTCCCCACTGATCTTCAAGCCAAGTTAGGGTCACCTGAATGACAGATGCTCCTAAAGAGAAATGAGCTAGCCCTGTGTTTGATTGGTATGGGGCTAGGATGTTGGAGACAGCAGGAGTAATCTAATACATCTTTCACCACACAGATGAGGAAACTGAAACCCAGAGAGATAGGTGACCTGTTCAAGGCCACGAAGCCAGAGCCAAAATTGGGACAAAATAATTTATTTCCTTGAGCTAATATACAGGAAATTTTCTTTTCTTTTCTTTTCTTTTTGTTTGTTTGTTTGAGGCGGAGTCTTGCTCTGTCACTCAGGCTGGAGTGCAGTGGCATGATCTCGGTTCACTGCAACCTCCACCTCCTGGGTTCAAGAGATTCTCCTGCCTCGGCCTCCCCAGTAGCTGGGATTACAGGTGTGTGCCACCACACCCAGCTAATTTTTTGTATTTTTATTAGAGACGGGGTTTCTTCATGTTGGCCAGGCTGGTCTTGAACTCCTGATCTCATGATCCGCCCACCTCAGCCTCCCAAAGTGCTGGAATTACAGGCGCGAGCCACCATGCCTGGCCTTCTATCTTATTTAAAGCATCCTACACATTAGCTATTACAAAGCCTATTATTTGCCACAGGGCTCAACTATTTAAAGGATCTAACCCAAAAGAATCATGGCTAAAGCCTCTGCACAGCGGCAGGCAGCATCATACAAATCTCAGCAAAGTGCATTTAACTTGCAGAACCCAATTCACATGCAGAACCCTAGCTACATGGGAGTCTGGAAGATGCAGTATTTTATTTTACAGCTTCTGCAGTACAAAAAAGCACATCAGAAATAGTGGGAATGAATATGAAGTGTGAATTAATCTTATCTAGCATATTATATATATTACATTTTTTAGAACCTTCTTAAACCTTTGTCAAGTTGACAAATTGGTATACTGTTTTAAATAATATTTATTTGATTATTGGTAAGGATGAGCTTTGTGGGGCTTTTTTTGTTTGTTTTGTTTTTTTGAGGCAGGGTATCACTCTGTCCCCTGCCCACCCTAGGCTGGAGAGCAGTGGTCATCACGACTCACTGCAGCCTCAACCTCCCAGGCTCAAATGATCTTCCCACCTCAGCCTCCCAAGTAGCTGGGACTATAGGCATGCACCACCACACCTGGCTAATTTTTAAAGTTTTTTTTTTTTTTTTTTTTTTGTAGAGGCAGGTTTCTTCATGTTGCCCAGGCTGGTCTTGAACTCCTGAGGCTCAAGCAATTCACCCACCTCTGCCTTCCAAAGTGCTGAGATTACAGGTGTGCACCATGGCACCTGGCTAATTTTTATTTTTATTTTTATTTCTGTGGAGATGGGTTCTTACCAGGTTGCCTAAGCTGGTCTGAAACTCCTGAGCTCAAGTGACCCAAAGTGCTGGGATTACAACCATGAGCTTCCACGCCCAGCCAGGATAAACTTTTAAAACTGTATGTACTGGCCTTTCATATTACTTCTTTTATAAATTACCTTGTTCTACTTTTTATTCATTTTTCTTTAGGGATATTTGTCCCTTTGTTCTTATATATTTGTAAGAACTCTTTATACATTAAGGATATTAACCCATTAACCAAAGGCCTTTTTTTTAAATGTCAAATTTTGCCAGGAGCTAGCCCTAATTTGATTAACTCCGCTGATGGTTCCTTGGTTTGGTATCTCCTAAATATTTACACATTTGGCTTGTTCCATAGATATTCAGATTTATAACTATAGTCATGCCTTTTTTCACACACTCTACAGCAGAACCTGGTTTGCCTGTCAGGGAGATAAGATCACTAGAGAGCTGTGCAGATGCTAAGGAGAGACACACACCAGGTCTGGGGATCTAGAGATGAAAGCACAGATCCCAGAAAGTGGGCAGTCTCCCTTGTTCAAGAGTATGATGAAGGTCTCAACACTGTGAGGTTAGTTAGCAAGATGAAGTGGAGGAATCAGATCCCAGATGACAAGAGTCTGCTGTTCAGGAAGACATTTATAGTCACAGCACAAATTAACAAACACATCTAAATGGCCTTGATCTTCTTTTATACTTCCTGCCTAGGTAGGAAGTTGTGGTCTCAGGAGCTAGAACCACAGATATGAAGAAAATGGCTTTAGTTGGTAAAGAAAGTAGTATATAAAGTAGCAGCTGCATTTAAGTCCTCAAATGCTGTTATAGATATTTAATTTTGTTCCATGTTTTCTCAAATATACTTACTGCTTCTCAAATATACTTCTGGCAGAGCTGCTTCTCACGACAGAGACTGAAAAACCAGATTATTGCTTTCTCAGTTTCCCTTACAACTAGGAATGGCCTTGTCTTAGTCCATTCATGCTGCTACACCAAAATACCTCGGACTGGATAATTCATAACAAGAGAAATTTATTGCTCACAGTTCTGGAGCCTGGGAAGTCCAAGATCAACGTACCAGCAGATTCAGATGAAGGCGTGTTCTCAGCTTCATAGGTGGTGCATTCTTGCTGCTTCTTCACATGATGGAAGGAGTGAACAAGCTCCCTTGGGCCTCTTTTACAAAGGTACAAAGCTCCACCATCATGACTTAATCGCCTCCTAAAGGCCCTACCTCTTAAAATATTGCATTGGGGATTAGATTTCAATTTATGAATTTTGAAGGGACACAAACATTCAGATTATATTAGGCCACATGACACAGTTCTGGCCAAGGAGAGGAAGGGGAAGACTACTGGGAGACGTCTGAGGACATTTTTATTCTAGTTAAAAAGACGAGTATGCATGAGGCTCCTACTCTTTCATTCATGTCTATGAATATAGTTGTATGAGCACATGATTTCTTCAACCATGGCAACCATGCAAGCCTAGAGACCAAGAGCCAACACTGAAGGTAGAAAAGCAAAAGGATGAAGGAAGCCTGGTCAGTCATAGCATTTTTCAGCTGATGAACCAAAATAAGACCTCTACATTTCTTATTTTGTGAGAGAGTAAGAACTTTTATTGACACTTTTAGTTTTTTGTTACCTGCTTCTGCATTTTGACACATTCAAAATATAAAATGATACAGAATCTATATCATTGTAAGTACATAAAATATGTTAGTGTGTGGATAAGGACAGGATGGTATTGGTAGGGGCAGGAAGCAGGGAAATTCTCGGCAGAAAAGGGCAGGGTCCCTGGCGAAGCCCCACCCTCAAGCCTAGAACCGCGGTCCAAAGTGAGAGCATGCATTCCTATTTTCTTGCTCAAATGTTGCCTTTTCCAAAATCACCATGACCTGTCTCACCCCTCATCCTGTACCCATTAAATCCCCTGGCCCAACTGGCAGATGGCAAAGAAGGAGAGAAGAGAAGAAGTAGCCAGACATTGGAAAGAAACAGCTTGACTTCAGAGGAATGGCTTGATGGTGGGACTTAGGAGAAGTGTACAGCAGGGGACTGCTGGACTCCATGGGAAGATCACCTTCCCACTCCATCCCCCTTCCAGCTCCCCATCCTGCTGGGAGCCACTTTCATCAGTAATAAAATTCTCCGCATTCATCACCCTTCAATTTTTTCATGCAACCTTGGTTGCAAGGACTCAGGTATGGGTGCAAAAGGTTGTCACACTGACCCTCCACTGAGCTGTTAACACTTAAGCCATTCATGGACAGAAAAGCTAAAAGAGCACACTGTAACACATGCCCTCTGGGTCTTCAGAGGTTGCGGGTACCCCCACAGATGCTGCTGCAGGGCTGCACAGTTTTGCTCCTGCCAGCACCCAAAAGCAGTCACTCTGGCTCCTGCACCTGCTCACTTGTGTGCTCCCCCTCCTGTGAGGGATTGAGAGCTGGGGGCTAAGTAACTGAGGCACCCCTGTTGCAAGGTCCATGAAGGGGTCAAGGAAAATTTCCTGTTTCAGTACGATGACTAATACCAAGACCAGAATGTTCTATAGAGAAGTGTTGGGGGAAAGGGAGAGCAGGGTCCCATTCCTGGACATTCTGATTTAATTGGCTTGGGGTAGGAGCCAAGCATTGGTATTTAAAATTTTAATTTTATTTTACAGGTGGAGAGACGAAGGATCAAGCAATGTGACTGGTAGAAACTGTGTTATACAAGGTAAACCAAGAGAGAATTGTGCAAAAATGTCTTCAGGGTCACTTCTTTCCCTAACTTGGTCCCTCAGAGTTCTTTCCACTAGATATCCAGTGTGTTCAACCTAACTCCTATCTGCAGTGGGCCTCCAAATATTGCACCCCTATGGGCAGGGCTGTGTGTCATTTCCCTGGCCCCTATCTGGGTCAAAACTGTCATTCCTCCAGGGACCTGCTGGGCAACTAGCAAACTAATCTTCAATGTATTTTACCCAAGGTGTTAATGACAGATAATGGCTTAATGCATTACCCCTCCCAGCTAACATTTCCATTTTAATAGAGCCTTTAAATGCTTTAACCTGAAGGAAACAGCATGAAAAATGCAGGGATAGCAAATATCTGGCACCTTTGCTCCTTCCCTGTTCCTGGAAGACATCTTCAAATGGTCACTGAGGCTTTTCCTGCTATGCCTGGACATACCCTGAGAAGCCCATAGGGCCCTGGGCAGCCCCTACCAGCCTATGATGGGAGTTACCATGCAAGATGAAATCTATTTGCCAACCTTATCGTGAAACAAATATTTGTCCAGGAGTAAAAAGACCTGAATTCTACTTTGGGGCTTTGACATTACCTGGACATAGGGCCTAAACAAATTTATTAGACATTTCCAAGTCTCAGTTTCCTTACCCATAAAATGAGAGGACTGGCATTAGAGTCAAGCATTTCCAAAGCATAGTTCTCAATCTGCCAGGGACTCTCAAAATCTGACCTCACAGCTCTCCAAGCTGGTTGCTGCTACCACGTACCTCTTCCCATTTTTGCCTTGCTTCCCACAAGGGAAGGAAATTCACTCCCAACTGGGCACCACCTTTCTATCTCTATTTGGGGACCTTCCTGTCCCTGAAAGGCCCTGGGAACATAATGTAAAGCAACTATGGGGGCAGCTGCTAAGAAGCCAGATCTTGTGACACTAAGAGTCCAGTCACGTGGTTCAGAGTCCACAGCAACCTGTGGCGACTATGCAGTCATCAGCCAGAGAGGCAGAGCCTCTGTCTGGAGATGTGTCAGAAATGGGTGTGACTAGTCCCAGACACATCAAGTGAGGAAAAATCAGGTGTGCAGATTACGTTGTGTAAATGCCTTTCTAATTCTCAATGCTCCAGGAAGGAATCTCAGAGATTAAATTAAGCTGTTAACCCTCTAGGCGCTCCTGTCGTTTATTGTTAAGGAATTAATAGGAATGCGGGAATGCAGATGGCCTGGCTGTCAGCTCGGAGAGGCGATTTTTCTGATCTCCAAGGAGGTTTCCAGCATCTTTCATTAAGCACTCGTGTACCAACTTGTCATTTTAACCGAGCAGCAAAGAAACTCCCACTCAACTGCCTACCTCAGGTGCTGGGAGTGCAATCCTCGGAGGAGTCTTTCTGGGTTGCAGGTGCAGGGGAGGCGCCCAGGTGATGGGGGTGGGGTGCAGCGAGAAATGGATTTAAAGCCACTCCAGGAAGGAAATCGGATCCCAAAACCTGGTTGTCCTGGGCACAGGCTTCAGGTGACTGCAGAAGATTCCTCTCTAGCAATCCTGAACTGAGCAGAGATGTGAAAACTTACTTCTTTCCGCTTTCTCGAAGCGCTCCAGGACGCAGGTGGCACGCTCAACGCGGGGAGGCGCCACCTACAGGACAGAGGAAGACCTGCAGCTTGGGCTTGAGATTTCAACAGTCTGTGGCGGGGGCTGATGAGGGCGGCCCCTCCTCCTCCTGGAGTAATAATAGTCCCTGACATTTATCGAATGCTCTTCTCGTGCCAGACACTGTCCTGAGCACTTGACATGTATTAATGATTTTAAACCTCACAACAACCCTATTAGGTAGGTGTTATTTTCATCTTCATTTTATGGAATAGAAAACCACAGTTCCAGGAGAGAGAGTAATTTGCCCCAAGTCACCCAGTTAGGAAGTGGGAAGTGGAGACCCCGACCCTGAGTAGGCACTAAGGCGGGTGTGGTGGGATGGTTAGAGTCGGGCGCAACTCTACTCATGGTTCACAGCATTCAACTCTATGGGCCCTCAATTCTGCAGCTTTGGTTTACCATTTTTTGAGACTCGCTTACTCGTCTGGAAAGGAAATCTTTGCTAAGGTAATCATAACCTTGTATAATTTTTAAAGAGATGGAAAATGACAAACATCGCATATTCTCACTTATTTGTGGGATCTAAGAAAACAATTGAACTCCTGGAGATAGTGGAAGGATGGTTACCAGAGGCTGGGTAGTGGGGGGCCTGAGGGGGAGGTAGGGTGGTTAATGGGCACAAAAAAAAAAAAAATAGAAAAAACGAATAGGACCTAATATTTGATAGTACAACAGGGGGACTATGGTCAATAATACTTTAATTGTACATTTTGAAACAACTAAGAGTATAATTGTATTGTTTGTAACACAAAGGATAAATGCTTGAGGGGATGGATACCCATTTTCCATGATATAATTCTTACACATTGCATGCCTGTACCAAAATATCTCATGTGCCTCATAAGTGTATACACCTACTATTTACCCACAAACATTTTTGAAAAACCAAGGCGAAAAAGTGGGCACAGTGGGGCAGGGATGCTGGAGATTGTGTATCTCTCATCAGTTCATTTTTTCAGTTATATAGATGAGTATGAGAGAGGTAAGGGACCCAACCACGTGCACAATCTCAGTGACAGCGCAAGAACTGGAACCCAGATTTCCTCACTCCCAGCCCAGTGCTTTCCCCCCGTGCTACATTCATTCTTTAATCATCCATTGACAGGATGGATTCTGTATGTGGGATGGAAGGTAATCACACACAGTGTGGCTTCAGAGGCTCCAGGCCCACCCTCTGACCAAAATATACATTTCCTTTTTTTTTTTTTTTTTTTTTGAGACAGGGTTTTGCTCTGTTGCCCAGGCTGGAGTACAGTGACGCAATCTCGGCTCACTGCAACCTCCACCTCTGGCTTCAAGCAATTCTTCTGCCTCAGCCTCCTGAGTAGCAGGGATTACAGGCACACTCTACCACACCCAGTTAATTTTTGTATTTTTAGTAGAGATGGGGTTTCGCCATGTTGGCCAGGCTGGTCTCAAACTCCTGGCCTTTAGTGATCCGCCTGCCTCGACCTCCCAAAGTTCTGGGATTACAGGTGTGAACCACCATGCCCGGCTCAAAACATACTTTAAAAAAAACCTGGTGGCTGTTGCGTAAAATTCCACCATTAGTGGCTCATTTTATTCACTAAGACTTTGATCCTATCCACTTAGGACCAGTAAGGCTTTTAACTGTTGGCCATCATTTCATGTGTATGTAATTGAGTTCTAAAGCAGCGCTACTCAAAGTGTGGTCCACAGACAGCAGCATCAGTATCATCTGCAAGCTTGTTAGAAACGCAGGTCATGGCTTTCACCCAGACCTACTGAGTCAGAATTGCCCTAGTTCTCAAACTTCTGTGTATGTGCTTAACTTCTCATCTGAAGAGCTTATGAAAACACAATTTCCTGAGACAACTGTTCCCCACCTCAAACCCAGAGATTCTGATTCAGCAAGTCTGGGGAATGCACCCCAAAATTTGCATTTCTAACAGGCTCTCAGGTGATGCACCTGAGACCAGCTACTGCTGGTCTGGGGACTATACTTTCAGTAGGACCTAAGGAGTTCCTGATAACAGATATTGGGGAGGGAGAAGAGGGAGAATGAGCACACTGAGGTAGAAGAAGGAAAGGTTATCACCAAGGGTGCAAAGGGTACAGAATATGAAGCCTTGGAGTCAAAAACTGCTGAGGGTGTGAGTGCACAATCACGTCTTTCCATTTGAATACATTCAAATATTTAGATCCTTAAGTGATTCAATACAATGCATGCATGTTTGTTAGCTGGATTTACTGAGCCTATGGTAAAATCTGCTCTTGCATCACCTTTTGCTGAGCCCTGCCTGTCTCAGTTACAAATGAAAATCTTTCCAGTCCTCTCTGACCATCAGTTAGTTTTCCAATTTCATTCCAGAGTTAACTGCACTGTAGCAGCAGACAAAACTGGCCCGATGGCAGGAATACTGTTCCCCGATGGTATCAGAGCCATCTGTATTTATGTTTGCTGTGTGACTGTCACTTGTATACAATCATGCAGAGACTCTGATATTAAGACTTGGCCTGGAAATCACCCCCATGGCACAGCTCTGGTGGAAAAGGAAAAGGGGATTCAGTGGCAACCAGATATCAAACACAAATTACATTGCCCTTGTACCAAAACAGGCATCTTTAAGAAATCATGTCTTCTGGTCTTCCTTTGCTATACTTCAGGTAATATGGTACCCAGAGGAACCCAGAGAGATAACAACCTCTTCTATTTGTAAAGACCACTTGTGAAGGAAACTCCATAACCTCCCTGTGGTGGAGTGTATTATTGCTCAGCAAACATTCATTCTTCTCTATTTCCCTCCGTTGGGGGAGCAAACTTCCCCACTCCATTGATGATGGGTCTAGCCATGTGACTTGTTTTAGCCAATGGAATGTAAACAGAGGCTTTAACTCTACTTGCTTGGTTAAGCTTGGTCTCTTGCACCTCTACCCTTTGCCACGAGAAGAGCATGCCCTTGTCACTTCGGCCTGAGTCCCAGAATGAGAAGTTACATGGAGCAGACCTGAACAAGATTCACAACCTGAACAGAATCACTGCAGCCAATCCACAAACCTGTGAGCAAAAAATAAATGTTATAAATTTCTGAGATTTTAGATTAGTTGTTATGCAGCATTATTTTAGTAAAGTTGACTGATACACTCCCTCAGGTACCTGTTCCACTGAACTTTTGCTGCAAAGTTCTTCATTGTGTCTAACCTAAATCCGTCATACATTAATGTAAAGATCTATCTCATTTGTGGTCCAAATGAGGGATCACTAGATTACATCTTTGATTCTAAATGTCCAAATCTAGCTTGAATTGTTTACTATATATTTAGATGAATAAAATAGAGGTGCATTCAGGGAATTATTTGCATTTACAAAGTATCATCTATGGTTTTCCTTATTGGAGCTATTAGAAGGTGGGTCCTTAAGAAGTGATCGTCTTCAGGAACCAGAAAAGTAGCAATGGGAGAGATGAGAGTTTGGAAGCCTAATTAAAATATTATAGAACTGAGCCAGGTGTGGTGGCTCACACCTGTAATCCCAGCACTTTGGGAGGCCGAGGCAGGCAGATCATGAGGTCAGGAGTTTGAGACCAGCCTGGCCAACATAGTGAAACCCTGTCTCTACTAAAACTACAAAAAATTAGCCAGGTGTGGTGGTGCACACCTGTAATCCCAGCTACTTGGGAGACTGAGGCAGGAGAATCTCTTGAGCCCAGGAGGCAGAGGTTGCAGTGAGCCAAGATCGCACTATTGCACTACAGCCTGGGTAACAGCAAGATTCAGCCTTGAGGAAAAAAAAAAGTCATAGAACTGCCTTATTTTCTCTTATCTTTCTTTCCTAGCAGTTTATAAATTATTTATTTCCTAGCAATTTGCAATTATTTTATTTGCCTATTTTCTTTCTTTTTATTTGTCTGTCTCCCCCATTAGAAAGTGTTTCCATAAAGGCAGGAACAATGTTTGTCATATTCACAACTTTATCCTCCAGTACTCAGCAAACTCTGGCATGTAGCAGTCCCAAAAAAAAAAAAAAAAAAAAAAAATTCAGTAGAGACAGGGTTTCACCATGTTGGCCAGGCTGGTCTCAAACTCCTGGCTTCAGGTGATCCACCCTTTTCAACCTCCCAAAGTGCTGGGATTACAGGCGTGAGCCACTGTGCCTGGCCAAAAAAAAATTGTTAAATAAATTCTTTCTAATAAGGGCATGTCACTAGAGCAGGTAAGGGGGAAATAATGAAAAAGAGATAGGATTTACAGTCTAAACATCTGGCTTCTACACTATGTGATCTTAGATAGTTCAGTGGTGTCTTACTCTGCTCCAGCTGCTGTAACAAAATACCATAGACTAGGTGGCTTATAAACAGCAGAAATTTATTTCTTACAATTCTGAAGGCTGGGAAGTCCAAGATCAAGGTGCTGGTAGATTTGGTGGCTGGTAAAGGCCTGCTTCTTCATAGGTAGTGCCTTCTTGCTGTGTCCTCACATGGTGGGAAGAGCAAGCTAACTCTCTGGGACCACCTCTTTTATGAGGGCACTAATCCCATTCACGAGGTCTCTACCATTAGGACCTAATCCCTTCCCGAAGGTCCCATCCTATACCATCACCTTGGGGGCTAGGATTTAATATATGAATTTGGGGGAAACATAAAGATTCACTCCATTGTAAATGGGCACCTAATTGTGAAAAACTTTGAATCATAATAATACTCAGTCAATGGAGAGCCACTGAGTAATTTTGAGCTGTGGAAGGACCGATCAAGACAGCATCTTGATAGCCGGGCATGGTGGTGCATGCCTGTAATCTCAGCTACTCAGGAGACTGAGGCAGAAGAGTCACTTGAACCTGGGAGGTGGAGGTTGCAGGGAGCCGAGATTGCGCCACTGCACTCCAGCCTGGGCCACAGAGCAGGACTCTGTCTCAAAAAAAAAAGCATCTTGAGATGATATATGTGATCACTGTGTTCAGAGATGGTTTAGCAGAGAGAGGGAGCAGTTAGAAGGTAATTTCAAGGTGAAGGAATAAGGGCCTAAAGTGTGGGGTGGCAGTGGGAGTGAAAAGGAATGAGATTTGGATGGATGGAAGATTCAATAGTTCTATCACCTGATGGGAAAGGGAGGCAGGAGAGAGAGGGTGCCTAAGGAAGCGCCATGATTTTATACCTGTATAGCTGAAATAATAGAAATGCTCTTAATAGATACATGGAAGTTGGAGAAGAGGCCAGCTGTGTTTGGGAGAAATGATAATGTATTTTAGACAATAGAATTTAGACAATGGCTGGTTATGAAGCGAAAATGCCTAGCCCTTAGGTAGAAATTCAGGACTAGGCCAGGCACAGTGGATCATGCCTGTAAGTCCCAGCACTTTGGGCGGCCAAGTAGGGTGGATTGCTTGAGTCCAGGAGTTCAAGACCAACCTGGGAAACATGGCAAAGCCCGGCTTTACTAAAAATACAAAAACTTAGCTGGGCATGGTGGTGCGCACCTGTAATCCCAGCTACTCGGGAGGCTGAGGTGAGAGAATCACCTGAGCCCAGAAGGTCAAGGCTGCAGTGAGCTGAAGTCACACCACTGCACTCCAGCCTGGGGGATCAGAGTGAGACCCTGCCTCACAAAAAGAAAGAATAGAAAGAAAGAAATTCAGGACTACACCTTCAGAGAGAAGTCAGAACAGAAAACCGCTTGTGGTCATTGGACTCATGGAGGTGACAGGTATAGGAAGAGAAAAGCCAGAGACTGAAGCCAGCTTGGCACACTGCCTAGTTAGCAAGGGCAGGTGGGGGAAGCCGTGGCTGGTGAAAGGGATAGAGAAACAAAATCAGCAGAGGGTCTCAGAAGCCAAGAAAAGGGAGAATTTTGTGGGGTTTTTTTTTGTTTGTTTGTTTGCTTGCTTTGGTTTTTGTTTGTTTGATTGCTGGGATTACAAGCATGAGCCACTGCACCTGGCTGGAAAGGGAGAATTTTGATGTCCAGCCCTGTCTTCTCTGCGACCAGCATTGGCTGTCAGACTTCTTAGGGAGCTCTCCTGTAGGAGCAGAGCGTAACATCCTTTAACCAGACTGTGTTGTCTCTAACCACCTGGGTGGCTGAGGGAGTCCCAAGGCTTTGTGAGCCTTTGAAAGAAAAATCCAGGGAAGGGAAAATGGAGAAATATAATCAATAACAACAGCCTCGTTTTTTCCACTTCATATGCAGGAAGCAGTCCAGGGCTGTAGCTGCTGCTATGCTGGGTGTACTCTGGATATTCAAAAGGTCATCTGGCATAGAGACAGGCTAAATTATGGCTGGAGTGTATGAATCTGAGGAGGTTCTCCATTAACATTTATTAGGAATTGTCATCACTTCAACTCGAATGGGCCCCAGATGTGGAAACCCCGGCTGCCCCAGACTTCTCTTCTGGGCTGCAATCTCTCCTCTGATTTATTGTTATTAAACATGACCAGATTTTGTAGAGGGGAAAATTGAAGAAAGCAACACACGCATGGGGAACCATTGGGTGGAGGCTGCCAAGAGAAAAACAAACCATTTTATAATTTCTGGTGGCAGTGGGAACACATGGAGATGAGAGCTATTGTTACGAGGCTCCATAGAGCCTATTTCCTAAATCAAAAAGACACAAGCCTCAACTTCCAGGCAGTCTGTTTGAAGGGCAAATGTCCTAACCCTGAGGATGAGAGAGGGGCAGTTGAAGACAATGAGAAAGGCTAAGAATAGAGAGTTAGTGCTTAGAATTTGGGAAGCCATGGCAGGGATCCTCTTCCTTAAAATATATTACCTTACAGGGTGGATGGCTTCCTGGGAGTCATCACACCCCCACTGGATGTTAGGTCATTATGCTTATCAATAATATTTACTCTCTCATTGTGTAAATATTGCAAGGGATACCAAGAAGTCAAAATTAGAGTCCCACCTTCTGGTGATCTATTTCCTGTCTTTACTCAACATAATTTTATGAAGCACATCCTAGGTATCAGGCACTGCTGAAAGTGTTGAGGGAATATTAGTAAATGAAAGAGACAAAGACTCTCTCAGAGTGCTCTCTGAGCACTCACAAATCTGTAGGGGACAAACTCAGGAAGTAATTAAAATTAGCTACTAGACAAAAGTGTATAAAAGGAAGGCAGCTTAAAGAAAGACACCGTGTTAAGAGTCAGAACACCTGAACTCCAGTCCTGGCTCTACCGCCTAAGAGTCTTATGACTTCAGATGAGTTGGTACATTATTTAACTTTTGTGAACCTCGATTGTTTTTTGGGTTGTTTTGTTTTGTTTTTGAGACAGGGTCTCACTCTGTCACTGAGGCTGGAGTGCAATGGTGAGATTATGGCACATTGCAGCCTTAACCTCCCAGGTTCAAATGATTCTCCCACTTCAGCCTCCCAAGTAACTGGGACTGCACGTGCATGCCACCATGTTGGGCTAAGTTTTATATTTTTTTAGAGACGAGGGTCTCACTATGTTACCCAGCCTGGTCTCAAACTCCTAACCTCAAGCGATCCTCCCATCTCAGCCTTGCAAAGTGCTGGGATTACATGCATTAGCCACTGCACCCAGCCAAACATGAGCTCCTTGTTTGCAAAATAGTAATAAACCTGCCCTAACTATCTCACAGGTTTGTGTAAAAATTAAATGTGGTAATGTAGTCAAAGAGTTCCTTATAAACTAAATTGCTCTATGGCGTCAGGTTTGTAAGTGCCAAATAAATGGAAAGGTGGGTGTTATGGGATGGTTCATTTGCTTGCCAGGAACCTGGGGACACATCCTCTTCCGCTTTCTTTCAGGAAAAGGGGCAAGCAGGACTATCCCCAGGCCACCAGATACATGCCCCTTGGGGAGTCATTTACTAGTAGGGTCTGAATATCTGGTGCTGACTTCACTAGCAAGCCATCACTGGGAAGCCCTCCCTTACTGTGGCTCCTGTTCTTAGAACAGTGCATGGAAATTATCCCATGTGGGAACTATGGTAAGTGAACATAGATAATGAGGAAAGTCTCAGAAGGGCTACATCTAATTATTGTTCTTGCATTGTCCTCCTTTCAGAAAATTGTCTACATTCCTGCCTGGGCATGGTGGCTCATGCCTGTAATCCAGCACTTTGGGAGGCCGAGGTGGGCGAGTCACTTGAGTCAGGAGTTCGAGACCAGCCTGGCCAACATGGTGAAACCCTGCCTCTACTAAAAATACAAAAAATTAGCTGAGCATGGTGGTGCATGACTGTAATCCCAGCTACTTGGGAGGCTGGGTCAGGAGAATCGCTTTAACTGGGAGGTGGAGGTTGCAGTGAGCCAAGATCACGCCACTGCACTCCAGAGTGGGAAACAGAGCAAGACTCCACCTCAAAAAGAAGAAGGAGAAGGAGAAGGAGATTATCTACATTCCTGAGGAGGAGAAGTTGTACTTAAACTACCTTGATCCAACTTCCAGCTTTACAATCATTGCCCCCCACCATGCATATATCATACATATATACCTGCTAGCATGAATACCTGCATCATATCTAGAATTAATGGGAATAGTCATAGGGCCAATCTTTCTTATATCAAGCAAGCTGAACAAGGGTCCAAGGGATAAGGCCACAGCTACTTCCTCCTGCTTTAGAACAGAGCTAAATAAACCTGTTCCTAAGTCTTGTGAGTTATTGCATCCTTGCCTTATAAGGAATGAAGACTTAACCTGCTTCCTGGCAGTCATTACTAACTGAGTGAAGATTCCCATTAATCCAGAAATGGGAGCCTCTCTGGCTTGCATATGTCCAGGAATGGACATACCACCCACAGTTTTACTCCTGGTGGCCAATCGGTCCCGCACACAAACACAGGCACATCTTTTATTTAATGCTCAAGATTTGTGAACAACTCCCAGCACTGTGCCTTCCAAAGGGCTTGCATTAAGTGCTGGTGAAGGAGCAGGGACCTCTATCATGGCCAGAGCCAGTCAATAATGACACCCTGGCAGCTCTCAAAGGTGCACGAGTGGAATGGCCATTGAGCTACTCCATGCAATGAAAAGTTCTAATGGGGAGTGGGGACACTTCTCTCCCCAGTCCCATCCCATGGCTTGGCTGAAAATTTTTTTCTTTTGGGAGATCACTGGCTTTCTCCAGCAACCTTGACTATAAGGATGAGGATGAGGAGAAAAAATAAGAACTGCCGAGTGTGGTGGCTCACGCCTGTAATCCCAGCACTTTGGGAGGCTGAGGTGGGTGGATCACAAAGTCAGGAGTTCAAAACCAGCCTGGCCAAGATGGTGAAATCCCGTTTCTACTAAAAATACAAAAGAAAAAAAAATTAGCCAGGCGTGGTGGCGAGTGCCTGTAATCCCAGCTACTGGTGAGGCTAAGGCAGAGAATTGCTTGAACCAGGGAGGCAGAGGTCACAGTGAGCCGAGATCATGCCACTGCACTCCAGCCTTTGCAACAGAGTGAGACTCTGTCTCAAAAAAAAAAAAAGTACACAGGGGAGGTTGTGGGGAATTTGGAATATTCCCTAAGGATTTCCTCCATTGAAGAGGTCTGCTTTAAAGTACTGGGGGTCCACAAACTCACCCCATTTCCAGCTTGGCCTTGGGAGAAGAGGAGGACAGAGAACAGAATTCTGGATTGTTACTAGGTAGTTGGGCTGCATCAGGAAGACATTTTGGTAGAAGGAGAGGAAAGAGAGGTAGGAAGTGGGAAGGGAAGCACTAAGGGTTTTTTTTTTGACCCTGATCCCCTTAGCTAGACAAGCTCAGTGGGGCTTAGGATGGAGGTCAGGGATAGCCTAAGATCCTGTTACTGAAAGGGTAGTCTCCAGCCAGCAGCATCAGCATCACCTGGCTCTTAGGCTTCACCCCAGACCTACTGAATCAGAAACTGCATTTTAATCCCTAGGTGATAAGTATGTCCAATAAAATTTCAGAAGCATTAGCCTAGATGCTTCAATGGGAATAACTTCTTGCAGTGAGCTATTGAGGAACTGTGCTGGATAATCTCTCTGCCCTTCCAAATCCACTTGCCATCCTTATTCCCCTGCTCTTGGGACTAAGAAGTGAATTGATGAATTCGCTTCCTTTATTCATTGCTTCAACAGGCTCCCTTGTCATCTGGCTTCTGGTTGGGCTCAGCCAATGGTCAGTGCTCAAGAAGCAGTGACTTAAGTGACATTAATAGTGACTTTACCAGCCAGGCAGGGTGGCTCATGCCTGTAATCCCAGCACTTTGGGTGGCCAAGACGGGTGGATCACCTGAGGTCAGGAGTTTGAGACCAGCCTGGCTAACATGGTGAAATCCTGTCTCTACTAAAAATACAAAAATTAGCCAGGTGTGGTGGCATGTGCCTGTAGTCCCAGCTACTCAGGAGGCTGAGGCAGGAAAATCGCTTGAATCTGGGAGGCAGAGGTTGCAGTGAGCAGAGATCGTGCCACTGCACTCCAGCCTGGGCAACAGAGAGAAACTCCATCTCAAAAAAGAAAAAAAAATAGTGACTTTACCTGAAGTTTTTATAGGGAAACAGGAGAATGCATTTATAATTTTTTATGCAGCAAGCCACTGGAAAAGGCTGAGGGTAGCATCAGGATATTTATTCCCCCAGCTGGGCCTCAGGTTGACAGTGGCTATGTTCCTCAACTAAAGGCCACAGCTCCTGTGGGCCAACCCTCTCCTACAACTCTCTCCAGACTGTGAGGACTGCTCCTTCCCAATCCTTTAGGCCTCGAGTGGTCATTATTCCCTATTCTGGCTAACCGCACCATTTCTTATGGGTTTCTCTGAACCCTGCCCATATCTTTGTAAATATGCCTGCATTAAACTTTACTCAGACAAACCCCATTTGAGTGTGCCATCTGTTTTCCAACAGGACTGTGATCAATAAGGTACCCTGGAGAACAGAACCAGAAAGAATTCTTGCTCATGGCTAGGGAATTGACCTAGATGAGTATTTTCAATTAAAGAATCTTTGAGATCGAAATAACCATTTTTCAATTCAGCATGTTATTTCTTCGTGAATCTTGTTTTTAGAAATGAAAAATATATCACAGAAGCACTTGGCACTTTCTCCAACATGCCTCAGCTTCTGTGCTCCGGCCTGCCTGAGTGCAGGTGCAAGTGCAGGTCACAAGGAGGGAAGTGAAGCTGCCACATTCTTGCTCATGAGCACTGATTGTTAAACTGTCAAGAATTTTGCAAAAATAAATTGTTTTTAAAAAGAACTAAAATTGGCCAGATGTTGTGGCTCATGCCTGTAATCCCAGCACTTTCAGAGGCCGAGGCAGGCACATCACCTGAGGTCAGGAGTTGGAGACCAGCCTGGCCATCATGGTGAAACCCTGTCACTACTAAAAATACAAAAATCAGCCAGGCATGGTGGTGGGTGCCTATAATCCCAGCTACTCAGGAGGCTGAGGCAGGAGAGTTTCTTGAACCCAGGAAGCAGAGGTTGCAGTGAGCTGAGATCACACCATTGCACTCCAGCCTGGGCAATAAGAGCAAAACTCCGTCTCAAAAAAAAAGAAAAGAAAACAAACTAAAATGGTATAAAGTTACAATAAATTATATGTATATATATACAAACATATATATTTATGCACACACACACACACACACATATATATATAGGTTTTTTTGAGACTGAGTCTCATTCTGTCACCCTTGAACCTCCCAGGTTCAAGCGATTCTCATGCCTCAGCCTCCCAAGTAGCTGAGATTACAGGTGTGTGACAAAATGCCTGGCTAATTTTTGTATTTTTATTAGAGACGGAGTTTTGCCATGTTGGCCAGGCTGGTCTTGAACTCCTGACCTCAAATGATCCTCCCGCCTCAGCCTCCCAAAGTACTGGGATTATAGGTGTGAGCCACCGTGCCTATACGTGGCCCAAATTATATTAAAAGAAAAAAAGATACTAAATATCATCACTTCCTAATTATTTTGCTAAATTTCATTGCTATCTAACCTTTTAGGGTTATTTATGTCTGGTGTACCTAGGTGGTAGAAACACTATAACTGCACATCTCTTCCTAATCCTGTTTTCAATGATGTCATGAAGAAAGTTGAAATCAGGCATGGTGGAATTATTTACACCAAGGAAATAGACGAATGCAACAAATCAGGACTTAACTTTTTTTCTGGAAAGCTGTTTGTTAAATATTTTCCAGGAGAAAGGGAATCCTTTGAGATGATCATGTTATTTGGACTTGTGTGGTTTTAAGGGAGATCCATATGCTTGGTTTCTATTGTGAGAAAGCAAAGTGCAATAGACTTGGCACTGGACTAGAAAGGACAAACTAAACTGTTCTCTCTAAACAGGAGTGAAGGTTAGTTCTCTTTGGCTTCTTAGGACAGGATGGATTAAGTAGACCTTTTAGCATGGGGAGATGTGTATTATATTAATAAATAGCTTTCTTTCACAGTTGTTTGTTTAAAATCTCTGAAAGTACTTTACATCTATGACCTCTTTCATCTATCAAGTATCTGAGTGACCAAGGAAAGAAGCAATAAAGATTTTTGTGTTTTTTTTGTGACAGAGTCTCGCTCTGTCACCTAGGCTGGAGTGCAGTGGCACAATCTTGGCTCACTGCACCCTCTGTCTCCTGGGTTCAGGCAATTCTCCTGCCTTAGCCTCCCGAGTAGCTGGGACTACAGGCGCACGCCACCATGCCCGGCTAATTTTTGTATAGAGATGGGGTTTTGCCATGTTGGCCAGGCTGGTCTCGAACCCCTGGCATCAAGCAATCCACCTGCTTCAGCCTCCCAAAATGCTGGGATTACGGGAGTCAGCCACTGTGCCCAGCCAAGATACTTCTTAAATATAGAAAAACTGGGGACCCATGGAGGTTAAGTGACCTTTTTAACCTCAAAAACTGAGGCCCAGAAGGGCAACGCACTACAGTATCCAGAGCCCTCCTCCAACAGCTGTCACTTGTGTGACCTTGAGCAAGTTGTCCATATTTTCTGAGCCTGTATCTTCATCTGTGAAAAGTTATAGGGGAAATAAATGAAAGAATATGTGTAAATCACCAGATTTTGTGATTGATGTTCTAAAAATTGTGAGTTTAATAGATATACTCAAAGATTTTGTAGGGGAGAAAGAGAGAGCTTACATTATGCAGCACAGACAACTTGAAGGGGCACAATGGGCATCATTGTTGTTAAACACCCATTTGTCAATCCAACGGTATGGAGTTTCACTTCTCCCTTCTCCACACCTGGCCTCTCTCCATCCCGTTGGTGCCTTGCTCCTCCTCCTCTTTTTTCTCTTCTCTCTCTCATGCAGAGCAATATTCTCCCTTCTCTGAAGTTGTGAGCACATCTGCCATGTGTTAAGCACATCAAGGCATTCTTCTAAGCAGAATTCCCTTCCTAAGAGAAATTCTGTTAGTAAAGTTGTTACTTTATTATACATACGGAATCATTTGCAAAGGGTATTCCCATTCACTATTTCCTTTGAATCTCAGAGCCACCCTGTGGCAAGAATTACAATTATAACCACTTTACATTGGGAGATACCGAAGCTTAGGGAATTGCTCAGGGTCATAACTTAAAAGTGGCTGAGGGGCTGAGCGTGGTGACTCATGCCTGTAATTCCAGCACTTTGAGAGGCTGAGGCAGGAGGATCTCTTGAGCCCAGGAGTTCAAGACCAGCCCGGGGAACATAGTGAGATCTTGTCTCAACAAAATATTTTTAAAATTAGCTGGGGGTGTTTCTCCCAGCTACTTGGGAGGCTAAGGTGGGTGGATCACTTGAGCCTGAGAGGTTGAGGCTGTGGTGAGCCATGGTCACACCACCGCACTCCAGCCTGGGTGACAAAGCATAAGAGACCCTGTCTCAAAAAAAAAAAAAAAAAAAAAAAAAAAGACTGAGGCAGGAATTGAACCTGGCAAGGTACCTCACAGCATGCTGGTCGTGCTTCCTCACTCTTCAGAGGCGGCATGTTCTAGTTGGCCTCCTGAAGGAAACTACTAATTTTGTTTTCTCTGCCATTCAGTGAGCATCTAGATTGAGAGCCCCACATAGGTCACTTCCTGAGCAAGATGTCAGGAGCTGGGTTAGGGTTGTAATTCCTTTCCTAGCTTGTTGTACAGCCTCGAGCAAGGAGAAGATTTGAGAGGCAGAAAGGTAGCGCGTTGGGAAAAAATGCTATGTTCCAGGCATTATATGCTAGAACTTTACATTGATTACTTCATCTAATCTTCACTAGAATTCTGTGTGAGATAGCATCAATATTTTAATTTTAAGTAAAATTAAATTGTGGAAACTGAGGCTCAAAGAGCTGATGAAATTTGTTCATGGTCATACGGATAAGAAATGATGGAGATGGGATTTGAATCTTTGTCTCTGGGACTCTAAATTCTATCTGCATTTCCTCATGTCATGTTGTCCCTCTGGGCCTTGGGGCCTTTTTAAAATGTAAATCCAGGCAACTAACTCCTCTGAATCCCACCTCACATGTCTGTCAACTGCTGGATTATGTTCCTAATCCGGCAGGGGTCGCAAGGCTGGGAAACCTTCATGCCACTATCAATCTTCTCCCCAGTTCAGAGGTCAGAGGCTCTCTTTACTCCAGCCCCCTCCTCCACCTCTGGGATGGGGCCACATTTCACCTGAGGATTAACAGCCACACCTCTCTACTTCTGCGGAGGATAGAGGGCGACTATGAAGGATGGTGTGTCTCCCCACCCACATCTCATACCTAGCCTGGGGCGGACTGTTCATTAGGGGCAGGCAGGGAGGAGGCGAACCAAGATAGCACAGAGATCCATCAAGGTGCCAAGCTGACAGGTGCACACACCTGTTTCTAGCCAGAGGAGCTAGAGGCCAGTGGGAACCTGCCTCATAGGAGAGGACTTTGTCTGGAAAGAGAAGGGAGGAAGAAAAAACAACAACAGCAACTGAGAGTGGATCACTCTAATTACATGGCTCTAAATCACCGAGAAGAACCTTGGCTCAAACATCCAAGTGGTGGAGGATGGATTTTTACCTTGACTCCCGCTAATTTTCATTGATTTATGGGGCTTGAAAGCATTTATTTTCTGCTCAGAGGCAGCCCAGCTCCTGCTAAGGAGGTGCAGGACTCCCCTAAATGCTGTCACCATGGAGAGGCGAGCAGCAGAGGTGGCTCTCAGGGCAACAGCTACATTTCCTGCTCAGTTCCAGTTGCTACCTAAGAGCTGGGAGGGTCCAATGGGAGCTGCTGGCCCTGCTGTGACAGCCTCCCCACTCCTGTCCCCAGAGCCTGCCTGCTTCTGGTCACAGCTACTTGAGTTTAACACTCCTGGCAGCTTAGCACTCTGGTTTTTATGTGTGAAGCCGTAATATTTGGTGAGCTGTGAGATGAGGTGGCAAGATTTGCAACTGGCATTCCCTTCCGGCCCTGCCCTGTGATTCAGGTCAGTGGTGTGACAAAGTGAGGCCACCCCTCCTCCCCACTCTGGCTTCCCACCTGTGGCTATTTGGAATGATGTCTTTCCTTCGTTTTCTCCTCTTCCCCCATCCCATGCCTGATAGACTCCCGTAGCTCTTGGCTTTCAAAAGGGGGTATTCAGTCCTCACATTCCAAACCATCTGCTCAATTAAACATTTTAAACAGCAATTCTGAGTCTGCCCAGGACCACATTCCAAAAGGTGGGTGTCAGGAGATAGGCTTTCTAAATGTCAGAGGCTCTGTGAAAATCTTAACTGATGAGGAAGTGGGCCAGCTAGAAAGCATCACGTTTTCTTGGAGATTAGAAACATAAGACTCAGTGTCCATACTTTCAAAATTCCTCTTCCTGAGGCACATGATGAGTCATTTGAGCATCTCTAGTCCTTTTCTCCAGGTCTGTATTCCCTGAGCCTTCCTGCCCTGTTTCCTGAGCCAGGGTTGAAGTTCAGATTCCTGTGGGTCCCCCCAGGCATCCTCCTTATCTGCAGTTGTCTTAATTTCTGTCCCATCTTCCCACCCATTCCAGTTGCAGCTGCCTTCCAGGAATAGAGTAAGATTTATCATAATATGATGGTACAAGGAGGAAGAAAATTAAACATTTTTATGAGATAGTTTTGAGTATATATTAATAGAGGCCAGGCGCAGTGGCTCACGCCTGTAATCCCAGCACTTTGGGAGGGTGAGGCAGGAAGATCACTTGAGGTCAGGAGTTTGAGACCAGCCTGGCCAACATGGTGATGCCCTGTCTCTACTAAAAATACAAAAATTAGTTGGGCATGGTGGTGGGCACCTGTAATCCCAGCTACTGGGGAGACTGAGGCAGGAGAATCACTTGAACCCAGGAGGCGGAGGTTGCAGTGAGCCGAGATCATGCCATTGCACTCCAGGCTGGGCAACAGAGTGAGACTCATTCTCAATAATAATAATAATTATTATTATTATTATTATTATAGAGCTTTGTAATAAAATTATTACTGATTCTGAGCTAGCTGTAGGCCCAGCCTTCAAGAAAACAGGAGCAGAGAGATCTCCTAAAATGTCTTTAAAACTGGGGAGTCTTCAGCCTAGACAACATAGCAAGACCCTATATTAGTCCGTTTTCACGCTGCTGATAAAGACATACCCGTGACTGGGAAGAAAAAGAGGTTTAATTGGACTTAACAGTTCCACATGGCTGGAGAGGCCTCAGAATCATGGCAAGAGGCGAAAGGCTCTTCTTACATGGCAGAGGCAAAAGAAAATGAGGAAGAAGCAAAAGCAGAAACCCCTGATAAACCCATCGGATATCGTGAGACTTATTCACTATCACGAGAATAGCACGGGAAAGACCAATCCCCATGATTCAATTACCTCCCCCTGGGTCCCTCCCACAACATGTGGGAATTCTGGGAGATACAACTCAAGTTGAGATTTCAGTGGGGACACAGCCAAACCATATCATTCTGCCCCTGGCCCCTCCAAATCTCATGTCCTCACATTTCAAAACCAATCATGCTTTATCAACAGTCCCCCAAATCTTAACTCATTTCAGCATTAACCAATATCAGACCTCATCTCTACCAAAGGTAGAAAAAAATTAGCTGGGAATGGTGGTGCGCACCTGTAGTCCCAGCTACTTGGGAGGTTGAGGTGGGAGGATCACTTGGCCCTGGGAAGCGAGGCCTCAGTGAGTTGTAACTGCACCACTGTTCTCCAGCCTGAGTGATAGAGAGAGACTCTGTCTCAAAAAAAAAAAAAAATTAAATGGAGAACATCTTACACATTTGGTATGGATTGGCACTATGACTTAGAGGTAGTAGAATTAGTCAGAAAACTTCTGGACTCTTGCAAATAGTTAGAATGAAAGATTAAGCTTATCTGATAAAGATGTCTCAAAATTCAATGGTTCAAGACAGAAGTTTATTTTTTAGCAAGCGGCTCTGCTTCATGCAGTCATGCAGGGGCCCAGGTTCCTTCTATCTTGCTTTTCCACCATTCCCTAGCCTGTAGCCTTTTTTTTTTTTTTTTCTGGGACAGGTTTTTCACTCTGTTGCCCAGGCTGGAGTACAGTGCATGATCATAGCTCATTGCAGCCTTGAACTCCGGGGTTCAAGTGATCCTCCTGCCTCAGCCTCCCAAGTAGCTGAGACTACAAGGGCACACCACCTTGCCCAGCTAATTTTTGTTCTTATTAGGTTACCCAGACTGGTCTCAAACTCCTGGCCACCGGTGATCCTCCTGCCCCAGCCTCCCAAAGCTCTGGGATTACAGGTATGAGCCCACTGTGCCCAGCGGCACCCCCTCCACCTTTTTCTTTAAAAAAATAAATAGTGGCAAGCTCTTGCTATGCTGCCAAGACTAATCTCAAACTCTTGGGCTTAATTGATCTTCCCACCTTGGACTCCCAAAATGCTGGGATTACAGGACAACACCCAGTCAGGTATAGCCTTTGTCTGCATGATCCAAGCTAGATTGTGGGTACACTCATGTTCTAGGTCTCAAGAAGAATAAAAAATATGGATGAGGCACCTTTCTTTTTTCTTTTTTTTCTTTTTCTTTTCTTTTTTTTTTTCAGACAGAACCTCACTCTGTCACCCAGGCTGGAGTGCAGTGCCACGATCTCGGCTCACTGCAACCTCCGCTTCCCGGGTTCACGCCATTCTCCTGCCTCAGCCTCCTGAGTAGCTGGGACTACAGGTACCCGCCACCACACCTGGCTAATTTTTTGTATTTTTAATAGAGATGGGGTTTCACCGTGTTAGCCAGCATGGTCTTGATCTCCTGATCTCATGATCCGCCAGCCTCGGCCTCAAAGTTCTGGGATTACAGGCGTGAGCCAACGTGCCCAGCCGAGGCACCTTTCTTAAGGTCCCAGCCCATAGGTGGTCCACATCACTTCTGCCTACATTCCATGATCAGGAGCTTAGTCACATGATCAGCCCTAACTGTAAGGTGGCTGGGAAATATATATATATGTATGTGTCTACATATATGTGTGTATATATATGTGTGTGTGTGTGTGTGTGTGTGTGTGTGTATGCAGCCATAGGCCGAGTAGTTCAATTATTGTAGAAGAAGGAAAGAATAGGTTTTTGGATAGTGTCATTACATCAACCTAGATGTGACCCAGATACCACCAAGTAGAGGCTCTTCAGTTATTATGAGCAATTAGGTCAGAGTTTTTGTTAAAGTGGAAACAGGGAAAGTATGATCCATAGAGGACATAAGGACATAGGATCCCTTCGAGTAATGGAACATGTCCCAGGGGCTTGAAAAGAGACTGTTTTGTTTGTCCTTCCAGACAGGGGAGTTCAGGGGCATTCAGCAGCAGACAAGGGTGATGGATACCCAGAACATTGCTTATGAAATGATTTATATTTTTAATAATACTTTATAGTTTACAAGGATCATTTGTACATATTGTTTGATTGGATGTTGAAAACATTCCTCATTAGGGACAGCTAGACGTAGAGAGATGAAAGGTCTTGCACAAAATCACACAATTCATAAATAGCAAAGGTGAGATCTGAACCCAAGTCTTCCTAGTTTCAGTCCAGTGCTTTTTACCAAATAAAAATGCTACATATTGATTTTTTTTTTTTATCCTGGGAGGGTGACTAGTTGGACATCTCAAATGGAGTAAGGACTTTACTTTTTCACTGGACTTTACTTTTTCAGTTTCCATGTAATTTGGATGTCATTGTGAAGACGTCAAGAGTCATGTCCACAAAGATAATACTGGTTATTACTTGGTGACCACCTACTGTAAGCCAGGCCCTGAGCTGGACACTTTATTTATATCTTATTTATTCCTCCTAATGATCCAGCAAGGTAGGCATTATTACACCTATCTTGCAGAGGAGGAAGCTGAAGAGGTTAGGTAACTTTTCCCAAACAGAGAGCTAGTAAGTGGGTAAGCCAGGTCATGAATCCAAGTTAATCTGCTATCTTCCCTCTCAGTGCTGCCTTGAAGGACGAGGGGTATCTGCTGCTCAGGCCTCAGGAATGGACACATAGGTAATGCTTGGTAATCTCAAGCCTGAAGTAAGAATAATTTATTTAAGTTTGTCCCAAACTCCTGACTTCTCATTGGATGTCCTAGAAATTAAACCCAAAGTGAGGTCTTCGCTAGCCATGACCTTCAAAAATCCTTGTCCATTAGGCTCAGTCATTTGTGATGTCAGAACTGGAAACAAACTTAAAGTTCCTCTGGTCCAACATAGCCCTTTTACAGATGATAAAGCTGAGACCCAGAGGCGGGAAAAATAACTTGCCAACAGTATCGGGGCTATTTCCTGGCAAAACTAACATATTCCTTTGATTCTCCAGGCTTCAGGCCCATGAGGACCTCCTGGACTAAGAGCCAGTCTCACTGCCACCTGTCAGAGCCTTCTTCAAGGGAGTAAACAGAGGGGCAGGACTCACCTCACTTCGTGCTGCCAGGGCTAGAGCTATCCTTTCTCCCCACTCCATTCCCACCTTGCTGGGTGAGCCTGCAGTTTTTCCAAGGCAGGGCCAGCCTGTCCTGTGCTGCAAGATGTATTAATCAATTTGATGGGGATGTTAAAGCTTTCTCTTTGCAACTAATTATGGCCTGATTTATAGGCCTGGCCTTGGTTTGATAGAGCTCTCCTCATGACAGGGATGAATGTGGTACTGGCATGGACCCCTTCATCTCTTCCATTTCTCTCTCTTCCTCCCTCCTCCCTCCCTCCCACGGCTCCTGCCTCCTGCCTCTGCTCTTGGTTCCCACAGGAACACCCTAATGACATGTTGACAAGCTAGTGAAGCATGGCTCCCTCTCTGTTGCATCTGCCTCTGGCACCACCATTCCTCCTGTATTCTCTGACATGGGCAGATGGGTGCTGTGCTGGAGGAAGCTCTGTACACCCTTTCCTTCTGGAAACAAGAAACAATAAAAATATTTTGGGTTGATGCAGCATCTTCCTTCCCAAACATTCCAAGAGCTTGTTGAAATAAACTTTATCCCTGATGGAACTTCCAGGTAAGATTTCAGGTAAGGTTTATTCTGGTTATTTTACAAATGAGAGCACTGAGACAGAGAGATGAACTTGTCTGTGATTTTACACACAGTAGGACAATGAAGATGAGAATAAATTGGTGTCATGGTGTCCAGCTCCAAGATCCTCCCATTGCTGGGGCCTTTGGGTCACCTTACTGTTGCTAGGAACCCTTTCCTCATACCTGCGCAACTTGACAGAAGGAGAGCCCTCACATAGGCACTGCTTTTTTGTTTTGTTTTGTTTTGTTTTGTTTTTTGGAGACAGGGTCACACTCGGTCACCCAGGCTGGAGTGCAGTGGTGTGATCTTGACTCACTGCAGCCCCCACCTCCTGGGTTCAAGCAATTCTCTGCCTCAGTCTCCCGAGTAGGTGGGATTACAGGCACCCACCACCATGCCCAGCTAATTTTTTTTTTTTGTATTTTTAGTGGAAACGGGGTTTCGCCATGTTGACCCAGGCTGGTCTCAAACCCCTGACCTCAAGTAATCTGCCTGCCTCAGTCTCCCAAAGTGCTGGGATTACAGGCATGAGCCACCCTGCCCAGCTGCACTGGTTTCTTAACAGTAAGCATAAGGACCTTTGTGGCCACCGTGTGCAAATAGGGATATGAAATAAGATGTAAATCATCACTCTGCACAAAGAGTATGTATGCACATGCGTGCGAGCACACACAGGCCAGTTTCCGGAAGTCTGCATGTCACACAGAGTATAGATAAGGAACAACCGCAAATTATCACCTTCCTTAGTCCTGAAGGCCACTATGAAGTCACCTTCCCCAGACTCAGCAAGGTTCGATGGGCAGCCCCCTGTGTGGGTATATTTCCTAGCAGTGTGCTATGACAGCCACTTCCCAGTAGGGCTAATGGAGAGAAATAGTGGCTTGGCAGCCCTACAATTGTTTGTACTCAGACTTGAAATTCATTGTGTAATATTTTTGAAATACATTTGTCTCTGCAAGGTGCTAACCTAAACCTAACCAAAGTGCAAGCTCTAGACCTAGCCTGAACCTGAACCTGAACCTGAGCCTTAGCCTCACTCCTAACCCTAAATCTAAATCGTTTCCAAACCCTAACTCTAATCCTAATCTAAACTTGAACCCAACTCAAAATGTAAACATAACCTGATCCCAGATCCTAATCCTCACTCTAAAAACAATCTTAACATTAACCCTAATCCTTATTTTAACTCAGTCAGGGGTGATTACCCCTCTTCTTCTCAGGGAATATTTGGCAATGACTAGAGATATTTTGGGGTCCTACAATGCAGAGGGGAAATACTAGAATCTAATCCGTAGGCTGGTCCAAGTGCAGTGGTGTTTACAACTAACTGATCACAACCAGTTACAGATTTCTTTGTTCCTTCTCCACTCCCACTGCTTCGCTTGACTAGCCTTAAGAAAAAAAAAAAAAAAAAAGAGGAATCTAATGGGTAGAGGCCAGGAATACTGCTAAACATTCTAAAATGTTTAGGATACACAGAACAGCACCCTCAAAACAGAATTATTCAGCCCCAAATGTCCATATTGCCAACTTTAGAAATGCTGTCTCAACTTTCACCTTAATTCTAAAATAAACTAATACTATTAACCTTAACTTTAAGAATAAACCAGGCCCGGCACAGTGGTTCATGCCTGTAATCCCAGCACTTTGGGAGGCCGAGGCAGGCAGATCACCTGAGGTCGGGAGTTTGAGACCAGCCTGACCAACATGGAGAAACCCCGTCTCTAATAAAAATACAAAATTAGCCAGGTGTGGTGGCCTAAAAATACAAAATTAGCCAGGTGTGGTGGCGCATGCCTGTAATCCCAGCTACCTGGGGGGCTGAGGCAGGAGAATTGCTCGAACCCGGGAGGCAGAGGTTGCGGTGAGCCAAGATTGTGCCATTGCACTCTAGCCTGGGTAACAAGAGAGAAACTCTGTCTCAAAAATAATAATAATAATAATAATAAACCGAAGGAGGCCAGGCGCAGTGGCTCACGCCTGTAATCCCAGCACTTTAGGAGGCCAAGGTGGGCGGATCACCTGAGGTCAGGGGTTTGAGACCAGCCTGGGCAACATGGCGAAACCCGTCTCTACTAAAAATACAAAAATTAGCCAGGTGTGGTGGCACATGCCTGTAATCCCAGCTACTCAGGAGGCTGTGGCATGAGAATCACTTGAAAACTGGGAGGCAGAGGTTGTAGTGAGCTGAGATCATGCCATTGCACTCCAGCCTGGGCAACAGAGTGAGACTGTGTCTCTAAATAAATAAATAAATAAATAAACCTAAGGCTAGGCACGTGGCTCACACCTGTAATCTAGCACTTTGGGAAGCCAAGGTGGACAGATCACTCGAGGCCAAGAGTTCGAAACCAGGCTGGGCAACATAGTGAAACCTCATCTCTACAAAAAAATACAAAAATTGGCCTGGCATGATGATGTGTACCCATAGTCCCAGCTACTTGTGGGATTGAGGTGGGAGGATTCCTTGAGCTGGGAAGGTCAAAGCTGCAGTGAGCTGAGATCACGTCATTGCACTCCAGCCTGGGTGACAGAGTGAGACCCTGTCTGAAAAATTTAAAAAATGAAAACAAAAATAAGCTTGGCATGGTGGCATGCACCCGTAGTTCTAGCTACTCAGAAGGCTGAGCAGGGAAGATTGCTTGAGCCCAGGAGGCAGAGGTTGCAGTTAGCCATGACCATGCCACTACACTCCAGCCTGGACAACAGAGCAAGACCTTGTCTCAATAAATGAATGAATGAATGAGTAAATAAATAAATAAACCTAAGCCGGGTGCAGTGACTCAGGCCTGTAATCCCAGCACTTTGGGAGGCTGTGGCGGGTGGATCAGGTGAAACCGCGTCTCTACTAAAAATACAAAAAATTAGCGCGTGTTGTGGCGGGCGCCTGTAGTCCCAGCTACTCGGGAGGCTGAGGCAGGAGAATGGGGTGAACCTGGGAGGCGGAGCTTGCAGTGAGCCGAGACCACGCCACTGCACTCCAGCCTGGGTGACAGAGCGAGACTCCGTCTCAAAAAATAAATAAATAAATAAATAAACCTAATTTCTCATTCCTAACTCTAAACTAACCCTAACCTAAACCTGAATCCCAATTTGAAATCTAAACCTAACTGGAACCCAACCCTAACCCTAATCCTAACATAGACAATAATTATAAATTAAACCTAATCTAAACCCAACCCTAACAACATCCAGATGACCAAGTGTTATTAAGATGAGAAGAGGGAACCCAGAACCTTGTTCTATTGTGATATTTCCCTTGGTTTTTCTTCACAATGGACATGAGATTGTTCAGATCCTTCTGGAGTGCATAGGTCTTCTATTTCCCCCGGCCTCCATTATGCTTATATTACTGCTTGTCAGCTCCCTCTGCCCAGAAGAGAAGATATAAAAGGAGATGAAATTCAGACTTGGCTTAGCAGATAGCTGCTTACCAGTATATCTCAGAGGACACTGATGAAGGAGAATGATTTAAAATATGTTACGATATTATTTTTTTCAATTAAGAAAAAGTTCAAATCTGCTCTCCCACATGATTTTTAATTTTTTTTTAGTGGTGAGGTCTTGCTATGTTGTCCAGCCCGGAGTGCAGTGGCTATTCACAGGTGTCATCATAGTGCACTGCAGTCTTGAACCTCTGGGTTCAAGCGACCTCTTGCTGCAGCTTCCCAAGTAGCTGAGACTAAAGGTGCATGCTACCATGCCCGGCCCATTTGATTTTCAATATATCTTAAAGGTCAGTGCATCAGGCAGTATTATCCTCATCTGAAAAATAAGACACTGGAGCACAGATACATTAAAGGCTTTGCCCAAGACCACACAGCAAGGTAGCAGGAAAGCCTAGCCAGAGGGCTTGATTCATAGTCTATCTTCCACTCTTTTACCATGCTTACGATCCCAATTACTATTATCTCTCGTATCCCCCAAGTGCAGTTATCCAAGAATTCTCAATTTTTTTTAGAATTTAAAATGACATCAGGGCTGTGCCCAGGGTTTGAGAAGGGGAAGCAAAGCCAATGAAAAGAGTAGAATAAGGAGGATTAATCCATATGCCCAAGTGCTCAAACACTTTTTGAAGCTCCAGTTCTTGAATGAGAGTGGAGTGGGAGGTGGAGAGAGATGACCAGGCAGTCAAGACCAGGTGAAAACCCTGGAGGATAGAACCAAATGCCAGGTTGAAGTGCTGACAACACACGATAAGAGAAACCAGTCTAGAGCCTCAGGAAGAACCTAAGCTCAGTCCTGTTTTCCCTGCTTCTTTCCTTATAGAAGGTCAGTGCCCCCTTTTTTGGGCAAAAACATTTCCAGGATGTTTCTTATTTCTATGGAAGCTGGAGCTTTACATTCACAACCCTGTGAGCATTACAGTGGCCAGTGACAAAGCAGGGTTTGCTCAGATGGACATTTAAAAAAAGCGGTGGGCTGGGCCGTGGTGCCTCAGGCCTGTAATCCCAGCACTTTGGGAGGTCAAGGTGGGTGGATCACTGGAGGTTGGGAGTTCCAGACCAGCCTAGGCAACATGGTGAAACCTCATCTCTACTAAAAATACAAAAAAAAATAGCCAGGCATGGTGGCGTGTGCCTGTAATCCCAGCTACTCAGGAGGCTGAGTCACGAGGATCGCTTGAGCCCAGGAGGTGGAAGTTGCAGTCAGTGGAGATCGTGCCACTGCACTCCAGCCTGGGCAACAGTGAGACTCTGTCTCAAAACCAAACCAAACCAAAACAAAACAAAACAACAGTGGTGAACAGAGAGGAGGAGGGATGAGTGGAAACTCAGCACAAAAAGGATGTGCATGAGGTAGGGCTGGTTGGGAAGACATAGGGGTAGTGAATCTTGGAGCCCTATAATGTTGAGAAAAACAGACATTTAGAGATCAAATGTAGAGAAAAAAACCCTGGACTGGGGTCAGAACATGTCTATGTGACTCTCCTCTTTGATGCAGACTTTAGACAAATCACTTCCCACAATTTCTGCATCTGGAAAATAGGAGGGTTGAGCCAGAACTCAAATTCTGTCTCAACTTTGATATTCTAAAATTCTTGATGTTCTCAATCAAAACCACCCGGTGCACATCTTTTTCTAATTCTGTCCTCCCTCTGTACATCTGAACCAGCCTGGCCCTGTCCCGGGGGCACTTAAGTTTTTGTTCCATTGGATTTGCGTTCTGGTGAGAGAAGTCCCTGGTTTCTCCTGTTAGATACGAACTTTGAAAAGATGATGGCAGTCTGGAACTCACAGCTCTTGGAGCCTCCAGTAAGTGTTTTGCTGGCCAACAAGGCTCCAAGAGGTGCTCAGGCAGGTATGTCTGACCTGTCACATGACCTTCCCTGTGTTCTGGAAGCTGCCCCTTCCGTGCCCTGTCCCCAGGCCCCAGGGATGCTGGGCCAGGAGCTGGGATGCTGGGAGTCCTCCACAACGGCACACTCATCCCGCTGGAATTGGAGGCCCATCCCTCAGAGGAGCTGATGCTCCTTGATGAGGAGCCTAGCTGCACAGAAGATGAAAAGCTGTCTTTGCGGTGGAATGAATTCCCCCAGACCCAAAGCAGCTGCTCCTCGAAGTCTCTGAAAACAAAAATCCTCATGAATAAATATTAGGGAAGAAATGAGTTTTCTCAAGAACAAAAGCAGATTTGAGGAAGTTCTCTGGGAGAGGTTGGGATCTTTCATCTCATGAAATAAGTAATCTATGTATCACTCAGACTCTGCTTGCCAATTCCCCTCCTGTTCCACTGATCCGCAGCCACATCCTGCTCCTCCCTCACATGGAAACAGGCAGCACCTAGGCCATCATCTGCTCAGACTTTCCTTCAGAGGAAAAGAGAAACCACAAACAGCTGCCGTGTGGGCCCTCCTGCCAGATTCCGGATTCCAGCTCAGACCACGGATCTCGATGACTTCATTGGTATCTGAGCTGGAACTCTCTTCTCCAGGGACAGAGAGGCCGCCAGCATCCCTGCAGAGCCCCCAGAAAAAGAGGAAGCTGCATGGTGGGTTCACACCTGGGCCAGTACAAAAAGGTCATGCTTGGAGAGATACACCAAGATCTCCACCTGAGGGCTGAGTCCTGGCCCAGGGCTTGCTTCACTAGTTGGCAGCCTGGGGTGAGTCCCTCTCCCCACCTCCACCCTGCCCCTTCAAAAAGCCTGTTGCTCATTGAATCAAAAGACATTCCTAAGTGAGAGTCTCATTCCCTTTCATCTGGATCCAAATGGAAATGCAAATACCATGGGACAGAATGTGCCTCTGTGGGAATGAATTTATCAGACCCTGTCCACAGCAGTTTTGCTGAAAGAGAAATTTAGTTTTTCTGAGAGAGCCTGGTGAGGCAATGGAGTTAAGGGGCCAAATGGTTCAAAACTTCTACAAGGTTAGTGCTGGAGGGGAAGCTTCAGCAATCATGAGCCAGACTCCTCCTGTTGCAGATGAGGAAACCAAAGCCCAGAGAGGAGTGTCTTTCACAGCATCATACAGCAAGTTAATATGGCTTAGGATGCTAGAACTTAGGTGTCCCGACTCTAAGCCTGGTGCCAGTTGCAGAAAACAAAAGCCCAAGGCCTGAAAGATAAACTTGGCCTCCTTCAAAATCTGATGGGGGCTGGCACTTTCTGCCTTCAGAATATTTGTTTCCACCAGGAGTGAATCTCAGTTCTTGGCTGTGAGCAGTTGCAGAGGTCACATGAGTGGACAAAAAAGGAATGTGAGTGAGAAGGGAGATGGGGTGAAGATCTTCCTGAACAATGACTTAGCGAGGACAAGTCTGAATCTCCAACTTCATCAGACTCTGTGAACGGTGTTAAATCTTGACTTAGGGGCTATGGGCTTTTGCCTCTCTTTGTAGCCACAGTTGCCCAAAGAGAACTAGTAATGCTGTTATCTTCAGATGCAAAGGATAACACATTAGTAAATTATTCCTTGCTTATACTTCTAATGTCACATTCCCCTTGTCTTATAGTTGTTTTGTGATGAAAGAAACTAATGGGATCTTAGAATCAGACCTGGGTTACATGGCTTAAACTTTTTAAAAAAAATTTAATTGTGGTAAAATATGCATAACATAAAATTCACCATCTTAATGATTGTTAAGTGTATAGTTTAGCAGTGTTAAGTATATTGACGTTATATTGCAACCTTTTTTCATCTTGAACAACTGAAGCTGTACCCATTAAACAACGGTTCCTCATTCTCCATTCCCTTTCAGTCCCTGACAACCACCACTCTACTTTCCATCACCATGAATTTGATGACTCATGAGTGGAACCACACAGTATTTGTCCTTTTGTGAATCACTTATTTCACTTAGCATAATGTCCTCACAAGGTTCATTCATGTTGTAGCACATGTCAAAATTTCTTTCCTTTTTTTTTTTTTTTTTTTTTTGAGATGGAGTCTCATGCTCTTTCCCCCAGGCTGGAGTGCAGTGGCATGATCTGGGCTCATTGCAACCTCCGCCTCCTGGGTTCATGCCATTCTCCTGCCACAACCTCCCGAGTAGCTGGGACTACAGGTGTGCGCCACCACGCCCAGCTAATTTTTTGTATTTTTAGTAGAGACGGCGTTTCACCATGTTAGCCAGGATGGTCTCGATCTCCTGACCTCATGATCTGCCTGCCTCGGCCTCCCAAAGTGCTGGGATTACAGGCGTGAGCCACCATGCCCGGCCTTCAATTTCTTTCCTTTTTAAGGCTGAATAATATTCCATTTTATGGATATGCCACATTTTGTTTATCTATTTATCCACTGATGGACACTTGGGTTGCTTCCACTTTTTGGCCATTGTGAATAATGCTGCTATGAACATGGGTGTACAGATATCTTTTTGAGACCCTGACTTCCTCAATTCTTTTGGATATATATCCAGAAGTAGAACTGGTGAATCCTATGGTAGTTCTATTATCAAGTTTTGGAAGAATAACCATACTGTTGGCTTAAACTTATTGGGCTTTTATTTTCCTCATCTATAAAGTAGACTTGAGGTTGTTGTGAGTATTAAAGAAATCATGTGCATAAAGCTCTTGGCTCAATGCCTGGTACATGGTTGAAATTTAAGAACTGGTTGTTTCCTATGAACTCTTGAAGACAGAGACTGTTTCATTTCGGTATCTAACCATTTAGCATGGCGCCAGACATATAGTAGGGGTTCACTATATGACTGTTAGTGAATGAATGAATAATGAACAAACATATCCTTGTAACTTTGAAGTATGGCCGGGAGCAGTGGCTCATGCCTGTAATCCCAGTACTTTGGGAGGCTAAGGCAGGCGGATCACCTTAGGTCAAGAGTTCGAGGCCTGGCCAACATGGCGAAACCCTGTCTCTACCAAAAATACAAAAATTAGCTGGGCATGGTGGCAGGCACCTGTAATCCCAGCTACTTGGGAAGCTGAGGGAGGAGAATCACTTGAACCTGGGAGGCAGAGGTTGCAATGAGCCGAGATCGTGCCATTGCACTCCAGCCTGGGAGACAAGAGCGAGACTCCATCTCAAAAAAAAAAAACAAAAAAAACCTTTGAAGTACATAGAATAATTCCTGCACATTGTGGGTGTTTAATAAATTTCAAATGAATGCATGTAATAATCCTATATGAAGCCTACTTCTTCTGCATCCTACTTCATGAGAAAAGGAATTTGCTCATGTCCCTAAAGTTCCTGAAGGACAATTCAGAATCAAGTATTTGACCTACTCCCAACTTTCTGGGGATCCTCCTCTTTCACCATTCATGGCAAATTCTACTGTGCAAGGGATACAAAGGAGGAAGATCTCCATGTGAGAGTAACCGAGCACTTCAGTCTGCACTGTGCTTGCTAAGTTTTCTCTCTTTCTACCATGTTCACAGAACACTTGCTGTGAGCTCCAAAGCATGTTGAAGAGCGGGGCTGTCCATGTTGAATCCTGTTAGTCATGCAGCTGAGGGAATTCCAATCACCTGACCCGGGTCTGACCGCAGTTACCAGTCTCAAGTCTGAGCAGCGTCTCCAGTGCTGGGCTGCCTTCTTGACTCCAGGAGGCATGCCTGCTCTTACAATGAAACTCAAGTCTTTTTTTTTCCTTCCCACAAGTTTGGCTTCTACTTTTCTAAGTGCTGTTCATCATATACTCTGTGTTGTAAGTACTCAGCTCTCTAGCATCTCTTTATACTACCTTTTATTCTTCTGGAATATCCTTCCTTCCCACCCACAAGCATATTAGGCAAAACTTGCCCACCGTGGTAACTGGAAACAGGACTGAGGGGAAGGAAAACTCTCTCCCAGGTGCATGGAGTGGGAACTCATTTAGGGCATCTTTAGTGCCATACATAGAACCTGGAATACAATAGGAGCTCAATTAATACATGTTAAATGGATAAATATTGGTTAAATGCATCATGTTTCTATACAATTCTCTTTAAACTATAAACTCCCCAAGCACAAAGTTAAGAACTATGTCTCTCTTATCAGACAAGATGCCTCCTAACCCAGATTATACAGGAGCATTGTGAGGGCAAGCCCATGCCAACTCCACATTCTGTGAGCTCCCAAAACTCCACCAAGGACCTTGCTTAATGATGACTTAGACCAGGGTTTCTCGACCTCAGCATTATTGACATTCTGGGCCAGATCCTTCTCTGATGTAGGGAGCTGACTGGTGCATTGTAAGATGTTCAGGGACATCCCTGGCCTTTACCCACTAGATGCCCATAGCAACCCCCTCCCAGTTGTGACAACCAAAAATGCCTTCAGATAACAACAGATATCCCCTGTGTTTGGGGGAATGAAGAGGTACAAAATCACTCCCTGTTGAGAACTACTGACTTAGACTGAAGCAAAACACGAAGGGATTTCTCTACTTTTTATTGCCTGTGGGAATGGAAAATATTTTTCTAGCAGAGAAGTTGAATATTTATTAGATTAAGAATTGGGCCGGGCACAGTGGCTCATGCCTGTAATCCCAGCACTTTGGGAGGCCGAGGCGGGCAGATCACAAGGTCAGGAGATCAAGACCATCCTGGCTAACACAGTGAAACCTCGTCTCTACTAAAAATACAAAAAATTAGCTGGGCGTGGTGGCGGGCACCTGTAGTCCCAGCTATTTGGGAGGCTGAGGCAGGAGAATGGCGTGAACCCAGGAGGCAGAGCTTGCAGTGAGCTGAGATCCGGCCACTGCACTCCAGCCTGGGCAACAGAGAGAGACTCCGTCTCAAAAAAAAAAAAAAAAATTGGGCCAGGCGCAGTGGCTCACACATGTAATCCCAGCACTTTGGGAGGCCGAAGCCGGCGGATCACAAGGTCAGGAGTTCGAGACCTGCCTGGCCAAAATGGTGAAATCCCGTTTTTACTAAACATGCAAAAATTAGCCAGGCATGGTGGCAGGTGCCTGTAGTTCCAGCTACTCAGGGGACTGAGGCAGGAAAATCACTTGAACCAGGAGGCAAAGGCTGCAGTGAGCCAAGATTGCGCCACTGCACTGCAGCCTGGGTGACAGAGTGAGACTCCATCTCCAAAAAAAAAAGAATTGATGAAAAATGTACTTCCAACTCCCAGGTGTTCTCAGAATTGAACCCGGGAGGACTCCAGGTGAGAAAATCTTTGCCAGGGACAAAATTTCCTTGTCTAACCATTGGAGTGCAGAACAGAGTGACAGAAGAGGGAAGTGCTAGAGGGTAAGGGCATGCCCCAACAGAAGTTACTGGAAACAGCAATTACTTTCCATTCCTTGGGACCTACTAGGGCTCTGAACCTGGATTCAAATACATAAAGGCCCACTATGGTTGGGGCCTACTTGCCTACTGAAATTGGAGTTTCAGAGACTGAGTGACCTTTCTGATATTGCACAGCACATCAGAGACAAAACCAGCACTTGAACTCCCTTTGAGTTAGACATCTGAAGGACAAGGGCATGTGGTGCATCCCCAGCTATCCAGTGCCTTTTCTTTTTTCTTTCCCAATCCAGTGACCCCTCTGATTGTAGGATAACAGACCAGACAGGCAAAAGGTATCTGTGGGTGATCTTTGCTTGGGGGTAGGGTTGGGTAGGGGGCAGAGCTGCTCACAACAGCAGGCCATTTCCCAAGATGCTCAGGGTTGCTGGCTTCTGCACTCACCATCTCACTTTCTGGTTGCTGCGTGGAGATAAGCTATCGACTTCTGCACAGGATCAACCAAGGAAGTCAGGAGGGTGGGGAGGCCCTGGCGGCTGGCAGGAAAGGGCTGGCAGAAAAAAAAAAAAAAAAAAAGCAAAGCATCCTGGGGACAAAACTGCTGACTGGACTGCTAAGAGACAGGAGGGAAGAAAAAGGAGAATCAATGCAAGGGGAGAACATTGGAAAAGCAGGAAAGGCAGAAAGACCCACAAAACCTAAAGAGACTCAGCAAGGCAGAAATCAGGAGAGTTTTCCCCTTTCTATTAAAAATGTATTTTCTCGGCCAGGTGCAGTGGCTCACACCTGTAATCCCAGCACTTTGGGAGGCCGAGGTGGGCGGATCACCTTAGGTCGGGAGTTTGAGACCAGCCTGGCCAACATGGTGAAACCCCCTCTCTACTAAAAATACCAAAAATTAGCCGGGCGTAGTGGCGGGTGCCTGTAATCCCAGCTACTCAGCAGTCTGAGACAGGAGAATCACTTGAGCCCGGCAGGCGGAGGTTGCAGTGAGCGGAGATCATGCCACTGCACTCCAGCCTGGGCAACAAGAGCGAAACTCCGCCTCAAAAAAAAAAAAAAGTATTTTCTCATCTACCTGTAGATATGTCATTTTAAAACATGCTTTTCTTCTGCCTTGGCCTTCAAAGAGTGAATGCAAACCAAATATTCTTAAAATGCATTTGTGATCCAATAAACAAAGGGTCAAGTCTTCAACAGTGATTTACTATGTGACTTCTGGAAAGTCACTCAACTGTACTGAGGCTTTATGCCTCTCTTTTATTTAAAAGAAAAAAAATGCAG
Source organism: Homo sapiens (assembly GCF_000001405.40). Classification (NCBI taxonomy): domain Eukaryota; kingdom Metazoa; phylum Chordata; class Mammalia; order Primates; family Hominidae; genus Homo; species Homo sapiens. The sequence continues at coordinate 48,489,725 of NC_000017.11, forward strand.
AGATTACCCCAGCCGGCTATAAGGAGAGCCCTCATTGTCTAACTCACTAGAAGTGCTAAAGAGCTGTTCTTTCATCTGAAACTACCTAGGGAGAGATTTTCTTACCATGAGCTTTTACATCCTCATTCATTTGAATTGGTGCTCTGGGAACCAGGCAGGGAACAGGTATTTTTATCTTACTTTAGTGGATAAGCAGTAGTGTAAATAGTGAAAAACAAAAAGGAGGGGGGGAGCCGGGCGCGGTGGCTCACGCCTGTAATTCCCAGCCCTTTGGGAGGCCGAGGCTGGTGGATCACACGGTCAAGAGATCGAGACCATCCTGGCTAACACGATGATAACCTGTCTCTATTAAAAATACGAAAAATTAACCGGGCGTGGTGCAAGCACCTGTAGTCCCAGCTACGTGGGAGGCTGAGGCAGGAGAATGGCATGAACCCAGGAGGCGAAGCTTGCAGTGAGCCGAGATTGCCTCACTGCACTCCAGCCTGGGCGACAGAGCAAGACTCCGTCTCAAAAAAAAAAAAAATGGATCTCTCTTTTATTACACTCCGATGCGTACCATAAAAAAGGCCCTGCCTTTCTCCTTCAGATAGAATTCAGAGACTAGGCTAAGTAGACTAGATTTGGGTGGGCAAATCCTGCTCTTTGGAGAGGGAAGGGACCCATAGACTAGCAGGGAGGCTGCTGGTGTCATGGAAAAGCTAAAACCCAGAGCCTCTCGCCTGAACCCAAGCCCCTCGCAGTTATGTGGGTTCACAGCCTTGGCTGCTCTGGCTTGGTTTCAATGCTGGAACTGAAGCAGGACTACATTCCATAACTCTCTGATACAGCAAGTCAGGGGTGACTGCGGAAGTAAAATCAGGATTAAGAATTCCCAGCCTGGGCTCTTAATGAGCAGGCAGAGTTATTTCCTCTTCTGTCCTTTCTTATATGCTCACTCCCAGTTTCTCTTTCTACAAAGTCTCCTCTCCATTCCTATTCAACTTGTAGGTGGCAGCCCCTTTTTTATTTATACTCTTTTCCAAACCACATCCTCCAGGAGGCTACTCAGATTACACCTGCCATTGAGGAATCCTTCCTTTACTTTGTTATTAGATCTCCAAATGTATCTATAAGAACAAGACCCTGCACACCCAAAAAGACAGCAGTAAATTAAGGGTGAGTTACATGCCTAGTGTAATTTATATGCTAGCATGTAAGTTAATACCATGTGGATGAAATCTAGATCTGCCCCTGTTAATGCAACCCCTTGGGCTCTGAAATTCTCACTTTTAGGAAACTGGTTTCTGCAGAGTTTCAGGGACTATGATTCCATCAGGCATGGGGCTGAGTCCCATGGTTGTTAGAATAACTGGGTGCTTTTGCTGTGTCAAATCCAGCCCTCGCCCTAAGCCCTAAGCTCTACCTCCCCAAGGACAAAGACTAAGTTAGAGAAGGTGCCCCAGTGGATGATGGCTTCATTCAGAACCACTCTGGGGCATCCAAGTCGGATTGCTTCTGAAGCATCTGCCTCTGCTTTTGTCACAGGATAAACCCCAATTTTGGACCTCCAAATTTGGGAAATTGGGGTTCATGTGGGTTCTTGACTTCATGCAGGAAGGAATTCAAGAGTGAACCAATACAGTGAAGTGAAAGAAAGTTCATTAAAAAAGTAAAAGAATAGTCCAGGTGCGGTGGCTCACGCCCGTAATCCAAACACTTTGGGAGGCTGAGGCAGGTGGATCACCTGAAGTCAGGAGTTCTAGACCAGCCTGGTCAACATGGTGAAGCCCCATCTCTACTAAAAGTACAAAAATTAGCTGAGTGTGGTGGTGGGTGTCTGTAATCACAGCTACTCAGGAGGCTGAGGCAGGAGAATTGCTTGAACTCAGGAGGCAGAGGTTGCAGTGAGCCGAGATCATGCCACTGCACTCCAGCCTGGGCAACACAGCAAGACTCTGTCTCAAGAAAAAAAAAAAGTAAAAGAATAAAAGGGTGGCTACTCCATAAGCAGAGCAGCCCCAAGTGCTGCTGGTTGGCTATTTTTACGGTTGTTTATTGGTCATATGAATTTTCCAGGAAAGAGGTGGGGGAATTCCCAGAAGTGAGGGTTCCTTCCTCTTTCAGACAATATAGAGTAATTTCCAGACATTGTCATGGTGTTTGTAAACTGTCATGGCACTAGTAGAGTGTTTTTTAGCATGTTAATATATTATAATTAATGTATAATGAGCAGTGAGGATGATTGGAGCTCATTTTCGTCACCATCTTGGTTTTGGTAGGTTTTGGCCAGCTTTTTTACATCTCATTTTATCAGATGGATCTTTGTGACCTGTACCTTGCAAAACAAGTCCTACCCAACTCCTGTCTCACTTTGAAGTCTAGGTTAGAAGAATCTCTAAAGACAGGAGGCCTCCCATATGTCAAAGAGGAAGGGAGGTTCCAAGTTCAGGGCCAGGAACAGAAATAGAGAAAGGAAGGACTATCAGGCAGGAGGAACCTTTCCCCTCTCCTTGGGAGGACACAAAATCACCAGGGAACAAAAAGAATGTCCTTTCTCTACCCTAAGTGATTCCTAACCACCATCCCCCAGCCCCCCAATCCCACCCCCAGCCCCCCACCCACCCCCACCCCCGCGCTGCTTTTCCTGATCTGGCAAAGAGAGAGTTCCCTTGCCCTTGCAGTAGACCCTTGGGCCAGGCCAGACCAGCTGACCACACACCAAGGAATCCCAGGACTGGGAAAGAGTGGGAGCATCCAGGTCAAGGGTCCTCTCCAGCCCCAGCCCCCACCGCAGCTGAAGGAATGCCGCAGGTGCAGTTTCCCAGCAGGATGGAGATGGTGCCTCTGTTCTTGACCGAAATTGTTTTCAGGACTGTACCTGCGTGAGATAGTGAGAGGGAGAGGGGCGAAGGGACGAAGGCGCGCCCGGAGAGGCGCGCGGGAATGCGGGAGCCGCGGGCGCAGAGGCCGCCGCTAGGGTGCAGCTGTGGGCTGACGTGGGAGCCAGGCCTGGGGTGGAGCCGCGCCGGAGCCGGGCCGGCAGCGCTGGCGAGGAGGTTCGGGTGTTGTGTTTCCACTGTAACTATAATTAGGCGGATTCAGTGTTTATTTAGGCTGAGAGCTGTAAGATAAATGACAGCTTCGAAGATGCTTTTCAGCACTTCGTAAATCACCCATCCGCCCGGGCAGTTTGCTGCTGCCACGTCTCGGTTCTCCCTCCGCGCGCTCCCTGTCCCCCCACTCACCTCGGAAGAGGGCACACCCGGGGACGACTCCGGAGCTGTCACCACAAAGGGCAGGAGGGCAAAGGGGAAATGGTGTCTGTGCTTCCCAGAGCCCTCAGCGCCCCGGAAGGGTACGGGGCAGCCTCCAGGAAAGCTGTCAGGAGACGCTTCCTCCCGAGGTGGTCCCGGCGGCCAAGTGGGGCTCGGTTGACGGGCAGGCTTGCCCTCCTCTGGGAGAATATGGTCTCTAATCGGCTCTAATTCAAGATCTCTTCCCTGTGCCCTGATGACACATCTGGAGATTTACAGGAGACGTTTGAGAAATATTTATAGTATGGGGACCGTTCTTTACCCTCCTGTGACTGTCTGCGCCTCTCTTGGGGGCTCAGGGTGGAAGGGCCCATGCCCTTTCCCATGGGAGAGTGCATTCTTGGAGAGGGTTGTGGACAGCAGGCCTGTCTCCCAGTGGGAGTTTGGAGCTCTCATGTCATTAGAAAGGGCAAAGACCTGGATGGCAACCCACCCTGCCTAGCCAGGCCTGGGCCTGATCAGTTCCCTTCGCAGGAAAAGGGAGCTCGGTGTGGGGAGGCCAGCGTTGGGCTCATCAGGCTTTGACTAGAAGCATCTAAACAGACCCAATGCAGAGGTGATTAACCCAACAGGGACCTGAATATGGTCCCTGGACCAGCGCCTTCCCTCACAGAAGTTTTGAATCAGAGTGGGTACTGCAGGGGCTCATGTCACACGTCAGGGCCAGCGCCATGGACCCTTCTCCCAGTATGGAAACTGGGAGAAGGAAATTAGTCTTGTGTAAAAGGAAACTGGATTTGGGGAAATTAGTCTTGTGAAAAATAACAAGTTAGCCTCTTTAGTAGAGATGGGGTTTCACCATGTTGGCCAGGCTGGTCTTGAACTCCTGACCTTGTGATCCACACGCCTCGGCCTCCCAAAGTGCTGGGATTACAGGTGTGAGCCACCCGCACCCGATTAGCTGGGCATGATGGCACGCGCCTGTAATCCCAGCTACCCGGGAGGCTGAGGCAGGCGAATCACTCGAACCCGGGAGGCGGAGGTTGCAGTGAGCCGAGATCACGCCATTGCACTCCAGCCTGGGCCACAGGGCGAGGCTCCATCTCAAAACAAAACAAAACGAAACAAAAAACAAACAACAACAACAAAAAACAAGTTAGCCTTCAGCAGCCAATAAGCCCTATAATTTTCTTATGAGGCCCATGATGCCAGGTTAGGTCATTCATGGTTTGGGAAGGTCCAGCCAAGCCACCAAGGAGACTGATTCCTGGCTTCAGACATCAAAGTACTGCTGAACTGGGGAGGGGCACCACACCACCACTGCTCTTTTCCCCATGCACAGACCTCCCCAAGGGATCTGCATTACCCCAGAGAGCAGAGCCATCTTCCCGCATCGAATGTGTGCGTATTGATACGTAAGGCACCATGGCCCCTGGGTTCTACGGCTACGATCCTCACTGCCCATGCCATGCCTCTAGGCCAAAATGCACCCAGCAAAGGAGTACATAGGCCAAATTCTGGCTTCAGAGATTGGAAGATTATCTATTGACATTTGTATTTGGTAGGGCATGAACGAGGTTGTTCTTTCTCCCACAAGGAAACCAAGCCGAGAGAACAGATGTAGTGGATCAAGTCCCCAATTCAGAGGCTCTGAGTCATTCTGTTAGTGTTGGATAACCCTGGGAGCTGTGTCAGGGTTTCATTCAGCTCTTCATTTATTCAGCACATATGACACACCTTCTCTGTGCTAGGTGTTGAAAATAAAATGATTAAAGACACGATTTCTTCAGCTTCTACTCTCATGTAAGAGATGGGAATAAAACAAATAATTACAAACGGGCTATAGTGGAGATGTATACAAAATAGGATGGAGTCTGGTACCTACTTAGCAAGGGTGATTCCTCTATCAGCAAGTGAGCCCAGTTCTCCATAGTGGGGCATTGCTGAAGTCTGAGTAACGCTGTTAAAAACAAACAAACAAAGAAACAAACAAAAATTATAGAGCCATGGTTAAGAGCATGGACTCTACAGTGAGACATATTTGAGTTTGAATTCCAACCCTGCCACTTACTGATTTCGGGATCTTGGGCAAGTTGTTTGACTTCCTTGTACCTCTTCTACAAAATGGGAATAATAACTGTTGCTGTTGTTATTATTATGTTTACTTCATAGGGTTGTAGTGAAGATTAAATGAGAGGGCTAGGCATGGTGGCTCATGCTTGTAATACCAGCACTTTGGGAGGCTGAGGCAGGTGGATCATCTGAGGTTAGGAGTTCGAGACCAGCCTGGCCAACTTGGTGAAACCCTGTCTCTACTAAAAATACAAAAATTAGCTGGGCATGGTGGCAGATGCCTGTGATCCCAGCTACTCAGGAGGCTGAGGCAGGAGAATGGCATGAACCCAGGAGGTGGAGGTTGCAGTGAGCCGAGATGGTGCCATTGTGCTCCAGCCTGGGTGATAAGAGCGAAACTCCATCTCAAAATAAAAAGATTAAATGAGAGAATGTGTATAAACTCTTTCCTGCTACACCATAAGTATCCCATACTCTAAATGTTAGGAATAGAAATAAATGAAGGAAGGAAGGAAGGAAAAAGAGAGAGAGAAAGAGAAAGGAATGCCTCTGTGTATAGGAACTAGGAAAAAATGCTCAAGTCCCCTGAATAAGAGAGAAGTAACTCTTACACAGCCACTGCCATCTTCTCCCTGGTTTCTAAGCCTTTATTGTGAATTGGGAGGCCTTGATTCTAATCCCAGCTCTTCCATTAGCTGGTAATACACCCTTGCTCAGTCTCTGGGCTCCCATTCCTCATTTGTAAAAAGAAAGGGGCAAACTCCCTTCTATAGTATTTTCACTTTTAACATTTGATGGCTCTGTTCAAGAATGCACACAAACTTTTGGAGGTGTGGATATGTTTATGGCATTGACTGTGGTGAAGGCTTCACAAATATACAACTAATCAAGTTGTACACATTAAATATGTTCAGCTTTTTGTGTGTCAATTATACCTTAATAAAGTGTCTTTTAAATGCACAGAAAAATATGAACAGTTAGGTATATTAATAATTTTACAAATCAACTAACAAAATGCATTGCTGCAGCAGTTTCTAAGCAATATTCTATCACTGATAAATGCCCTATGTGGTGCTCAAAATGATGACATATCAGCTGTCCTCAGTCCTGTCAAATATCTTTGTGACACTATTAACAGCCCAGCAACCACACTGAGGCTGTAGCAATGTCAAGGTTGAAGAGGTCAAATTTCCAAACCCAGGATTATTTTGAAAGTTTCCCTAAGCCCAAGATACTCAGAAGAAAAACTTAGATCTATTTTCTTTCCAAAACATGGATCTCTCTGATTAATTCGTCCTTGTCCTCTCAACCTTCTGTGTTCATTCCATTTAGTCAACATATACTGAATATTTCCCATATACCAGACCCTGGCTAGACACTTAGGATAAAAACAAATACTAGGCCGGGCACGGTGGCTCATGCCTGTAATCCCAGCACTTTGGGAGGCCGAGGCGGGCAGATCACGAGGTTAGGAGATCGAGACCATCCAGGCCAACATGGTGAAACCCCGTCTCTATTAAAAATATTTTTAAAAAAAGTTAGCTGGGCATGCTGGCGGGCGCCTGTAGTCCCAGCTACTTAGGAGGCCGAGGCAGGAGAACCGCTCGAACCCGGGGGGTGGAGATTGCAGTGAGCTGACATCACGCCATTGCACTCCAGCCTGGGTGACAGAGCCAGACGCCGTCTCAAAAAAAAAAAAAAAATACTAGTACAATTCCTTCCCTCAGCTGTGTATTGTCTTTTAAAGGGAGATATCTGAAGACATATCAAATAAATGCAATAAAATGCTGTTAGGTTTGTGACAGAAGTCTGCATAGGGAACACTGGGGTGCCAAGGAAGAAGTGGTCAGTTCTCTCCCATGCCTATGTGGTGCTCTGCACGCTATTGGTGTCCCATATGTGTTGGATGAATGAATGAGCTTACAAATAGCTTGGAGTAGAAGATCTGAGTGGGTGGAATAGTAGGAAGGGAAAGAAACCTACCTGCCCCCAGCAATGCTATGAGACGAAAAACCAGCTAAATTAAAGGGAATAGGAATGGGGTTATACATCCCTGCAAACAACCCCTGGAAACTGACATATCTAATAGATATACCCTGAAGCTGGTACTCTCTTATTTTAATTTTTTTTTAAGTTAAATAAATGAGTCAGGGTTTCACTATGCTACCCAGGTTGGTCTCAAACTCCTGGGCTCAAGTGATCCTCCCGTCTCAGCTTCCCAAAGTGCTTGGATTACAGGCATAAGCCACCACTTCCTGCCTAGTATGTCTCAGACGTAAGCCACTACTCCCAGCCTAGTACTCTCTTCCTTTCTGATCTAACTCTTAGAAAATCCCAAGGCTAGATTTCCTGGCCAAAACAAGTTGAGCAGGGTAAGGACAAAGGGAGGGCTTTCTCCCACCCATATCAGAAGACTTGAATCCCTGCCTGCCCAGATCATTATATAGAAGGAAAAAAGTCATTTATATTATACTATATTATACTATACTATATTATATTGTATTATCCCTGCCTACCCAGATCACTATATAGAAGGGAAAATGTCATTGTGCTGATTTCCAAAGAAGCTGGGCAAGGATGAACCAAGCCTCTCCAATCTTCATATGATCAAAGGCCACATTGTGTCTTGTTGCACATAGGCTTCCCTCACTCTGCAGCGTAGGGTCTGATGCGCACAAAGGAAGATAAAATTATAGACTTCTCTGTCTGATGGCTCACAGACTTCACCAGACACAAAGAGTGTTGGATGAGAGTATGTGGGTAAAGCAGCAAAACCAGCCCAACCTAAGTAGAAGAACCCCCAAATTGTGCCCACTCAGGGAGGGTAAGGATTGATAGCTTCCTTTGAGATATAGTGTATTCCTTTCATTTATATTTTGGCTTGAGATGCTAAAATGCAAGGAGGAGTGGAATAGCTGTCAAATTTACTAATGGGATCCATCTTCATAACGCAGATCTTCAGAAAACTTCTTGCAGCATAATAATTCAACTCTCCTCAGAACTTTCCTTCATTTCTGCCCTCTTGGGGAAGGGAGCAAAGAAAACTAGGCATTTCCCATTCAGCCCTGTGTCCGTTTGATGCACTGAGATCCCCTGCCTGGTTAACTTCAGGTTTTTCCCATCAAAAATCTCAGAGAGAACCCCAAACATTAGCGGATGTTAACAGGCAGTCCACAGTTACTGCCACCCAACAATCTCCTTCTGCTGACCCCTGGCTCCAAACTGGATTCAGTCAATGCGCTTGACTTTTCCCACACTTCCTGCTTCCAGTCAAAGAAAATGCAGCAGAGCCTGTTTTCCAGTGTAAGCATGTAAATTCCACACTCATCAACTTCAGGCTTTTGCAGCTGTTGGCTTGAGCCCTGCTCAGGACACAGAGAGACAGAGACAATAGAATTTGTTTTGAAAATCTGTCCTTCGAGTTAAAAAGATGGTGTCACTAATTCTTGTCTGGAGGACCTGTAATTTCAATGTTTCTGCAGGACTAGAGAGAGAAGTCACGAAGACCCAGAACGCTTCTTTACCAGTGTGCCTTGGTAATCAGACTGAGAGCTTTTGCTAATGCTAGGTAATTCTATTTGGCTCAACAAACATGTGTTGAGTGCCTACTAAATGCCAGGCACTGTGACAGGTGCTGGCAATTATTGCTAACAGCCCGTGCTTGTGTAGTATTTGGCCAGGGTTAGAGATGCTGTTAGGTGGCTGGGGGAAAAAAAAGGACTGAAGGGAGAACTGAATTCATCATTATAGCTTATCCTCTTTCAGAAAGCTTCTTAACACTACTTCAGGTGAGAAACACAATCAGCAGCACAAAGAGGTCATGTCTCAGGATAACACATTTGCATCAAGTCAGCTACTTTGTCTCCACTTCTGAATAATGGCATAGTAGGCAGAGCTTGGCATCTGGAGTCAAAAGAGCTAGGCTCAGATTCCAACCTCTCCGTTTAGTTGTGTGAGCATGGGCAAGTCGCCTGACCTCCGAGCCTTGGTTTCCAATTATATGAATTCGAAATAAAAATACTTGCCCTGTCCGGATCACTTGAGGTCAGGAGTGTGAGAACAGCCTGGCCAACATGGTAAAACCCTGTCTCCACTAAGAATACAAAAATTAGCCAGGCATGGTGGCAGGCACCTGTAATCTCAGCTACTTGGGAGGCTGAGGCAGGAGAATTGCTTGAACCTGGGTGGGTAGAGGTTGCAGTGAGCCAAGATCATGCCACTGCACTCCAGCCTGGGCAACAGAACAAGACTCCACCTAAAAAAAAAAAAAAAAGTGCCCTGTCTACCTCATAGGTAGAAGAATCAAGTGAGATAATGTAATATGGACCAGTGATTCCCAAATTTAATGTACATATGAATCATCAGGGGATGTTGTTAAATTGCAGACTGTGAGTCAGTAAGTCTGGGTGGATCTGAGATTCTGCACTTCTTTTTTGTTTGTTTGTTTTTTTGAGATGAAGTCTCATTATGTTGCCCAGGCTGGAGTGTAGTGGTGCGATCACAGTTCATCGCAGTCTCGACATCCTAGGCTCAAGCAATCTTCCTGCCTCAACCTCCAGAGTAGCTAGGACTACAGGCCTGTGCCACCACATCCAGCTAATATTTTTAAATTATTATTTGTAGAGATGAGGTCTTGCTATGTTGCCAAGGCTGGTCTTGAATTCCTGGGCTCAAGTGATCCTCCCCGCTCAGCCTCCCAAAGTGATGGGATTACAGGCATGAGCCACCAAGCCCAGCGTGCAGGCCTAACAAGCTCCCAGGAGATGCTGCTAAGGATGGCCTGTGGATCACGCTTTGAGTAGCAAGCTATGGACTGTTCACTGGTCATATGAAAAAGATGATGACACTGATTAGGCCCACCAGCTAAGTAAACATCGAAAACTCATTCAGCCCCATGAAGTCACTAGAGCTGTGTTAAACAGCCAGTGTGGTCAACAGAAGAAATTTATGTCATGGTATTTGCTTATTTAGGTGAAACCATTAGAGAATAATACCAATCTATCCAAACACAGCAGCTAGGTCAAAAATTTTTCCTATCTCTTTCAGTTAAAAACATTTACCCTGGATGTAAAACATTGAGATAAAGATCAGACAGGCTTTGATCCTGCCAGATCATATCCATCCCACTGTAACTGTCTCCTGCCACATTCCCTTGGAATCTTAAAACTGTTAGAACAGATATGCTTGAGGGTGGAGACTGCAAATCCTCCCCTGCCCTGGGCCTTCTCCAAGTGTTTGAAGACAATTTTGAGGTCACTTCAACCTGCTTCTGGGCACTGAAACATCTTCCTCTTTCCCAAATGCCTTCAGAACAGGTTTCTTCACTTCCCGAATACAAATGACGACTTACTCACACCCATAGGAATATTAATTAGTTAACATTTGTATAACTCTTATGAACTCATGGGATTATCCTAACAATGTACAACCTAGAAGAAATGAGCTTAAATCTGTTTGTCCCAGTCGCCTGCAAAGAGATGATCCATTCCTTAGAGCCTGCATGGCCAGGCCTCCAAGGGCCAAGACAAAACATATAATTAAGGCAATTATTGAGATAAACGGGAGGGGGAAATACTATAATGCAACATCCCTGGATGGGAGGCAGGATTCTCAGATTTTGGTCTTATCTTTGCCATTGTCCTGCTGATCTGGGATGGGGCTCTCCACTTTGCTAAGTAGAATTTGCCTGCTTGTAATGTACATACCGCTCGTGTGGATGGAAAGAATGTGTGAGTCAAAGGCAATATGAAGTGAAGAAAAGTAGTAAAAAGCAAGAAAGTAAATAAAACACATAGTTTTTTTTTAAGTTAACATGCCCTAGTGGTTTTTACCTGTGTTTTTCAGACAGTTGTGAGTTTTCTGCTTGTCATTGGTCCTGGAGACTTGGGTTCAGCTGGAGTTAAGAGGAATCAAGGTTCTCATCAGAGTTCCCTGAAGTCTCTGCTCCCTCCAGAACTTCCCTGGAGAGCAGCCAGCACTGAGATCTCAGCTTCTGCTCCAAGCCCATAGCTGATGCAAAGCGGAGTCTTTCCTGAAGGAGGGCGGGGAGGAGTAAGTGGCGACAGTTTATCTGAAGCTGGCGCTGGGTTCATTAAGAGACCTGGTGCAGTTTATCTGCTTCTTGTCCACGGAGTCAGCTGCTCTGAACGCTGAGTCCAGGGCCTGTCACCATCCCAGCCCTGGTGGCGTCAGGTTGGAAGGGTGTAAAACAGAGCGTCCTCTCTCTCCCCCAACCTCAATCTCCCCTTGTCTCCAACTATCTGTCCTCAAGGGGTCAGATAGGAGCTGCAATTGTAGGAAAGAAGCTAGAAGCCCTCCTGTCAATGCTTTCTGCCCTGCAGACAGTGAGGTCCTCTGAACTGATTTGACTGCTCCCAGAAAGAAGCAGCCTAGAGCTCAGTGGAGGAGGTGGAGAGAAGAGACATGGACTTACCTTTATCAAAGCCGCCTTGCCTTGAATGTAGGTGACATGTATTTTAAGTGATGCCATTTGTCCTTGTCCATGTCACATTCTCACGATGGGGAATGGGATGAACTTCTGTATTCCAGAAGGGGAGGCCCAGGGATGGTAAGACTTTCTTAATATCCCACAGCAACTCAGTGAAAGCGTCAAGAATACAACACACACCTCCTGAGTCCTGGACCAGTCCTTCCTGGGCCCTGAAGTGAGGTCTTCAGTCCTTCTTCATGCCGTTCTCATGATCACAACCAGCTTTAAAAATGAAGATGTTCCAGACCGCTCCGCAGGATAGTCAGATGGTCAGGATGTATCACACTGTGCCATCCATGCTCTCTTGCCTGGTTCTCCAAGATCATCAGCACAACAGGTGTGTCTGCCTGGGCTTAAAGGCCCAGCCTGTGAACAGGGGAAAGATCCATTCTCTGGCCAGGCTCAGTATTCCTTCAGTTCAGGACAGGTCAGTGACTTATCCAAACAACTTAAGACACCTGTCTCAGGAGGGAGGTGGCACCTTCCTAGAGCATCAGTGCATCATTCAACTATTTGGAGTAGACTCCAATAACAGAGATGATCAACTTCCTACTCTATTGGAAGAGTACCACCACCATATCTACTATTGGAATTCATTTCCAAAGGGTTATTGACTTTTCCCAGGAAGGTGGGAGACAGCAAGTGGATTTAGCCAAGTAAAGGAGAAATGTTTTTTTAATGGAAATCTGCCTCTTCAAAACTCCAAAAGCTGTCAGCCCCAAACCCTCAAAGCCCATCTCCAAATTCAGCTTCTCTGAGGGTCCAATTCACACTTACCCTTTGCTATCTGCTTGATCCATGACCCCTTAGAGTTGCTGCCTCACTCCAGGTTCAAGCACCCAGGATGTCATCAAGCAAAAGCAGGTAGAGATCTCACACTGGTCTGTAAGCCCCCACAGCCCTCTTTTCCCCCAGGAGAGAAACCAGCCACAGTGCATGCCTACATTGGAGGGTAGACTTGTGGCTGAGGGAGAGTGAACAGTTTGGCCAGAAGGTGGCTGGGCTCAAAGCCTGCACTGGCAAAGACCTAGGAAGAGTAAGACTGTGAAGGGGGTCGCTGTGCCACTTTTTGAGTTTCTTGGCTGGAAGTGTTTGGGTTTTGTTTGTTTATTTTGTAGAAACGAGATCTCACTATGTTGCCCAGGCTGGTCTAGAACTCCTGGGCTCAAGCAATCCTCTCACCTTGGCCTCCCAAAGTGCTGGGATTACAGGCATGAGCCACCATGCCCAGCGTGGCTGGACATGTGGAAAACATTTATTGTTGCTAACTCAACAAGGAAATTTTAGAAGAAACTGAAGAAGCCTCCCTCAGAGGGCAATTGTTCCTTGCCTCAAGTTCATAACTGCTTGCCTCTCAAGGGGTAGAAAGGGGAGGAGTGGATGTGTCAGGATCCTGGACCTCTGTAAGTAGCAGGATTTGATGTTGTGAGACTGCATAAGGAAAGGGCTAGGGACAGTTTGACACTCGGTCCGCTGAGCAACTCTAAACTCAAACCGGAGTCCACAGAACTCTGTACCCTCAGACTCAGCTGCCCATGGTATGTCTCTCTACTAGAGCACAGTTGTTAAGGGTTTGGGGCCCTGGAGCCAGGCTATTCCACGTTTACATTTCAGCTTGTCATCTTACAAGCTGTATACTTAATCCCTCTAAGCCTCTATTTCCTCATCTGTTAAATGGATATAATAAGAGTATTTATTTCTTGGGATTAAATGAGATCAAGTTCTTAGCACAGGGCTTGGGTGCATGGTAAGCACCCCATAAATGTTGTTATCATTAACTTTATCTTTAGAGGCTTTTAGGGAGGGGGCTTCCTCACTCTCCACTTCCAAGTGCATCCTTCTAGAATGCTACTTCTGTCCCAGTGGGCCTTTCTCTTCGTCTATCCGTCCCCCTCCATCATAAAACAAGGTTTGTCTCTGATGCCCTCTGCCAAGCAGACACCCCTTCTCTCTTAATTCTCCAAAGGCAAGAAGGACAGATGAATTATTTGACTACCTGTTTCCAAAATCTGTAAATAGAGAAAGAGCGAAACACCCTGCACACCAGATAGCTGGAAAGCAAGTCTCACTTGACCCCTTGATATAAAACCTCAGCAGCCCTCACCCCATCCAGCCCTGCTGCCCCTGGTAACTGGGATGGGGGCTCAAGAGAGGTATGTAAAGCCCGTAAGTGGCTCTCCCCGGCTCTTTAGAAAGCTGCTTATCAGGGAATGAAACACTGGCCCAAGCTTGCCATGACAGCAGGAGCTGCCTGAGAAGAGAGGCTGAGATAAATGAAGTATCCTTCATCCCCATCAGTGTGGGCCAGACAGAAACCAGGTGCGAGGCAGTGAGCCTTCATCTTCTGTAAACAATCTTCCATCGCCCACTGCAGCAGCTTGAGCCTGAGATGAGGATTAGAAGAACAGCTTCTGCAGGCCTGGGGCCTCTCAGCTGGACAGAGAGTTAAAGGGCGCACAAGATAGCTCACTGCTGGGAAGGATGCTTGAGGAAACACAGCCATTCGTCACCAGGGGGTTTGCCTGACCTGGCAGGAGAGAATCTGATATCTAAACAGTTCCCTGCGTCCCTGAAGCACTCTGAAAGTTCTCCAGCTAAATATTTGATACTGCATCAGATAACAGCCCAAAGCTCTTCCCACTAGTTTGAGAAGGCTGCTGCTACAGAAGGGAGAGACCTAGCCAGTGCTGGGCTTGGCTGCAATCATGCAGGACTTAAGGTGGGGGCATCCTAGCTCCCACCTCAAATTTTTGGTGTCCTTTCACCTTGGCCAGGTTAGGGCCAATTAAGGGCAAAGAGGTTGCCCACCAAAAGTTAGTGCTCTATAAATCCATGAAGAGAAATGGAACCTAAATCCCTTTCAAAGGTAGTTCTCTTCTCCCCACCCCACTCCACCTGCCTCCCCTACTCCTTTGACAGAGGTTTCGCTTGCAGGAGCTGAAAAAATTACCATGACCCCTGTGCTCAGGTGGTAGATGGATGCCAGGTTCCTCAACCTGAGATTACAAAACAAAGTTAAGTGCTTGAATCCCCTCAGGGAGCTGGGGACAGACAAGCCTGGCTGAATGAAAGAGCTATTCTGTTTACAATTCTTATTTTTCCAGCAGGGGGGATGAAAATGTCTCCAATTCCGTGTTTCAAGTTTCTTGTAAGATAGGCAAATGAAAGCACATTTCAAACAGTATTGCCTCCAAGAGAAAGATGTTCCCCTCTGGTTGTAAGGAAGTGAAGCAGTGGAAATAGTTAAAGATGAGACTTTGGGTTGGGCACGGTGGCTCACACCTGTAATCCCAGCACTTTGGGAGGCCAAGAGGGGGTGGATCACTTGAGGCCAGCAGTTCGAGACAAACCTGGCCAATATGGCAAAACCCCGTCTCTACCCAAAATACAAAAATTATCCAGGCATGGTGACACATGCCTATAATCCCAGCTACTTGGGAGGCTGAGACATGAGAATCACGTGAACCCAGGAGGCAGAGGTTGCAGTGAGCCAAGATCACACCACTACACTCCAGTCTGGGTGACAGAGCAAGACTCTGTCTCACAAAAAAAAAAAAGGGGCGGAGGATGCTTTGGGACTGGACACACCTGAGTTCAAGTCTCAGCTCTGATATTTACTAAGGGTGTGATCTTGGGCATGTTATGTGACCCCTCTGAGCTTCAGTTTCCTTATCTGTAGAACAAGGATACTAGTACCTAAGTCACAGGCTGGTTGTGAGGGTTAAACACTAAGACATGTGAAGAAAGCACTTATCAGAGCACCTGATACACTAAACTCTCAGTTAATGGCCATCATTGTCAGTAATGAGACTCAACCATTAAAATAAAACTTGGAGACAGGATTTATGGAAGAAAGTTTCAAAGGGGCAGATTTCAGCACAGAAAACAGATTTATTCTTTTTTGAAAAAAGTTTATTACAGAAAAATTCAAACATATACATAAATAAAAGAATATAATGAACTTCCATATACCCAACAACACCCAGCTTCAACAATTATCAATCAAGGCCACTTTTATATCATGCAAACTGCTCTAGATGGATCTAGTCCATTTTAATCTAGTTATTTTGGTCACAAGGGTAGGTATTTTCTTATAGGAGAGGGAATTCGGGATTTAGAGTCTGAAAATGTGTTTCACCTTTGATTAAATGTATGACCTTGGGCAGGTCACTTAATTCTTTTGATCCTCAGTAAAATGAAGATCTTTCATCTGTAAAATAAAATTGATAACACTGGCTACACATACAAAAAGTGTACAGGCAGTGAGATGTCTGTGAAAGAGGCTCAAAAAGGAAGCACTATGTAAACACCTGCCACTGTGTACAGCACCAGGTGTGGCTCAACAAACATTTATTGAGGTTATTGTTAAGTATTAGGTCATGCCAAAAAAAAAAGAGAAAACCCAACTCTTCAATTTTAGGTTGCACCATTGAGCTTCTCTTGTCACATTGCAAATGTGGTCACTAAGGCAACTGGGCCAGACAGAATGGATGACTCATCCTGCTCCAACCTAGTATGCACATCCTGTTGGTCCAGGAGAGTCACTTCTCATACCACATGTCCTTGTTCAATGTCAAGGCCTGGAAAATGTCAAATCATGTCAAAAGTCTCCAGTCCTATATCTCCGTGAAGGTTCAGAGTGAGAACTGCAGAGCCAGTGGGCAAGACCTGAAAATTATATTTTGAAAAAGCAGCTGTTGTGAACACAAGCCAAATCACCCTTTCAAAAAGAATTTGGAGGTAAGTCTCAGATACAGAATTTAAAGCTGCAAGAGGAGACTATAGGTGAATGCCTGACCCAAAGGTTGGTCCGAAAACTATTTTGACTACAGCCAGAGAGATGCTATTTCTTCCTTATTTTTCTTCCCTTACAGAGAAGAGAATTTTAGAATTTCATCTTTGCCCTAACCTCTGCCTCCTGGTGGCCCATGAAAACAATATTGTCCTGCTCAGCAGGGCAAAGCCTCCTATTTCCAGCTGTCCTTTACCCATCCCGTAGCTCCACACTGAGGTCCCCGCTGTAGATGGATTTCTCAGCCAGTGATTTTCTCACTACTGAGCCCCAGCTGTTTTGCATCCGTGGAGCACATGAGGGCGAGAGCAGAAATGAAAGGACCAAGGCAGTGTCAGTGCACTAGGGTCCAGGTCACTGGTGATTCCAGTTTTTAATGAACATGGAGTCCAGGGACCTGAAAGGAAGGTCAGAGTTCACAGAAGAGTAAGCACAATATGCGTCTGGATTATTAAATCCTCACTGTGCAGACATCACTGTTCCTCAATACCCATTCCTCTCAGGGGTTCAGTGTTGCCCTGAGCAGTCAGGGCTCCTGATCTCCTGGAAGCCTTTGACTTCATGCTGTCAAAGGAGTATGAAGGACATTTGACAACTGGGTTATGTCCTAAGAATTTGATTCCCACTCTGACTCTCCAGGTTTCTGACTTCTCCTTTTCCCCAGAAAGAATCCATAACCAAGTCTCCAAAGTGGCTCCAGGAGAAAGATGTGGCCTGCAGAAGGGAAGTCTTACTCAGAGGTCTATTCTGGCCTCTGCTTAATTCAGCTGTTCCCCGTATTTTCATTTGGTCATGCCTTTGAATTTCAGAGATCTTGACTTCCTGGTTCCATCACTGGAAAGAATACGTTTGCTGGTGGGAAGCAGTCTTTATTTCTTCCACTTCAGAGTTGTTTTCTTTATCGGCTTCTAGGAGAAGATACTATCCACTTCTCTCCCTCTTTTTTTTTGAAAGAGGGTCTCACTCTGTCACCCAGGCTTGAGTGCAGTGGCATGATTTGGCTTATTGCAAACTCAACCTCCTGGGCTCAAGTGATCCTTCCACCTCAGCCTCTTGAGTAGCTGGGACTATAGTTGCACACCACCACACCCAGCTAATTTTTGTAATTTGTTTAGAGACGGGGTCTTGCCCCATTGCCCAGGCTGGTCTCAAACTCCTGGACTCAAGCAACCCACCTGCCTCAGTCTCCCAAAAAGCTGGGAGTATAGGCATAAGCCACAACGCCTGGCACTATCCACTTCTCTGCAAAAAGGCGATGCCCATTTTTGGTGGTAGTTGTGGTTAAGCCAGGCATGTAGATGTTCACATGACAAGGTATAGGGAAAACCCAAAAGGAATCCTAGAGTCACTGAGAGATCTCAGGGCATCTGGTCCAAGCTTCCACCCAAGACTCTCCCCTACTATATCACTGATGGATGGTCATACACTGATGCTTTAACAGCTCAAGTGGTAGGGACCTCATTTGGAAGCCCAGCTCAATTTTGGACAGTTTTTATTTAAGAAAACAAAACAAAAACAAACAAAACTTTTTTTTCTATTCATTTTCTAATTTCACTCAAAGAAGCAAAATGGGATGAATGGAAGCCCTCTCAAGAACCTCATGTGACATCCCTTCAAATCTATGAAAATATTTATAATGTCTGCACTGAGTCTTTTCTCCTCTAAAGTAAGCATTTCAGGTTACTTCAACAACACCTTATGCAGGGAAATAACAATTAACTGGGACTGAAAAGACCTGGATTCAGGTTCTTTTTTTTTTTTTTTTTGAGATGGTGTTTTGCTCTTGTTGCCCAGGCTGGAGTGCAATGGCGCGATCTTGGCTCACCACAATGTCCACCTCCCGGGTTCAAGCAATTCTCCTGCCTCAGCCTTCCAAGTAGCTGGGATTACAGGTGTGCGCCACTATGTCCTGCTAATTTTGTATTTTTAGTAAAGATGGGGTTTCTCCATGTTGGTCAGGCTGGTCTCAAACTCCCGACCTCAGGTGATCGGCTTGCTTTGGCCTCCCAAAGTGCTGGGATTACAGGAGTAAGCCACTGCACCCGGCCTTGGATTCAAGTTCTAATTCCATCAGTTTTCAGCTGGGTGACCTTTTCACCCAGTCATTTAACTTCCCCGAGGCTTACTTTCTTTCTCCATAATGTGGAGACCACATGTATATAACTTACCTATGGTTGAAAGGATTAAATGAGATGATATATGCCTACATTATTTGATTATTATAAAACATTATACATATGCTTTGTAATCACCATCATACTCTCCTCTGTTCTGGCTGACCTCCTCTGGATCTCTCTAGTTCATAGTGTTCAGCTAAAAATAGCAGTTGTTAGTTCAATAGGCATCTATGAGCCAAACACTGTACTAGGCACTGGGGAAAACAAGGACTAACAAGATGATCCCTGTCTTCAAGGTAACCAGGGGATTATAAATGCACTGGTGTAAAAGCCATGGTACAGGTGTGCATGTGGAGCACTATTAGAATACAGGGGAAGGGCTCCTAACTCAGGGCGGAAGGAAGCAACACTTGGAATGGGTCTTAGAGAATGCATAGAAGTTATCTAAATAAACCAGAGGAAGGTAAGAGGGCATTGTAGGCAGGGATGAAAACATGCAAAGCCATGAAGTTTAGTTGGGATAAAGATAAGCTATTTTGAGTTCAAAAAGTCATTGTTGGCCGGGCGCGATGGCTCATGCCGCTTTGGGAGGCCAAAGCGGGCAGATCACGAGGTCAAGAGATCAAGACCATCCTGGCCAACATGGTGAAACCCCATATCTACTAAAAATACAAAAATTAGCTGGGCATGGTGGTGGGCACCTGTAGCCCCAGCTACTTAAGAGGCTGAGGCAGGAGAATCGCTTCAACCCATGAGGCAGAGGTTGCAGCGAGCTGAGATGGCCTCACTGCACTCCAGCCTGGCGACAGAGTGAGACTCCGTCTCAAAAAAAAAAAAAAAAAAAAAGTCATTGCTCCATCAAAGGACACAGTCAACAGGGTAAAAAGGCAATCTGCAGAATGGAAGAAAATATTTGCAAATTACATATCTGATAAGGGGTTAATGTCCAGAATATATAAAGAAGTCCTACAATTCAACAACAACAAAAGCCCCAAACAATTCAATTAAAAATGAGTAAAGGACTTGAATAGACATTTCTCCAAAGAAGATATACAAATGACCGATAAGCACATGAAAAGATGGTCAACATCACTAATCATTAGGGAGATCCAAATCAAAACCACAATATCACCTCACACCAATTAGGGTGGCTACCATTAAAAAAAAAAAAAAAAAAAAAGGCCAGGCATGGTGGCTCAGGCCTGTAATCCCAGCACTTTGGGAGGCCAAGGCGGGTGGATTGCCTGAGGTCAGGAGTTCGAGACCAGCCTGGCCAACATGGTGAAAACCCGTCTCTACTAAAAATACAAAAAATTAGCTGTGCGTGGTGGCAGGCGCCTGCAGTCCCAGCTACTTGGGAGGCTGAGGTAGGAGAATCACTTGAACCTGGGAGGCGGAGGTTGCAGTGAGCTGAGATCGCGCCATTGCACTCCAGCCTGAGCAACAAGAGCAAAACTCTGTATCAAAAACAACAACAACAAAAAAAACAAAACAACAACAACAACAACAACAACAAAAACAAGGCGAGGTGCTGTGGCTCATGCCTGTAATTCCAGCACTTTGGAAGGCCAAGGTGGGTGGATCACCTGAGGTCAGGAGTTTGAGACCAGCCTGACCAGTATGGTGAAACTCTGTCTCTACTAAACATACAAAAATTAGCTGGGCATGGTGGCATGTGCCTGTAGTCCCAGCTACTCGGGAGGCCGAGACAGGAGAATTGCTTGAACCCGGGAAGCCAAGGTTGCAGTGAGCCGAGATCATGCCACTGCACACCAGCCTGGACAAGAGTGAGACTCCATCTCAAAAAAAATAAATAAATAATAATAATAATAATTAATAGATGGCATAGATGTGGAGAAAGTGGAATCCTTGTGAAGTCTTAGTGAGAATGTAAGATGGTTATAGCCATTATGGAAAACACTATGACAGTTCCTCAAAAAATTAAAAATAGCATTTCTATATAATCTAGAAATTCCACTTCTGCGTGTATACCCCAAATAACTGAAAGCTGAGTCTCATGTTCATAGTAACAGCATTCACAATACCAAAAGATGGAAGCAATCCAAGTGTCCATCAGTGGATAAATGGAAAAACAAAATGTGGTATAGCCATACAATGGAATATTATTCAGCCCTAAAAAGGAAGGAAATTCTGACACATACTACAATATGGATGAATCTGGACATTATGCTAAGTAAAATAAGCCAGGCACAAAAGACAAAAACTGTGTGATTCCACTTATATAAGGCACCTAGAATAATCAAATTCACAGAGACAGAAAGTAGCATGGTGGTTTACAGGGACCAGGGGGACCGGTGAATGGGCAGTTGTTGTGTAATGGGTATAGAGCTCCAGTTTTTCAGGATGAAAAGAACTCTGGAGATTGGTTGCACAATAATGTCAATATACTTGACACCACTGAACTGTACATTAAAAATGATTAAGATGGTAAATTTTATGTTTTGTGTATTTAATCACAATTTTAAAAAACATTCGGAGAACATTAGAGAAATTTGATATGGACTGGGTTTTATTGCTAATTTTTTAGGTATGACAATGGCACTGTGGTTATATTGAGCAATGCCCTTATTCTTAGGAGATGTGTGCTGAAAGTCAAGGTTGAGGTACAAGTTATTTTGAAATGCTTGGATGGAAGAATGAGTGCTTGCATAATAACATACAGCCAAACTGGCAAAATGGCAACAATGGATTTCAGGCAGTGGATGTATAGCATTCATTGTACTATTCTTTCAATATTGAGAAAATAAAACCAAGCCACCATATGTGCCAAAAAAAAAAAAAAAAAAGATGTTTCAGTATGAGTCAACTCCGGGTGTCTGCTCCCCGCAAAAAAAGTCAGCAAAACAAAACATGAAAGTAACCATGAGCTGTATTACTAGAAATATATTTTAGTTTTTATTTAAAAAAATTTTTTTTGAGACAGAGACTCACTCTGTTGCCTCAGCTGGAGTGTAGTGGTGCAATCTTGGCTCACTGTAACCTGTGCCTCCTAGGTTCAAATGATTCTCATGCCTCAGCTTCCTGAGTAGCTGGGATTACAGGTGCGTGCCACAGCACCCGGCTAATTTTTGTATTTTTAGTAAAGATGGGGTTTCATCATGTTGGCCAGGCTGGGCTCGAACTCCTGCCCTCAAGTGATCCACCCACCTCGGCCTCCCAAAGTGCTGGAATGACAGGCGTGAGCCACTGCGCCTGACTGCTAGAGATATAATATTTTAGTATGAGCATGGACAGGTTACTTATCCTCTGTAAGTGTCAATTCTATTGGATGTAAATGAGAATTATGATAATACTTTGCTTCTTGGAGTTATGGCAAAAAGTAAATATGGTTAGCCTTGTCATTTAAATCTTGAAGATCTTTACTTTATCTGAAGAGAGAAAACCAAAAAAGTGAATAGATTTGCTGTATCTGTCAGCTATAATATTATACCATCTATGCGAACTGTCCAATCTGTCTCATCTTTACCGTCGTATTCATTCATTTATCTTTTCAACAGTTCATATATACTTACAAGATACATATTTTCCTAGATACTAAGGATACAAAAATGAATAGACGTATTAACAGGTGAAAACAGCAATGTGCTATGTGCCCAGCAGTGGGCTGACCATGGCACAGAGAGAGCAAACAAGGAGAGAGTTTCATGCTGTTTGGAATGGCAGGGAAGGCTTCTGCAAGAAAGTGACATTTGAACTGCATCTGGGATGATAAAGATTTTCTAGACAGAGAATGAGTAGAAGATCATTCAGACAAATGAAAGGACTTATTGGGCTTGGAGCGGTGGCTCACGCCTGTAATCCTAACACTCTGGGAGGCTGAGTCGGACTGATCAGGAGGTCGGAGATCGAGACCATCCTGGCTAACACGGTGAAACCCCGTCTCTACTAAAAATACAAAAAATGAGCCGGGCGTGGTGGCGGGCGCCTGTAGTCCCAGCTACTCGGGAGGCTGAGGCAGGAGATTGGCGTGAACTCGGGAGGCGGAGCTTGCAGTGAGCCGAGATCGCGCCACTGCACTCCAGCCTGGGCAACAGAGTGAAACTCCAACTCAAAAAAAAAAAGAAAAGAACAGAAAGGACTTATTAAAAATCAAGATAGAAAGAGTGCCACTTTTGTTGTTGTTCTGTTTTGTTTTTGTTTTGAGACAGAGTCTCTGTCTCCCAGGCTGGGGTGCTGTGGCACAATCTCGACTCACTGCATCTTCTGCCTCCCAGGTTCAAGTGATTCTCCTGCCTTAGCCTCCCAAGTAGCTGGGATTACAGGCGCATGCCACCACACCGGGCTAATTTTTGTATTTTTAGTAGAGACAGGAGTTCACCATGTTGACCAGGCTGGTCTTGAACTCCTGACCTCAGGGGATACACCTGCCTCAGCCTCCCAAAGATTACAGGTGTGAGCCACCACGCCTGGCCAAGAGTGCCATGTTTTAGAGGGACAAGTAACCAAGTAAGACTGAATCTCAAGGAAATATGAAAAGCCAGAAACATTAGGAACATGGGTCACAGTTCTTAAAGGAGAGAGTTACTTAAGCACCAACCTTCTGTTTATCTTCTTCTTCCCATTTTCAGAGCCTGTCTCCTAAAACCCAATATCTTTTCGTTCTTAGAATTTTCTCTCCTCCCAGGTATCCTTGCATTTTAAGATTTGCAGATACAACCTGGAATTGGTCTCTTCCTCATTGTAGATTTCAGATTTTTTGACCCCACACAGTACGTCCTACCTGCCCACTCTGCCCTTTAATGGGCTTATCTTGGCTCTCTCGCCATGACACTCCCTGAAAGCTTGTCATGTGTGGAGAGCTCTCGGTTTCCTCTGATATCGCCTCCAGCTTATTGAAATTCCGTGGGCCTCCATTTCTGTAGCTACCAATCAGGGCTGATGATGGGAGAGGTGAAAGTGAAAGTGCAGGAGACTCATGAGGCTTTAACTTGGTCTTATAAAAAGAAGCTGTAAATCCCACCCCACCCCCTTATACTCTCACTGTCGTTTAATGATTTTTACTGATTCTCGGCAAAAATTGATATTCCCCTTGGTCAGGGGGCTGAGTGACTATCTGCAAAGTAAGTGAAATATTGCAGATTTGGAGTCCCTTAGCTTGTGAAAATTACCAAGACCCATTATTTCAGCTGGTTGTCTCCAGGCCGGCTCCAACATATGAAAAAAGAACTTGTAAGGTGCCTGGATCCTGCCTTCCCATAAACTATTTAATCTGTTTGACACCTCTTGCTGGTAAAAGCTCAGGTAAAGACATACTGAAGCTAGACGAGAGCTAGGATCTCTAAATATGTTGAAAATGTTATCTGTTCTTTCTCAAATATGTCTCTCCTATTCAGGTATTTGCTCTGTGATAGCCTTTTACCTTGGCAGCCACTGAGGCTCTGTGCCTTGTATTTCAAAACTGATAAGGAAAGGCAAGATCCTCCCACACTGTTCCCTCAGAGCACTTGGTGAGGATGGGCCATATGTGATGTGGACCGCGTGGCCTCGCTACCAGTGGCTCACCCACCTCCCCCTTCTTGTGCATGCCTTGCTCATCTAGAGAGCAGAAGGTAATGGGAAGGAGAAAATAAATGGGCTTTCTCTGAGGATCTCACACAGGCACTCCAGTGATCTCCTTATCTGCAGACTTGGCAAATTCTTTACAACATCTGATCAAGGAAGGGCTTTTTTGATGTTTCTGCATGTTCTCGATTTACTGCCCTGCTGCTGGGATATGACGAGATGCCTGTATCAGGAGCCCCTCAGAGCTTTCCAGATGGGCTGCAAAGTCTGCATATTTTTAAATAAACAACAAGCTAGTCTCAGAATGTGGCTTCTTTGGGGTTAAAGCAACATTTGCATAAAGCAGAAGAGCAGATGCCAGACCCAAGTTATCTACTGCCCCTAATCTGGCTCTGTGTCCCTTTCCTCTCCTCTGCCTGCCTCTCCCCATCATGTTAATTCTGCTGTCAGGACCCTCTACAGGTTCCCCAGGACCTGGGCTGAGTTATAGGATGGGAAGCTGCTTGTAGCCTCCAGGTTTCTGCCTTCCATCTGCCTTGCAGCTGGCTCTGCAGTCCAATGATGGGAGATTCACAGGTGAAAGGAGTTGGACATTTGGACTTTTGATCTGCTTATTCCCCAAAGTCTTCAAAGCTCTGACCCATATATCTACCATGATGGGGTTTTTAACAAGGTGGGGGAGGAAGCGATGTGCAGGGAGGCTGATTCATGTGAGGGCAGGAAACTGGGCAATGCTGTGGTCTCTAACTCTGGGACTGAAAGCCCCCACTTCTTACTCCTCCCTGTATCATGACTCCCACTATCTGGATAGTCATAGCATTCCATGCCCATTGGAAGGATTTAGAAAGAGATGTCCTCAAAGAAAACGCTTCTCAAATTCATTTTAATAACCCCCTTCTCATTTTCCCAGGCTTGCTGTGGTATAGAAACTGGAACCTTCAACTGCAAGATCAGTCACGTTCAAACAATATCTTTCCAAACATGGAGAAGACCACCCCAAGCGGAAGATCCCTAAAGCAAAACTACCCATCACCACCAAGCCATGGACTATTAGAGGTTTTCGCAAAATCTGAGTCAGTGTCTGACTTGGACTCTATTTGCAGTGATTCTCATCTTAAAGGGTTACACAGAGAGGGGTATTCTCTTGCTGAACCTGATGATCTTGGCTATTTGGGCAGTCTGCTTGATTTTTCTTTTCCAAAAGGAAAAAGAGGAGGGAGTGACCTAAGACGCTAAACAATGCTTGATGATCTGATACCTAGGGGTAGTGTTGAGGAGTAGGGAGAAAGAGAGGCCATCATCCTAAATGTACTGCATATTCAACATATGTAAATGTATATAAATTCTTGAGGACCAGAGGCAGAAAAAGAAAATTATATGTTGCTTTTCAGATATATGATCTGGAATACATTACTTATTTTCTCCAAGCCTTGGGCTCTTCATATGTAAAGTGAGAATAATGATCATACTAACCTCCCAGAGATGTAGTGAGAAATAAGCGCTAATAGCAAAGTGCTAGATAAATGTCAATAACAATAACGACAACAAAGCTAGTAACAGCTGCCACCAAGGAGGAAGGTGGGGATACAGTTTCATGAAAGAAATAGATAGTCAGGCATCGTAGCTCATGTCTGTAATCCCAGTGACTCAGGAGGCTGTGGCTGGAGGATTGCTTGAGCCGAGGAGTTCCAGACCAGCCTGGGCAACTTAGTGAGGCTCTGTCTCTAAAAAAAATGAAATAAATTCGTCAAGCGTGGTGACACACACCTGTAGTCCCAGCTACTTGGGAGGCTAACTTGTGAGGATCCCTTGAGATCTCTTGAGCCCAGGAGTTTGAGGCTGCAGTGAGCTATGATGGCATCACTATACCCCAGCACGGGCAACAGAGCTAGACCCTGTTTCTAAAAAAGAAAAGAAAAGAAAAGAGAGAGAGAGGAAAGAAAGAAAGAGAGGAAGAAGGAAGGAAAAAGGAAGGAAGGAAGGAAGGAAAAGGGAGGGAGGAAGGAAGGAAGGAAAGAAGGAAGGGAGGGAGGAAGAGAGAGAAGGAGGGAGGAAAGGAGGGAGGGAGGAAGAGAGAGAAGGAGGGAGGAAAGGAGGGAGGGAGGAAGAGAGAGAAGGAGGGAGGAAGGGAGGGAGGGAGGAATGAAGGAATTACCTGAACAGCAATGGAAAAGAGGAGTGGAAATAGTTAGCTTCCCTAGCCTAGGTCATCTGCACTTCCTTCCCTTGAGATAACAGGGCCTCTCCTTCTCACCTGTCCACATTGTTTCTCTGCACTAATGCTCCTTTCCCTTCTCATAAATTACAGATTCTACTCGGCAAATGTTTGCTTGCCACAAATGGCTGCTGATGTGGCAGCTCCCTTTCTGAGCTTGGAGATTTGTATGGATTAAGGTATCAGTGACTGATGCAGCCCCAGAGCTCAAGTAGATGGACACAATTTGCAAGAGAAAGAGAATTCCTCTCATTTCTCACTCCCAGCCTGCCCCATAGTCCTTCCCTGCCCCGGCTATCCTGCTTATGTCAATAGAAACACAGTGCTAGCTCAAGGGATATAGTATTCTCACTGTATTAGAATTTATCTGATTATACAATATTTTCTATTCAGTTCTGGATACCTCATTTTATAGAATATATTAACTAAGGAAGGAAGAACAGAGTGAGGAAAGATCTGGAAATCAGGTCTCAGGAGGAACAAATGAAGAAATTGAGAATGTATATTGCTCAACAGAGGGAAAGACCTATGGGCACACAGGACAGCTGTCTTCAAATATTTGGAGAGGTAGCGTAGGGAAAAGGAGTTAAGAGTTATTGTGTTGGCTCCAGAGGGCAACAAAGAAGTAGAATCAATGGGTGTAAGTGCCAAGAAGGCAAACTCCCATTCCATATAAAGAACCATTCTATCATTTACAGCAGCCTAACATTATGGGAGTCTTCCTTATAAATAGTGATCTCTGCCAGGCACAGTGGCTCATGCTTATAATCCCAGCACTTTGGGAGGCTGAGGAAGGCAGATCACTTGAGGTCAGGAGTTCGAGACCAGCCTGGCCAACATGAAGAAACCCCGTCTCTACTAAGAAATACAAAAATTAGCCAGGCATGGTGGCGGGTGCCTGTAATCTCAGCTACTTGGGAGGCTGAGGCAGGGAGAATTGCTTGAATCCAGGAGGTGGAGGTTGCAGTGAGCTGAGATTGTACCACTGCACTCCAGCCTGAGTGACAGAGCGAGACTCCGTCTCAAAAAAAAAAAAAAAAAAGAAAACAAACAAAAAACCAAAAACCCACCATCTCAGTCTTCTTGTTTTTTGAGACAGGGTCTCACTCTGTTGCCCAGGCTGGAGTGCAGTGGCGCTATCTTGGCTCACTGCAGACTGCCTCCTGGGCTCAAGCGATCTTCCACATCAGCCTCCTGAGTAGCTACAGGTATGCACTACCATGCCTGGCTAATTTTGTTCATTTTTTTATAGAGACAGTCTCCCTATGTTGCTCAGGCTGGTCTTGAGCTCCTGGGTTCAAGGGGTCCTCCCACCTTGGCTTCCAAAAGTGTTGGGTTTACAGGTGTGAGCCACTGCAACCAGCCTCCAGCTGAGATTTAAAGCCTGCCTCAATTGAAAGGAGAGGATGGAAGAGGGCTCCTCTAGGTTTCCACATGACCCAAGAGAAGAATCTGAGTTATTTCTCAGGGACTGGGCAAACATTTACACTCGTCACCAAAAACAAAACTGAGAATTAAACTTAAAGGTTCTGGGAAGGATAAAAAGAGGGAAGTGGGTATTTTCTTGTTTACTAAGGGAGGAATCCGACTTTGAGAGCAACTCAGCGCCTGCCCAATGCAGAGGTAATACTGAAAAAGAGGTTTATGGTATCTATTAAATTAAATGGAAACCTAAGGCATTGTTTTTGTCTGGAGATTTGTGTACAAGAGGACTAGAGGAAGAAAAAGAATAAAGCAAAATCTGCATTGAATTTTTTTCCAGTCTCCCATATTCCTTTGATTTTGAAAAAAATAAAGAGGTCAGATGTGGCTCATGCCTGTAATCCCAATGCTTTGGGAGGCCAAGGCAGGAGGATCACTTGAGCCCAGGAGTTCAAGACCAGCCTAAGCAACATAGTGAGAGCCCATATCCACAAAAAGTAGAAAAAAATTACTCGGGTGTGGTGGTGCATGCCTGTAGTCCCAGCAACTTGGGAGGCTGAGGCAGGAGGATTAGCTTGAGCCCAGGAGGTCGAGGTTGAGGTTGAGGCTCAAATAGAAACTCCAGAGGGTGGAAGAGAAAGAGACTGTTTTCTCATAATTAACAATACTTGTCTCCCTCGCCAGCTTTCTCTGGTTATGCAGAAACCAGGTCTGCAAAACTGTGTACAAGGTCAGTTTGTTTTCTGACTGAGAACACAAGGAACAATGCTTGTGTTTTCATTTGTTTGCTTGTTTGTTTGATTTTGAGATGGAGTCTTGCTCTGTTGCCCAGGCTGGGGTGCAGTGGTGTGATCTCAGCTCATGGCAACCTCCGCCTCCCAGGTTCAAGCAATTCTCCCTGCCTCAGCCTCCCAAGTAGCTAGGATTACAGGTGTGCACCACCACACCCAGCTAATTTTTGTATTTTTAGTAGAGACAGGGTTTCGCCATGTTGGCCAGGTTGGTCTCGAACTCCTGACTTCAGGTGATCCACCCACATCGGCCTCCCAAAGTACTGGGATTACAAGCATCAGCCACCATGCCTGGCAACAATGCTTGCTTACAGATAGGTCTGCAAATGTGTAAGGGAGGCCAGCAAGTCTGCAGCAATGTGTCCAGGTGTGGATTTCAATGGGTTTTCAATGGGTGTAAAACGTGCGAACTGTGGGTGGGAACCTGCAAGCACTCAGAGTCTTTCAAAGTCATTTTTTGTAATTCCCATTTCCAACATCCAGATTACTGGATTTGAGTGTTCTGAATGGAGACCCCATGCTGGATTCAGGCCTTGCCCCATCCCAGCCCACCTATCCTCCAGGGACGCCTTCCTGCTTTGCTCAGACTCTTTCTAGTCCAGCGTCTCTCCTGCCCTACTCAAGTGTGGGGATTGAAAATTGAGTTTTGGGGCTGGGCACAGTGGCTCATGCCTATAATCCCAGCACTTTGGGAGGCTGAGGCAGGTGGATCACTTGAGGCCAGGAGCTCAAGACTAGCCTGGACATCATGGTGAAACCCTGTCTCTACTAAAAAATTACAAAAATTTGCCAGGTATGATGGCTCACACCCGTGGTCCCAGCTACTCAGGAGGTTGAGGCATGAGAATCACTTGAACCCAGGAGGCAGAGGTTGCATTGAGCTGAGATGGTGCCACTGCACTCCAGCCTGGGAAACAGAGCAAGACTGTCTCAAAAACAAACAAACAAAAAAAAAGCCAGGCGTGGTGGCTCACACCTGTAATCCCAGCATGTTGGAAGGCCGAGGCAGGTGGATCACAAGGCCAGGAGTTCAAGACCAGCCTGGCCAAGATGGCGAAACCCCATCTCTACTAAAAATACAAAAATTAGTTGGCTGTGGTGGCAGGCGCCTGTAATCCCAGCTACTCAGGAGGCTGAGGCAGAGAATCACTTGAATCCAGGAGGTTGGAGGTTGCACTGAGCTGATATCGCGTCACTGCACTCCAGCCTAGGAGAGCAGGTCTCTGTCTCAAAAAAAAAAAAATTGAGTTTTGGAAGAAGACTGAGTGTGAATAGGAGAGATAGTGGAGTAACTGGAGGTGACGGAAGAGAGGAAGTTCTGGGCCTGAGAAGAACATGAGGTAGCTCTTCCTGCCATCTATCTTCCTGCTGTGCTTCCAGGAAGATACACCTCAAAGGCATCCCCCTGCACAGCTTGTTGTACACATTTTGCCTCTTCAGACTTTCCAGCTTGAAAAGTGACAGCTCCTGGCAGAAGCTTTGAGCTGGTCTGAAATGAGGAATCAGAGAACTCTGGCCAAAATTATTAGATCCTTGCCCTGGACTCTTGAACCTTCATTTTCCTTCAAGTGAGGAATTCTCTCTCCTAGCTTCATTCTCCCTAGGAGGGGGGTCCTAATGTAGAAATCTAACCCCAGGGTGGAACAGGCAGGTGATCTTTTTTTTCTTTTTTTTTTTTTTGAGACGGAGTTTCGCTCTTGTTGCCCAGGCTCAATCTTGGCTCACCACAACCTCCGCCTCCCACGTTCAAGTGATTCTCCTGCCTCAGCCTCCCGAGTAGCTGGGATTACAGGCATGCGCCACCACATCTGGCTGATTTTGTATTTTTATTAGAGGCAGGGTTTCTCCATGTTGGTCAGGCTGGTCTTGAACTCCCGACCTCAGGTGGTCCATCTGCCTCGACCTCCCAAAGTGTTGGGATTACAGGCGTGAACCACCATGCCCAGGCAGGTGACCCTCTTTTTTCTCCTTTTCCTTTTCCTTGCCAGTTTTCTCCTTCCCTCTGCCTGACTCAAGTCAGGTTCCAGGTCCTGTTTCTGTGGCATCAGGATGCATGTGTGTAGATCCATGTGCGGAAGAAGGAAGCAAGAAGATGTCATCAATTCTCAACAATTTCCACTGATGGTAACCGACCATGCCAGACTGATCTTCCCAAGGGCTCTGTGAAGCTTCCAACAGGTGGCCATCCTTGCCCTTGAGTTCCAGTAATGTTGTCCCCTTTCTGATCCCAAAAAATCTAAACCCATAGCCCTGTGTGAATTCACCTTACTCACCTTAGAAGGGGGAAGACAACCCAGATGTTTTTGGAAAAGATGAAACCAAACCCTGGTATAGTGGTGGAGAAGGGAATCTGACACTAGCTTCTGTGGGAAGTGGGAAGATGGAAAGGAAGGGTTGAGACAGGCTCACTTCTCTTGGGTGTCCCTGCAGGAGGTCTTCTCTGTCCATTTTCTGCCAATAGAAACATCCAGCTGGTCCTTCAAATCCTTTACATTTCCAAAGTTGAGTCTTTTCTTGGGTTTACACTTGCTAAAGTAAAGGAAGCCAAACAAAACAAAAGAACAAACAAAAACTCTGTGGGAGAACCCTTAGATCAGACTCGCCCTAAAGCTATCCAGTGAATGCTTTGTCATTTGCCTGAGATAAATTCCTCTAACAGAAGGGAGGGAGAAAGAAAATGCCTCCCAAGTCCTCATCCATCTCTAACCCTGTCTGAAATATCTTCATATTAACATATTCATTATGATAGCACTATTAGACTAATCAAACATCTAAAGCTAACATCGTTTCTTCATTTCTTTCTTTTTTTTTTTTTTTTTTTTGAGACAGAGTCTCACTCTGTCGCCCAGGCTGGAGTGCAGTGGCGTGATCTCGGCTCACTGCAACCTCCACCTTGCTGGTTCAAGCAACTCCTCTGCCTCAGCCTCTTGAGTAGCTGGGATTACAGGCGCATGCCACCATGCCCGGCTAATTTTTTTTTTTTTTTTTTGTATTTTTAGTAGAGAGTGGGTTTTACCATGTTGGCTAGACTGGTCTCGAACTCCTGACCTCAGGCAATTTGCCCGCCTTGGCCTCCCAAAGTGCTGGGATTACAGGCGTGAGCCACTGTGCCCAGCCTAACATCATTTCAGAACACCATTTTTGGGGTGCTTGTCTTCTAGGCAGAAGAATTTTGCTTCAATATTCGTTTATTTAACAGATATTTACTGAGCATCTACTATGTTCCAGGCATTGTTATAGGCACTGGAAATGGAACAAGGAACAAAACAAACAAAAATCCCTGCTTAGCCGGGTGCAGTAGGCATACACCTGTACAGTCCCAGCTACTCAGCAGGCTAAGGCCAGAGGATGGCTTGAGCCCAGGAGTTCAAGTCTAGCCTGGACAACATAGCGAGACTTTGTCTCTAAGGAAAAAAAAAAAAAAAAGTCCTGTCTTCATGGATCTTACATTCTAGAATGTTAGGAGATAAGAGATCAGTTTTCAGATGTGTTGCTGAAAACCCAAGTGTCACTTATTTATTGTATTAGCTCTTTTCGTGTCTTTGGAAAGAGTTCAGACTGTTACAAATTTACCAAGTTTCTCTACCATAAACCATGGTTTATAATATTGCACACAGCTATGTGAAGCTTTTACAGTCCTGGATCATGTCCCCAACCCCACAGTTCCATTTTAGCCAATCTCCACGCACTCTTCCCCCAAAAGACAATCATTTGCTGAGTCTTCTCTTCTTCTAGAGGCCTAGGCTGCTGGTCCAGTAAGGGTGGAGAGACCAGGACATGACCCCACGACTGACTGGTGCCCTTCCCCCGCTCTTCTGGCCTCAGCAGTCCCCCGACAGGCGGCTCTGTCAGGGCTGGGGAGTGGAGGGGGCTGCAAGCCATTGCAGGGCTGAACTCTCTATGAACCGGGAAGGAAGGGGGTGGGGGCAACAGAGCAGAGCCAACAGGAGGAGGCTGGGGAGGCAGGCTTCTGGACAAACCTCTCTGGCTGAGTAAATATTGAGCTGCCTCATCTCCAAGGTGGGGGTTGAAATGGAGCTGTCAAGCCAGAGTAAACTGAAGGGAGCATCAGGCCTCTAAGGAGCAGAGGGCGCATGTTTGGTGCAGCTCCCTCCCTGCTCGGTTCCCCTCCAGGCAGAAAGGGCTGCAGGGCTCAGAATTCTCTGGACTCAGGCCAGTGATCTGGAGAGGATGAAGGAAAGGGGTGATTTTAATTAGCTCTAACTAGGCCAGTAAAATACATCCAACAGGATGCTTCTCCACCCAACTATTTCCATCTCCCACCAAGTTTACACTCTTTCTTACCTAAGTCTTCATCTACCCTCAAAGGAAAGAATGAGTCCAGCTGCAGTGGGATAATTTAACTTATATTAAAGACTGGGAAAATAGGCCCAGAGAGGTTAAGTGACTTACCCAAGGACACAAGGAAGGGTCTTAGTAGACTAAACTTAGGTCTCCTGACTTCCTACAAAATTATTTCTTCTCTGAAGCATCTGATCCATTTCTTTTCTGATGAAGAGAATAACAGTGGATGAGGGCCAGGAGGTCAGCCTTGGAGCTGAATCCTGCAGCTACTTGAGCCTCCATGTTCTCCCAGGAATGGACATTAAGTATTTTACATCTCCAACTTTTGTCCCACCCAGGATACACTCTGATTATAGGAAGCATTTTGAGAGCCACAGAAATAGCAAAAGCTGAAGCCTCTGGAATACTCTGGTTGAGTCATGCAAGGAATTCAGAGCCAGGACTGAGGCACAGGGGAAAAAATCTGGTACAACTGCAGGGGGCGCCAATTTCGTGGACTACAACGAGAATACCCTCCCGAGTTACGCAATGAGTCTGTCTTGTCAAGGACATCCCTCATTATAATACTGTACTTAACTGTAAGCCTGTAAAGCCTGTATTCTGTGGACTCCTCTGAAACCTTTCATTCATAATTATTTTACTGTCTAGCAGCAAGTCCCATGCTTATGGTGCTGGCTGGGTCTGCTGGTACAGCGCAGGGGGGCCAAGGCTGGACAACATCTGCTTTCATCATGCCAAGACCAAGAATAACTCAATGTAAGAAAGTAATAGGAAAATGTCCTATGTAACTATGTAAAATAGGAAGCCTCTGCTCAACACTCACCATACACCAGGCAGTGTTCTAAGCATCTCTCATATATATCATGTATTATTCAATATCCTTCATTGTATATCTGAAGAAACTGAAGCACAGGGAAACTAAACAACTCACATGAGCTCATCCAGCTAATAAAAGGGGACCATTCTGAACACTAAGTTATACTCCAGAACCCTTGCTCTCCACCACCCTAAGTCAGGGAATTGAAGTTTCTGCCTTCCAGACTTCTTATCCATCTTCTATAATGGAGAAGAGAGGGAATGAGTGTGAGAGGCCAGGATAACTTTCCTCTTCGACAGGTGGGTACGCTGAGAACAGAACAAAAAGGTTTCTCAGCCAAATGAACCTTCAGTGTTCTCAGCTGCTAAGAGGGCAATCCCTTCCATTTGTCTCTAGCTCCATACACCTATCAGGGATCAAATAAGCTATGAGTGTGAGAAGTGGGCATAGTCAAGATACTCCCTGGAAGAGATTGGGGACTATAGAAGGGAAGATCACAGTCCCTTTTAATAATGATAATAATTTGTTATTGCTCACTTTGTTTATGTGGGACCATTCCAAGCATTTTACACATATTAACTCATTTAATCCCAACATCAACCCCATGAAATAGGTACTGTCGTTATCCCTATTTTGTAGATAATGAAACTGGGCACAGGGAATTAGGCAACTTGCCCAAGGCCACAGGGCTAGTGAGAGGCAGGGCTTGGATTTGAACCCAGATATCCTAGACATGTCCCCCAACTCCTTGGTGCTGCTCTCTGGCTCATTTTGATCTCCCTTGTCTGTCATCTGGAGAGATTCCTCCAAGCCTGCCATCCACACTCTCTTCTAAACATCATCCCACCAACTCCTTCCCAGGAGCCCGGTGCTATCTGCACAAGGAATGCTCACAACAAAGAAACCTGCATTGGCCGGGCAGGCGTGTTGGCTCACGCCTGTAATCCCAGCACTTTGGGAGGCTGAGGCCGGCAGATCACCTGAGGTCAGGAGTTCGAGACCAGCCTGACCAACATGGAGAAACCCCATCTCTACTAAAAATACAAAATTAGCCGGGCGGGATGGCCCATGCCTGTAATCCCAGCTACTCCTACTTGGGAGGCTGAGGCAGGAGAATCACTTGAACCTGGGAGGTGGAGGTTGCAGTGAGCCGAGATCACATAGCCTGGGCCATAAGAGGCAAACTCCATCTCAAAAAAAAAGAAAAAGGAAAAGAAAAAAAAGAAACTTGCATTAACAGTTAGAAGAGCTTCAGGGCTGGCCAGGCATGGTGGCTCACGCCTGTAATCCCAGCACTTTGGGAGGCTGAGGCGGGTGGATCACCTGAGGTCGGGAGTTCAAGACCAGCCTGACCAACATGGAGAAACCCCGTCTCTACTAAAAATACAAAAATTAGCCGGGCATGATGGCGCATTCCTGTAATCCCAGCTACTCAGGAAGGCTGAGGCAGGAGAATTGCTTGAACCTGGGAGGCAGAGGTTGCGGTGAGCCGAGATCGCACCATTGTACACTAGCCTGGGCAACAAGAGCGAAACTCCGTAAAAAAAAAAGAAGAAGAAGAGCTTCAGGGTCTTCAAAATCTTTTTCTTTCTCTCTTGTTCAGGAGATCAAAGGGCCTCACAATGGGAGAACAAACGCTGAGGGAAAAGGCAAAGGAAAGAGGAAAAGTTCACACTCTGGCTGAGAAACAGATGGTGCAGAGGATTGGGTGGAGTGAAGACTTGACTGGCTCCCTACCTGATGCCCGGGTTTGTGGGGAGTGGGGGGCTCCTCAGAAATCTTGACAAACTTTCAACCAGCCTAGAGAATTCTCCCTCCTGTGAAGAATGAAGACTAGGCAGGCATGGTGGCTCATGTCTGTAATTCCAGTATTAATACTTTGGAAGGCCAAGGTGGGAAGATCCCTTAAACCCAGGAGTTCAAGAGCAGCCTGAACAACACAGCGAGACCCCATCTCTTAAATTAAATTTTTAAAAAAGACAGTCAAGACTCAAAAAACTCAAGCTTTTTGTTTTCAAACTGGAGATATTTTTTGACATTTGGGAAATGGAGGTGTGGGTGGACAGCTTTCAAATTTTGCAAAAAAAAAAAAAAAAAAATTACTTTCAGACCTCCTAGTAAATATAATACCCTCCTTCCCAGAGCTATGAAAAAAACAGCAATCTGAAAGACATGAAGAAGTCTATGAGTGAAGCAATTTGGCATCTATTCTGGAAAGTTTAACAATGAAGGGCTGGGCACGGAGGCTCCCAGCACTTTAGGAGGCCAAGGCGGGCAGATTGCTTGAGCTCAGGAGTTCAAGACCAGCCTAGGCAACATGGTGAAACCCCATCTCTACAACAAAAAGATACAAAAATTAGCCAGGCATGGTGGCATGCGCCTGTAGTCCCAGCTACTTGGGAGGCTGAGGTGGGAGGATCACTTGAGCCCAAGAGGTCGAAGCTGCAGCAAGCTGAGATCAGGCCACTGCACTCCAGCCTGGGCGACAGAGGGATACCCTGTCTCAAAAAAACAAAACAAAACAAAACAAAAAACAATGAAGACTATCAATTTATCTCAATGGGGGCAAAATGTTTTTGTTAGTTTACCATTCTCTCCTTTGTCCTAATGTCTCCCATGTAGGCCTGTCTAGGGCCTCAGATTGGAAGTGGAATTCAAGTAGGAGAGTGCAAGTAGGAGAGAGGAAGGGGTCAGGATCTCTGCATCTAAGGAGATGGAAGGCTTACATTCACTGGATATTATTTTGAGCCTGCCCCTGTGTGAACAGAGAATTGATTTGTCCCTCACCCTTCCCTGGGGGAATCTGGTGGCTCCCTCTGCTATGATCAAAAATCAAATGGGCCAGCAGCCTTCTTCTTTCCTCCTGGCCCTTTCATCAATCCTCCCCAAGGACTTGTCGGCCCCTCTGAGGCCCTGCTCCACCATACTCATGGTTCTGCTTTGCTCTCACCACCGCACCTTCCTCCTCCTCCCTGCTTTCTTGCCCACTTGTCCAAAATTTGGAGGATCCACAAATACCCCAACCCAGAAGGCTCCACTGGCTCACACTGAATGTCTCCAAGGAAGGGGAGTTTTGTTTCCACCGACACTCACTCTCTCCCTTCTGTCAAGGTGACCTCTTTGGGGAATCAAGCTTGGTGGCAATTTCAATTAAATGCAGAAAAGCAGTTAATAGAATTTTTTCTTTTTCTTTCTTTCCTTTTTTTTTTGTTTTGACAAAGGGCAAGACATCAGCCTCTGAGAAAGCTAGGCTGCTTATTGCAACAGACTTCTCTTCCTCTCCAGCTGGGCTATACAATTATTGATAACGTTGCCTCTCATATAATGGCACCAATTTCATTAGGAATCAAATGCTCAGCGTTTCTCACGTACGCTTCTAGTCCTTTTGGCTGCCTCCCTCGAAAGACCAAGAATTAAATAGATCAGAGGGTGTGGAGAAGACACCCCGCCTTGGTCTGGCCCGCCTCCATCCTGGCCCCTGGGCATCTGGGCTCCCGGGGTAACCGGAATCAATAAACCAGGGCCCGATCCCCGAGGCCCGCGGCATCTCGACGGCTCGGCGGGGCCAGAGAGCGATCGAGGTTTGTTGCCCGCCGCGGAGCTTCCTGAGCCCCGGCCCCCCGCCTCCGCCGACCAAAGGTTTGCCAGTGGGACCGGCCCGGAGACAATAGCTGCCCCCGCGGGCGCGCTGTCGGCTTGTTTGGAAAGCCCAGAGGCGCTTCGAGGTAAAAAGGTCAGCCCGGGATCCCAGGTTACCTCGGCCTCCTCCGCCCGCCGTCAGGCCCCCGACCATCCTCGGACTCCCCCCGCCCCTGACGTCTTCCTCCCTCTCCAGACCTCGGTCTCCCCTCCCCCGCCCGGCACACTGCCCCCCACTAGGCCCCTTCGCGGCCACCTCCTTCCTGCCGTCCAGTGCCCGGAGACCCAGGGCTTTCACCTTGAGCCCAGGCGGAAAGGCCTTGCGGAGGCTGGCCGGCTGCGGCCGGACTCAGGCAGCCACTCCTGACGTCCCCGAGGAGTGGCTGGGTGGAAGGGCGCTGGGCTGGGGTGGGAGTGGGGGTGTTAAGCTGTGTGCCAATTTGGAGTTTGTCAGCGACCCCTCTGGAGTCTAAGCCAGGCCTGGCTCTGGGCGGGAGGGAGGCAGGTGAGGGGGAAGGGAAGGGGTAGAGTTCACGTCGCCTTCCCCCACACTTCCTCCTCTTTTTAACACCCTCTTTTTGTCCTCTCCAAACAGATGTTTCTCTTCTTTCCCGTCTTCCTCTCAAGACCCTCTGGGCTGACCCGGCGCGGGGGCTCACGCCTGTAATCCCAGCACTTTGGAAAGCGGAGGCGGGCAGATCACTTGAGCCCGGGAGTTGGAGACCATCCTGGGCGAAATGGCAAAACCCTGTCTCTACAAAAATACAAAAATCAGCCGGGAGTGGTGGTGTGCGCCTGTGGTCCCAGCTACTCTGGAGACTGAGGTGGAGAATCGCTTGAACCTGAGAGGCAGAGGTTGCAGTGAACGGAGATTATGCCACTGTACTCCAGCCTGAGCAACAGAGCGAGACCCTGTCTCAAACAAACAAACAAACAAAAACCAAAACACAAAACCAAAAAACAAAACACAAACCAAAAAACTGCACTCCAGCCTGAGCGACAGAGCCAGACCCTGTCTCAAAAAAAAAAAAAAAAAAAAAAAAAGAAAAAGAAAAAGAAAGAAAGAAAGCAAGAAAGAAAGAAAAAAAGAAAAGAAAAAGAAAAATCTCTGGGAATTGCATTCATTCCACAGACTTCTTCCATGCTTTTCTGGATTCTCCCAATAACCAAGGGACTGACAACTGTCAAGCCTGAATGCCTGGGACCCAATCCTGCTTAGGCCACACCCAGTAAGTCCTTCTCTTTATCCAGCTGAGATCTTAAAGCTCAGTTCATTCCAGCCCAACCAGCCAATGGCCACTCTTTCTTCACCTCTTCTCCACGGTGCACGGAGTATGAGGCCTCTTCTACCCCTGAATGGAGAAACAGAAGCAGGCAGGAAGAAGGGAAAACACAGACTTTATTGAAATGAGGTAGTTGCAGGTACAGAGAGAACCCGGGCTCACTTGGGGCTCAGGTTTCCAGAAACTTAGATGGCTCCTCCTCTTTCTCAAAGGTTCAGATAAATCCTTGCAGCTGTTGGGAGCCCTCATTGTGCCTGGCTCTCCCTGGGCTGCCCCCAGGGGTAGGGGTGGAGATGGGGAAGAGGGTCCTGGGTTTTCCAGGAGGCAATAAATAGGGGAGGAGCTAGTGGGGGCGTGCCTGCACCTTCCTGGTTGTGGCTTGCTGGGGGCAGGCCTTGCACGGCGTTCCAGAAGTCTCTGGAATACCAAGTTCCAAAACACTTTGGTGACATAGTGATGAGGTCGCTGGTGTGAGGAGGCAGGTCTCAGAAAACAACCTCTGAAGGCTGCATTAGTGCAATATAAATATGCCAGGAGAGGGCTAATGGGGTTAGATGGGGGCGGGGGGCTTTTTGGTCTGTCACAAGGCAGCTGGTGCTATTGTAAGGTCTGTGGTGACTGGATTAAGCATTGATAATAATATGGCTGCACCCAAACACCTCCCACACAAGAAAATTTAAGGTTCTGTGTCAGGCCTAGAAGGGGGAGTTAGGATAAGAGTGCGTGAGGAGACTCCTCAAAGCTCGAAGGCACTGAACCGAATAAACCCAAGTTGGAAGGGAAAGGAGGATGAATCCAGGAGGATGAGGCTGGCCCCCACCCCCACCACATGTTGACACTGAGCTGATCCCCAGATCAAAGGCAGAAGCCCTTCCCTCTACATTTGACAGGTTCCATGCCTCCCAGGCCTCTGGTCCTGTAGGGCCCCCAGCCACCCAGGTCTGAGAAAAATGTTTCCCCATCCCCCCTCCCACCCCCAGGCAGCTCTAAACTGGCATTTCAGCCCTAGAGAGGATCCCCAGGCCAGTGAAGCCCAGGCCTGGGGTTGGGGAGAGCCTGGGATAGGGCTGGACTGGGGCGCTCCAGTGCCTGGAAGCCCCATTGGTGGCTAGGTTCAGTTCAGGAGGTGACAGAGCTGGGTGAGGCTTCCGGGGAGGTGCATGTCGACTGGTCTGAGGCATCTCCAGCTGCCTCCTTGGGGCAGCCTGGTGGGGCTGGGGGGACCCGACCTTCCTCTCGCTCGCGCTTCTTCTGCTTCATTCGTCGGTTCTGGAACCAAATCTTGACCTGTGTTTCATTGAGCTCCAGGGTGGCGGCAATCTCCACCCTCCGGGCCCGGCTCAGGTACTTGTTGAAATGGAACTCCTTTTCCAGTTCTGTCAGCTGCCTTGTGGTGAAGTTGGTGCGGAGGCCACTGGGCGAGCCCAGGCCTGGCTCTGACACCTTCGCTAGGGGCGGGGCAGGGAGAAAGGCCAGGTCAATTCTCTCACCTCTTTCTCCTTCCGCTTCCCTCCTCCCGGGGCTGGCTCTGGACCTCCATTTGCCATTCTGCCCAAGTACAGTTGTCAAAGTTCCCAGGGACCACCAGGTACCCCCATGGTGATCACCAAGTCTGGAGCAGCCTTCCCCATACTTCCATCCCCCATGCACACCAGGTCCTGGGTCTGTGCTGGGTGCACAGATCAGGAAGTGGGGTGTGTATGGAAACTTACTCCTGGGGTGACCGGTTACATACTGGGTGGGGAGACCTCACCTGACCTGAGACGTAGGTTGTGCTCTTACCTGTGTCTACCAGAGCCGCTGAAAGAGAAGAACCCAGCCCAGACCCAGGACATGTCACTGCAGGGGAAGCAGAGATGCTTTGGGCCCCGGAGAAGGGGTGGCCACATCTGAGCCCTACCTGTCTTGGGTGGGTTTCTCTTAACCTTCATCCAGTCGAAGGTCCGGGCCGTGGGGGTGTTAGGTTCTGAAGGGCAGGGTGTTTCCTTGTCCTCGGAGAGGAGATCAGCATAGGCCGGTGCAAAGCTCGCGGTCTGCTCGTTCCCATAAGGGGGATGCTGCGGAGGATATGGCCCCGGACCGGCTCCACCTGCTCCGTAGCCATCGGACAAGCCCCCTAGCTGGGCCCCGTAGCTCGAGGGATGAAAATAGCCTCCGTCTCCTTCTGATTGACCCAGAGGGTAGTACTGAGAAGGCCCGTAGCTGGGGCTGCAGGCGGCAGGAGCATACCCCGAGGGCGCGGAGCTGGGGAAGGGCACCCCCAGGGTCGAAGGCGGCTGCTGGGCGGGATAGCCGGAGTTCTGCTGAAACGCAGGGCTGGACAGCCCCCCACCGTAGCGGCCCTCGCTTGCATAGCTGTCAACCGCCTGAGCCGAGCTTGGGGGAAAGGAGGTTGGGGCGCTGTGGGCGCTGTAGGCGCTGGGTCCCCGGTTACAGAGTGGGTACTCTAAGAAGGAGTTCATCCTATTATAGTCCATGCGTCAAGGCCGCAGGAGGGTCGGCCCGTTTGGGGGAGACACCCTCTTGCCCTACAACCTTTCGGCAGTATGTCACAGCGCTGGGGCTCGAATCCATGGCCTGACCCGCTCGCCTGGGCAAGCGCTTCCCTAGGAAGGGGGTAGGGAGTGGGGGTGAGGGGGCACATGTGATCTCTCCCAGGCCAATGGGCTAAGCGGGCCAGAGTTTGGCAGCCCCAGCGCCCATCCATCACCCCCCAAGCATTAGCATGACAAAGACACTTCAATCACCCGCAGCCCATCCATCTGAGAGCGACATGGAAGCGTCAAAAACATCTTTCTTCAAAGACTTTTGGAAAGAAGGGACCAGAGGGAGAGGGGGAAAAAGTTAGGAGAATATTCAAGACTTTCCTTCCCTCCCAACCCCCAAGGCCTTCAATAGGCTCCTGGGTTATTAGATTTGGACAAATTCAAGCCAGCTGCCCCTCACTCTTCCCACCCCTCAGAGAAACCTTCCCCCTAAGTCTGTGGACCTGGAGGTGGGGAATCCAGCTTCCATACTTTGCCCAGAACTCCCAAACCATGTTCCTTTCTTCCAATTTGTCTTAGGGTGGTGGGCTAGGACAGCCGGGTGAGGTATGTTATCTTGGGCCAAATGGATGACTGTGTGGTGGGGAGGTGGGGGAAGGTGGTGCAAAAACACCTAAGGGTGTGGGGCAGGATCTAGAATCTAGAGGAAGAATTCATGAAGCCAGGGGTGGGAAATTGGCATTTCAGGGAGCAAGGCAGGACTACAGAAATGTGGAGAAAAGGATGAGAAATGCCCCATCTTCCCTCTCTCTCTCTTTGCATAAATGTTCTCTCCTCATTCACACATCCATTTCTCTCCCTCAGCCTCTCTTTATATTCTCTCTGTCTCAATCCATCTCTCTGTTCGTCCATCTTTCTCCATATTTATATTCGTTCCCTACCTCTCATCTCTCTAGATGTATTTATCCTCTCTCTAGCCATCCATAGCTGTAGCTGGCTCACTCACTCAGACTTAAATAACTCCCTATATCTCTCTAGAGAGCCACAATGAGCACAGCCAGGTGATGTTTACAGCGGGGTGAAGAGGAGGGGAATTTTTTATTCTCTTCTTGAAGTGTTTAAAACTAGTGGAGACCTGCATTCTCCTGGTTCCCTCCTACCTGTCTCTCCTTCACCACCCTCCATCTCCTTCCAAAAAAAAAAAATTTCCAAACCTCAAATGCATAAATTTAATACCAGTTAAATCTTAAAGATTCCTCCAGATTTCAGTAATTTTTCTAGGATTGATAAAGGGAGTTTGGTCAGAGAGTGGGAGAATCGGGGTGGAGGCCCTGAGGCTCTGAATTCTAAGACTCCAGAGTGAGGAGTGGAGTCTCGCCCCTTTTTGTTCTGTGTGGCTGTTGCGGAGGGACACAGGATGTGTCTTCTTCACTCTCTCAGACTCCAAACCCAGATGGGACTAGAAGAGAAGCCCTTAGGTAGAGCCCATTGACTCTCCTCCTCCGGACAACTTGAGGGCAAGAGCTTGGGGCAATCCAACACCCACGCTCATTTGTAACCTGTCAGGGTGTCTGCCTGGCCGGAGGCCTGGGGCCGAAGCTAGGGCAAGTCCAGGAGGGCAAGAGTTCAGGGAGTGATCTCTGTAAACAACGGAGCTCAGGAGAGGAAAGGGAAGCAGGTGGGACAGGTTTAAGGAGGACCCTCAAAACTTCTCAGGTTTCCACACCCCAAAAAGGGCAGGGCGAATACTCCTTCCTCTGCAAGGGACCCCAAAGTTGTCCCCTGCAGTCTGTGTCTTGCCCCTCCATCTTTGTCTCCCATTCCCTCTTGTTTTGCTTGGCCTTACCGTAGCTGCCTCTCCTGCTTTCTGCTCTATACCACCAGCATCACACTGCCTTTCTCTTCTCTAATAATTGTGGGCCTAGCCCAACTCTGTTTTTTTGAGGGGGAGGGTTTTGTTTTGTTTTTGTTTTTTGAGATAGGGTCTTACTCTGTCATCCAGATTGGAGTGCGGTGGCATGATCTCAGCTCACTGCAACCTCTGCCTCCCAGGTTCAAGCAATCCTCTCACCTCAGCCTCCTGAGTAGCTGGGACCACAGTCAGGCACCACTGGGCCTGGCTAATTTTTTTTGTATTTTTAGTAGAGACAGGGTTTCACCATGTTGGCCAGGCTGGTCTCGAACCCCTGGCCTCAACGATCTGCCTGCTTCGGCCTCCCAAAGTGCTAGGATTGCAGGCCTGAGCTGCCACACCTGGCCATCACCCCCAACTCTGAAAGAGCTCAAAGCATTTCACAGAACCCCTGCCTCCTTTTCCCGATCATGTGTACTCTGCTTCAGACCCTGCTTCAAGCTGAGGGGGAGGGGCACAAGCTGGTAACTTCTTTAATAGATGCAATGGGGGTGAGAGAGAATGTTCACTTGCCAAGGGAATGAGGGCAGACAAGAGAAAGGAAAATTGAGATGGGAGGAGGTGACCTGCAGAGGAATTGAAGAGAAAGAAATTATTGAGGTAAGAGCAAGCTTATTTCTTTCTATTTTACTTTTTCGGGGAGAAGATTTGCAGATGCTTCATCCTTTCATTTTAAGATGTCTTCCACAGACGCTAAGAATAACTTGTCTGGAGGAATCTAGGGCTTGTCTTCTAACCCCAAATTTGAACAAGGCCTGTATCTGATCTGGCAGCCCTGCTTCTGAGAGACTTGAGACTTGTTCACCTTCCACCTTTTCCTCATCCCGGGGAGAATCTTCTCACCCCATCCTTTGCCTTCATAATTAAGGGAACAATTTGAGGTCTAAAGGAAGAAGTGAATTTCAAATCAGTTTAATAAAACAGCACAAATCTGGGAATTGAGGAATGCATTCCCTTTATAACAGCTGAAGTCACCAACAATCTATTATTCATGACAGCAAGCAAAGACTGAGGCAAAAGTGCCCTAAGTTGGCTGGGTGCAGTCCCAGCACTTTGGAAGGCCAAGGCAAGAGGATCACTTGAGCCCAGGACTTCGAGACCAGCCTGGGCAAGATGGTGAGACCACATCTCTACAAAAATAAATAAATACAAAAATTAGCTGGGTGTGGTGGTGCCTCCCTGAAGTCCCAGCTGCTCAGAAGGGAGGATGGCTTGAGCCCAGGAGTTCAAGGCTGCAATGAGCTATGACCACACCACTGCACTCTAGCCTGGGTGACAGAGAACCTGTCTCTATTTAAAAAAAAAAAAAAAGTGCCTCAAGTTATACTGTCAATTGCAGTGATTGCCTCAGCTTTCCAAATTCACTATGCTCCCCAATTCATCCCTGAGTCATGCCACCTTCTCTTGTGTTAGCAGGGACATTAAAACTTGCCCAAATTCCTGCTGGCTCTCCCAGCCCCAGCAGAAAAGACTGGGAGAACCAAGCAACTTTGCTCCCTAGGTTCCCAATCTCCTCCTCCTCCCTAAAAGAAGCTTCGCTGACTGGAATAACCTATGGCCCATAGGATTTTTGGTGGACCAAATTAAACTCACCAGAGAGGGTCTGGGTGGACCCAACA
This sequence comes from Homo sapiens, assembly GCF_000001405.40. NCBI lineage: Eukaryota > Metazoa > Chordata > Mammalia > Primates > Hominidae > Homo > Homo sapiens. The sequence goes on from NC_000017.11 coordinate 48,534,445, forward strand.
CCAAAATGAAATAAAGTTGATGTCCTAGTTTGTATGATCTGCTTGTACATAAAAGAGAGCAAGGAGAACATAGACATGTTTGGAACTGAAGTTATCTTTGACAGTTTTCACTCCTTATCACACTGAGAATGCAGGCAAGGAAACTATCTAACCAGAATGGGGATATATTAGAAGTTTAACCTCAGATTCTGGTCCTTTCTGTGAAGGAAGCTGCTTCAGCTGGGGGCTTGGCAGGAGCAATCTAAATTCTCTCATTAGACCTTAAATGTCTCTATCTGCTCTCCCCAGCCCAAATCTAGGGAGGCCAAACCCAAGATCAAAGGTTGGGGCTAGGCCAGTGAGGTGGCTCATGCCTGTAATCCCAGCACTTTGGGAGGCCAAGGAGGGCAGATCACCTGAGGTCGGGAGTTCAAGACCAGCCTGACCAACATGGTGAAACCCCCATCTCTACTAAAAAATACAAAAATTAGCCGGGTGTGGTGGCAGGCACCTATAATCCCAGCTACTCAAGAGGCTGAAGCAGGAGAATCGCTTGAACCCGGGAGGCGGAGGTTGCAGTGAGCTGAGATCGCACCATTGCACTCCAGCCTGGGCGACAGAGCAAGACTCAAAAAAAAAAAAAAAAAGTTGGGGCTTAGGAAGTAAAGAATATTCATAATTTTTTCCTTCTTTCTTTCTTTTTTTTTCAGGCAGGGTTTCGCTCTGTTGCCCCAGGCTAGAGTGCAATGGTGTAATCACGGCTCCCTACAGCTTTGACCTCCTGGGCTCAAGCGATCCTCCCACCTCAGCCTCCTGAGTAGGTAGGACTACAAGCATGCACCACCACAAGTTTTTCACTATGAGATGAATTGTTTTTGTTGCTGTTAGAGAAAGGATATTTCTTTTAATGCAAGCTAATTAAACTGTCATAAATCTGGTTGAGAACCTTAGACTGTATGTAGTACATATTGTAATGGGATTAGTGCTAGCTATGTGGGCCAGAATAGTTGGGTTCAAGCCCTTGCTTGGCCATTTTTTTTTTTTTTTTTTAATACAGGGTCTCACTTTGTCACCCAGGCTGGAGTGCAGTGGCGCAATCTCGGCCCGCTGCAACCTCTGCCTCCCAGGCCCAAGCAATCCTCCCACCTCAACCTCCCAAGTAGCTGGGATCACAGGTGTGTGCCAACATACCCAGCTAATTTTTTGTATTTTTGGTAGAGATGGGGTTTTACCATGTGGCACAGGCTGGTCTCGAACTCCCAAGCTTGGGCAATTCACCCGCCTCAGCCTCCCAAAGTGTGGGATTACAGGCGGGAGTCACTGTGCCTGGCCTTTGCTTGGCCACTTCTTAGCATTGTGGCCCTGGACAAGTTTCTTGATTTCTATTAGTCTCAGCCTCGGAGAAAAAGAATGGGTTTAATACTACTTATCTTGCTGCCTTGTTAGTAGGATTAAAGCAAACAAGAAAATACAAACCACAGGGAACTCTCTAAATGTATGATATTAACTTTAAATCACATTCTGAAATGCTATGAGTCAGTCTTCTGCTTTTTAATATAACTAGCATATTAAAATATGGAAATAAGTAGGCTGGGTGCGGTGACTCATGCCTGTAATCCCAGCACTATGGGAGGCTGAGGCAGGCAGATCACCAGAGGTCAGGGGTTCGAGACCAGTCTGGCCAACATGGTGAAACCCTGTGTCTATTAAAAATACAAAAATTAGCCGGGCGTGGTGGCACACACCTGTGGTCTCAGTTACTCAGGAGGCTGAGGCAGGAGAATTGCTTGAACCTGGGAGGTGGAGGCTACAGTGAGCCGAGATCACGCCATTGAACTCCAGCCTGGGTGACACAGTGAGATTCTGTCTCAAAAAACAAAAAACGAAAAACGAACAAAAACTTATCTATCTATCTATCTATCTATCTATCTATCTATCTATCTATCTATGTGTGTGTGTGTGTGTGATAGGAGGAGAATAGCATTTAGGCTATATTTTCATGTAACATAGCACCATATATTATACAATATAATATGTACTTTATCATATGCAAATTTCATTGAGAATTGAGAAGATTGGCTCTGTTTAGGCAAAGGATTTTCTTCTAACCTGAAGGGTTTCTTGAAAACCAAAGCCTAATATTTTATGCCTATAAAGAATCCAAATTATTAAAATTGCAACAGAAAGGTTTGTGGTTGGATATTAGAAAGAACTTCTTGATTTTCCAAACATTGGGGAAAAGTTTTCTAGGGAGGATGTTGTCTCTTCTTCCTTAAGGAATTTCGCTTGGAAACTGTCCATCCTAGAGGTGACCTGACTTCTGGATCTAGACAGATCAGCAAGATGTAAACTTCCATCTGGAGTCAATAATTGGGGGCATGATTAAATAATGACTGAGATCTTTCTAAAAGGAAAGGTTAGCGTGACATGAAGAATTAAAATAATTTTCTACTTAATCGAGTTTATCTAAATGCAATAGTTTTTTTTTGGCCAAAATATCTGCTTTGGAAATCTTAGCCAAACAGTGATCAAGCTGAATTTGGGTCTGAATGACTATACAGATTGTGATTTTTCTGCAGTTGTTGGGGGAGAGAGAAAGTTTTTTTTTTTTTTTTGAGACGGAGTCTTGCTCTGTCACCCAGGCTGGAGTGCAGTGGCGTGATCTCGGCTTACTGCAAGCTCCGCCTCCTGGGTGCACGCCATTCTCCTGACTCAGCCTCCCAAATAGCTGGGACCACAGGCGCCTGTCACCACGCCCGGCTAATTTTTTCGTATTTTTAGTAGAGACAGGGTTTCACTGTGTTAGCCAGGATGGTCTCGATCTCCTGACCTCGTGATCCGCCCGCCTCAGCCTCCCAAAGTGCTGGGATTACAGGCGTGAGCCACCGCGCCCGGCCCCGGAGAGAGAGAAAGTTTTAAGAGGGCTCCTTTACTATTCATTCTCTCCTCTGAAGAGGAAGATCTCTTTCCGGCACTAAATATCTACCTTACCCTGAATGTGGACAGAGGGATGGCTGGAGGAGAGAAGAGGGGTAGGCAGAGCTGGGCTGGAGAGATCAGTGGAGGATCTGGGCTATAATCAGCCTCAGCAGGCAGAAGATGAATTGAGGCCCTACAGGCCACCTTCTGCAAAGTGAGGACTGAGAGTACATCCCAAGAAGATCTGCAGTGGGGCCAGCAAGTGCTTGTCAGAGACTTGGGTAAAGATGGGTAGGTGAATTCAGCAGTGCTGTTTAGGGAGTCTCAGAAATTGTGCCTATGCTCTGATGCCCCAGCAACCAGATTAAACATAACTAAAAGGGACTGTTAAAGTCTAGAACATCATGTCAAAAAAGAAGTTTGGTGGCTCTTTTTATATGAAATGGCCTACTTAAAAAAACAAACAAACAAAAAACAAAAGAAAAAGAGTAAACATAACCAAATGTTGGGGGAGGTGGCAGAGGATGAAAGTCAAAGGAAAACTTGGCTAGGATACTTTTTAATACTCATATTTATTGAATACCAGGCACCTGGCAGACAATGCTGCACCCGATTACCTGCTTGTTGAAAAGATTTTGCTCTCTACTCATTTAAATAAAGATAAATGCATGATTATTGGTGTAAAGATACTAATTAAAATGTATTGACCAGGCACAGTGGCTCACGCCTGTAATCCTAGCACTTTGGGAGGCTGAGGCAGGAGGATCACTTGAGCTCAGGAGTTCAAGACCAACCTGGGCAATACAGTGAGATATCATCTCCACAGAATATTTTAAAACTAGCCGTAAAAAATAAATAAATAAAATAAATAAAAGGCCAGGGGAGGTGGCTCACACCTGTAATCCCAGCACTTTGGGAGGCCGAGGCGGACGGATCACTTGAGGTCAGGAGTTCGAGGCCAGCCTGGCCAACATGGTGAAACCTCATCTTTACTAAAAATATAAAAATTAGCCAGGCGTGGTGGCAGGTACCTGAGGTCCCAGCTACTTGGGAGGCTGAGACAGGAGAATCACTTGAACCCAGAAGGTGGAGGTTGAAGTGAGCCGAGATCCTGCCACTGCACTTCAGCCTGGACAACAGAGTAAGCCTCCGTCTCAAAAATAAATAAATAAATAAATAAATAGCCAGCCAGCTGCGGTAGCTCATGCCTGTAATCCCAGCACTTTGGAAGGCCAAGGCGGGCAGATCACCTGAGGTCAGCAGTTTGAGGCCAGCCTGGCCAACATGGCGAAACCCTGTCTCTACTAAAACTACAAAAATTAACCGGGCATGATGGCGGGCGCCTGTAATCCAAGCTACTCAGGAAGCTGAAGCAGGAGAATTGCTTTAACCCAGAAGGCAGAGGTTGAAGTGAGCCGAGATCACGCCATTGCACTCCAGCCTGGGCGACAAGAGCGAGACTCTGTAAAAAAAAAAAAAAAAAAAAAAAAAAAAAAATTAGCCAAACTTAGTGGCTCGCACCTGTACTCCTAGTTACTCGGATGGCTGACATGGGAGGACCACTTGAGCCCAGGAGGTTGAGGCTGTGGTGAGCTGTGACTGCACCACTCCATTCCAGCCTGGGTGACAAAGTGAGACCCTATCTCAAAAAATAAAAGAAAATTTGTTAAAATGGCCCCACCAGATTCACGTGAGGTAGGTCACTGTCAAACACCAAGAGTTACTTAACAGCACAAGACATCGGCCATAATAAACAGTTAATACATTGTTTGTGAAGACTAAATAATATATACTAAAGAATATGCATATATTAATGTAGAGTACATTAGAGGCATTTAATTCTTACATTTATTTCACAGATAGAGAAACTGAGGTCCAGAAAGGGGAATAGACTTGCTCAGGCATAAGTTAACTTTTTTTTTTTTTAATGACTCAGGGTTACCATGATTGCGAGTAATTCCTCAGTCTAATGGTCCTTTGCTTTCACTGTAATATTAATGGGACATGCCTCTTAAAAGAATGATTCACTAAGAGCAGGGCAGACTGACGAGCAGCTTTCCGGGCTGCACTGAAACCTTCCCACTCCAACCACAGGGAATTTATAACCACTCTGTGCTACAGACCACTCACAATTGGTCCTGACCCAAGAGGAACCCTGCCCCAATCAGGATGGAATAAGTGAGTGCGGCCACTTGGAGCTGCCCTCTAATCTGCCACCACCACTGGGGTCTGCTGCCCTATCTGGGAACCACCCCCTCTTCCCCTTACTCCTCCATGGCCAACTGGGAAAACTCAAGCTAAAAAGGATGACCCAAGAGATGAAAGAAGGAAAAGAAGTTAATTCGGAACACAGGGATCCTGAATTGCAATCCTTTATGAATCCCAAATTGCCAGGCATTCCCTTGAATCTGAATTGGGTAGGGAAATTGAAGATGGGAGTCACTTCCTTCTGCAAATTCATTGCCTCTTTGTGCTGCCGTGGTATCATCAGAGACGGTGAGTTTCATAAATTTGGAAAGAAGACAGCCAGCAACGCTTTTGTGTTTCCTGTAAAAAGAGTTTCAACTCCTCTCCAATAATCAGCCAAAGACAACACCTGGACTAAGACCTCTCACCCCTAGGATATCCAAAGTACCTGAATCTAAACAGGTACATTGAGCCTTTGGTTGGCTCACCACTACTTTGGCAGGAAGGAATCAGGACTGATGCAGGCCCAGGCAGGAACAAAGATTCCCTGCCATTTGAGCTACTGGTTTGGGTTGGGAGAATTGGAAGGCAGGGGCCAGGTAAAGTGAGTCAAAAATTCTGAAGCATGGAGGAAGGCAGAAAGCAAGGTGGCACTGTGATCTAGCAGTACTTCTCAAACTTTTAAGTGTACATAAATCACTTGGGGAGCTGCTAAACTGCAAATTCTGATTCAGTAGGTCTGATTCAGGGGCCTAAGATTCTGTATTTCTAAGTAGCTCATAGGTAGTGCTGATGCTGCTGGTCCATGGAGCAGCCAGGCTGCAGAGAACTGGTGCATCGGAGGCCCTTGAGTGCTGCAGACCATGATGGGGGATAGGAATTCTCTCCTGCAGAGCCAACTCTGCATTTTTTTGGCATTGAGGAAGGGTGCTCTCATTTTGACCAAAGAAACTGGAAGGTAGGACATTAGCAAGATCCTTGTGATATTCTTGATCTTTGTAACAACCTGCTATAGCTAGCTGCAAGAGCATTTTTAATTAGACCAAATTATCTAGTTTGACTGTCCATAGAAATCAAAGCCCCAGCTGAAATATCTGTTCATTTTGCTAGTGTAGAGATGGCTTGTGTGCTGTGATTTTTAAGATGTTAAACACTGCCTGTGGGCATATTTTATGGAGAAATAAACACACAGCCCAATGAGATGTATAGCGTAGTTTTAATATATTGTATATTCCCTTATTTATGGGGAAAATAAACACATAAGCCAATAAGCTGTGTATTACTACTTTAATATATTGAATTTATTTCATACCTATATATTTTATGAGGGAAAATAAGATACATGACATTATTATAACACATCTAATTGTTCTATATTTATTTATGAGAGAAATAAGTGCAATTTAACATGATGTAAGATTAATGCACGAGATGAATTCTATATTAAGACAGTTTAAGGGATTAAGTTCCAGCTAACTAAGAGGTGTGTACTTCCCACACTGAGGGACCCATTTTAAAATATGCAAAGGGCCTGTCTAGTCCTCTGTGTCACAACCTATGTTGGCTCCTGGCTTATCCTGACAATTGCTGCCTCTGGGTGACTGGTACTCTAAATCCCGGTCCTGTTGGTCCAGGGGAAAGTCTGGAGGCCCAGGAAATAAACTGCTTTTTGAGAAGGGCAGCATCTGCCGGGGAGATAGCCCCGTAGTGTCTGTTTCTGAGCGGGAGAAATATTAAAGAAACCTAAGGAGGATGGATGGCTTTCCGGGGACCTTTAAACCTCCACCTTCCCAGAACAAACCAGGAGGCAGATGGGGGAGATCGATCCTTGCTTCCCGCTTACCAGGTTTACAAGGAACCAGGCAGGGTGTGGTGGGGGATAGACAGGACATGGTGTTGATACGTGAAATGAAGTTGTTGGTCAAGACTGGTGGGTCTGCATTCAGAGAAAGCTCTGGCCTGGCTTCAAATCCCACAGCGAAGAATCAAAAGTCAGACTGGATGAGGCACACCCAGGCCCGCAGACCCGCCGCTCTCCTTCCCTTCCCACATCCACCCGGACTCTCCTTCCATCTCGCGTCCTCAGCGTCCGTTGGGCTCCACTTTAAAAATAAAAAAATCAAACTAACTAAAACGAAGGTGGGACCCCCCAGGCTCCCCTTCTTCCCTGGCCTCTGGAAAATCCAGCTGGGAGGACGCAGGGGCGGGGGCAGATCCCGGCTGGGCCGGCGCCTCCTGCAGCGGCTGTCATGGCGGCCACAGCTTCTTCCCTCGCCCCCCCCCCGGCCCGCCGCCCGGCCCCAGCGCCATTTTGAGCATCGTCTTTGCTTCCCTGTCTCCCTCCCGCTCTCCTCGCTCCTCCTTCTCTCCCCGCAGGTCCAGCGCCTCGCGACGCTGCCGGGCCACCCTGGGCTTCTCGCCCGGCTGCTGCTTGGATGGTCTCCCAAACCCCAGCAGCCCGAGTCCATGGGTGTCCCGGCAGCGCCACATTTCTCAGCTGGCCTCTTTTCTTGCCCACTGGGAAGCCAGTTACCATCCCTGGGTGCGGGACCCTGCTTCCCGAGAAAATCCCCGACCCCACTCCACTCCTTGGAGAGCCACCTACAGCTCCCAAAGAGGCCCGGCTCAAGCCCCAGGCCTCGCGTCCCTAGGCTTCTTGAGTTCGGAAAAAGGTCCTACACCGGCTTCGGTCATAAGAAGCAAAAGCCTAGGAAGCCCTTGGATTGTTCCCAATTCCAGTAAACTTCTGCCCCCGCCACGACCCTGAAGACTGTCCACAGGCTTCCTCTCCTTTCACCCTCCTCTGTTCGCTGTACACTCTCTCCCTCGACCTGCCCATCTCTATTTCCAAGCAGAGGCCCCAGAACCACCCGCTCAGGACCAAAGACCCTCTGCTGAGGGGCGGGGAGGTGACCCAGCTTCCTGCAAACTCCCGACTTTTGCCGGAGCCGTGGGCGAAGCGGCCATCAATCGGGTCACCTTTGTACCACCCGGACTTCGCCGGCCCTGGAGGCTTTGCTGCCATATGGGCCGCTGAACCTAATCAACTTCGCACAGGTCCTGGAGGGGTGAGGACCGGCCTTGGGGCCGCGGGGAAAGAGTTTAGGTCCCAACACAAACACTCGTTTTGGTATTATAAAGACATTTATTTAATCTATGAAAATAATGTACAATAAATACTTTCCCCTTTTCCTATTATTAAAGAATTTTAATAAATAATCTACAGTCTAAAACATAAAAAAGAGGAAAATAGGTCCCTCTAGTTATTTTTAAGAAAGTCCCCCTAGAGTTTAATTATTCCTGAGATTTCATTGGAAGGAGTCTACCAAACGGAATTTTTCTGTGTGAATTTTAAAAGATAACCGAGTGCCCAATATTTTAGAAGAAGAAGAAAGGGAGTGGATTAAACGCTAATTCAGTAATACCTGAATTTTAGCAAAACACATAAGTCTATGCGACTGAGGGTGGGAGAGGCTCGATTTTTCCAGTAGACGGCCAAGGAGCGCGGGGGTCGAAAGGACCGGGAGGAGGAAACAGGTTAGGGAAACTGCAGGTCGATGGCACAGAGCGTACTGGTGAAAAAATCCAGCTCTTCCTCGGAAAAAGGGACCGGGCTGTCGAGAGAACCCTGTAGGCTAGGGGAGAGGCCTCCGGATAGCTGGAGACAGGAGTCGGCCGCGAAGAAGTTGAGGTCGGGAAGGAAAGGTGAATCCTGGCGCCCCGAGAAGACGTCTTCTGGCAATGGCCCGGGCTCCAGCCCGCCGGCCCCGCGCAGCGCGCAGCCGGGACTCGACGCGCCTGCGCCCTCTAAGCGAACGGCTAAAGGCCGGGGGTCCGCGCTTAAGGCCCCCGGCACCACCTCCGGCGGGTGACAGCAGGCTTCCCACGCCGCCCGCGAGGCGGAGGGGCCGCCCGGGCTGGCCGCGGGTTCCTCGGCAGGGTCGCAGATGTCCTCCAGGGCTCCCGGGCAGGCAGGCTCCCCATCCGGCGGCTCTCGGTGCTGCGTCTGCCGCTTGTGCTTCATGCGCCGGTTCTGAAACCAGACTTTGACCTGCCTTTCGGTGAGGTCCAGCAAGGCCGCGATCTCGACGCGGCGTGGCCGGCACAGGTACTTATTAAAGTGGAATTCCTTCTCCAGTTCCAGCAGCTGCGTGTTGGTGTAAGCCGTGCGCAGCCTGCGCGCCCCGCCGCCACCAGCCTCCGGCAGTCCCAGGCCATCTGCAGGGAAAACAGGCTCGGCGTCATAGCGGGCCGTGTACTCAGCCCAACCTCAGTTCGGACTACCCCATCCTCCAAAACCAGTATCACCTCTCCCCTTCCTCGCCACCCCACCCCCGCCCCCACCCCAAAGCCGCTCGCTTTACTGCTTTTGGGTTTTCTTCTCTCCCTCTCTAGTCTACAGCCCCGGCCCGGGTCAGGGCAAAGCATTCAGAGCCGCCCACGGGCCACGCAGGGGGCGGAGAGCGGCTCCCTTCGGCGCCGGAACCTCAGATCCCCCTCCCAAGCCCTCCCAGTGGACCCCTCAATTCGGAACTTTCCAACTCAACCGGAGCGAGGGTCAGAAAGATTGTTCTTCACCCCTCTTCCTCCCTAGCTCTGAATTCTTCCTCTTCTCCTAGAGTTGGGGCAGAAAGGACCGAATCTTTTCTGCTTCTAGGGTCTATCCCAGCAACAACATACTCATTCCCCTACACAGATACGGGTGAAAACCTCAATCAAATCATTTTCTTCTAGCAGAAAAAAAGGCGTTTCCCCAACCAGCTTCCAAAATCAGCCATAGGGAGAGAAAGAGAGAGAGAGACAGAAAAAAAAAAAGACGCTGTTAGCGGCCAGGCCTGAACCCCAGTGGGATATTCTACTTCCCCATCCCAGGAATGGAGGGGGTAAGGAACCCCAACAGGCTCGCCACCATTTTTTTTAAACCTCCTTCCACTGCTTTTTCTCCCCCTCTTCTAGCTGCCCCTCACCCCACCCCCACCACGCTTACCGACCTGCAGGCGATCCGACCCCGGAGGCCGGAACGGCGGAGGCGGCCGGAGAAGGAGACGTGGCGGATTGGCTGGGTTTCTTGGCGGATTTCTTCTCTTTCATCCAAGGGAACTCGGGGGCCGGGGGGGCAGCGGGGAGTGGCGGCGGCGGTGGCGGCGGCAGAGCAGGCCCATCTTCGGCTCGCTTTTGGCTCCTGGGTCTCTGAAGGGTGGAGGCGCCGGGCTGGAGGCTGGGGAAGGTTTGCTCGAAAGGAGGAGGAGGAGGAATTAATGTCGACTCCTTGATTGATGAAGTTTGAAATGTCTCCAAGACAGCGGGGAAGGAAGTCAGACACTCGGCGAGCGACGGCTGGCTGTTTATAAACCCAATCTCCCTCTCAAATTCAAAATTCATGGCTTTCAATGGTGGGGGAGGGGGCTGCTGGGGGGGGCGTCAGGAGGGAGGATCGGAAGGGACCCCCCTCCTGCACCCCCCCCGATTTATGTAATGGAGCGATTTTGGGAGGGGGAGATTTCGGTCTCTCTTTTTTTTAATTTTGGGCCTTTATAATTGTATATTGCTGATAAATACAAGCGTATGGGGACTCTCTCTATTAAACCCAGGACTCCAGCGAAATTACAGGGAATTCGTGGTCACGGGACCGGCCTCCGCCAATCGCTCGTCTGGGCCTGGTGGAAAACAGAGAGCATTATTTGGTTTAATTGATTCAAAAACACCAGAGGACCACGACCAGGACACCATGAGCCCCCATTCCTACACCAGTGCCTCACATGCTCTCTCCCCAATGCCTCCGTTTCTCCAGAAAAGCTAGAGGAACCTTTTCCTCATCCCCTTCGAAGGTTAGAAGGTTTCAGAAGCCTGGAAAAGAAGAGACTCTAAGGGAGAAACCTTCCTCTTTTCCAAGTATTTTAATAGAGTAAATTAAGGCCTTCTTTACGTGGCCAGCAGCATCCCCTTCCCTTCTCCCCTTCCCCAGGAAAAGATGAGTGAGGATCTCCGCGTTGGAGGAAGAGGGAGTCGAAAGAGGCTTCCACTCTTTGAAAAAGGTCAGTATTAAGGTGAAAATAAGAAAGAGATTTACAATCATCACACCACTATCCCTGTTACCCTCCAAAAACAACAGTTAAATCTTGGGAAATGGACAGGAACTCCCAGGCAGACACATAGGAGTGAGATGGAGCATAAGGGGCATTTTTGGGCCTCTGGCCTCCATCGCTGTATGGTCTGGGTTCTCTTCTCTGCCCAGTGTTTGCAGCACTGCCTCTGCCCCTTATGTACCCCTGCTTTCCTCACTTTCAGGCTTCCATGCTTCTCTGTGACATCCCCCAAAAACAGGCAGAGTCTAAGATGTGCATGTACCCACTCAAGCCTCAAGCTTGTATCTGTATCCATATCCAGGGACATGAACAAGAACTGAGGTAGCCATTGGTTTAACTTAGAGCACTCTCAAAGTTCAGATCAGCGTTATGTGTGTGCATGAGTGTGGTGGGGAGATTTTCCCCTAGGACAAAGAGACTTTCCCTCCCATTTTTGCCATTGTGCTAGTTAAAAAAGAAAAAAGAAAAAAAAAAAAAAAAGAATCCCTGACAAGGAAGAATTCCCTGAAGATGGTAGGGGTGGAAATAATGACCACTGAGATGATATTCCATTTCTGGCTGCTGGGGGAAAATGTTTTTAAAATTTATTTTATTTTGAGGAGACCAAGATAGTCTGAAGTTTAGAGTGTTGTAATTTACTATGGGGAGAGGGCACAAGACTCTGAGCCCCAAGCAATTGGTGGGAAACTAGGCCTCAAAGCAGAAAATGAAAAGTCGATCTGGGGGAAGATTTTTAAATAAGTGGGTCAGACGGATGGAGAGGAGATGAGGCGATCAATCTTAGCCCCCTGACAGCTCCCTCCGATTGCATCAAAGAATTTGGCTCTTTGGGAAAGCAGAGCGAACAGCCAAAATTTCACATCCCTTAAAAAGGCCTGGGGGTGGGGGTGGGGGTGCAAAAGAGAAGGGTGATTCTGGGAGAGCTGGGAAACAGATGGGAAATGGGGACAGAGGGAAAGCGCTAAGTTGGGTGGAAAGTTTGCCTGGAGAACTCCCATGGCTTTGGCCTCCCCTCCCCCTCCTCTCTCTCTGCTGCCCAGCCAGGAGGAGAAGGCTGGTTAGCAGAGAAATGGCAACTGAGCCCGGAGCTGGAACTAGAAACTTTCTGTCAGTGTAACATCTGCGTGAGTACTTAAAAAGAAGGACAGAGAAGTCTGAGTAGAAGCATGAGGGTGGGGGAGAGGAGGATGGAGAAAGGGGAGTTGGAGGTGGGGGCTGCAGGGACCGAGGAGGCATGCTCTGGAGGGCTCAGAACAGAGAGAGCTGCTCTGACCTGGGCAAAGTGGCCAGCGACAGTAGTGTGCAACTAGGCTCCAAAGAAAACAATTTTTGCCATTTAGAGGTGTGGATGGGGGTGGGCATAGAATAATCCAAATAGTAGCTGTCTGGAAGTCATGCAGGGAGGCCTGAGAGTGGGTTCTCCCTCTGGCCACCCCCTTGAACACCTCTGAAAGTTTAGCAACAGCTTCTGTAGCTGGCTGAAGGATCCAGAGCTTATCTCAGGCAACTCGGGCAGACTGTCCCTGCAGGAAATACAGCTCTCTCTAACCCTCACTGACAGATTTTATGGCCAGATTAGCAAACAGCGGAAAACTTGGGTGTTAAAAGGGGCCCAGAGAACCCTCCTTTTCAGAGACATCCCTCCCCCGCCCCCCTGTCCTGCTGTGAATTTAACAGCACGGATATTTTACCCACGTCTTTGGCTGCTTTAGCTGAGCGCCTGGAATCTTCCAAAGAGAAGGATAGGGAACACCAAGCCAAGTTGGTTCTTATTTTTCTTGTTTGCAATTCCAGCTTCGAGCCAAAGCTCTGTTTTTCAAACTTAAGCTAAATTCTCTTTCTTGGCCTCTTTCCTGCTAGATAAATAACAACCCAACCCAGCCCCAGAGCCAAACATGGTGCTTCATCTAGTTATATCATTCAGAAAATGTTATTCAAGGAAGAAGAGAGAAAGAGAAAGAAAGAAAAACCCTTGAGCGTTATTTGATCCCAATCAAACTTTGCACGCTCTTATGCCTTTAAATTATAGCCTGACCCAATGCTAAATTGCTTGCTGCTTGGATGAGTCCAGTTAAAATCCTACTTGGTGGTGGGGAAGGGGGAGGGCGTAGAGTTCAGGTTGCTTTTTTATTGTTATTTATTGTTGCATAAAGACTATAATTACTAACCTTGGACTGCCAGGATGCAACATAAAAATGAAAATCAGCCCTCTCTTTAAGGCAGGGCCTGGAACGATTCTCACTCCCCCAACATCACTACCACCAAATATATGCTCCTAATTAAGCAATGCGGGCACATCGCTTACAATTAGAATTATGCAGCTCTTCAGCAAGCAGCCATCGCTTCTCTTTCAACGAATTAGCTCCATATTTCAGCCGCCCTGTCTTCTCGCTCTTATCGGCTCCAGCGACTCGGCGGTGACATTTCATCTTTGACAGACCTTCTCTATTTTCACTCCAATGTGATAAAACTTTTATGGAACCACAACTAAGAAATGAAGTTTTCCCAAGGATGATGGAAACAGAGCCGCACATTAGCCTGGGGACCGTTTTATTTACGCTTGGATCCAACAGCTTCTCCCACCCTCCTCTCCCCTTTCTCTGGCAGGGGAAATCGAACGTGCTTCCCCTCCCTCCGCCTCGAGTTTTATTTAGTGATTTAATTTTACTTAGTTTTAAAGTTTGACCTGAGAAGTCTAGGCCTCAGTTTTGTTTTTTTTTTTTTTTTAGATTAATCATTTTTCTTTGTTTTCATTTTAGACCCAATGGTGGTTGGGCTTCGGGTCACGTGACACCTTCTTTGTGGCTCCGGAAGAGGATTGTGAAGTTTAGGTTTCGTGGAAGAAACCGTAATCGGCCAGATTTTCTTGGTGGTGGTGGGAAGGGGTGGGGGGTGGGGGGTGCATGGACGCTGTGGCCAAAGGAGCTAACAGACGAAAGGTCAATGAATGAAAAACCTAGAGGCATACAGGCCAAACAGAAAAACCTACAGAGAGCATCCAAGAGTCCCCCGTTACCTCCCAACTTGCTACTTAAACCACAGCTGAAGAAGTTGGCAAAATGTTACAGGCTCTTATGAGTGAGAAAATGGTATTTAAACTTAAGACATATCAAGGGGGAGACAGGAACCTGGGCAGTGGACAAAAAGGCCAGGGAAGGGTCTTCAGTGTCCTTGTCCTTGTCCTTCTTCCCTTGGGGGAAATTTGGCAGTCAGCAGCCTTGCTCTGCTATCTAAATTGGACCACCAGGACAAGATAAAATTGATAACAGAAAGTTTATTCAAGAATTGTTTGACAGACAACCCTTTTAGGTAAGGAAAAAAGTAACTACTGAAGAACAAAGAAAGTTCCAAGAGGGAATTAACTCTAGTTCTACAAATTCAGGACTATACAGTGACGATTAGGAGCTGAGTTCATGCCTTTTAGAACTAATTACAATTGTTCGTAAGTACGAGTTTAACATAAATCTACAGCTCTTTTCTAGAGTACAATAGTAACTAAAATAGCTGGTTTTACATGACAGGAAACACAATGTCCTTTGTAACAGGTAAATACTAAAAAAGTACAATTTTTTCCTTTTTTTCCCTCATATAAATACATAATGTAGGGGGATAAATAATACAAAAAAGAAAATATTTTAACAGGCTATAACCAATAAATATATATGAAAATGTTCACTAGAACACACGCTTTTTTGAGCAATGCTGGACTTCTGCAGGCCCAGACATCTCTCACAGTTGTTTTTACATCCATTAAAATGTAAATTCTAAGTGCAACAAAAGTGTCCTGTCAGGAGGCTGAGCAAGGCACACAGGCCCTGCCCAGCCCCTGCCTGGGACAGTTTGTTCAAATATACCCTGTTTTCACGTTAAGTCAAGAGAGCAACAGAAGAAAAGTATAGAACCTCGTGTCACCAACTGCTTTCTGTGGAGAGGGGGATGGAGCTGGAGCTGAGATGGAGGCAGCAGAATGGGCAAACCTTCAGTCCTAACAACCTGCCTGCCCTAGCCTCCACACTTTTCCTTAAAAAAAAATGTATATAATTTATAATATAGGCAGCTCTTTCAGGATCTCTCACCATCCCTGAGCCCTCTAAAAACTGTAATTGATGGGGGTGGGATGTATAGATATGAATGTTCTAGAGCAGAAAAACCGGGGGCTAGAAGTGTACCTCAATAAACCTCAAATGGGAACAAATTTGAGGTTTTGGGAAAGTTGGAAGGGAACGTGTTTTGTGCCTTTTGGGTTTGAAATGTGTTTTCTTATTTTTTAAAGGATAATTGAGGAAAAAAAAAAATCAAGATTTGGGGGGAATTACCTACAAAGATGTAAGGTAAGTCCGTTGGTTGGTGATGGCCTAGCCATCTTGTCTGGTTTTTAAAATGTGCTTTTCTGCCTCGTCCTGTCTCGTCTTCCTCTACCCCACTCCCGGGCGTGGAATTCCAACTTGGTAGTGCTGGAGCCCTGGGGTTGATGGGGTCATCTCCAATATGATGTGGATTCCTTTCCGATGGGTTGGCAGGCAGATGGAACAAGGGGTGGAAGACTTAAAAGCAACCTCTCAGGCCAGGGGGAAGGGAAGGAGCTCCAGGCCGGTTCTGACCAGGAAGCCTGGGTACCACCTTCTCTGGCTCCTCTTTTCAGACCTCCAGGTTGCCCCCCAGAGCTCCACAGTCTCTCTCTTCCTCCCCATCCCCTAATCCTCGTTCGCCCTTTCCCATCACAGGTGTGTTAATTTGGGCGCTTCTTGGATTCTACCCTGAGGAGGAGGCGCGTGGTGAGAGGAGAGGTCTGTGTAGGTGGGGTGGGGTTCGCAGGGTCCGTGGTGCTGGCTGGGCGCCATAGGGGGCGCCCCGTTGTAGTCCAGGTTCCCGGAAGGGTGATGGGAAAGGTGGTTGAGGCCATAGAGGGAGGGGCCGGCAGGGGGCGGCAGCGGATCCGCGTAGCCGCCCCCGCCCACGTACACCGGACTGCCCTGCATGGTGGGCGTCCCGTAGGCGCCCCCGTTGGCTTGGAGGACGTGCGGCTCATACTCGGGCGCCGGGGTCGGAGGGTACTTCTGCGGGGCGCCGCAGCCTTTGAGAGGGGGCTGGTAGTTGGAGGGCAGCGCGTAGGCATTCTGGTGGGCTTTACCGAAGGCGGGTGGGGACGGGCTCTCGTAGCTGGGGGTCATGGAGTGTAAGGCGTTCATGAAGCCGGCCGTGGACTGCATGGGCTGCGGGGGGCTGCCGGCTGGAGATGGGCCCCCCGACGACGAGGCCAATCCCTTGGCCTTCTGGTCCTTCTTGTACTTCATGCGCCGGTTCTGGAACCAGATCTTGATCTGCCGCTCGCTGAGGTTCAGCAGGTTGGCCATCTCTACACGGCGAGGCCGGCACAGGTAGCGGTTAAAATGGAACTCCTTCTCCAGCTCCACCAGCTGCGCGCTCGTGTACGCCGTCCGCGCCCGCTTGGACGCCGCCGACCCCGGGGGGCTCTTGTCCCCTCCCCCGCCGCCGCCGCCACCGCCCCCGCTGCCACCACTGCCTCCGCCGCCGCCGCCACCGCCGCCGCCACCACAGCCCTCTGCTGGATCCGAGGGGGAGGGGTGGGAAGGGGAGAAAATGAAATAAAAGATAATTACTGAACACGCCGAAATTGAATGCATCGTTTCTTAATAAATCCAGGCCTGGACTCAGAGCCCCCGCCGCCCTCCCCTTCGGGTCCCCGCCGCCTCCTCACTCCCCCACCCCACCGCCCGTCGCATTAGCGGACACTCTATAATAGTGGCATTTATTAAGAGACCTGTTCTCCTTTCGCTGCCCCAGCTTATGAAAATTTGATCATGTCACGCAGACAGAGCCGCATGGCCATTTATTTAGGGCTGGATTTTCGCGTGCGTGCTTTCTCCCCCTTATCCCCAATTCCAGGTCAGGGAAGACATTTCCCCTCCCCGCCCACCCCGTCCTGAGGACAGGATGGGAGACTGAGGAGAATCCTCGGGGTAATCTGGACACTCGTGGGCAGGAAGTGTGGCACGAAGAGGCTGCCGTTTCTGGAGGCCGGGACCCCGGGCCGTCCAAGCGATTGTGATTAATACCCACAGTAATCATACTTAATAATAATCAATCGTTGACGACTCTGCATCCTCCCGGCAGCGCCTCGTCTTGGCTCTGTGGCCTTGGGAAGGGCTTTGAGGCCACGCACTGGGCCTTCTGGAGCTTTCAGAAGCTCCGGTGGAGGGCAGCTAGAGGGAGGAGGGTGTTGGCGGGGTCAGGGGTCATTAGGGGGTAGGGGTATCAAAAATGTACCCGCTGGCCACCTAATATTGTTCCCAGGCAGCCTCGCGGGCGCCTAGGGGCTGGGTGCTAGAATAACAGTGACATTCCTGGCTCCGACAAAAGCTGAGGACAAGGAAGGCAGAGAACTGGTACCTGTGCCGGGGGAGTTGTTTTTCAGCTTGGACGTTTGCCTCGACTCTTTCATCCAGGGGAATATCTGTTTGGTGAGGGTGGAGTTGGTGCCGGGACCGCACTTTGGGGGACCACTTTTGCTGGGCCCGCCCCCATTACTGCTGTTGCTAGTGGCACTGGTAGGTGCGGCACTGGGCGGGGGTGAGCCAGGCGGGGCCGACAGGGGCTCGGGGGCCAGACCCGGCCTCATGCAGCTGCCGTTGAGCTCCTTGCTCTTGGCATGTGGGGCAGCGTTGCCCAGGGACTGCAGCGAGCAAGCTGAGCGCTGGTAGTCGCCCTCCAGGTGCGTGGCGGCCTGAAATGGGGGTTGGGGGGGGACATCGAAGCCGAAGCCATTGCTGCCAGGGTACGAGGAATAGCCTCCGAAGAGAGCAGCCGCGGCGTTGTCGTAGTAGGTGGCTTTCTGCATCGCTGGGTGAGGCCTGGGCAGTGGGTGGCAACTTGGAAAGGCCTGATACCCTCAGGACCGGACATTGGCAACCCTGGGGGTCACGTGACACGCCGGACCCCCCCCCCCCACCTCCCCTCTCTGCCCCCCTCCTCCGGGGTCTGTTCCAAGCGGCTGACCTGCGAGGCGAGAGAAGAGACACAAGGGGGAGAAGAGGACTGGGGCTCGAATCCATCTTAGGAACTGAAAAGGGAACTGACATCAATAGGGTTTTTTCTTTTCCCCTCCCCAACATCTCCAAAGCAGATGCTGAGAAAAAAAAGCCCACCAGTTTTCATTTCCACTAAAAAATAAAAAAATAAATAAAGACTATATGCCTTTCAAGACTGCCTAGATGTAGAATCTATGGCAAAGGCCATTGCTTCTCTCCTGCCTGTGCACTAGCCCCTGACCTCCCCTAGTCCCTCTCTCCCTATCTCTCCTCCCCAACTCTGGGATAGGATGGCTCAAGGGAGGGGACACTAGGAGACTCCAAAATAAAAGCATCATCAACACCCTCCTCTGAGCCCAGAGGCTTCTATGCTTCCAGCCTTTGCCTCCTTCCAAGTCGGTTTAGGTCTCTTGCCCAAGCAAAGTCTAGCCTGAAGGAAAACCAAAGGATCTCCTAAAAGAACAGGCAGGAGAAGCAAGTTCAGCAGAGAAGCTTCTCTTGTGAGGTATCCTCTCCACTTCCCACCACTCTCCCACCAGGAAGACAACAACAGCCTGACCTAGAAACTTCCTGATGATTTTTAACCTCAAGAGCCAGCTGAACCGAGACTCATCTGTCCATGGCCCTGCTGCAGGTACCACCACCTCCAGCCCTTGTCTTTGCTCAGCCAAACCTGGGATCGGGCAGCCAGTGGCCCTGTGGGGCCCCCACATGGAGCAGGATTGTTTCAATTTCCTGGGCCACGCCAGTTGGTGCTGTGACCATTTGGCCCAGGTCTCTCCCCGGACCTCTTTTTTTTTTTTTCATGAGACTTAATTTTTCCCACCCTTTCCTTCACCGTCTGTTTTCTTTGATTTCCCCCAAAGCAAATAAGAAACAAGAAGTTACAACTGCTAGACTTTTCTACTGAGACGGGGAAAGTGCTTTCCAAAAGAGAAAATTATTCCTGAGGAAAAAAAAATTAACAAAGCAATTTTAACAATATTATTCTCTAGGTTAGAAACAGAGGTATTCCTGTTGACTGAGGTTCCCTGAGGCAAAAAAAAAAAATCACTATTTTAATACAGCCTTTTAAAAGTGTGCCAGAAAAATAAAGATTCAAACTAACATAGGATTTTGTGTATTTGTTCTGAAACTTCTGACTGCATTTTTTTCCCTCCATCTCTCCCAACTCTTCACCATCACTTTTCATAAAACCTCCATACTGCCATGTGTGTTTGGAAAACTTTAATCTCATTCAGCCTAGCTGTTCAACTCCAAAGAAAACTAAACATAGGAAAATAAAATAAAAGGAGTGCAGGTGAAGAAAAGTCCCTCCCTCACATAAATCCCCTTCTTCATGGCACAGATTTATACTCAAAAGGGAATCAGTGTAACCCTGAGTTCCGATTGGTTTCTGGAAATACACATGGGTCTGCAAAGCAGCAGGTCCTTCCAGGGAGAACCAGAGTTCAATTGACCAGGCTGACCCAATCCCTTTATTATTATTACCATTAGCCTCTGCTGATTTAACCAAAATTAGCTTCCAAGCAGCCCTGGCTGAAGGGGGAATTAATTAACAGGCATTAGTTGTGGTTGTTATTAATAGAGAAGAGAATGAAATAAAAACGTTGGAGGGGGTTGGCTGGCTAGGCCCTGGCTTTATTTAGTCTGATTGTTACAGCAATAATAATGATGACGATGATGATGATAGTAATAATAATAAAACAATAATTTAACTAGATGCCTGGGGCCGAAATTCCTGCCGCTCCCCTTGCAATAAACCCCAAACCATCGCGGGACGGAGGCCAGGCGAGTGTGGAAAGCGAAGGAGCCAGAGACGCGATAGGAAAGAATGGAGACTCCGCCGGTGGTGCAGACAGGGCTGGGAAGGTTTGTGCACCCGGGTAGTCCCTGGCTGCTGCTGCCAGGCTGCCTCAGCCGGTCGCTGCTGCCGCGGCGACTGGCGACAAGCTACCAGCCACCTACGATGGCCCAAGGAGGCGAAGAAGAGCAAGCGATCAGGACACCAAAACGGTTATCGGAGGCAGGTTCCCAGCACACCAGCCGGCCGAGGGCCGAGCCCCGCGGGCGGCAGCAAGTTTTGGGAGCTGGAGGTAACCGAATTAAAAGGCGCCTTAGAAACTCCGCTTCGGGACTTTGCTCAGCAGGGCTCCGGGTTGGAGGGCGCCGAGGCCTGGCGGACGGGACAGTGGGAAGAGAGAAAGGTGCTAAGGGGACCCAAGATCTGGGATCCAGAACAAGAGGGGGTGGGGAACAACTCTACCAAGCCAAACAGATCTATTTCCCTTGCCTCCATGTTGGAAAAATTCAGGTTCCATATGGCTCCTCGGGAGGGAGGGAGGGAGACGGTGGCTGCCGGCTTCCCCCCAGGGTCTCGCTGGAGAAGGGAGATGAGCCCCCCGCAAGAACCCCACCTTGCCAAGCACACCCCAGGGAGAGCCAGGAGAGTAACAATAGCTGGGGAAGCCCCGAGAGAGGGGATAGGCCATCTTCCAGGACTTAAAAAAATTAATGGGAGAAAGAAAAATAACAAGAAAGGAAGACAGAGAAAGGTTGAGACTTTCTTAGCAGCCGCGGAGAAAATTCAGCCCTGGATCTGGCTGCTGAAAGAAAAGAGAGAGAGGAGAAAAGAGGAGAGAAGCAGGAAGAGAGAGGGGAGAGAGAGAGGGAGAGAGAGAGAGAGAGAGAGAGAGAGAGGGAGGGAGGGAGGGAGGGAGGGAGGGAGAGAGAGAGTCGCTGCGTGGAAGGAAGCTTAAAGCTTGTGAACTCTTCTTGAACCGAGATTGGAGTCATATGGGCCATAAATCATTGAGACATACTCTCCGCCATTCACAAACTGATAGCCTATTTCAGTCCAGCTTACCTTAGCCACCGACGAGGGGAGAACAGGCAGACATAATATATATTCACATCGAGCCCCAGAGCGAGCGGCAGGCGACAAATCTCCCCTCCTTGAAGGCAAAGGAAAAAAAGACCACTGTTTAAAGCTGCGTCGCCCCCCGCCCCCCCGCCCCCGCCCCGCAAAGCCACCCCGGCTGGGGAGCCCGAGGGGCAGACCGGCCAGAGGAGCCGCGCGGCGTCCGCTTCAATTCACTCGGCTTAGGAGCAGGGGTGCGCAGGAGGGAGGGGGTGGGGGAGCGGGAAAAAAAATAGAAGACCGAAAGGTGCCGGGCGGCTCAGCTCGCCAGAATCCAGCTCCGGGCTCCAGCAGGGCTAAGCCGCCACAGTGTGGTTGCCCTATAAGACTGGTACGCCCTACTCTCCGTAACAATGGCCTCTGCTTTTGCACAGGGAAAAAAAACCACACAGACACACACACACACTCACTCACACACAAGCTCACACCCCCCCACCTCTCCCCCTTTAGCAAGCTTAGATGCCTGATAAGGAGGGAAGGTGATGGTGGTGATGGGGAAGGGGGGAAATTTTAAAATACCCGCCTCCCCAAAAAAAGAGTAAGAAGAAAAGAAGGAGGGTTTTTTTTTTTTCCTTAAAGAACAGGTAAAAATTTAAATCTAGATTGGAGGGACAGGGAGGAAGAGGTGAGCAAAGGCAAGGAAGGGCGGTGAAGTTCACAGCTCCCCCCATACCCCACTAGTGAACTATTATGCTAATATGAGAAGTAGTATTTGGAGGCTGAGTCAAAGGCAGGCCTGGCCCGGGGGTGAGGGTGCCGGGTGCCCCTCTGCACTCATTCGCAATTGGAACACCAGGACTTTTTTAGAAAGTAGTTCT
This sequence comes from Homo sapiens, assembly GCF_000001405.40. NCBI lineage: Eukaryota > Metazoa > Chordata > Mammalia > Primates > Hominidae > Homo > Homo sapiens. The sequence goes on from NC_000017.11 coordinate 48,556,403, forward strand.
GGGTCTCCAACCCTCACACTCTGGCTCCCTCCTTCTGAGTCTCCAGCCCCGGCTTCTTCCCTCCACTACACCCTCTCTATTCCTCCCAAATCTCCCTCCAGTCTCCAGGCCCAGTCTCTAACCAAGGGAGAGGGAAAGACCAGAACTTAAAAAAAAAAAAAAAAAAAAAACACCCCTCCCCCTTTTTCTTTTTGAGAACAGACAACAAGCGGTGAGTGATGATTTTAAAAACTCTGAACATCTTGCAGGGGGAGGAGGGTTGAGAAAAGGGTGACAAAAGGAGGACTCTGTGTTTTAGTTTGAGCTCCAGACTGGCTGGCAGTAGACGGGCTGAAAGAACTTCATGGATAAGTTTCTGTTATGATTCTCACCTCCGAATAGGCAGAAGGGGCTAAGAGGTGATAAGGACATTTGTACTTCTAAGAAGAGAAGAACTAGCAGGGTCGCTTAATTTTAAATGCACTGGCAGAAGAGATGGAAGATGGTTATTATTATTATTCAGAACAACCCTGTTTGTTTCTCTCTGCCCTGCAAGATTTATGACTCTTGGCACAAGTGAGGAAGGCCACAAAAGCTAAAGTTTTCTTAGGGTGTGTTTGAGCAGGGCAGGAAAAGGCAAGGAGGAGGCCTGTAGGAGGAAGACAGGAGCCAAAAATGTAGGTGTCTGCAGATTTGGGACAGGGGGTGGGGAATAGTCATTCCGGGAGGAAGGAAAAGACAAAAAGAGCACCAGGACATTTCCCAAAGCAGGAGTGTTTGCAACTCTGCCTAACTGCTGACTCGGAGCTAGGGGATGAAATAGAAAGCTGACTCTTTTCTCTAAAGGCAGCTTGGAAAACTGGTCCTCTTAACTTCATGTAAGGCACTACCCTGTGATTTCCTGGTTAGAATACTTGGCTTTTGCCTTCTCCCATCTGGATGCACCAGAAGAGGGAACGGGACTGGGGACAACAAAGGTGAGAGTTGATTTCCAGCTTTTGTGTTCCCTCCAGCATAGGTTGGAGGTGTCTGGCAAAGCTTCCCTCATTCCCTCTCTCTCCCCACTCACAGGCTCTACTTTGGGATGAGATAGGGAGTGGCCCCTGGCCTCCAGCCCCTACTTCTTCCAGGCAAGGCTAAGTCAGGCCAGGTGATTTGGAGCAGCCGGTTTCCAGGGGCCCTGATAAACTGGGGGTACCTATGGCCTTCCTGCCCTCCAGCAACAGAAGCCACTTGCAGAGCCTCAGAATGTAATGTCCTGAGGACCCCACCTCCCACCTAGAAAGTTGACAGCTGGGGGGAAGCACGGGTTGGGGGACATGGGGATGGAGGGTGGGAGCTATTTTTCTGTGTTTATTAGCTATTATTCTGTGTTTATTAGTATTTTTCTGTGTTTATTAGTAGTATCAAGAAAATAAAACATCCAAGTCAGACCTAGACTTGGGGCTCAAGCCAGCCTGGAACCCCAAAGAGACCTGTTAGGGGTGCCTGAGCATGTGGCTGCAAAAAGTCTGTCCTGAGATCTCTACACTCTGGTTAGAGACCTACAGGGTCAGACCCCATGTAACTTTGAGCTTGGTGGGTCAGGGACTCAGGCCAGGGAGGCTTCCAGAGGCTTAAAGAAACCAGTACCTTTGGGGTTTTTTTTTCTATCACTCCCCCAAATAAAAAAAAAGCCAAGAATGTACCTCAAAACCTCTGCTGTCCTAGCTGTTACTATCATTGGGTTAGAGAAGGTCATTGTAAAACTGAGAGAAGAGGAGAACCTGATCGCTTTTGGGACTGCGCAGCTTTGCCTCTAGGAATAACACGAGAGTCCAGAAGGCACCCAGGCAGCCTCGGGCCGGCTGCAGGAGAAGCGGGCCTGGAGCTGAGCTGGGAGTGGAGGAGTGTTCCAGAGACAACAGCAGACCCCTCCCTTCCCCAAGCCTCCTCAACTCTTTGTGGTCCCTCGGGCTACAGAAGGCAGTGGGGCATAGTGGGGTGGGAGTGAAAAAGAGGACCGAGAAGCAAGAAAATGAACCTGGAGAAAATCTCAGAGGACATATACCCCCAAATGCGGTAGGAGATGGAGTGGGGGCTTCTTAATTCTGGAGTACAGAGCCCATTTGGAATACTTGGGAGGCAATTAGATCCCAGTTTAGTTTCTGTCTTGCCTTTTTTCTTCCATTCTCAGAGGTCTCTGGCGAGCAGGCGGGCTGCCCTCTGATTAGGGCTGGGAGGCTGGAGGACGGAGGGTGGAACAGGCACCCCTAAGGGCCCCTGTTTGGACTGAGGTGTTGCTGCTAGCCAGGGGATTTTCAAACTTCAGGGGATAAAGGCTGGTAGTGAGGAGTTTGAGCAGGGAACTTGGGGTGGGGGACGCCAGAGCAGGCTGAGGGAAGACTTTGGGGTCTGGGAAAAGAGAAGCAGGAGAAGGGCTTATCATCCCTGAGAGTGAAGCCATGATTTCGGAACAGACTGGAGATACAGAAGAGGGAACAATTTCTTCTTGGATTTGGGAGGGAAACCTGGAAAACTGTGTGTGTGTGCCCATGTGTGTAGGGTGTGTGTGTGTGTGAGAGAGAGAGAGAGAGAAAGGAGGAGAAAGAGAAATTGAAAAAGAGGAAAATTGAGTAAGAGACAGAGACACTAGCATAAACTAATGAAGTAAAAAAATAATAAGGGTAAAGATTAGAGAAAATGCCCTTCTTCACAGACATCTTTTCCTCTTCCATTCCGTTTCTTCAGAGCCAGAGCACTCGCTCTGGCACTTCTCTCCCCCACCCCACTGGGTACCCAGTATCAGGCGACGGGAGCACTTTAAACCCTCTGGAACAATCAAGGGCTACCCGCCCTTCTAGACCTCGGCGGCGGGATCGTGCCTGTTTCTCTCCTCCCCCAAAAATGCATCAACTAGCAAACAAAAATTCTCTCAATAAGGGCATACTGGTTGGCTCTTTTAAAACCAATTTCTGATCTCAGACTTGGGGCAGTCAAGGATCCTGCCCCTGGCTCAATCCACACAAAATTTGCCTGGCCCAAAGGCTAGCTTGGGAGCTAGGACCTGTAAGCCTGGGGCGAGATGTTTGGCGATGTGTTTCTTCCTGGCCCTGTCTGGGTTCCCAGTCCCACACTGTTTTCCAGCTTCACTGCCCAACTTTGTAGCCCTAGAAAAGTGGTGTAAAGGTCACACACTCACCCGAATCTCCATTTTCCCCTAAGTATTAACGAAGATTTCAAAGCTGGGAGTTGTAAAGTGGGAATTGCTAATGAAGAAGGCTCTTGGCATTTGGATCCCCATCTCCAGCTCTCCAATAAGCCAGAGCAGGAGGGAACAAAGGGGCACCCGGAAGGGAGAAGAGGAGACTCGCATAGACACTGCTCAGCAATAGTGGGGATCAAAAGAAGAAAAAGGTCGCTGCAGTGGAAGAAGAAAAATCCAAGCTGTACTTTTTCCCCACCCCACGTGTGGGGGCGCTGCCCTCTCCCCAGCTGAGCCTGTGAAGGGGTGGCAGGACAAAAAGGGCAGCCACAAGGGTCTGCGAAGTCCACTCGATGACCACGGAGGCCGCCTGAACATGCTAATGAGGGGATGGCGGTGCTGCCAGCGAGTTGGGAGCCTCAGGCAGGTGGGCTCCTTGGTGGTGATAGATCCCAATCTGAATCAGGGCTCCCGCCTCACCTAGAAGCTCAGCCTTAGCCTGGCAAACCCCACCCCCAGCAAGTGTTGAGACAAAGGTGGGCAGAGCAGAGAAGGCAGAGGAAGGGAGGCTGCAAATCCTGGGCAGCTTGGGGGCTGCAGGGGGTGCTGGGAAAGGGAGGGAGAAGCAGGAAAAGAGGAACGGGCCCAGTCCCTGAGGTTCAGCGGGCCTCTCCTGACAGACTGGATGTTTCTCTCCCAGTGACCTCTGTTTAGCAGACAATAACTCAGTGGATTAATGACCAATCAGCGAAAGGCCTTCCGAATTGCCTCCAAATATAAAACTCCGAAGTCAGAATGGGACAGAGCCAGAGTCTGGGCCTGCCAGCTCTTTTGTTTTTTTTTTCTCTCTCAAATTAGTGTTTGGGGCTAGGCTTTAGGAAGTGGATTATCTGCCCAGTGTCTCAGATTTCCAGAGCCCCAAAGATGAGGTTGTTTCCCATCTCTTCCCATCTTCTTCTTCCCTCCTTCCCCGGAATTCATATTCCAAACCACACTTCCCAAGGCAGCCTGGAAACCTCCCCTCCCCTGCTAGCCTCTTCACATCCCTGATCCTGCAAGAAATTTCCTTGCTCACAACCATGCAATTGAGAAGCCACCACTCCTTTGGAACTGGGGGAGGAGCTGGAAAATAAAAGCAAGTATAGAGTGGGAGTCTTCCACCATGCAGGCCTTCTGTCCTGGCTACCCTAGAGGAGACCCGGTAGAGTGCTGTGGCACCCTGTGTGTGCTTCCTCCCAAGAAGCCAGGGCTCAGAGGCCCAGGGTTGGGGTGAGGCTGAGAAGGGAGGCACCTGCTATCACAGAATCTAAACTCTGAAACCACTGTTCAGTCCCTGGGCTGGGGTAGGGGGCACCTTAAAAACCACACTCTGTTGGGAGGCCGAGGCAGGCGATCACCTGAGGTTGGGAGTTCGAGACCAGCCTGACCAACATGGCGAAACCGTGTCTCCACTAAAAATACAAAATTAGCCAGGTGTGGTGGCGCATGCCTGTAGTCCCAGCTACTCGGGAGGCTGAGGCAGGAGAATCGCTTGAACCCAGGAGGCAGAGGTTGTGGTGAGTGGAGATTGCACCATTGCACTCCAGCCTGGGCAACAAGAGCGAAACTCCGTCTCAAAACACACACACACACACACACACACACACACACACACACACACACTGAACAATGACAGCCTTAGCCCAGTGCCTGGCAGGGAAAGACTCTTGCTCAGTAAGGCCCAGCCCTTCTTTACTTAGCCCTTCTCCAAATGCCAATCTCAACCCAACCCAGCTAGCTGGCCCCTCACCACTTCCTTCTAGTTCCACTGCTCTCCTCAGGGCTACTCCTCAGCTGAGAATAAGGGCACCTTCAGAAAGAGGAATAGTCCAGATTCCAGTGGATTTCCTAGAGCCAGACTGAGTAAGCATCCACTGCTCTGGGTGTATGTAAACTCTGAATATTGCAAATAAACATGCAGTAACTTCTATACCCAGATGCCCACAGAGCTCCAGGACACACAAGGGAGTGCCTCCCATGCACTGTCCTGCTGAGGATGGGTACACACAGAGGTGCCCAATTTCAGAACAGGAGAGAAATCAGGAAGTGTCCAGTCCAACTCTTGCCATTGTTACAGATCAGGAAACTGAGGCCCAGAGCAAGGAAGTGATTTGTCTAGAGTCATACTTGGGATAGGCTTGGGAGTTGGAAGGCCTGAATTTCAGATGTTCCAGCTTGGCTATGTGACATGAGGCAGGGCACTCCTTGGGCCTGAGTGTCCCCTTCTGTAAAGCCTGGGCATGTGTATGGAGGGAAGGGGTTTAGCTAAATGATCTCTAAGGTCTCTTTTTGGACTGAATGTTAGTGATTCTCCATGTGCTGATGTAAAAGTGAGTGACAAGAAGTAATAAACTGAGTTCAGACAATAACGGGCACCATCGTCACCAGATTCAGAGTATTTCCTCTTGAGGTTTAAATGCTTACCACCACTGAGCACCAACCCGATGCCTGGCCCTCCCTTGCCCCATAGAGGCTCATGCACTGCGTTTTACTGCTCTTCTGTGTGTAGGGTGGGTTGTTTTCTACCCTCATTACCAAACCAAAAGTGCTATATTTAGACACTGCAACTTGAGCAGTAAATAATTAATTAGTCTAATTAAAGGAGGAAGGTTTCAACCTGGCAATTTTTAACCAGGCATCAATGCACCCATTGTACCAGCCGAGCCCTCTCACCCGACCCCCTCCCTGCCCATACACCTACCAGCCTTCCCAGTTGCCTCCCCCTCAGTTGGAGACAAGCATTCCCCCAGATGGCCAGCAGGGTCCACAGGGCCAGACTGTGTCCCTCATGACAAAGTTCCACGCTCTGCTGTGCTTCCCCATAGAAATAGGTCTGCCGGCAGCTGCACCTCAAAGCTTGCTTTCCCTACCCCCAAAGCTGTGCTGGGCTCCAGGTCTCTGCTCTCTGCTCTTGGGAAATGTGTAATCTACCTCCCCAGCTCAAGATGCCCCAACAATGCAGCGAGTTTGCATTTCAAGAAACTCCCATTAATATCAATTTACTTCACTGAAACCTCGGGTTCTTCATCAAGTTGATGATTTATGATAAAATCAATTAAATTACGGCCACTTAGGGCCCAGCCGCTTCCTCTCAGATTTCATTGGTGCGGGGCCCAAGTGTCTGGTGGAAAAATGCAAGTTTAGCTGGAGGCGAGGAAAGATAATTCTGCGGCTGAGAAAATTTAATGCAAAACAATTTCCAGGCAAAGCTGGGTGTCTGGACAGAAATGCAAGAGCCACTAGTTGGCCTGCGGAAATTACTATCTGGGGGTCAAAATGTTTTTCTCCCCACCGCCATCCTCCTGCATGGCTCCCTTACTCTGCTCGTCTTTGTATTATTCACTTGCTCCCCACTCCCAAACAGAGATTTTGGGGGAATTCGAGCAGTAATGGTGGGACACAAGGCTGCCAAGGTCCAGCCTCAAACCACGGATCTCCCCGATCTTCCCTACCACACCAAGCCTTTTCTCCTTTTGGCCTCCCCTCCTCAACCAACCATACTCACTAATTCCTTGGCTTCCCACCACAAAGTTAAAAATTCAAAGTGAAGATGAGGCTGGGTGGGCAGAAGGCACAGGAGGCACACAGGGAAAGGGTAGAGGGGCAGGGGCCAGGAGGCCAGGCCAAGTGGGCTCTGCTGCATGTGGCTGCGGGAAGAAAAAAGCAGGAAAGAGCACTACTTCGTGGACAGGACAAGGGGCAGTGTGTCTAGAGCTACCTCATCCCAGAGTTCCAGAACCAGAGAACATGGGGTCTCTCTCCTGACTCCCAATCTCCCAGCTCACAAAGTGATTCTGCAAACCCATCCGCAAAGCCCCACCTGGAGTACATACAGCTCCCGATGTGCAGATGCACTCACACAATACACAAACATACCTACACATGTGCCTGCTTACATGCTCCCTTTGCATACACCCACCACACTGTGCGCCTGCAAAGGGACAGTTCCCACTATTCTCCCTCATCTGGGAAAATAAATCCCAGTGCGTCAGGCTGGCATCGCTTCCCACTCCAAGGAGAGGGGCTTCTCTGGCCTCTGCTCTGTTTGGTTTTTGGTTTCCAGAGCAGGCAGGAGTAAACACAGCTTCTCTGAAGCCATAAATCACCCCCTTTCCTACCTTCTGGGCTTAACACTCAGCCTCAGTGCAATCCCTTGTAGTTTTGCCTTCAAATAACCCGCTAGGTGCTAAAGGGTTGGGCAATGGTGGCAGCTGGGTTGTGGAAGCTGACCCAGCGGTCGCCCCCCAACCCCACTGCCCCTAACAGATGCCCCTCACATTTCCCTCAGTACCCACAGCCCCCAACTGCCCTGGAAAACCCTCCTGGGCCTCAACGCCCTTTCTGAGCGGGAGGGCTCTCCCATCCCCTAACAAGATCATGTCCACACGCCCACCCAAACAGCTCCACATTCCTCCACACTCGTCCTCCACCCCCAGGTCCCTTTACCCCCTTGAAGCCCCCACCCTGCCTTTCAAAGTTGCTCTCATCTTCGTCTTCAATTCGGATCCCGGCCTGTCCCAGGAGAGAGGCCTGGGGGCGGGGGTCTCAGCCACCCACCTCTGCACCCCCGCCAGGCCCCGAGCGCCCCGGCTCCGCACCCCACACTTACCTGTGCGGTCTTCCGCTAGGGCGCGGGCAACGGCGGGCGGCCGGGCGCTGGGTGCGCGCGGGGGCCGACTGCCAGGCCCCGGACCCTCGGCCCAGGCTGGGGCTCCGCCGCCGCAGCCAGCCGCATCCTAGTCGCTCAACCCGCAGCAACCCCCAGCAACCCCCGAGCGTCCCGCCGAGCTGGGGGAGAGGCCCGGATGCGCTCGCCCCCACCCCGCCCCCGCCCCCGCCCCCGGCTTTGTTCGGCCTCCAGGGCCCCAGGAGCGCGCGGATCTGGCACTCCGGGCGCGGCAGACGCCAGTTTCCTGAGAAGCTCCCACTCCGTCCGGGCCGCGCAGGGCTGCGGGAACCCCGGGCTCGTCTGGCACCGAGCTGAACTCGGGCTTTGAGAGCGGGCCAAGTTGCCAGGCGAGAGGAGCGGCAACTGACAGGGGCACGGCGAGGCGTAGGGAGCGCCGGGGGCGCCATGGCGGAAGGCGGGCACACCGGCGACTCTTCAATGTCACCAGCGAAATGGGTTCCATATGTCCGACCCGGCAGAGAAGGGAGGGGAAGGGAGAGAGTTCTGGGCAGGACAGGAGTGGGGACAGGGAGGGCGGCAATGGAGGGAACAGAGCAATGGCGAGGGGGCAATAGGAAGGATCAGACGGGCGAGAAAGATTTGCATCTCCCCTTTTCCCTCGAGTTTTCTAAAGCTGCTTAGGCTGGTAGGAACTTGCTTTCTCTTTTTCCTTTTCTTGTTCTTTCCTGTAAGATGGGGGAGGAAGGAGATTAGTAGGGGAAGCATCCGCTTGTTAAGGCTGGGAGTTTGAGGGAGGAGATGTGGAATGGAGGTGAAAGTTCTTAGGCGGCTGGAAGATCAACAACTTCCCCAGGTCCCTAGAGAAAAAAAGAGACCAAACCCACAAGGGGGAAGAAAAGCCAAGAAAGGATTCCAGGGTCCAGGTGTGAAAGTCCCAACTCCCCCCACCCCCATGATGAAATTCTGTTTGGGGAGGTCCCAATGATTAAGTTACTGATGCTGGTGATTGTGGTGGAGGCTGAAGTGTCCTGGACATCTTGGCCATTCCCTGGCACTTCAGCTCCTGCCACAGCTGCCTCACACCTGATTTAGCACCCCCAAGGGCCTACTCTAGAGGCAGTTGTTTCTGAGATGGCCTGGGCTTTGGGCAGCTTCCTGTAAAGAAGGCTGCTAGGGAGCAGGGAGCCTGGAGGGGCTTCCCTCTGTGCCTGCTCCCCAAAGGGTTTGGGCTTTTTTTCTGTGTTGGGTCTCTCTGTCTTTTCTAACCATCTCTGTTGTCTCCGTTCCTTTCTCACAGCCCCTTTGTCTTTTTCCAATTCTGCGTCTCTCAGTGTCTTCAGTGAATTTGAATTGAGCCTTGCAAAGGATTTAGGAGTGTCTCCAGAAATCACTTCTGGGCTCACCCATTAGGTTGAGTCTCTTCTTCCCTTTCCTCTGTGGGGGAACCCACCCTCTATCCAGAGAAATTCTCTTCTAGAGAGAAGGGGACAAAAGGGGTAGTTTCCTTCCCACTGCCCTTGTTCTCACTTAACTCTGTGTGTGTGTCCCCTTGTGAATTGTGGGGCTCCTTCCTCCAGGACAGCCTCCCTTCCCCTCTGACTGGCCTTTGTTTCCACTCTCCCTGTCATCACCTCCTTGGGCTCAGCCTTGACTTCCCATCCCAGAAAGGGATCCTGCTGCTTGTTCTCTCTCTGGGTCCCTCTCTTCCTCATCTCACTCTTCATCTTTCTATCCAATTCCTCTGGTCACTAAAGCGTTAGCAGCCTGCCTCCTTAAAGGCACAGAGATAAACACTGCAATTATATAGAGAGGATACCAGCAGAGAGTTAGGGGAGAAGACAGAGTCAGCAGCTTTCTTAGAGCTCTGTCTACCAGATGCATTCTATCCCAACCCCTGAACAACACAAAAGCAAATCAGTGGGGTGGAGGGTGCAGGACTGGTAAGAGACAGGGTGCTTCATAGCTAAATGAAGCAAATGTATATATAAACAACAAAGTCCTTTCAAACTTGCTGATTTGGGGTAGGCCTAGATGCCTGGATGGAAGGCATTAGGCATCACATGGGGGATTTACCAGATAATGGTGGCAAGGGATGGTCCCCTTGCTTTGTCTCCTGGGGAAGAGTCTGTGCGTGTTGGGGAAAGGGAAGGGGAGGGGGTATCAGTGTCACCTCCTCTCCTCTGGGCCAGAGGAGACAAAGACCTGAAGAGGGCTGAAAGAATAAAGAGGAAAAGCTGGTGGAGTGGGGGTGGGGGTGGTTGGTCAGACTTCCACGTCACAGGCAAAGGTAGCAGCAGGAGGGGAGATGGAAAAGGGTTGGGGAGGAGGAGTTGCAAACGCAGGGGGAAGGGGCCTGTGGGACTGGCTCTCCATGCTAGCTATGGGCTGGCCCAAAGAGCAGATCCTTTTCTTTCCCATCTTTCAAAGCATGCTGAATTCAGAAGCTAATACAAATGATTCTACCCTCTTCCTTCTCTGTCATGTCCCTCCTCCTCCCCATGGAAGAAGTGATCCTTCCCTGCTCTCTCAAAAACTCCAAGACTTTGCCCTAACTCTGGACCACCGGTTTGAGGGAGAACGCACCCTCTTCACAGTCATACCCCCCAACACTTTCCAGATGAGGGAGAAGTAGAACTGCTTGCCTCTCACACTGAATGTGTGTGGGATTCTCCAACACTCAAGGAGTGGGTGGGGAATGAGACTGAAAGGTTTGGAGCCCCTATGCCCCAGGTCTCTTTGCTGCCTCTGCCAGCCCTTCCCACCTCCTCACAATCTCCAGTGCTGTCAAAGCTGCCCCTGTATCCAGACTTTTCCCTAGTTCTTTTTATCCAGGTCAGACAGTGCCTCTACCCATCCCAGCCTTGGGTCCTGGCCTTCTCTTTCTCCCCAAACCCTTTTCAACTGAGACTCCTGAATTGGGAGGCTTCACCCACTACCCACTGAGAATCCCTTGTTAACATGGATGAGACTCAGTGTTCACTTGGAGCAGAGTGTGGGAGCGAGCTCCTGGATGCTGCAGGGACTGGGGCCTAAGCTGCCACTCCACGTAGTGGATGCCATGAATAATTAACACCTGGGCGCGGCGTTGCTCTAACTTCCCTGCTCAAAGGTTTACACTAGCAGGCAGAGTTAAATATCACAGATAATCGTGGCTATAAAGTCAGTTGGCCTGGCTCCAGTCAGGGAATGAGGGGCCAACAGCTGGGACTGGAGTTGGTGAAGGCTCTGGCCCTCTGCACCTCATCCATCACAACTTTGGGGCACAGTGCAGAACATTCCCCAAAGCCACCTCTGGCTTTGCTCTTGACCAGCAGCCTCTCCCCTAGTAGGAAGGAACTGTGACCTCCACATGAAACTATAGGAGAAAGTTAACAGCTCTTCCCCTCCCTCTCCAATCTGCACCCCGTTTGCTCCCTTTTTGGATGGGGACTTAGTTAAAAGAACACACCCAACATCCTCCAACACTCCCAACTTTCTGGGACCACCTGATTCCTAGAACATTTCTTTTCTAGAAAAACTTCGGAGAACTTCTCCCCACTTTAGCCCCAAACACAGAGTCCCTCACTGCTGAGGAAACTTTTCTTTGTTTCAGCAGGTCAAAGGAAGGCTCCTGGGGTGTGAATTCATTTCCTTGTTTTGTTAGCCAGGAGGGTGGGGAGCCAAAGCTTTCAGCTTCTCTCCCTGCCCTTCACCCTCTGCTTGCCTCCATTGTCTCCCCCAATTTGGGTGATTCCTTTTCCACCTTTGACCACCCCCCAGACACATCAGTCCTATAAATTAAGCTTTAATAATGTAACGGAACCCCTCCCATCCCTTTCCAATTGCACAGAACTTTGATTTGGTCTCCATTGATCACAAAAATATTTGCCTTCAACTCCAGTAATTTCTTTCTCCACTTCCACCTCTCTTACTCTAAGGCTCCTTCTGCCTTCAGAGTTGGGTTTGTTCATCCAGGGCTGGAGTTGGAGAAGCCAAACTCCTGGAGGGGAGCTGCTAAAAAATGGAGCTCTGTCTGCTGCTGCAGGAATGTTGGCTCTATCAGGCTCACAAATATAATTTTTATATTAGACCATGGTCATTGACTGGGTTTATATGCCAATGAGGCATTTCTGGTTTACCAAATTTATGAAAATCTCGCTTTAATTGATAATCACAGATGCTGTAATTTAAGACCTCCAGCTATAGAGCTTTCATATTAACTGCTGATATATTACTGTAAATCGTCTGAAATAACCAACTCCTGGGAGCAGAGCAGAGAGGGAGGAAGTGCCTCCGAGAGCGACTCTCTCCCGGCCGGCCGCAGAAACAGCCCAGCTTCCACATCATTTTCCGTGAAAAATGATTTATCGAAGACATGGCCATAAACAACACAACTCGCTCACAAACACACGCAGACGCGCACGCACACACACGCGCGGACACACACACACACAATGGCTGGCATGCCGGCTGAGAAGCTGACACCCATATTGCTATAAATCAAGAAAAAGGTTGGAGGACAGAGGGAGAGAGGGAGAGGGAGGGAGGGAGAAAGAGAGAGAGAGAAAAGAAGAATATTCCTAAAATCTCTATGCAATGCCTCAATGGGCATAAACACACAGAGCACCGTGTGAAGAGAAATGGCAGGAAATGAAGATGGCTATTTGTCACATTTTACGACAATAACATTAATAACAAACAATAAATTTACATGGACATATAAGACGCGGTAGGTAGTGAGAAATCCCTTCTACTTACAATACCCCAGCCCGCGGTGTGGCTCCGGCTGCGGGGCTGTTTTATTGCTGTCTCCCTTTCTTTCTCTCTCTCTCTCTCCCTCTCTCTCTCCCCCCTCTCTTTTTTTTTCTCGGGGTACAGGCTTGTTTTTCAAAGGACAGTTGAATTGCACGTCAGAAACAGGGAGACCGAGCCTGCGATTTTCCTGACGAATACATATCTATTCTGCAACCTCGGCATTAATTATTTAATGAATCACGTGACCGGGAGGGGGAAGGGGGTCTTTCGATTTCAGGCTCAAAGGACCACTATGACCTTCCCCTTCAGGAGGAGAAATTTTCCTGCAAAATAAGTTCCCCCTCAACCCACCAATGGAACAGTAGTGAGGTCTCCGTCTGTCTCCCACACTCACATCCATACCTACTACATCTGCAGCTCCCTAACCCCCATGGACACACACTTACCCACAGCCCACCTCTCCTCTCTCCCTTCTCCTCCTGCTTCTGCTTAGTTCGTGGAGGTGCAGAAATAGTCTGCAGGGGCGTCTAGGGGGTGGGGGTGGGGTGGGCTCAGAGCCCTTCTCCAAGCCCCTGGATTTCTCAGCTTCCAGTTCTTCTCTCTGCATCCTTTAGGATTAAGGTTCCCTCCCCAACTCCATTTTTTCCCCAACTCCTGGGGATATTTACTTGAGTGAGACCCACTCCCTCTCTTCCTAAATAATGGACAAAATTTCTGAAGGAGCCACTTTGAAAATAAACACTTCATAAGTCCATGGTATAAGTGGATAAATAATGGGGCTTCTGGCTTTATTCTCGTTTTGATCTTTTCTGGTACCTTTTGAAGGGGCAAAAAAGGGACAGGGTGAAGAGATTACTCTGGAGCTTCCAGAGTTGAGAATAACCGCAAGGGGGACTTTTTTCCCTGTTGTGTTGTTACTACTATAGGAAATCAAATGCGACTGACCGTTTGAAAATAGATTCTAGAGACAAAGACTGGGACTAAGGTTTCTACACAAAAGAATCGGACTGTCAGCCTCTCTCTACCTATGTCACACCCTGTCTCATTTCCCCCCCTTCCCAAACCCACCAGTGAAGACAGCTGGAGATTTGAACAGGAGAGGAGGGAAAAGAAAAGAAAAGCTTTGAAGTCAGCCTGGCAGCCCCAGGATCCCTATTTCCCAGGTGTTAGCACCCCGAGCTTCCAATCAACAAACAATGGAGGCTGATCAGTGGGAAAAAGATGGGGGATGGCTATGCCTGTTAAAGGGTTAAATACCAGGGACTATCTATTCCCCAGGCCTAAAGAGAGAGACACACACAGACCCCTTCAACTCAAATATAAACAAAATAAAACAAAAACAACCCCCCATCCAAACTTGACCAGTTACGTGCAACTAGAATCAGAGTTCTCGGCCGGGGCATGGGATGGGGGGTGGGGATGCAAAGGGAAGCAGAAAAGACATTCCTGAAGAAGTCGCAGCCTTATCTGTCCTCAGCAGCTCTGGAGGCAGCCAGGACCACAGCCTCCGGGGCAGGCAGGGAATCCAGGAAGAATGAGCTTCAGGGTACGGGAGCAGGGGTCTGAGGGGCCTCCCCCGGCTTGTTCGAAGGGGTCTAAACCAAAAGCAACTCAGTGGAGAGAAGGTTGAGGACCCGGTTGTCTTAACAAGCCCCAAAGAAACAGCCACCCCGGTGTCGGCCTCGGAGGTTCCAGCTACAGTGGCAGCTGCACAGCTTCTGCCCCAGCTAAGAGCACTGGAATCTGCTCTGGCCTCATGGGGTGGGGGCGCCGGCCAGGCCTGGACTCTGTAGGGGAGGTGGTCAGCTTTGATTGTCCAGATACAAAACACAGACTGGTATTGAATTCAGCCTGATCCCGATGTGGGCCCTGCTCCCGGCTCCAGCGAGGGCAACTCCCTGAAACGTTCTGGCCACAAATCCATTAAAAATGGTCCTCCAGAGAAAAACACTCTGCTAAAGTCTAAAATGAAAATAGAGAGAGAGCAGAGAGAGGAGAGAGAAATGCTGGATGTGGGAAGACAGCAATCTCTAAAACGGAGAAATAATTTTTAAGGACAAGAAAAAGAACAGCAAAATGACACGAAGGCACGCCAGCAGGTTCTGTTAAAATGACCATACTCTTTTCGGATCCTGGGAATGTCCACGTTCAAATAAACAAGCGCCTGATCGCGAGCCGAGCACTTTCTTGCTGCCGATAAAGCGAACGTTTACACTGTGAGAAAGGCGAGATTGATTTACGAATCTGAACGCGCCAGTTTTATGGCTGATCACAAATCCGTCAGCGCTCAACTCACGCTGAGAAACTTCCCAACTCCGTTTTCCAACCAGACCCCCTCCCCAGCTGCCGCTTCCCAGGGAGACCCACTGCCAGCGCTGGGGCCGCCTTCAAGGGCTCTGGCAGAACTGGGCAACCCCCTCTGCCCAGGACAGGCGGGTGGAAGTAGGAGGGAGAATGGGGAGGGCCGAGGGAACTGGGGAGAAAGAGGGAAAGAAGTCAAAAGGTTGGGAGGACTGGAGTGGCACTAGGATTGTCTGGAGTGAAGGAAATGGGAGATCTGGCAGTTCCCCTTAGTGAACCCCAGGCTTCCCTGACTATGGTCTCTCTCCTTTTCCCTTTGGTGGGCCCTAATCCTCACATTGCAGAAAGCAGTTTGTAAAGTCCTCGGCGACTAGGTCTTTGTCACTTGAGCCTGTAGAAGGCCCACAACTGGCTATCTGCCCTTACAGGTAATGAATACACATCTCCCTGAGCCCCATATATTTTTAGTCCAGGAGCAGCCTAGCTAGCTTTGTGCTCATCCTCTGTCTTTCCTGAGGCCTCCAGCCCCTCTACTTATGCCACCCAGGGACAAAGGAGAGAGTATCAACCACTCCAGTTATTTCTTGCCTGAGATAGAGTCCCCAAATGTCAAGAAACAATTTACAAAATGCAAACCAACAACCCACATATCCCAGCAAGGTTCTGTCTCTCCTAGTCTTAACTGAAGGGTAACATTTCATCTTCCCAGCCAGCGTCTGTCTGTATCTGTCTCTCTTTCTCTTTCTCTTTGTCTCTGTCTCTCCCTAAGAGGGTGGCTGCTGGTGTGGATTTTTAAGATACAGCAAACAGAATACAGTTTTTGGAAAGGCTCTATGTTCAGGGCTCACTGTTTGGCAAATCCTTCACCTATTTCTTAAAAGTTTCTGGAAACTTTGGCTAACCTGGGACAGCAGGCCCTGGAAAGTACTCAGAATAGCCTGCACTGATCCTCCTCCCATTTCCCTTGCTCCTCTGGTGGGTGAGGCACTCCAAGGGCTTTTTTCATTATTGAGGAGATTGAGAATTAGGGGAAAGAGGTAAAGGTAGTTATAGAAATAGCTTCCTCAACAAATGAACTTCAGAAAATGGGTTGACAGGCTGTGGATTTGGATGTCAGCCCTCAGGGAGATGACAGCCTCTGAAGCAATGTTCAGGGCGGATAAGCCCTTTCTCTCCTCGCAGCCCAGGAGTTTATTCCCCTGGCCCTCTGAAGCCTTGTGGATTAGGCCCCTCCAACCTCTCATATCTTCTCCCTTTGTCTTTCTTCCCTCAGTTCCCTCCAGGTGAAATAGTAAAGAGATGAACTGGACCTGGGAGTGGTTGCGGGGAGGATGGCTGGAGCCTGGACTGCTGAAGGTGCTGTGTACAGAGAGACAGATTAGCACCCTACTTTCGTCCCCCAACTGGACCCTTGGGCTAAAAATCTTTACGTTTTTTTCCCCCAGTGGGCAGTAATAGAAAAATAATCCAAAATTTCCAAAATAGCAAAGATGGGTTTGGGGCCTAGAGGGGGATGGAGAAGATGGGACATATGATGGGCCAAGGACCCCTCCCTGCAGAGGTGTGACTCTCCCTCCTGGGCAGGAGGCAAATGCCAACACAATGTCCAGTCTCAGCGAGGTCAAGGGGCTTCCGAGGTCATTTTGTGGTTCTAATACTGAGCTAATCGCCTAGAAAACGTGGCCTCTCCATGAACTCTCTCTCCTGCCAGCCTCCCGCCTCCAAACCCTAAGTGAGGCCTCAGGGAAAAAGGGCCAACACATTCAGGTCGGCTGCAGAGCCCACTGACTCCCTCAGCCTAAGAAACAGGGCTGCAGAGGAGAGAACAGAGACCTCAAATTAGGAGAGCAAAGGGAAACCAAACCAAACCAAACCAACATTGCTCCTCCAGGAAGAAGGCTGGGGGGACAGAGCAGAAGAGAAATATTTCTGCATCAGTCCACCTTGTCTGTGAACTGAGCAGTTTCCTGCTCCAGAGAGTAGCACATATTTGTCTAGAATCCCAAGCTAGACACAAGAAGAAAAAAAAGAACATATCCACTTATACCCGCTCCAAAGCTGGAACATTCCATCCAAGCACTGGATTTGATTTTTCCAAGAGGCAGCAGTGACAACGTCTCACTGGTAAACAGGCATAGGGGACACCAGTACCCAGTGTAGACAAGCAGAGTCACAGGAACACACCGACCACATGTGGACCTCACTAGACACACCCATGCACACATGCTGGGGCTCGCTGTGCCTGCCTGCATTTTCCAAAACCAGAAAAGCGCTTCTGAACTGCCTCACAAAACAACCGTCTTCTCTGGGGTTTTTCATGGGCCCTGACACCTCAGTCCCAACCAGTTCAAACACTCTCCAGGTGTCGAGGCCCCTCTTTCTCTCCCTCTGACCCAAGCATCAGTCATCATAAAAGGGAGCAAACCTGCTGAAGCATCCACCATAAAAACCCAGCCAAGAAAGTTAAAAAAGAAAAAGGAAGAGGCGAGAGAGTGTTTCTTCTTTCAGTTGTGAAAAGAGCTCATAAAACGATCAAAACACGCCAGCCCGGGCCCGGGCTTTGTTACCTTTGCGCCTCTCGCCTCCTCTCGCCCGAACTCTGCAGATCCCATTCATGACGAAGGGCTTCTTCCAAACTGAGAGAAAAAAGTTTTCAACTTTATGGTTCCAAATTTTTTCCCCCTTGCAGATCCGGGAGAGACGGCTAACACTTTTTTCCCCCAACAGCCGGTCCAAGGAGATTTGCTGTTGAATAATAACAAAGGAGAGAGGATACGTATTTAAAGAAAAGAAGTGATTAATGGTTTTCTGTATAATTCTCACATTTTTCTTAGCTCTTGTCTACACAGAATGGCTGTGAACTTTAAGCTCCATAGAAATCTTTTTTTTTTAAATTCTATTCATACCTTCCAAAGAGCAGCTTTGATTTGGTTCTTTAGAGACATTCCTTAGGGGGGCATATGCTTTTTAAGAACTATTTTCCCCCTCAACTGGGGCTGCGGCATCCCCTTGCAGCTAAACCACCACACCGCAATCCGACCGAAATAAAGCTCGCCCCTCTCATCCTCCAGGTCCACGATGATTTTTTTACGAGTCTCCCAGCAGCATTTAAACGGACAGTTCAGCAGCTCTTTTGCGGCTGGGGACACCGGCCTGTCGGTTCCCCCTGCCCTACCCAGCCTCCAACTACCGGAGCTGCAAGCTGGAGGAATGCAAAATAAATAACAATAAAACGCGCGGGTGGGATTGGTTCTTTTTATTTTCTGAAAGGAGATGGGACTGAAAAAACGACTTTTAATTGCATATGCTCTCCCGAGCCCCGAGCTTTTTGGAGATGTGGTGGCTGCACCCTGGATGACCAATAGACCAGAGACCCTGAGGCTGGAGCCCCCAGACCTTAGAACTTCCAAGCAGTGCTGCACAAAAGCAATCTGAGCCTGACAGAGCTTCTGAGGGTCACCTGCACCCCTTTCCCCTACCCCCACTCCATTCTAGGGGTGACTGGGACCTCAGAGACAGAAAGCTATTTGGTCCCCAGTCATACTTTCGATACTTTCTATGAGAAAGAAAATGAAAATTAATACTGGAGCAAGGCTTCACAAAAGAGGCCATTTGTCTTCTTGATTATCTATTTGCTTGTCAGAGTTTGAGCTATGGCACTGGCTAGCTTCTTTGTAATATAAAAATACTCTGAAAACCTGCAAACACCCAGAAACATCTGTGCAAAAAATTATACTCATTAAAGCCTTAAACACCTCAGAGGAAAGCGATACCTTCTTATGCTGCGAGGAAAGAGGCCAGCCTCATGGAATCCTCTCTCGGAACTTTAATAACCAAAGAGCCTTCTGTCTAAAAGGAGACAGCTTAACCGCATTTTATTTGCTTATGACAAATAAATCACGATATGAAAGGCTTTGCCGTACTTAAGCCTCTTGTGTCCTACAATGAAACATTTTCCCCCATTAGGGACTGGAATCAGCCTTCCCAGTCCTTTCAATCCATTTTTGGACTGAAGGGAAAAAATTAAAAGCCCCAAAACAAAACACACCCACCCTAAAAGGAAAACAAACCAGCCACCACAATTTGGAGTCCTCTGAGATAAAAATTCCCATCAGACTCTTTGAAAAAAATCTTCAACCACACACAATGTGGGGCTGAACCCAGTAGGGTGCTTAAAATATACACTGGGTGGCATTTGTCCATATCTTTACGCCAATGTTTCAACAAAAACACGCTGTGCTGGTCACAAGAAACCAAACATTTATTTCTATTGTCACTCTGTACAGCACACAGATATTCACACATACGAAGGGTTCTAGACTCAAGCAGCCCCAGAGGTAGGAAGGGGCCTGGTTTTGGAATGTCAGAAAGAGAAAAGGAGAGAGGACTCACATGACACAAAAAAATAGTAATAATAATATTATCAATAATAATAATAAACGATGCAACATAATAAACTATGGGAGAGGGCTCTGCAACATCCTCCTCCCAGACTGGGAGGGGCACATTTTATTTCCTAGTTTCACATTCATTTTCAGTCTAGGAGAGAGGCTTCTGCTGTACAACTCTGGACTGGCAGAGTAGTGCCCAGCTCCCAGAACTCAACTGGCCCCTCACCCTGCCAAGCATGGCTTGGCTTGGCCTTTCAGAGGAAGGCCCTCCCGGGTCTCTGAGTCTCTCTTTTTCCTTGGACTCAATTTTCCTGCTCACTCCTGAGTTGTCAAGGCCACCCCCTTCCCTACTTGCTCCCCTCCTCTGTTGCCCACCCCCAACCCCACGGTGGAAGTGGGTGAGCAGTCATTCTGGCCCTCAGTGAATGGGCACGAAAGATGAGGGAGAGTGTGTGTGTGTTACCGTGACCAAAACACTGCACTATCTGGCAGTCAGAGGGTGCTTTCGCTGGGTATCGGGAGTGGGGGACAAAGAAAGGAAATCCAGGCTGTCTTCCAGCAGCGGCAGTAGCAGAGGCGGAGGCGGCCGAGCCGGGCCTCATTTGTTAGCGGGTGTCGAGGTAATGGTCGCCACCGAGGCCCGTCTTCTCCTCGGCAGAGGAAACAAGACAGATGGGCCTGGACCTGGCGTGATTAAAGATGAAACGTGGATCCATCTTCGCCAAAGCTGAAAACGAGGAGCTGCAGCCTCCTCCTATTTCTCTTTCTGTCTTTTTCTTTCTTCCTTCTTCTTGCTTTTTCTTTTTCTTTTTTTTAAGAAAGAAAGCAAGAGATTTGAATCTTGCTTCTGGGGGGGCCTCCCCGTGGCCCTCTATTGTCATTTCTATAAATAAAGCTTCCCCTCCCCCTCTTCTGCGTTTATTCGTATATAAAGTGTGGGGGAGGGCAGATAGATTTTTCCGGGGCCCAGGCCCCAGGGCCCCCTCCTGTCCCCCCACCCCATCCCCTGCACTCACTGCCCACCCCCACCCCGAGGTTCGTGGCTCCCGCGTGCGGGGGCACTAGAGCGCGCGGGGGCCTCCATTGGGCCGGCCAGGGGGCCCTCCGGCTGAGCCTGCCGCACCACCCGAGCGGATCTTGGTGTTGGGCAACTTGTGGTCTTTTTTCCACTTCATGCGCCGGTTCTGGAACCAGATCTTGATCTGGCGCTCGGAGAGGCAGAGCGCGTGGGCGATCTCCACCCTCCGGCGCCGTGTCAGGTAGCGGTTGTAGTGAAATTCCTTCTCCAGCTCCAAGACCTGCTGGCGCGTGTAGGCGGTCCGAGAGCGCTTGGGCTCCCCGCCGGCGTAATTGGGGTTTACTGGACACACACGGAGAGAGGGAGAAAGAGAAAGTTTTATTGCCCCCGAAAGAGAGAGTCCTTTCTTCCAGGGAACACAGCGTTTCCCTCCCTCCCTCTCCCGCCACCTCTTCTTCCTTCTGAGGGAGAGCGGGGAAAAACGAAAAGGGAAGAATGCAAGACCCAAGAATGAGAAAGAGACCTCCAAGTTTTGGAGGGCTGTGCTGTGTCCTTGTTTGGGTGTGTGGTGGGGAAGGGGGGCGTGTGAGGACTCCCCCAAGGTTTTAATTGCTCCTCTCTCCCCCTCAGCTTGGGGCCCCCAGAATGGGAGAATGAGGGGGTGGAAGAGGGAGGGGAGGTTTCCCTAAACCTTTCCTCTGTTTAGTTCCCACCCTTGCTGCTCAGATTCCAAGCAGTGCCTACCCCTACTGAAAACTTTTGCTCACTTCTCCAGCCAAGGAGTCAGACTGGAAGAAAGGAAAAAATAAATACTGGGAGTTGACTCAACTCTCTGCTTAAATACGGATTACCTCCTCCTCCTTCTCCTCCTCCACCTCCTCCACCCCTCCCCAACTTCCAACTTCATTAAGACTGTATCTCCCTGGCGAAAAAGTCGCTGGTGAGAATGGTGAAGAGGATGGGGAACCTACTTCAAAGGCGCAGGGCCCACCAGGCCATAAAAATTTATGGGGGATGTAATTATGTGGCTCTGAAAACAGGCGACCGTAAATCTCCGGCAATGGCGAGTTTATAGCGGGGACAATTGGCTTCCCCAGCTCAACCCCCCCCCAACCCATGCCTCCGAAGTCCCTTTGGTGTAAAGCTCCAGGGGTGGGAGGGGGAAGGGGTGCCCACGCACTCACCCGTGCTCACGTGAACTTTGCGCATCCAGGGGTAGACGACGGGCTCTTTGCACGCGGAGTGGGACGGGCTGGGGTGCAGGGGGTTCTGGGCGCAGGGAGGCGGCGGGGGGCTGCTGCTGACCGCCTCGCAGCGCTGGCCGGGCTCCGGGAGGAGGGCCCCGGCGGGTGGCGGCGCAGGAGCCCGAGGGGACAGACCGGGCGGTGGCGGGGGCGGCGGGGGTGGTGGCGGAGGCGGCGGGGGCCCAGGGTCCCGGCAGGCCGCGTAGCGCTGCACGGTGCACGCCGCGCGCCGCCCGAAGCCCGCCTCCGGCTGGAAGCTGCTCTCTCGCCTCTGGCCGCCGGCGTAGTACCCGGGCGAGTGGTCGCTGGGTAGGTAATCGCTCTGTGAATATTCCTCGCATGGAGGGAACTTGGGGTCGACATAGTTTGAGTTGATCAAAAAAGAACTCATAGCCATTAATTTCTGGGAATTGCCCACAAAATATACTAAAATTTATTCCGACCCCTGACTCGTTTTCCTGTTTCCGAAAGCCCTCCTACTTACTGTCAAGTGAACAAAGTTAGGCGCCCACGTGATCCTCCGAGCCAATGGCCGCCCCGCCTGCGATTCCCGGATAAGGAAATCTGCTCACCCGGACCCCACTCCAGCCAAAGAGGTTTATTTCCCCTTCTTCCCTTCCCCCTCCCCACCCACCCACCCAACACCAGGATTTACATAGGGCTCCTGCGGGGCGACCCCCTCCTTGCCTCGCTCTCTCCGGGATCAGAGAGAGAGCGAGAGAGAGAGCGCGCGCAGGTTGCGACTGGAGGGCCTGTTGGGGCGCTAGGCAGAGCGCAAACCCTAGATCCCTTAAGAAGTTGGGGCTCCCGGTGTAGCCCTCCTGTTCTGCCTCACCTCTGCCCAGCATTCTGTACCTTCCAAAGGCCCCAGTCTCCTCCCCTCGGCGGGAGGGAGCGCTAGCACCCTGCGTCTCTATGGGGAGTTAGGTTACTGGCGGGTTGGGGGCTCCGTCTCGAAAGGGGAACCCATACGGGGGCCAGAGCACAGAGCTTGGGGCTTTTCTCTGCAGCTGGATGGGGAAGGGTAGGGGTGAGAGAGGAGGCGTCCAGAGCTAGAGGGCGGGTGCGCAGAGGGACTTGTCAGAGATGAATGGAACCGCGGGCGGATCGATAGGAAATTCATGCACTAATTCGGGGAGACTTCGCCTTCCAAATCTCATTTAGCTGCACGGTTAGCTAGACTGTGTCCGTCAGTCCGTCTGTCCCCCTTCTCCTATCCACTCCTCCCTTTAACCCACACGGCCCAAGCCTGGAGAAACGACTTGGTTTCCCACACTATAGACAGAGCGCTGGGGTAAAAAAACCTGCAACTTTTGAGAGCAAAATTGATTAGCAATTTGCTAATTCCATAACCACCCGAGCAATACTAACCATGGGTCCGAGACGTTCTAATTGTCGCCGCCTCCGCGGCGAATAGAAATCTCACATCCCTTTGATACTGGGGATACAGCCATAGAGGTGACCCACACAGACAATAACACTCCTTGGTAATCGAGTATTTCCAGGTCATCTTGTTCTGAACTGAAACGGAAAGGCGGCCTCAGCATCCGTTTGTTAAACAAATTTCCTTTGCCTTCTTCGCACACTGAAGACAAGTCATTTTTTTTCGCAATTTCCAATAAAGCCTCCCTGAGCCCAGAATAGAAAATGGGTGCGTTTGGGACGAGAAGATAAATTTAAAACTTCAACAACAATAACATTAACCTCTTAAAGAGATGTGAAAAGGGACCAAGGCTCCCAGGGGCAGGCGTGGGGAGAGTTCAGGTAGATGATTTCTCCATCTCTAACCAGTTGAAGGAGGAAAAGATAGAGGAATAAAGAGGAAGGAGTCTTCGTGTGGCCAGTCACCAGACTGTCCTCATTCAGAAAAATACTACATATACATATATATATATTTTTTTCTTCTGGAAAAATAAGAGCGGAGTGTTTATGTCAACTACATATTCCCCTAGATACGAATTTGTGACCACAAAATTCCTTACACAAATTCGGATCTACAGGGTATATACAGAAGACAGACAGATCTTCTTGGCCCAGAAATTTTCCAGTTCTCCTACTTTCCGCGCCTTCTTCGTTTGGGGTGTGGTTTGAGTGCTTTGGTTTTATTTCGTTTTGTTCTAGTTTTGAGCTCTGGGAACAGAAAAAGGCAGTGCGAGTCTGTTCTTGGGATTACAAGGTTTTCAATTCTCCTCTTCTATTAGAATTTCAAGTAGCCAGTTCGCAAAGGGACGAGAACCTTGCCTCCGCCGCCGCCGCGCAACTCTCGGTGGCGCATGAATTATGAGATGTAAACATTAGCTAAGCACAAAAGGAGGAAGGGTCATTCTGAGGCTGCCACGAAGTCAGATTCAGGCCTTTCTGGGTGCCTTCGCGCCCCTCCCCTCCCCCCAGGACTTTTTTTTTTTTTTTTTTTTTAGAAAAAACAAAACCCCAATCGGCTCCTCCGTGCCCCTCCAAGCCTTTAGTTTGTGATCAAACGAATATCTAGATATTTTCCAAAGCGCCTCTCAGCGAAGGGAGGAGGAAGAGGCGGCTGGGTGTGAAGGTGGTGTAATAAAAGTCCTTTTGGAAAAATTCAGTGGTAAAAAGAGAGAGAAACAGCTGTAAAGAAAAATGCTGGGAGACCAAGCAGATGGGGCCCCGGATATTTAATGACGGGCAATTCCGTTTACAACCTGAGAAAAGATCAAAGGCGTTTCATTTCCGAATGAAGGGCAATGAGGAACCATAAAAGATGCAGCCAGATGATATAGGGCCCCTCCCAGCCTCTCACACATCCTGGGAGCCAGGAGAGAGGGTCTATCCCGGGGAGGTGTGGGGAGGAACCCCATTTCCCCACCTTCCTAGCCCCAGACGGGTCCTTTCCTTCTAAACACATATGAACTCGCCTAGCCACCTGCTTGGGTTGCTGGTGGTAGGGCCAAAATGGGCATCTGGGGTTTACGAACCAACTTTCTGAAGCTCCCAGAAGCCGTGAATTTACTAAGCTGAGAGTCTGGGGATTGGGCTGGAGGGAACTGAGACTGTGAAAGCTGTGACAGAGTAAGGGAAAATGTGCATAGAAAAAGCCTCCACCCCACCCAGACTCCCTACTCAACTCCCTAGGTCTGAGAAATACTTGCATCTTTAGTGAGGAAGTCAAAATAATATCAATTTCATTAACAAATACAGGAACAACACAAAAACAACCCTCTAACTGCAACACTCCAGAGATCTCTGCCTATGCCCAGTCCTGGGACCTTGCAGGTGGGTAGGAGGAGAGTTCCCACCTGCCCACAACTAGGTCCAGAGACCCTCTGATTTTCTTTTAATCTTAAATCTAGGAATTGCCAATGTTGGCCTCTGGGCCTGATTTCTAACATCAACATTCTCCCAGACAGGCTGAACTCACACATATTTGGGAGAAAAAAGCAAACTATCACACTATGGTTGTCTTTGCCAAGAGAGGGTCCAATAGGTAATCTCAGACCCCCATCTGGGCACTCAGGGAGACTAGAGTCTGGCCCAGGGCCCACAGACAAAATGCGCTGCTAGGATCCCCACCAGCTCCCTAGCGTCAACCAGGGACCTTTCCAAATCTTGTCATAGGCCACTTAGGGTCTCCAGGACCCACTCCAACGGTCCAGGCCCCTCCCCCACCCCATACCTCCTGTCCTTCTCAACTCGCCAGCTCTCGGAAACCCGTCCAACCCGTCGGCATTTCGGAAGTTTGGGAGGGCCGCTGGGCCGGCGGCCGGGCCTCTCTGCTGCTCTACACTTCACAAGGGATGCGGCCCAGGTGCCCCAGCACCCCAAGAGAGAGGAACAGGCGGCAGAGCCACCGCGGGTTTGGGTATCCTTGATCCTGGCGCCCAAGAGCAGAGATTTTTCTCCTCTGCGCCCTGGAAGTCACCACCTGCCAATCCCACCAAGGCGCCGCACCCCCCTCACCCCTCCAGCCGCCTGAGATGGAGAACAGGGTTTATGGGCGACTCCCAGGACGGGTTTCACCGGAGCGGGAGGCTGCCTCTCCCCTTCACCGCCCAGAAGGATACGAACAGCAACACGCATAATAGTAAAATAAGAGCAGGGGCTGCGCGCGAGCTGAGCCACCTCCCCTGCGCTCCCGGGTCTTTCCGTGGCTTCCCAGCCGCCTTCTCCTGGCAGCCACAGGTTGCTAGCGTGACCTCGCCCCTCCCAGCCACCCTCCGCCGTCCAGGCGTGCCCAGTCCGCTAGGAATCATCACCTTTTGTTGGCGGGGAGAAGGGACTCAGCGAGGGAGCGAAACCGAAGGCCCGAGCGGAGGCGAGTCCCCAGCCGGCCTGCGCACCGGCGGCGGCGGCGCGGAGGAGAGAAAGGCCCAGAGGGGGCGCGGGCGAGGGTACTCACCGGGAGGCTCCCCAGCCCCGCCGGCCGCCGAGCCGCCCGCGGACGCGCCGGGCAACAGCTGAGCTCTCTCCTGTCCACTATTGTGTGTCCGGAAAACCGGACCGCGGCGGCGGACACAGCCACGGGCTCCCTCAGAAGCCGGAACGTGACTTTTTTTTTTGGTGTGTTTTTGTTTTGGAAGCGCAAGTTTTCGTGTTAATCTCATACTTTGGCAGTCTTTGTTAAACAGCTAGGCGCGTCACGAGGCTCTCAAACATTTTAATAATTTTTAGACGCCGTGACCTGCGGTTCACCTCTCTCCCAGCCTCCCCCACGAGCAGGCAGTTACTATAATATGCTCGCGCAGTTCGCTGGGTCATATTGAATTTTGCGTAGGTCATTACTTGGGAAAAAAATGACAGAGCAGAAATTTGATTCAGCTCATCCTCTCCAGCTCGACTTTTCGCCAGAGCCTTCTCTTCTCTTCATCCAACCCCCACCCGAAAAAAGTCCCATTCGGATAGGAGTCAGTCGGCCACGCCCCTGTTTTGATTTTCCATCATTCCCATATTTTGTCAGCTCGGGTTCCAGAGAGAGTGTGGGGTTTCATGTGGGATCCTTTTGAGGCCTGAGAATGAGGCTGGCACGGGGAAAACTGAAAGCATGGCTTTGGGCACCTGGGCCCCAGAGAGCAGGCCTGAGCAAGAGGCCCCTTCCCTGAACCTTACCCCTAAATGCCTGTATGGCCAGGGCCCGGATCCCCACCCCATTGCACACTCCATCTGCTTTATTTGCTCCCCCAAGTGTCAGAGATATCCTCATTTCTACAAAAGCTTTGGAAGCTCCAGGGCCTAGAAATGACCACTCCACCTCTTGGGGCCAAGATTTTGGTCCACACAACCCAGCAGGTTTGGGGAAGATAGAACCCTGAGAGAGGTGCTGGGCTGGGCTGGTCAAAGCCGGCGACATAACTTTCAGAGCTTTAACTGTCCTTTAAATACAAAACAATAGCTTCCCCCTCCCCCCGAAGAATCGTTCTCATCAATACAGTAACACTTTTGCCTACCCCCATCACCCACACAAGGAGGTTCAGGAGCAGATCAAGAAGGCATTTAAAATAGTGAGATTTTCTTGGGTTTGTCTCTCCAGGATTAGAATCTGGTGGATTGCCTACAACACACTTCTCCCTTTCTCCAGCTTCCTAGGGTCCTGCAGAGGTGGGTCAGGTGACTCCCTTTCCTCCCAATTCAAGTCTACAGACTGAAACAGGGCTCCAGCCTAGTTGGTAGGGTGGTATCCTCCTAGTACGGAGAGGTCAAGAAAGAACTCCCCAAGGCACCCAGCTTGGTCCAGAATGGCAGAGGCCACTTCTTCCCCATCCTGGTCCTTCTAGCCCAGGACCTTGGGCTGCTCCAGTCTATACCTAAATTTGCTAACGTTCTGTGCTGGAACAGAAGGAGATGGATTCTTCAGTTCAGGCTTTGACATCTGTCTCTTCAGGACTCCAGGAATTCCTTCCTGGCCTGACACTGCAGAGAAACTCACCTAAGGACTAAGCAGAAATAGGGACCTTCACCCAATTGGTTTAGTCAAAACCCTGGGTTAAATCTATTTGAAATTTGATATTAAACCTTTGTCTCTTCTGGCCATGTTTCAAAAGGCATCTTTACAGAAACTCTCAGGTTATCTCCATCCTGGAAGGAAAAACGCCCACAGTGTACCTCCTATAGTAAATGCTTGGAAGAGCAGATAATGACATCTCATAATACAACAGTCATTTAAAGACCCAAAATAGACATATGCCCCAGTGTTATAATTACTGAGTCTCTCTAGGCATTTGCTCATGAGCTAAGTTTAATGTATGGATTCAAAGTTCATTTCAGGTTGTCTGTTTCAACTCCCGTAAAAAAGATCTCCGTGAGGCCATTTGGTATTTTTCCTTTGCATTTCTCCTCCCTCATCCAAATAGGAAGAGAAGGAGTCAAGATGAACACACAAATGGAGGCTTGGGAGAGAGTGAGAGAATTAACAAGCTAATCTTTCAGTAGGCAAGTTCTTAAACTGGAGCAATTTGGAGAGAGGAATGAGAGTTTGGAAAGGCTCCAGTGTTGGCCCATGCTCATGGACCCCACCTTCCTGACACAGCCTGGGGGTTAAGGGTTCTTGAAAACAGGCCTGCCTCTCCCAGGGGTGGAGGATTGAAAGAGCCAGTAGTTTGACCCCTTTAGGGCAAGCAGAGTGAGTTGATGTTGGTGAAAATCAAACCTTCACATTGGAAGTATTCTTTGGCCCTGCCAGAAGTCCTACAAAGACGTGGGGGTAATTTAATTGAATTTCTAAAATGTGTGTGGCTAGGAAGGTTTTAATTAAATTTAATATGGTGACTCAAAGATTATCTTTGGAAGAGAAAATTGCTCAGAGGGTTCACCACACCCTTAAGCGCTGTCTTTTCTACAACTCACCACCACCACCACCAGTCTCGCCCTTTTTGGAGAAGGGATTTTTCCTTCCTCAGTTTCCCTTCCCCAGATATCTGCCTCTTCGCTGCCCATTTCTGCTCCCCCACTTCTGCAACCCACAAGTCTTCCTTACCTCCAGCATCCCAGGCTCCCTCGTCCGTCTTCACACACATACAGCCCCCTCCCCCACCGCCCCACCCCGCCCCCGCCGCTAGTCGCCTCCGCCGCTCCCACTCACGCATGGTGTAAACTTTTGACCCTCCAACTTTGCGACCCCTCCGGCAATAACACTGGCCTCACCACCCAGGGTCTCATTCTGCTACGCGCCGGCCGCAGAAACCCCAGGGCAAAACGCTTTCCTTACCCCTCCCCCCTTCGCCAATGTCCCTACTACCCCAGAGCCTTAGACCTGGGCAAGAGGAGTCTTTTGACTATTAAATAACTCCTTGGAAAAAGACGCGGAACCCACCTCCCGCATTTTCAGCGGTCTCTTCTATTGGGATGCCTGGAAGGGCTTTTGACCACCCACCCTTCTTCATTTTTGACACCCGAGTGGGGCCGAGGTTGCCGGATGAGGAGACCTATGGCGAGCAGTAGAATGGGCTGACCTGGAGAAGGGCATTTCTGGGGTGAAGGGTGGAGAGAGCTTGGAGCAGGGGCTCCTCGGGAGCAGAAGGGGCCGCTGTGCTCACAGGGCTAGAGGGAGAGTTCAGTGTCCCAACGATGCGGGGGGGCCCGGGGCCACCTTGCGCGGCCGCTCGCTGACGCCTCAGAGGCCCCAGCCTGGCTGTGAACTTGGTCTAAGGCGGACTCTACTGGCAGCTCCGGGATGTTACAGCCTCTGCCTCTGGTCCAGAGCAGCGGCGGTGCGGACAACCCGTGCGCTTTCGGTTTCCCTTCCGCCCAAATATCGCCTCCCAGACCCCCACCTCTCCCTGGGAAGGATTTCCTTTCTCCCTCCTTGGGATCCCTTGGGATTCAGAAAACAGAAAAGAAAACGAATTAGAGAGATGCATGCACCTAAGGACAAGCCTGCAGGAGCCCCGAAATAGGGTATCCTCTATCATGCCTCCAAATCCCTCAAGAGGCGACGCCCCACACAGGCTGGCACTTTCCCTCCACTTCTCCCCTAGGTGTGCCTTTCCGTCCTGACTCCCCACCTTTCCAACTGGCCTGGGTCATCTTTTGGTAAGGCAAAATGGTCTGGGGCCTGCGAGGTACCTTTCCTCCCTAGATGCATTCAGCCCTACCCCACCGGGCTCCGAGGTCAGGGATCCAGGGATCGTTGCGACCAAAACCAGCCGCTGTGCTCCGAAGCCGCAAGGCTCAGCCCGGATCCACTAGGGGAGAGGCAGTCCAGAGGGCGGCCTCGCAGACTGGGAACTGTTTCCGGGGAGGAGAAGCTAGAGGATACTGCAGAGAGTGCATTTTTCTCTCCAAGAGGAACTTTAGGGGGAGAAGAGACAAGAGAGGAGACGCCTAAATCACTGAGAAAAGGAATAAGAAGAGAGGGAAGAGAAACGTTAAAACTTGGGGACAAGGTGCTTTTTGGGATCCGACAGGTTCCCGAATTGCCCGAAGTCCAATACTCTCCAGGCTCCCAAATTTCCCCTCTTCCTCTTGGAGCCTGCAATCAGTAAATTCGCCAAAAGAAAGAACGAAAGATCCGCCTAAACCTGCCGGCGTGCCCCCACCCCCGGTCTACAGAGGCGGAGGTGGCTGCGGCGGTGTGGCCGGCGGCGCGTAATGTATGCTGCAGCGGCTCGGAGCCCCACGTAGGCCGGCGCTGCTGCCCCCGTCTGCTGACCTCTGCATGATCCCGGACTCTATGAATTATTGATGAGATATGAGCGTTGATTTCCCCTTTCAGGATGCAAACTCCATTATATTGTTAAAATGGCGATTTAATCGTTGAGAATAGCTTTGGTGTGGGTTTTTTCCCCCAACTCATTTGCGCCTCCTTCCTTTTCATTTAACTCTCTTAATTAAATCCTTTAACAGATTTTAATCACTTTTTGGAGGGAGGGATAGGAGAAAGGAGAAGGCCATAAGACCATCACTACCAACAACAACGGGACGCTAAAGCAAAATAAAACAAACCAAATTCGAAAACCGTCATAAGCCTCTACCTTTGAGAAGTCGAAAGGAAGGTGAGGGGGGAGGTTAACCCCTCTAGAAAGGATGCTCACTAACCTCTGCTGGAGACAGAGCATTAGAGGGCTGGGGAAACCCACCAGAGACAAGGAAGAGTGGGGTGGGGCCTGCAGGAACGACCTGAGGGGTATTTAATCCCCCACCCCGCCAACCATTACCACCATGAGACTTGTGTGTGGAGTTGACTGTAGAGACTAAGTCATTTTTGCCCTTGCTGAGAACTCCAGGGGCTTCAAGCCTGGGGAGGGCCACAGGATTCATGTGCAGAGGGCCCTCCAATCTCAACCTCAGAGTCCCTTAGGGAGAAATATCCATTCTGCTTAAGGGGCCCCCGTTTTTCCCTTCCCCTCCCCAAACAGCTCCGTTTCCAGGCGGTGTTAATTAATATGGATGTGTAACAGCGCTGCAGCAATCAATAAGTCTCACTGTGGGCAGATCTCAGCCTCAAAATCCGATTACTCTGAAAAACTCCAAAAATGGGGAGGGTTACCAGTATCCCCTCCCTTAAAAGAGGGGAGCTCATTCTTGCTAGCCCTGTCTTCCGAGATTGACCAGGTTGGTCCCCCAAGCTGAGAAGTCCATGCTGGGGAGACTAGCCCTGGGAAGGGACTGAGTTTGGGGGGGTTGTGCTGAGCTTCTGTCTTCTCCATTGCTCAGAATCCTTGGCCTGCAATTCCCAGGGATAAAGGAACCAGGCAAGGAAAGGAGCTGCCTCTTAGATCTTCCCATTCTGCTCACCAGCCCTCAGAGAATAACTTCTCACAGCCAGGGAAGGGTTAAGTGTCCCTGCCACAGTTATGGAGAGGAAGCTGATGAAATATGGGCACTTGGAACTCCAGGCCCAGCTGGCTTTCCTGTTTACACTTCTTTATACTTCCTCCCACCCATTGGCCTCAGAGAAACAAAACAAAACAAATAACCAAATAAAACAAAACAAAAAAAATCAAAATTGAATTGTCCACCGAGTGGTGGCCAGGCTGGCCTCAGAGGGAAAAGAGAAACTGCAGCCTTAATCTCCAGCTGTCACCTCCTGGGGCCTGCCCCAGGTTGAAGATTTGGCCAGAGGGTACCGGCTTGGCTTATAGCTCAAGAGGTTGAAGCCTGGACTGGCAGGGAGAGAAAGCAGGTGGGAGAGGAGGGAGAGCAAAGCCCTGGAGAGAGTAGAGCAGCTCTCTTAGAGGGAGACAGCCTGGGAGGGCAGGAGGAGAGGACAGAGGTCTGGGGCAGAGGAGAGAGTTCTTGGCATCAGAAATCCCTTCACACCTCTCATTGCCTCCCGCAGCTTGTCCTGACTGGGGTTCAGACAGGACTGGGGTTCAGCTCAGGGAGCCTGAAGTGGAGAAGAGGAAAGCCCAGCCTAGGGCATCTTCTCCAGGACCTGCTTAGAGCTGGAGGAGACCCTTCAAGAGTTTGTTCACTGAGGTGGAAGTGGGCACCCCAATTTGCTCTTTGCCATCCTGGAAAATCCGACCAGATATGCCTAGTAGATGTTAGAGCCTACAGAACTGACATGAGAGGGGGCAAAGAAACAATTTTTCAGGAGCAGGCCTTACTATCTGGGGTTCTAGCTTCCAGAAGGGCTTTCAGAAAGGGAAGTATATTAGAGTGAGGCCAGGGGCACAATAGGAATGGGGTTCCCCTGGAGACCCAGGTCAGACTCTCCCTTGCAGAGCTCTTTGTCTGCATGTCTGTCAACTCCGTTGCCTTGTAGAGTGGAAGACTGTGGAAGCTGTGCCTCCAGCACTTCTTTATATTTTCAGTGGTGCTGGGGATCCTTTGGGAGATGACCTGTGTCTCCTTTCTAAGGGATACAAATGCCCTCATCATTCTTGGGATGATATGTCTTCAAACCAGGGTGACTCTGCTCTTAAAGCCTGTTAAGGATTTCCTGTAAGTCAGGCTTGGGCAGTGGATAGAGAGCTCAGGGAATAGAAAGTGGCTTCAGGAGAAAGAGGACAGGGGGAGAACTCCAATGTCCCTTAATGAGAAAAAGGGAGTCTTATGACCCCATCCTTGTCCCAAAGATCAGAAGCCCCTCGAGGTGCCACATATCCAATCCCAGAAACTACCTATGGCAGTTGGTGAGCTGAATCAAGGGATGGCAGGCTGGTGAAAGTAGGAGTGACAGGGTAGTTAGCCCCACGGGTGTTAAATTGGAGGGGGGTCAATTTGGTGGGGAAGAAGCCTCTGACTTTTAGAAGGGTGACTTTTCCCTAGAAAATAACAGAACCCCTGGGGATCAAATCCTGAAGTCTCTCTGGTTTATGGTTCTACAAAACAAAGGGGACTTTGAGGGTGTGCCCAGAAAAGAAGAGGGAAAAAGAGAGGAAAAAAGAGCACCTTTCCTATTTTCTCTTCCAGCTCCTGAATCTATTTCCTCCCGACAGTTGAGGGATTTGTATTCTTGAGCTGATTTTATTTGAGGAGGGCTTGCCAGAGTTCTACTTAAACACCTAACACCTCTAGGCAAGAGAAGAAGCTCTTCCCTTCCCCCACTCCTGGTTCAGGAATTAGGTTTTGAATTGGGGGAATTGCCCTCTCTGTCTGCTCCCTAGTCTGACTTCAGGATCCTACTTCGAGCCAAGGAGAAAGATTAGCTTGAGACCAACAGGCTGAAGGTGGAGGCAAAAGCAGCGCTGTGCTCCCCATCCCAGAGAAGCCTGATGAAGCCAAAGATAACCGGAGGGACCTCTTTTTATGGGCTTCAAAGATCGGAAAGCCAGAGATCACCCCAGGGCAAGGTAGCCCACAGCAGCCGCCTACCCGGTGCTTTTTCTCAGCTCAGATGTATCCAGATAAAAGTGCCCAGCGGTGCACCCCCACACACCTCCGACAAATGAATGTCATAAAGTTTCTTTCCGGAGGATGGGGGGATAGTTGTCTGAAGATATCCAGCAGTGAAGTGGCCCCCACCAATGGCCCCTTCTTTCAGCAATATACACCCCTCCTTCCTGGTCCCTAAATTTCCGCTGGCACTGAGGGAGCATGGATCCCCCACACAAACCCTTTTCCCCACAAAGTCAGACACTCCTGTTGGTAAAAATCAGGCACCCCCGACCGATGAGGCCTTAAGAAACTGAGAGCACTCATTTCAGGCACCCAGTCCCTTAGAACTGGGTGCATAAAACAGGCTAAATTTCCCCTACATCACCCCACAGCCCCAGGTGGAAACAAGTTTTCTTCCCCCAGTCCCAGGCCCCAGAATTGCAAGGGGTAAAAGCGAAAGCTGAAAGCGACTTACTGCGGGAATGCTGGCCTGGGCCGCCGCTGCCTTCTGGGCTGGTCCGGCTGCTCCAGGCTGGGAGAGTGCTCACCTACCTCTGCCCCCTTCCCCACCACAGCGAGCAGTTAAAGTGTCACTTAACATTCTGGAGAATGTGAAATATACTGCGCGGTGTCAACTCCCCAAAACCATAAAACTAACTTTATGGACCTCACGTGACTTTCTCGAGCCAGTGAGGGGTATCTGTCTGACTTCTCGGCGATTTTTACGATCTAACTTCGAGATAAAACCCCTATCCATTTGACATCTAAATGTCATAGCGACTTTTGGGATAGTTTGCTATCGACAAAGGGAGACAAAGTCAAGGGGTGAAGGGAAAGGAGGGCCAAGTAGAGCCTCCACGACCCTCGGCTTCCTCCTCACCAGCTCCCCCTCCCTCCAAGTCCAGTAAGAAGTTGGGCCAAGCTGGAAGGGATTGACCGGGTAAGTGTCCAGACTTGACTCTTGTGCTCAGGGTGGAGGCTGACTTGGATGGAGGTAGACTGGGCCCTAGCCCTGGGCCAGGCTGAAAGGGAACCAGGGGTCTTTCTGAAAGGACCCTAACTCCTAATCAAGAGGGAAGATCAGTTGGGCCCTTGGAGAGAAGGAGCCCTTGATAAGGGTAGGGAAGGCTGAGGGTGAGAGAAATCCTTTGAAATCCAGCTGAATTTTTTTTTTTTTTTTTTTTGCTTTAGTTGGTGGCAGAGCTGAATTGGGACTTGGAGTAGGAGACAGGGGGCTGGGCAGGCCTCTACCACTCCCAAAAGGCCAGGAGCCTCCTGCTGAGGACTTAGGCCCAAATTACTTTCCCAGAAGAGTTTTCCAGAGGCTTCCTTGGCCAGCTAGTGGAAGACCAGGATGAAGTCTAGCTCAGCCTTTCCTCTGCCCCAGCCCCACATGGGGTTTCTGGGCCTTGGAGTCCCCCAGGCATGAAGGTCTGTTCCCTGGCCCAAGCACTGTTGACCAAGCCAGTGACTTACATGGCTGAGAAGAGTTGTTGGGGAGCAGCCTACTTTTTCTTCCCTGCACCCCAGATCTATTGAGAATGGTGCAGGGTGTGCCCGGGATGGGAGAGGCAGACCCCTCGGAGAAAAGACAAGTGGAAGGGCAATGGAGTGGGGGAAACATTTATTTGACTTCCAGGAAAGCTACAAACAAATACCAAAAGCGAATCACTGAGACAGGCCCCGCAAAGACAGATTTCACACGTAGCACAGCATCCACTCGCTCACTACAAATGGTCTTGGAAGCAAGATGGGTAAGGGAGAGATGGGTCTGACCCAGACTATCCCCATATTTACAAGCTTTGGGCCCTCTAGCCAGACCCATGGATTCACAGAGAAATACACAAGACATTTTGCACTGAGGATCATTTTTGTTTCCGTATACTCCCAGACCAGGCCTTGTGGGGCCTACCCAGGCAGCAGGAACTTAAATCTCACTATCTTCTTTCTCTCTTCTCAATACCATCCCTTTGGTCCTCCCTAGCCCCTTCCCACCCTAGGACCAAGCCCCTAGGAGACTTGGGCCTAGGGAGTGAGGAGGGAGGAGGAGGAGAATGAAAAGGGACTCCATCTCCGAAGCCAGCTCAGCTTGACCCCACTGCGGCACTACCCCACCTCAACTGCTGCCCCTTACAGAAGTTTCCAGCTGAAACTCAAAATACAGCGATCATCTTTTTATAAATAAGTTAGAACACAGATGGGGAGGGGAGAGTTCACATTAAACATGCGAATTTCTTTTTTTTTTTTTCCTGGGGGAAAGACTGCAACCACAGACACAAACATTCAGAAACACTGGCGGATTTGGGACAAGCAGAAGGGAGTTGGGAGCATGGAAGGAAAATAATAATAATAATTATTATTAACAATAATAACAAGATAACCAGTCCAGGAGAGAGGGAGCCACAGGAAGACCTAAGACCAAACGAAATATCGTAACACAAGGCGAGGCAGGCTTGTGGGAACCGGTCCCCAGCGGGCGGCGGCAGAGCGGGGAGGATTGGAGGGGCCAGGGCTGGGGGTGGCACGGGCTCTTGGGCCGCTGGGCTCCTCTGGGCGGGCTCAGGGCTGGAAGGCGCTGCCAGCTGTAGCCAGGCTCATACTTTTCAATTTGTTGTCCTTCTTCCACTTCATGCGCCGGTTCTGGAACCAGATCTTGATCTGGCGCTCGGACAGGCAGAGTGCGTGGGCGATCTCGATGCGCCGTCGCCGGGTCAGGTAGCGGTTGAAGTGGAACTCCTTTTCCAGCTCCAGGGTCTGGTAGCGGGTATACGCGGTCCGGGCCCTTTTCCCGTCCGGCCCGGTCATATCTGGAGCAGATAGAGGAAAGCCGCAAGGCAACATTATTCCGGTTAAGGGAGGGGGCACTGGGTGGGAGGGGGCGGGGGAGCAGGACCCAGGCGTCCCGGCACCCAGCTCACCACAGCTCCAATCCTCTCTACTCCAGATGCCCACATTCAAGCTCGATTTCTGCACCCCTTTCTACTGCATCCCCCACTTCTGCAGGCAGCCAGTGCGCCCGGCTTTGTCTCTTGCTCGCTCCTAGTGCCTCACCCTTGGCTGGGCTCAGGCGGCCGCTCGCCCCGGGAGGGAGGAGAGCGGTTGCACTTTTGCCCCGGAAAGCTCCTTTTACTGTTCACCCCTTCTTTGCTAGCGACAGTCTCAAAATTTCAGGGGTAAGCAGGACCCTTCCCCACATTATATGAACCCCATCCTTTATCCTAAAGCTGGTTCAGCTGCGCTAATAAAAACCTAAGCCGAAGCTGGAAACAAATTATTAAAAATACCCCCCTCTTAACAGAGAGACCCTTTTTGGCTCTGTCTACGAAGCTATGAGGCCCCTCTTAGATACTTCTCCCCCTTAGAAAAATGAATCTATATTTAGGGTAAAGCCAAGCTCTCCTTGTCCCCCCGATCCCACCCCAAAACGCAGAGAAGGAAAGCCGAGAAGACAAAAAAGAGAGAGAGAATTACCATGGCTGATGTGAAGCTTCCTCATCCAGGGGAATATTTGCGGAGTCTGCCCCTCGGGCGCGGCTGTGGAGGTGGCCATGGGCTCTGGCTGCGCCCGAGCTAGGCTGGGGCTGCTTAGCTGGCTTGCCGCTTCCTCAGGCTCCGAGGACGCGCTGGCCTCGTCTATTTCGGTGAAATTGGCGCTGGAGCTGGCTGAGGTCGCCTGGTCGGAGGGGGACGAAGCAGAGGGCTTGGCGCCGTGGCTGTCGCCGTTGGTGCAGGGCAGGGACTCGGGCGAGGACAGGGAGCAGCTCGAAGCCGCTTGCCTGAAGCGGGGCTCCTGGGCGGGCGCGGGGAAGGCGCGCGAGCTCTCGCCCACCGCCCCAAAGTGGCTGGAGGAGGCCGAGGAGCGGTTGACGCTGAGGTCCATCCCATTGTAATTGTAGCCGTAAGAGCCGGTGTGCATGGCAGCGGGATCCCTGTAAGAGCCGCTCAGAGAGCTGCCACTGCCATAATTTAGCAACTGATAGTCCGGGCCATTTGGATAACGCCCCGAGAAGGAGTTTACAAAGTACGAGCTCATTTGGGTGATTTTGGAGGGCTTGATTTGTGGATCGTGGTCGTTATAACCCTGTGCTTCACGATTTATGATGTATTAATGAATTATAGCGATGCACTGTACTTCGTTTTGCTATGTATGCGGCCAAATATGGGGGGGGGGTTGGAAGGGGGGTGGGGGGCGTTAGGGAATCACGTGCTTTTGTTGACCAGTCGTAAATTCTCGCTGATGACCTCAAGAGGTAATTCATGCT
The DNA here is from genome assembly GCF_000001405.40 of Homo sapiens. Lineage (NCBI taxonomy): Eukaryota > Metazoa > Chordata > Mammalia > Primates > Hominidae > Homo > Homo sapiens. The sequence continues at coordinate 48,593,912 of NC_000017.11, forward strand.
CTATGGTTACAAATAATGACGATCCGAGAATCGTTAGGGCCGATTCAATGCGAGCCTCCGAGAGAGGGGGAAAAAAGGAGAAGGGGGAGAAACAGAGAGAAGGTTGGCTTTGGCCTCTGAGCAGAGCGCGCCACCTCCCGGCGACCGACGGGAGCGCGGGCGTGAGACCGCCATGGCGGCGGGCGGCTGCCTCCCTGCTGGCTCCCTGCAGGCTCCCTGCAGTCGCCGGGAGAGAAAGAAACCCGGCCAAGGCTCAGCCACAGGGTTGAGCCTTTTAGAGCAGGGGTTGGGCTTTTTACCCACTTTCTTGTGGGTGGGGTTAGCCTCTCTATTTGGTTCTTTCTCCCTACATCATCATTGTCGTTATTATTTTAACTTTGGATGAGAAGATCAAAGATAGAGTTGCTTTTCCCTTTCTTGGGCTTTGCAAGTCTCCGAATTGGAGGCGGAAATGGGGGAAGGGTTGGAAGTTGTGTGTGAAAAACAATTATTGCAACGGGTTTTCCCCAGGAGCTTAGTCCGGCCTGCATCCTGGTGGAACTGCTGTTACCGGTCCACAGCGCCCAGGCCGAGCCGGCAGGGCTGGGCGGGAGGCTTGAAAAAGAAGGAGAAGCGTTCACTTCTCCTGGGCCACTTGGAAGTTCGAAATCCCCTTCCGGACCTCCTTGGTGGTCCTTAGCCCAGGCGTGGGGAGTGACAGAGCAGGACAGGGACCCCAGAAACCGAGCACAGCTGGGGCTAAGCGGCCTAGTTGCCGAAAAGACTGCAGCGGCCACCGCGTCTGCTGCTTAGTTTGAGTAGTAACATGTGTCTGAGAGTTTGTAAAGCGGGATCCCTTCCCCTCCTCCTCGGCTATTGCATTCGGAGGCCCCACTACAGGTCCCTCACTCGCAGCTAGGCAGTTTGAGAATTTGCCTGGTGGCAGCCGCCTTCCCGGAAAAGGGGTTCCAAGGACCCGCATGCTTTGCTGAGCACGCTGGGCGGCCAGAGACCGCCGCAGCTGGTCTCCTATTAGGAGGGGACTATTTTCTTTAAAAATAAGAAAGGAAGCGAGAGGGCGGAGGAATAAAGGAAAACAGTGACCGCAGCTTGCCTTCTGGGTGCCGGTGCAAGCAGAGAGAGAATGAGCCATTCTGGGTTGAGAGGATGACACTAAAAGCCCCATCACCTGGCCTCCTGCCCTGGGGTCTCCAAGGAGCAAGGGAAAGTTGTGGCCTTCGGCCTGTGCCTGGCTGGTGGCTTTACATTCCCCTACTTGAGGCTGATCTCCTACTTGAGGCTGATCTGCTACTTGAGGTGGGAAGGGGCACCTGGAGCCTTCAGCTGCAGGGTGAGAGATACCCAGTGGCCCCATTTTTCAGTCTCCAGAGCCACAGGCCAGGAGCGGAGGGCCAAGGCTGGCGAAAAAACCTGGCCATGTGGACGGGCCAAAGACCAGGGGTCGCTGCGAAGGTGAGGACAGAAAAGCGCTGCAGAGGCCCCCAGACTATGGCTCCGTCTCCGCCAGAGAGCTTTAGGGGCCTCAGTGGCTCCCTTAGTGCTGTGTATACACGAGGAAAGGCTAGAGAATGAGAGGGACACAGCACCTCTCCATCCCCCAAGTCTGCACGGGGAGAAGCGGCTGTGAGCCTCAGCACCAGGGAAACGCAGCGCTGGGGCCTGGGCAGGACTGATCGCTCCAGCCTTTATCTCAGCTGTAACTTCCCAGTCGAACAGGGCTCGCTTCGGCGGGCCAGGGCTCTCGCCTTTGCTGAAGAATTCTGGCTCAGGAAAGATGGAGAGGCTGGGGGTTGAGGAGAGAGGAAAAAATGGCAGGGGAGGATTGGAGGTGACCGAGCGTCGAGTTTTCACATCTTTATTATTGTTGTTGTTGTTGTTATTATTATTATTATTATCATCATCATCATCATCATCATCATCGAAGTATTTCACGTCCAGAGCTAAGACAAGACTACAAACACAACACATAGAAAATTAATAAAATAGAACTTTGTTTTCTTCTGAGGCTCCTCTTCTTACTTCTAGGTAGTATGTGCTCCTTCCAGTGGCTTTGGGGAGGGGGTGGGAGAGACGACAGGTCTGGGATCAGGGAGTCTTCAAGGCCCCCGCTGAGGGGACAGCGAATCTACCATTGAACCGTGCACGGGGGACATGGACAAAATGAGACGCGACAGGGACAAGAGCATTTTGCTCTGCTTCCAGGAAACATCAAGTGAGTCCGCTCCTCAGTTCTCACCAGGAAGCCTGATCAGGCTGAGGCGAGTTCCTCGGGAAGGAAGGGCGCGCGGGATGCTGGGTGGGCTCGAGTAGTGAGGCCTCAGAGCACCCGCCGGGAGCTGTGCGGGCGGGGGCGTCCAGGAGAGCGCTGGGCCCCGCCTGTCTGCGCCGGAGAGCAGGTCTCCTGGCTCCCCCACCCGAGAGCCTTCCTTCCCGGGTCTCTCTGACGCCCTCGGCTCCCCACAGGCCTTTCCCCTCGCGTCCTCCCTCCCTTTCCAGCACCTTCACTCGGCCTGTTTTTCTTCCTCCTCCTCGGCACTGAGCTGAGACGCGCTGAGCAGTTTGCTCTCCTTTTTCCACTTCATGCGTCGGTTCTGGAACCATATCTTGATCTGCCTCTCCGTCAGGCACAGGGCGTGCGCGATCTCGATGCGCCGCCGCCGCGTCAGGTAGCGATTGTAGTGAAACTCCTTCTCCAGCTCCAGCGTCTGGTAACGTGTGTATGTCTGGCGGCCTCGCCGGCCGCTGGGCCCAAAGGAGGAACCTGTTACGCAGAGTGGAGATGCTGAGGCCTGCGGTCACCGGGCCCAGGACCCCCTCCCCTAGTCGACCCTCGAACACAGACTCCAGCCAGTACCGGGATGCCCTCTATTCTGCCGGCTCCCTTCCCCCGTTTCGCACTCCTCCAGCGCCCCCTCCAGATTCCCTCCTAGTCTCCTAGGCCTGTGCCGTCTGTCTAGACTCTAGATGGGGGAGGGGAGGAGCAGTTTGAACTCCCACCTGAGCCTGGGGGGAGGGGCTGGTCAGGTGTGTCTCTTCCTAGTTGCATCTTGTCTTTCCCTCCCTTTCCATCCATCTTGTTCCCACCCCCCGTCATCCCCCCAACCCAATGATAAATCCAGGCCGTTAATCCGTAATGACGTAGATCGATCCATAGTCCACATTAACGGCTCCTCACTTTCGAGTCCGGCTAATGGACATCAGTTGGGACTTAAGGCCAACAAATAATCCAACCTGAGACCCCGCGCCTGTTTCTCCCTCTCTCGCTCCGCCTGCTCCCTCTCTCTTCCTTCCCCTTATTCCTCCTCCCTCCTCTGACTACCACCCCTTTCCTGGTGCCTCATCTTGCCCCAGCTCCCCACCCACAGGGAAACACAGTCCCAGACAGACTCAACTCTTTCTCTTCAGCGTCACCCCCTACCCCCTTGCATGACGCACTCCGTTTTTAATGGAGCCGTCTTTGGTTGGGGAACCCTACCAGGGCTGGGAGAGGGGGGTTGGGGGCTCAAAGTAAAGCCAAGCCAGTGACTGCAGGCTCCTGCTCCCTTCCCTGTCCTGGAACCCCGGCTCTGGCCAGGCGCCCCAGGAGAGCACACTTGCTCCCCATGGCTCCCAGTGCGGCTGGGACTTTGCAAACTTTGTAACTCCTGCCTAATAGGGGACACAGCGAGAGACCCCCGGCCGGCGCCCAATCTTCTTCTATCTCCTAACTGAGATGCCCACCCAGCACCCTGTGGGAGATTGGGGCAGGGGGCGCTCACTAGTTCTGTGTCCCGGGGTGGGCGCCCAGGGGAGCCGGGGCGACGGCGACGGGAAGTCTCACTCACTGTTGCACGAATTCATCCGCTGCATCCACGGGTAGACCGGAGTGGAGCACTTCTGCTCTTCTGTCTCGCCGAACACGCTCTTGTCCTGCGCGCAGTCCGACTTCCGCGGCTCGGGGTGGAACGGGGGCTGCTCGTCGGCGCCGGAGAGTGCGCAGGCCGACTCTTTCTCGCGGTAGAAGGCCGGCGCCGGCCCGTAGTCGCAGGGCGCCGCTCGGCCGTAGCCACCGCCCGCCGGCGGGTAATAGGAGGAAGTGGCAAAGCCCTTGTCCTGGCCCGGCCCTGGCCCGTAGGGCGCGGGGTAATGTCTCAGCGGGTCCGCATAGCCCGACGAATAGAGCGGTAGCTGGCCCAGGAAGGACTCCTGCCCGCTGGCCAGAGTGACGGGGAAGGTGGAGTTCACGAAATAGGAACTCATTGGGAGGGGAGGCGCGCGCGGCCGCTGCTGCTCCGCCGGGTTTATGATTTGTTGTGTTTTATAGTCCGAGCGCCGCGCCTATTAGTAGTATATCCGAGATTGGGTTTTAGCTGAGGGGGGATGGCGAGGTGCCAGTGAGGGCCAGAAGGAAATACAACCATCTGATCCAACACTGACCAATGGCAGAGGCAGGAATTGTCAAATAGCACCCAGGAGGAGCGCAGCCCGCACGAGGGACCCGCGCACAAACCTATCAACCTTTTTTTTTTTCCTCCTTCTCCTTCGCCTTTCTCCTCTCTCCCCCCAACAACACAACGCGTCCTGTTCCACCTACGTAGGATCTGTGAAACAGGCTCAGTGCCTTTGAGGGAGGAGGGAACGTTTAGATTGAGACCACCCCACTCCCGGGTGATTAAATAAATATGTCTCTCCCCCACCCCACGCAGGATTGGAAAAAGTTAATTGTGTTTTCAGAAAAGTTAACCCCTGCGTTGCTTCGACCCCTTCTCTCCGGGGAGGGTTGGGTAAATGTCTCCGAATCGCCTTGAGAGAGAACTAAAGAAGGTTTGTTTCTAGGGTTTTGTGTCGGTAGAAGGTGAGAAGAGTTCTCCGCTAAGATAAGCAAAGAAGAAACACCCTCCTCCCCAGGTTTTGAACATCGTTTTTCCTGTTTATCAGATCTGCTCTGTCTCCTCCAAGCCTCGGCTTATTGTTCCTGCTTCTCCACAACCCTTCTGGTCTGAGGGGGCAGGCCAGATCCCACTGCCTAGAAGACCCAGAAGAGGAGGAGCTGGCAGGAGGGACTGAGCCCAAGCTTCCCCTTCTGACTCTGTGGCTAGACTAGGAGCTTCTTGGAAGGCGGCGACGAGGGTGGCTGCCCAAAACATTCTGCCTGGTTCTAGTATGCAGCTGCTCACCCTTGGCAGGGGAAGGGGCACTGGGGAAAGGGACTAGCCCTCTCCTCACTTGGTGATATGGAGTGAAGGAGTGAGGGGTATCCCTCAGCCTAGGTGGCTTTATTTGTCTGATCCCTATCCTGCCTGCAACCCTCACTCCAGTACCCTCTACAATCCCAAAAGACTTAAGAATAGCCTGGGCTATAGGATTTTCAGGAATCAGGGATGTCCCAGTAAATCTGGGCACAAGGAAGAAATCATTCTTCTTCCAGTTGTGGGCTTTGAACCCTCCTGATAGTTGAGGCAGTCAGAGACCACTGGGAAGAAATGCATCCTCACTCCTCTTCTAAGTCTCTGTAGGAGCTGCCAGTTCTTTTTAAAATTAATTCTTTCCCAAGACTTGGTTTTTGCTTTAGTTTGATAGGGAGAGAAGGTCGTTTGCGTTCTCTTGGGGACTCAGCAGGCTGCTTCCAGCCATCAGCCAGCATCCCCTCTCCCTTCTGTCTGTATCTCAGCATCGCTACAATTCCCTCCCACACCCCGTGTTTGTATCATCAGCTTTGCCGCCTTACAAATTTAGGTGTGTCAGAGAATGTATGTCTCTGGCTCTTTCATCCAAGGAAAATAAGCATTGAGCCCAGGCTGGGAGACAGGGCCACAGTGCATTCCCAACATTCTAATATACATACACAGGCCAAGTAGTGAAGGGTGACAACCTTCACACCTGGGGACAAGAAGGGGCCAGGGCATGGAACAAAGTCAGATGTCAGGCCAGGCTGACCCTCCTCTGCCTTGTCCTTCCTTTGGGCTCCTTTTTCTGGCCAAGTTCTGCCCACTGAAGATGGTACAAGACACTAGGGAAGGTGGCAGGGGACTGAGCTTGGATCACCAAGGGTGGGAACTTATTTGGTTGCAACGTGGTCTCCAAGGCTCTCTAAACTCAGGGCAACTTCTTGGCTGTACCTTAATGGCAAAATAGCCATCCCTAGATGGCCTCCAATTACTTCCTAACCTGACTCTGTGGGAGTGTTTGATAAGCATTTAAGAAAACAAATTTAAACCCCCTGATAATGAAGAAGGATAAATATTCCATATCTAGGTATGGCTGGGCTTGCTTCTAGAGAGGACTAGGGGCCATTTGAACAGGGGGAGAAAAGTGGGAGAGAGTACCTGCATGCACCTCCCTGCCTACTGCTGAGGCTGAGCCCTGGGCCTCAGCCTTCCCTGCCTCCTCCCTGCCCACAATGTCTCCATCCTAGCACTAAATAGTGTGGTTTTCTCAGTGAAGTCTGAACAAAATAAGATCTGGTGAGGAAGGGAGCATTTCCCTGTGTCAGAAGCAGGGAAATAATTGCCTTATCTTTAGAGTCACAGCCCCCAAATTAACCTCACCTCTGCAGGTTGCTTGTCTGGAGATGGAGCCACTACAGGCGGGCCTGGGCGCCTGGAGTCGGGCATGAAAGAAAATAGCGCCTCATCGCTCTTATCTAAGCCCAGAGGTATTTATGAGCGTTTATTCGTCTGATCCGTTTGTTTGGGAAAAAGAGCAGGCGGGCAGGGCAGGCCAGAGACCGACTCCTTTCTGGAGCCAGATCCCTACGAATCTGTCTGTGGTTCGGTCCACCGCCCTCTGTCTGTCTCCTTGGGGGAATATGTAAATACACAGCGGGCTCAGCCATCCGCCAGTCTGGGGTGTCTCTCCCTGCCTCAATGAGGAAGTGTGTGTTCAGAGAGATGGATAGAAGTGTGTACCAATTCTTGAGTACATAACAGAGGGATTGTACAGATACCCCACAGGCAGGATTTATAATTGTAATTTTCTATGCTGTGAGTCTGCAGTCCTGTGGGCAAGCTAACACATTCCAGCTCCCAGGAAAATGTTTCCTAAGTTGTGTTCAGTTCGGGAGTAAAATTCTTGATAGGTAACCTCAGGAGGGATATTTGCGTGTGTGTGTGTGTGTGTGTGTGTGTGTGGTGTGGTGTGGTGTGTGTGGGAGGGTGCTGAGACATTGTCCAGGCTTCCAATTTCCTCTAAGCTATAAAGCCCTCTCCCTCAGCTCTTTGAGGTGATGAGCACCTTCTCCCACCACCCCCAACTTTGGCTGGGGTGGGGTGGGATGAAAATATTTCAACTCAATTCTCGTCCTGGACTCTGTTTCTCTGGGTTTGGGGAACATAAATAAATGTTCCCAGGGGTACTGAGTGATCACTCCCATAGGTTGAGGGAGGCTGTTTAGATGAGACACTTTGCCCTAAAATCGGCCCCTCCAAATCAAAGTACAAAGACTTCATTTTCATTATGCAAAGGAGCGGCATCCTCTTTGATCTTTAGGGGAGTGAGCAGTAGTGCTGAACCCACTCTCCCGGTTTCCTACCCGCAGGTCCAGGGGACAACCTGAGGGCCCTGAAGTGTTTCAATACCATGTACCAGCTTGACTTCTCTACATGTCCTTTGGATTGCCCAAAAGCAAAATCTCAGAGGGGCCAAGGACCTTCTAGGGCTGGCTCCCTCAGGGCCTCCTATAGAGCAGCTCCTTGAGTCGGGCCTTATAGCCACCAGAAAGTCACCTCGCCGCAGGAAAGCTATAAAGAGCTGCTCCAGAGGCGCCGAAAGAGGGTGAGGGCTGCAGCCACAGTGTTTGTCCCCAGCACCACCAGGCCCCTTAACCTCGTCAGCTCCTCTAGCCCTCGGCCAGACTCTGGCAACACCTTGGTTTGCCTGGCACCGCAGGCAATTTCCTGGAACCCCACCCCCACCCAGGAACGGGGACCACAGCACCTTTAAAGGAACTGCCAGAGCTTCCTCCTACGGCTTGAAAGCCCAAGCTAATCAGTAACCCGTGAGACAGGGGCCAATATTCAAACGCTGCAGCAGAGGCGCATAGCCTAGCCCTGGCCACCCCCTCTTGGGAAGGAGGTCGAGTTAAGCCGGTGTGGAGGGTCCAACAGGAACGGAAATTACGACGGTGTGGTTCCTTAAGGATTTGGCCCCAGTCCCACTACCAAATTTTTCCCAAATCATATTTAGGTAGACTTCGCTTGAAAAGATCGAGAATGGAGGAGGGGATCGGCACTCACTTGCAGACATCAACAGTTTCCAGAAAATTCGGTTCAATTCCTTCACCACGGACCCACCAACCAAGGAGCTGGCAAAACCCACTAACCAACCAGGAGAACACAGACCCGGTTTGTCTTTTGACAACCGAGTGGAACTGACGGGGCCGGCGCCTGCCCTGCGGGTCCCCTCCCTTGGCTGAGAAGAAAACCAAATAAACCTTGAACAGCCTTGGCTTCGGATGTCTCAAGCGGCCTCATCCTCTCCCGCGCCTTGGTGGGGTGGGGGTGGGGATGGCGGTGGGGGTGTCGGCTCTGATCCCTCCACCCTTTGATTCAGGGCCCCTGCCCGCTGGAAGCAGAATTAGACCTTTTTATATATGCCCTAGAGGAAGCCGCTTCCCTTGCCAGCCGCCAGGTTTGGGGCTAGGATGGGCGGGGACGGGGGCAGTGGGAAATTGGGGATGATGGGTGGAGGAGAGACTTCTGTTCTCTAACTCACACCGGGGAACCAAGATCTAGCTGAGAGCGTCGGTGTGGGCCCGAAATCCCCCGAATCCCGTGGACCCTGCGAGGCCGGGGCTCCAGGCGTCGGGCACCTCTGGACAGTGTCGCGGGGCTTGCGGCGCCGAAGCCGCGTGTCTCCGAACGGACGGTAGATGGCAGCAGACCGCATAATTTGGGTCACAGCGAACTGTCTAAGGGAGGATTTATAACCCTCCAAGACTACAGGAGAAAAAGACCTTTAGTATGGGTGGGTTTGGGAAATTTTTCCCTTGAGAATAGTCCCCGAGTGCCGTGGGTGCTGGCGGAGAACTCTAGCTACGAAGCCCAGCGGTCCCTCCAGGCGCCCAGGCCGGGCCTGAACCTAGGGCATCTACCTGGGGCCACAGAGCCGCCTCTTCCGCGCCACAAGTGGCAGCGTCGTCCCTCTCCTAGCTTAGGACTGAGATAATAAATATATCCCCACTTCCAAAACGCCCCAGACCCTGTAACTCCGGGGCAACCAGAGGCCCGAGGCTGAATGTCCTGCATCTGGTCTTAAGAAAGAGAAAAGCAATCACATGTTCGTGCAAACCAGACTAAAAATCACAATTTCTCCTGCCCTCCACAGCCAACATCACTTATCTCTTGGCTGGAAGCTTCCCCAGAAGCTCCCTTACCCCATTTTTAAGTCCTTGCCTCAAGGCTGGCACCTACTTCCACCCCACGAGCTACTTTAGGAATCTCTGTCACCTGCCCAATGTTCTCCGCCCTCCCCACCCCCTAGAAGGCCTGACTGAGGGATAAAATTGGACACCCGAGGGACGGGACTGTCTGAGCTCAGTGCCAGTTAGCTTTTCAGTTTAGACGCCGCTAGGTCCCATAATTGGATTTTCTTTTTATTTTCTTCTTTCATTTCTTTCTCTTTTATTTTTATTTACAAGCCTAAAACAAAAAGGCACTTAACAGCTTCTTCACAATCACCATGTCTGGACCCAGGAAAGTTTGAAATGTTATCATATCAGACACACACATGGCAATTTTTTCCTCCACCGAAATCCACACATCCCATACCAATACAACGCAAGTAATAGAATCAGTATCACGCAGAAACCAACAGCTGTAACCTACCGCATTAAAACCACAAAACTGTCTCCCTGTAGAGCGAGGCTCCCTCCTGCGGGAGTGGCGAGATACTTGGGCATTCTCGGGCAGGCTTCCTGGTGAGGGGGGAGTCTCCCTCATTTTTGGTGTTTCCACCCACAGCCCTTTAATTTCAAAAATGTCTCCGAAGGGAGATAGTAAACATTTCTCTGTAAATTGTCTTTTCTGTGTTTCTCTAGCCGTTTCCTCTCCCTCGCCGGCCTCGGCGGAGATTCCAGGCCCTATAGAAACCAGGACGTCCCTTAGCGCCACCGCCTCACATGCCAGTGCTGCCGGGAACCCAGCGATATCCGCACCAGGCAAGAGAACTGCGCTGGGGCAATAGCCAGAGGCCGAGACAAGGGAGGGATGGCAGGAGGGGGAGGGGCAAGCCCGCGGAGGCCAGAACCACTGGCTTCTTTGGGTGCCACTGAAGCCCAGATACCCCCCATCCTCTCTTTCGCACCCCCCTTGCTTGAGTCTCTCCTCCAAGCTTAAAAAGGCGACTTAGAGCTGGTCTCCTGGCCCTCTTTTGATTCCTCTTCCCGCTTTCCCTGCCTTGGCTCCCCCTCCAGGAAGCAGCCACCCATATCTCCACCACTGAATTTCCTGGGAAGCTTCTCCCTGCAGCGCCCAGAGGTGGGGTTCAGCCCCGTCTTGGAACGGGGGAGGAGGGAGAAAAACCCAAGCCCCACCCCCACCCTACAAAAGCGATGCAAAAGAACAAGAAGAAAATTGTAGAATCTCCCTTACCTTTGCAGACCTTGGGATTTTTTCCCCCTCCGGATTTAAAGGAATGGGTGGGGAGGAAGGAAGGAGTATTCAGTTTCTTCTTCAGCTTCCAGATAATATTGTCCCAACGTGAGAGCCGTTGCTTCCCCTTCTCTGACTTGGGAGAGAGGGTGTTTCATTTTTCTGACATTTGCATAGAAAATGGAGTAAGTTCTGGCTTTGAAAAATAGTATCGGGCTGCAGTCCTGGGCAGATTGTCCATTTACCCTCCATGGTGACTAAAATCCCAGATCAGTGAGCAAATTAACTTAGGAATCAAAATTATTTTTGGTTCTCTCTTTGTGTAATTCCCACCCCTCCTTCTCTCCCTCTCCCTCTCGCGCTCTCTCTCTTTTCTCCTCACCCCCCTCTCTCGTCCTCTCTCTCTTTTGCTCTATCGAGCTGATACTGAAGTACAAAAATATCAAGAGGCTGGAGCCCTGAAGGACGACAGTGCTCCGACCTAGGTGTGGTGTCCAAAAGAATGCTGCATTATAACCACCAGGGAAATGATAAAAAGTTCATGTTCACGATCGCCCGGCCACATGACCGGCGCCGGCCAATCGCTGGATTCAACCACTCATAAACTTCTATCACAAAGTTGTAAATTTTCATAAAACAACAAGGAATTTATTGCATTTCTTCATGGCTGCTCCACCAGCAACCCTTTTCTCAGTCGCCATCTTCTTTTCTTCTCCTTCTCTCTTTTTGGGGAAACCCCAATCTGAGAAGGGGTGAGATTTGGGGGGGCAGGAAATCAGAGTGCAAAAGCCATAACGGTACAGCTGGGAAGGGGGTTCTTTTCCGAACCTCCCCACTCTCCACAGGAGCTCTGCTCCCTCTTCTAGTAAAGGTCTACCCCAAATCCTCTGCATAGGGACTGTTCTGAGACAATTTTGGGGTGAGGCAGGAGCAGGAAACGGTGTCTAGAGTTGCCACCTGCATAAGGGCAAAATGAAAGCTTCAGTGTCCCCTCTCCCCCTCTGAACTGGCCCCCTCATTCCTAGCCCTGTAGACAGCAGGACCCCCACCTGTGAGGCTTGCAGCATTGCAGGCGTGGGGGCCTTAGATTCCCTAGGGCTTAGTTTTTGCCCCAGGAGGAAAAGTGGCCTGGATGGGGGCCAAGGCAGATAGTCTGACAACCTGATTCTCGCCTCCGGAACCCAGAAACTGGGGGAGGGTAAAGCCGGATCCTGGCTTCTCCCGCCCAAATGCAGGCAAGTCCAGGTTTCCTATGACAGCTCCATGCGCTCTCCAGGGCGTTACGTGGTCATTAATGGGGGAAACTGCAGGTTTAAAAGCATTTTACATACAAATTCAAATTCAACAGATTATCCTAAAACCAACCCTCTTCCCTCTTTCTATCCAAAGTCTGTTTAAATTTAAACAATCCAGAGTTTATAATCGAATAAATGCTAAAAATCAATTCAGCGGGTCTAGCCGCATAGACACCATCCTCCAAGTTTTGGTCCTGCAATCAGCGGATGTTTGGAAGCAAAAAATAAAATAAAAATTCAGCCCAGGTTTTTCAGGTCCCCTGAAATAACCCCGTATTTCAAGTTGACCTACCAATGCCCGAATTCTGGAAACGAAATAACCTCCCCCAACATTTTCCCCCCTCTCTCTCTGTGCAGCGGAGAAGGTTCCAGGCTGCCGGCGGCGGCGCAGAGAGCGGGAAGAGAGGCTCGGAGGAAGCCCCGGGCGTGGCGTGGTCAGGCTCCGAGAGCGGCCGGGATGCGGCCACACCGGCCTGGTAAACTCGCACCTCTTAGGATCTTGCTCCCGGACTCATTCCCTTCCCCACCCCCTATTTTAAAGTTTTATTTGGGTCGTCTGTATCAATTTAGAACGAGATAAATTAAGACAAAGAAAGTAAAATAAATCGAAATAAAATATAGGAATAGCTCTTGGCGAAAATGTTTGCCGTGCGAGCAGGAAGCCGTGAGCGCCCTAGTTGGAGGCTGCTCTGCGCCGACTAAGAGGCCTCTACTCCCAGGCCTGGCCTCTACGCAACGCCACCCAAGAAGCCAGAGTGAATTTGGGTGTTCATTTTCCCTTTCCTTCCGCTCTTCCTTCATGTGGGGCCTAGCAGCTTGGATTTCAGCTCCGTCTTTGTGCCTGGGCTGCAGCCCAGATCCAGATCCCGCAGCTTGGTTTCCAGGCCTGAATGAGGACGCGGGTTTGTGAAACTGTGAGGTTTTTGTTTTGTTGTTTTGTGAGCTTGTGTGACTAAGCATGTGGGCTTCTGAGTGCGTTTACTTGGGGGCAAATGTGAATCTGTGTTTATAAGCCAATGTGTGAATGTACGTTGGTATCAATGTGTCTGTGAGTGTGAATGTGTGTTTACTTGTGAGCGTGTGTGAACATGAATGCCTATGTTCTGGGCGTGAAGCTGGTATTACGTGAATGCCTGTATGTTTGTTAACATATGGGTATGAGTGTCTCTTTGTGACTGTGACAGTGTGTATGTTTGATGTCAGCCTGTAAACACATGTGACTGTGTGCATCATGTATGTCAATGGGTGTAAAAGGGTGTAAAGGGAATGCATGAGTGCAATATCGGGGTTCACTACTTGGCAGCCCCCCAGAGCAGGAGGCACCAAGAAAAAGAACAAACTCAGCACAGAAATGAAGCTGCATCAGAAGTCAGAGCCAAGGAGCTCTGGGATGCCCACTCATCTCTAACCCTGAACCCCTTCCCAGCTTTAGGAAGACACAGAAAATAGGGCATCTGTTTATTTTTAATTGCGTTTTATTTTTCCATCCTTTAGATACACACAGAATGTAAAAGGGAGCATGGGGCTGGGGGACGGGAAGCAAGAAGCAGCAGCCAGGCGCTTGGGGAACACGCGAGTGGTAGGTTTTGGGGCTCCCTAAGGCCCCTTGGTGCCGCTGCTGGGAAGGCGGAGGCTCAGGAGGGCAGGCAACCACAGGGTTAGTCCAGACCCACAGTCCACAAAGACAGCATTAAAGAGGGCTTACAAAACTGCAAGATTTTACAAAGACCTTACAATAGCAACATAGAAAAGGGGAGGTAAATTCCAGAAAGCTACAGAACAGGTAGATAATATCCTTTTCATATTGTACAAAAAAACCAAACCTGACAGACTTTCCTATAGGTAGTATTTTTTCAGTGTTGAAAAACCAAAATTTCTCCTTTCTCCCTCCTTAAAAAATGTTTTTAAACTCCTTTCATTTAAATAGGGTTTTTTTTTTGTTTTTTTTGTTTTTTGTTTTGTTTTTTTACTTCCCTATTCGATTTGAGTTTCCTGATTCAGTTCCCAGAGCTGGGCTTCTCTTCCTCTCCCTTTCTCATGTCTCTTCCTCTGCCCTTTCTCCATCCCTCACTCTTCCTCTTCCTCCTCTGCTTCAGCCCTGTCTTGGCCGGTGGTCCCCGGGCCCGCGGTCTTGTTCTCCTTTTTCCACTTCATGCGCCGGTTCTGAAACCAAATCTTGATCTGTCTTTCCGTGAGGCAGAGCGTGTGCGCGATCTCGATGCGCCGCCGCCGCGTCAGGTAGCGATTGTAGTGAAATTCTTTCTCCAGCTCCAGGGTCTGGTAGCGGGTGTAGGTCTGGCGGCCTCGTTTGCGGTCAGTTCCTGCACACAGTATTCAGAGGAAAATCAGTGAGTAAAGAAAACGCCGGCCGGGCGCGGTGGGCTCAAACCTGTAATCCCAGCACTTTGGGAGACCGAGGCGGGCGGATCACGAGGTCAGGAGATCGAGACCAACCTGGCTAACACAGTGAAACCCCGTCTCTACTAAAAATACAAAAAAATTAGCTGGGCGTGGTGGCGGGCGCCTGTAGTCCCAACTACTCAGGAGGCTGAGGCAGAAGAATGGCGTGAACCCGGGAGGCAGAGCTTGCAGTGAGCCGAGATTGCGCCACTGCACTCCAGTCTGGGCGACAAAGTGAGACTCCGTCTCAAAAAAAAAAAAAAAAAAAAAAAAGGAAACGCCAAGAGAGTGGCCACCTCCCTCTTATACCGTGTATGTGATTTGAAGTCAATGGGCGATGGGCAAAGAAGCCCATTTTCCCACTAAACCAAATTCTGGCTTTTCATACCCCAGCCCTTACTCCAGCTGCAAACTCCCCTAATTGCTGAACTTTCTACAGGCTTCTCAAAGCAAACATTCCCATTTTTCATCCAAGAAGTCTTTTTTAGCCTGGAGCTTCTGAACCCAGGAAAGTAATCTGCTGGCTCTTAAAGGCTCTGCACCTAAGGGGTGCAAGTGGGATGAGGGGAGGTTAATCCTCCTTTCACTCTCTGGGGTCAAGGACCCTAAACCCCCTTTTCTGAATGCTGATCTGATGGTCTTTCCAGTAGAGACCAAGAGAAACCATGCAAGTGACCCTGGAGTGGGGCGCCAGGCCTAGCTTAAGAACGTTTCCCAAGAAGAAAAGGAGACAAAGGGGCCTCAAAGGCCCAGTCCCCCCAACTCATCCCCAGCATGTTGTGGAATGAGAAGGTAAGAATTTGCAGATTTCCTTGGAGCAAAGAGTTGGTCTGACAGCAGTGACCCTCTGATGATTCTTTTCCAGTGAGTGGCTAAGCTTCAGCCAGGGCCAGGCTGTCCTGCTTGCCTGCTTGCCTAGACAGCCCAGCTCTCTAAAGCAATCCTTGGGCCTCCAGGAATGCACAGGGGAAAAGGAGAGACAGCAGCCTGGGATAGGATGGAACATGGAGTATCTGGGTGGTGGGGACTGAAGGGTAGAGGGGAACTTCTGCATTAGGACCAGAACCTGAGGAGACTTTAAAGAGGTGCTGATGTCAGCCCTCCTGGGAAGGAGACAAGGGAGGAGGGGCTAGGGGCCCTAGTTTCAAGTCAGATAAAAGCCAAGCTGAAATGCTGATGAGCAGAAAAAATGGGGCTTTGATAAATCAACTGGAAAGGCAGTTAAACTATGGAGCAGGTAATGGGACCTATAACCACTAATACTGATGGTATGAGAGCTGGGCTGCTTCTGGCCCCTGACCATTGCTGGGTTGGGTGCCTCTGACCATGAGTCTTGGGTCTTCTGGACTTTGGGGCTAGCCCCTAAGTTCGTCTGCTTTGGAACAGTGCAGAAAAGGATGTCTGGGTCAGACTCGGCAGGGACCCCATGGAACCTCAGCCTCTTGGGGTTCTGCAGCAGCTGGCTAGGTGAACTGCACTCTCTAATTTTTGAATTGGCTCCAGAGAGTCCTAGCCCCTCCCCCAAGAAAAGGGTCACTTATCTGGAATGACACCTCCAAACTTGGCCAGTTCTTTAGGGGTTCCTAGGAGCCCTAGGAAGAGCACCTCAGGAAGCCAGCTGCACTCCCATGAAGCCTCTGCCCCTTTCTAGTTCTCCTGTTCCACTCCCCCACCCAGGTTCACTGGGATCAGGAGGATCATCTCCTTTGGCCTCAGCCCCCTCCCTCCACCTGCCTCTCTAGCTCTGTGTCCCTGGCTGGGTCCTTTTCTCCTCCCGCCAGGCCTCTAGAGCCCACCTCTAATTGTCCTGATGGGAATAATGGGGGAGCGGGGTTGGCTGGAGAGGAAGGGGGAGGGGAGAATTGCTTAGCGCTATGGCCCCCTCCCCCATACCTTATCCGAGTGGGGCAGGGGGACACACCCAGGGCTGAGATCCTTAGCTGGGAAGGGGGGAGAAGGGGGAGACCCTAATGGCTATTCTCTGCAAACACCGGCCTTCCTCCGCAAGACAAACGGCCTCGTCTCCAGCCCGTGCCGGCGCTGCTGATAAATATTTAAAGCTAAAAGGCCGAGAGGAAGGGTGGGGGCGGGCTGGGGGCTCGCAGCGCCGTGGTGCCGGCGAAGAGAGATCCGCCGGGAAGCAGAGCGAGCCTGAGAGCACCGAGCAAATATGGGGGCGGGGATGGCCTGCTGGGTCGCGGCCCAGTGGGTGCAGCCTTCCAGGGCCGACCTCCGGCTGGGAGCACTCTGGACGCGGAAAGGGGCGCCCAGCCGGGAAGGAGGCGCCTTCAGGGTAATGTGCCCCGGCCCCTGGGGCTCAGGACAGCTCGGTGCGCGGCGTTACCTGAGCTTCGCATCCAGGGGTAGATCCGGAAGTTACTCTCGGCCGCCAAGTCCGAGTCCCTCTGCTCCTTGGCGCCCGCCGCCTTGGCGGAGTCGCCGGGACACACCCCGGAGAGGTTCTGCTCAAAGGGCGCGCAGTGCATGTTGAAGGAACTCGGCTCGAGCCCATAGCCGGCCGCGTAGACGCCGGCCGCGCTCTGGCCCGCCATGCCCCCCCCGCCGGGGTACAAGCCCTGCATCGAGGCGGCGAAGGAAGCGCCCGAACCCGCTCCATAGCCCGGGCGCTGGGGGTTGGAAGCAAACGCACAAGAAGTTTGTTCTGGGAAGGCTCCGGTAGCGAAAACCGAACTTGAGGCTGGATATTTAGAAAATAAAGTATTCGCATAATACAATGAACTCATAATTTGGCCGGATGATTTGTAGGCAGGGACGTTTTAGTGTCGGTTTTACGAGATTCCTTGATATATTACAGAATTAGAGTCCAGATTTACACCAAAAAGGACCCCCTTTTTCCTCTCCGGACCACGTGACCCCGCCCACGTGACGTCCCCTCCGCCAATGGCCGGGCCGTCTCCCCACGGCTCCCGGTAATGTGGAAAAAATTGTGTGGCGTTGGATTTATAAAATATGATCAATAATGAATGGGAAAGCCGAGCCCTGTGGATTGGGGCTGGGGGCTCAAGGGCCGCTGCCGACTCCCGCGGGCTGGAGGCCGCTTGCAGGCGAGATTTGGGGAGGAAGAGATTGAGTGGAAGGGAAAATAAATAACCTCGGGGCGATCCGTGTCACCCTCCACCCATCCTCTTCAGCCCGTTACCGAGCGAGAGACAAACGCAGGGATTGAATGCACGCAACTGGGTGGGTGGGTGCTTGGGGCAGGTCTGTTCTTTATTAAACCAGGCCAATTCTGCACGGCAAGGCCTTTTGGGGAAGTTGGTCCGGTTCTCCCAAGACGAGGAATGAGGCGAGCCTGGCTCACGACTCTGTCTCTCTTGGTGCCCCAGATATGCGGGCGGAGATGGAGCAAGTCTTCCTAGGTGCTCCTAGGGCACAGGATCCAGCCCACGGGCCTTGGACGCTGCCGTTTCTGGTGGCAAAAAAAAAAAGAAAGAAAGAAAGAAAAAGAAAAAAAAAGGTTTGAAAGTAAAAGAAAAAGGGGGTTGGGAGGGTGGGGAGAGAAAGGAAGGGTGGAGGTTGGCCCGGGCGCGCTGCTCTCCCGGTTCCCGGAGGCGGATGCCTCAGTGGAGCGTGACTACCAGAGAAGCAGAGGCAGCGAAGGAAGGAAGGCAGAGAGCCATGGCCTCAGAACAGAGCGAAGGTGGCCAAGTCCCTGAGAGGGAGAGGCAGGGAAGAGCGGTCTCCCTTCTCCTCCTGCTCCCCCAACAACAACAGTCCGAGGGAAAAAAAGTATGCTCAGCAGGCCTGCACTCCACCTTTATGCCTGCCCCCCACCCCACCTCCCGACACACATCTTGGGAGGACACACAGCAAAACAAAGAGGGAGGTGGCGGGGGACACAGCCACCAGCCCAGCCGCAGGTCTCCAGCGTGGCCTGGGCGCCCTGGCCTCCCTGGCCGGGCAGCCTCGGAACGCGAGAGGAGGGGGTTTCTCTTGGCTCCCCTCCCTCGTTTTTCTCTCCTCCAATCAGGCTCAGCCGCCTCCCTCACCCCCAGCGCCCCTGGGCCGAGGGACTCGCACCACCTGCCTCCAGCCCCCGCCCCCTCCTCTCTGCAGCCTAGCCTCAGCAGGCGCAGGAGCCCGGTGACAGGCTCCCCACCGGCTCTGCAAGGCACCCGGGAGCAAATGAGGAGCGCTGGCCGGGCCAGTCTCGGGTTCTCGCTTGTAAACTTTATTGTAACTCTTCCGCCCTTTTCAGGCGCAGACAACAGAACAAAGTATAGAGGAACAACAAAATATATAATTAGCCCTCCCTCCCCCCCATAAAGCAATTCACGGATACAGAATACATTCTCTTCACAGTAAACCTAAGAACACTTGTAACAATTGCCCACAGCGCGCATGCTAACTAAAGTAACCTCTTTTGAGAAACACTTAAGACAAAATTGTCAAACCAAAGGGGGTGGGTGGAGGAGGAAAAGAGAGAAGCCAGAGAGAAAGCCAGCGAGCTGGGGGGTTGCAGAGGGGAGAGAGGATTGGGAGGGGAAATGAGGACGCAGCGAGAGAGAGCGAGAGCGAGAGCGAGCGAGCGAGAGAGAGAGAGAGAAGGGAGACAGAAAGAATTACGGCGTGAATAGGCAGTTTCATGTTGTTGGGAGAACTTAGCAGAAATCGGTACCTTGGTCATTACAAAGAAGCACGTTCAAAGGAAAAAAAAGACAATTGCACAAGGAGGCTTTTTACACGGGGAGGGGAGGGGCATGGGGGGCTCAGCCGGGCCTTTGCCGCTCGCCCTCACAGGGCGAGGGAGCCTTTGCTTAAATCCTTTTCTTTCCCCCCGGCCCCCAAGAGAAGGGAAGGAGATCCACGGTAGCTCACACACAGAAGCTATTACGAGATACTACCACTAGCGGGGACTGGCGCGGCGGGGGACGCTGCGGTGGGAGGCCCGGCTCCTGGCCCCGCTAGCGGGGCCAGAGCTCTCTCGGGCAGGGGCGCGCGGCGGCGGCGCGGCCGGGACCCGCGGACGTGCGGGCGGCCGCGGCCCTGGCAGTCCCAGCTGAAGCCTACTTCTTGTCGCCCTTCTGCGCGTCGCCCTCGTCCGCCGCCTCTGGGGCCCGCTCCAGCTTCTGTTTCTCCAGCTCCTCCTGCTCGCATTTGCTGCTGGGGAACTTGTCTTTGTTGTTCTCTTTTTTCCACTTCATCCTCCGGTTCTGGAACCAGATTTTGACCTGTCTCTCTGTCAGTCCCAGGGCGTGCGATACCTCGATTCGCCGCTTACGAGTCAGATAGGGATTAAATAGGAACTCCTTCTCCAGCTCCAGGGTCTGGTAGCGGCTGTAGGTCTGTCGGCCTCGCCTGCGTCCGGCGGCTGCTGGGAATGGGGGAAAGGGCGAGACAGAGGGGAGGGGAGGGTGGGGGAGGGGGCAGGGACGGAGAAGGTTGGAAGATTCGTGAACGAGCCTGGGAGACCATTATAATAAGGGCAGGGGACCTTCTACCCCGTGCGGGGGCGGGGGGGGCGCAAGAAGGCCGCGGTCGGCGGAGGAGGAGGGGCGAGGGGGATTAGACACAAGTGAATCTAAGGGAGCCAGAAAGGGGAGCCCCCTCCCCCGGTAACCAGCACCAGAGTTGTGTAGGAGGTGGTTCAGATCTATTAGAAGTGCCATAAACTTTAGGAGGAAGGATGTGAAGGAGGGGGGAAAATAAGAATAAAAAAGCCGGGTGGGGACGAATGGACCCACCTTGAAAAGCCCCCAGAGCCTCTGCCCCAGAAGAAAAGTTTCTTCAGGGTAATTAAACTATAAAGCAATTGAGAAGTGCAAAAGTTGAGCGCCCCCACTCCCACCACCCTCTCTTCACTACCCCCCATAAAACAGTAAAAGGGGAAAAAAAGGAGGAGAAGAAGAAGAAAAGTAAGGCAGGATGAGGGGTTTATAGATTCAGGAAATGTTTCTAAGCGACCCCCTTCAAGGGAAAGAAAAAAGAAAGAAGAAAGAAAGATAAGAAAGAAAGGGGAAAAGCGGCAGGCGATCGGAACGGAGCCGGCAAGTCTTCCAGAAGCTGGAGGAAATGCGCCCCGGCCTGCCAGGCCTTGGGCCCTTCCGGCCCCCTCCTGCCCTTGTCGGCCCCGAGGCGAGCTCACCTTGCGGGCGCATCCAGGGGAAGAGCTGTGTGGGCGACGGGCTCTGCTCGGAGCCCTCGGCCTCCTCGCCCAGGCCGCTGGCGGCGGCAAGCTTGCAGTCTGCGTACTGCACCAGGTCTGGATCCTGCGCACCGAATAGGCTCTGGCGTTGCAGCGGGTCGTAGCCGTAGAAATTGCCGGGGTCCCCGTGGCACGCCACGGCGCACGGGTTCTGCTGGTAGGGAGCCGTGGACAGCGACGACGGCCCGTGGTAGAACTCCTGGATTTGCGACGGGTGCTGGAAGCTGCCGCCGCTGCTGGGACCGTACACCACGGTGGGTCGGCCGCCCAGGTCCTGGGCGAAGCCGCAGTCATAATAATTGGGGCGCAGGGACTCCCCGGTTTTGTATTTGGAGAACAGTGAGTTGACGAAATAAGAGCTCATTTTATTGAATTTTGAGGCGGCGGCGGCGGCGGAGGCTATAGTTGGGGGCTGTTGGGGAGGGGGTGGGGAGGGGGAAAGGGAGGGAGAGAGAGAAAAAAACGCGGATTCGCCGGCTCCTAGTCACCCTCGCCAGGAAAGGAGAGGGAAAGAGAGGAGGGAAAAAAAGAAAAGAAAGAAAAGGCGAAGAAGATCTCGAAGCCGACACACTTTTTGTGGTTTCCAGGAATAGAAAAGGACAGAGAAGCCTCCAAAAGTCTAAGCTTGCATGGCAGCCGCGGCTCGCTCGCCCTCCCCCCACCCCCCACCCCCCAAACAAAAATATACCACCACTTAAAGAGGTCCTCGCTTTACATTTCGAAGAAGGGATGCCAGTTCATAAACAGTTTTCGGTGATTTACTTCCCTGCAAATGAGTTGTTTCATATTTTGCACTGTCTTTTCATGATCATTTGCATCCATTAGAGACCCCGCATCCTATTGGCTTCTTCGTACTCCTCCCGGACAGAACGCAGAGCGAGGGTGAGAGCGAGAGAGAGCGAGCGAGAGAGAGAGCTAGAGCGAGAGAGCGCCAGGGAGTGAGGAGAGAGCGGAAAAAAAAAAAGGAGGGGAAGAAAAAAACACCCAGGGAGAGAGAGGGGGAGAGGGGGAGAGAGAGGGGGAGAGGGAGAGGGGGTGAGAGAGAATGAATACGGATTAAATCTGTTTAACTACCTACATTAATGAGATATCTCTCGCCTCACAACAAATCAAATACCTTCGCAGACCACCCCCAAAGACTGATGTGGGGGAGTCACGGAAAAAAACACGCACACACACATACACAACGCGCCAGGCGTAGGCACGCTGTTAATTTCGCGATTTTAACGAGGCAATTGGAGTCTTTCTAAATGTCAGGGTCGCTTCGGAAAAATGTAAAAGAACACGGTTTAATTGCGCCGAGTTTTAAAAGGTCCTATAAATGTAATTGGTATTTTAATACAAGTTATCAAATCATACAGCTTCCTCTCCTAAACGTATTTTCAAACAAACGAGGTAGTCATATTTAAAGCTTTAATGATCAATTTCCTTATTATTGATAAAGGTTTAACTATCGTGTGGAGGGAATTGGCTGGATAACCGGCCCCCCAAAAAACGGCTGTAAACTCTTTAAGAAACTATAAAACGCAATAAAGCCGGAGTCTGTTGTTGTTTATGCCGCAGCGCATAAAAGCTGTTAGCATTTTACGAGTTCTTTCCTCTACAGCTATAAAACTGCAGCTTCGATCGCCCCCGCCGCCCGATTGCAGCACGGTGGGGGTGACGAAGCCGAAATGAGAATGATTATGGGGATTTTTTTTTGGCACAAACGGTGACTTTTCTGAGATTTTCACCTCCTTCCGTCCTGGCAAGCACCTGCCCCCACCCCTTCTCTGGAGCCCCCAAAAGGTCCCTTCTCTGCCCTGCCCTCTCTGCCCTGCCCTGGCCAGTCACAAAACTTCCTCTCATTAAACAAATAAGCAAAAATTTTCTGTGAAACAGGGATCTGGGAGATCTTGAGGAGGGAACGGGAGGGAAGAAGAAACTTTCTGGTTAATGAGCAGTGGTTGAAGCACAGAGCAAAGTTCGAGCTGCCACTGCCGATTCTGCAGGTTTGTGCACTCTCTGCTTGCTGAAAAGGGGGTCTCCTGAAGGCCCTTCAGCCCATCAGCACTTTTGAGGGCAGACTTTGCATGAAGGGAGAGGGCCTGATGCCATCAGAGGGATGAAGCCCCAATGGGCTACCCGACACTTGCACCCAGGCCTTGGGACCCAGTAGCCAAGCCCAATTATTAATAGCTCCCAACCTTCCCAGGCCGACCCCCACACCTTCTGCAGTGCCTAAGGGTGAGAGGGGACCACTGAGCCCATCACTGCATCAAAAGGAAAGAAGGTTGGGTATCAGGCCCTGGCACCTGGCCTTCGTGTCCGCTGTCCTATGCTCTCAGCCACCCTAGGCAGTGCCTGCAGAGTATGTGTTGGGAGGGCATCTATTAGTCCTCAGTGTCCCCAAGACCTTTTGAGCCACTGTCACCACCTAAACTGACTTGGGTGTGGAATTCAGATAAAGCAAGGTTGCTGAGTCTCCCATTTTCTCTCCTTTCGCCTTGGGGAGCCTGTAGTTAAACCTGGCTCTCCCTGCAGACCTGGGAACCAGAGGTCTGAACACGGAAAGCTGGAACAAGCTGACTGGGTGCCACACTCTGTGGCCACTGCGTTCCCTGCCTACCCGGCTTCACGATGGTGGTGGCCAGGCTTTAGAAGGCCCCAGTCTGAGGGTCAGAACCAGTAGCCTCCTGTAGCAGTAGATTGGCAAGGGAGAGGAATGAGAGACAGAAAGAAAATTTTGAGCAACAAAAGTGGAGGCTTTACAAATATATTCAATCCATTGTTTATTCAGGAAACAGTGGTTTGTTTTTTTGACGGGCACCTTTTGGGGACCCCATACACCCCAACATTTGTAAAAATGAAACTATCACTTTTCCAAAGGGAACCTTACCAGTGAGGTCATTTGGTTCTTCAAAAGTGAACCTAGAGAATGAGAGAGGGGCTAGAAGCGGGAGAGAGATAAAGGAAAAGAGGAGGAATGGAGAGAACCAGGGCTTTGAATTTTCAGCGCGTGGCTGAGGGGACCGTGAGGCAACGGAGGGCCGAGTTAAATTGTTGCCGAAGCAAACATTTTTATCAAGTGCAGAGGATTTTATGGTCATTATTTGAAAACTCACCGGCGAGGTACAAATTCAATGGCTTGTTCTAAATCATCTCTACACCGTGCCAGAAATTCCTGATGGAAGGAAAATGTTTCTGTTATAGGAAAAAAAAAAAAAAAAAACGAAAGAGCGAGGAGACAATTTATAAACACCCAGCGGAGCGCAGATTTATTAGAGAAACTCAAGTTGAGGAGAAACTCCGCTTACCTC
Organism: Homo sapiens; assembly: GCF_000001405.40. Classification (NCBI taxonomy): domain Eukaryota; kingdom Metazoa; phylum Chordata; class Mammalia; order Primates; family Hominidae; genus Homo; species Homo sapiens. The sequence goes on from NC_000017.11 coordinate 48,617,640, forward strand.
CTTGCACTAAGTCCTGGTGGGGGAGAGGAGAGGCTGCAGCTGGGGTGATTTTGAGGGGGTGGGAGTATCTATTGCTGGCGCAGGTTTGTCGGATGGAAGGCAGGGATCCGGCGGGGCCGGGAGGACACAGGAGATTTGGAATGCAAGGGGCTGTGAACAACCAGGGTGCGGGTCTCAGAACGAAAGTGCCCGGAGTCCAGACCTCCAGCTGCTCAATGAGGAAAGGACCGGCGCCCCCAGGTTTGCCTGCGGCCAGGGCCAAGGCGCACTGAAGCCGCACCTCTCACCTGGAAGCCCAGGAACCCAGGGAGAACAGAGCTCCTGCGTCCTGACGCCGCGCCCGCCTTCGCGCCCATGGGAAAACGCGCATTCTTTGGGAGCGCGCAAAGCATCCAGAGACCACATCCGAGCCTTCCCGCACCCTGCTGCCCTGGGGAGCCCCTGCCCCGTGCCTAGGTCGCCCTGCGCGAGCCCAGCCCAGCCCTGGACTCATACAAAGGCTCCAGAGCTTGCGCCCGTGCGAAGCCGCCCTGCCGGCTTTGGGCATCTCCGAATCCCCACAAAAGCTATGGCTCCATTCCCCCACACACACAAACTGGGGGGTCTCGGGCTGGCTTACGTGATTTTCTCTCCAGCCGATGGGCAGCTTCCTCTCCATCCTACCTTCTTTTGCCGGCTAGCCCCTCTCACCTGACCTGCTGACCCGCATCCAGGGACATTCCTTTCGCCTCCTTTCACGGAAAATCTCGTTGTTTCGAATCAATTCTCCTTTTGGATTTGGACCCATTATTCCTATTATTACTATTATTCCCCGTTTTCACGCATTTGTTGCCCCACCGAACACAGCAACTGGGTGAGAATCACTGAGCCCTCCTCTTGGGGAAAATTCAGAAAATTGACCATTTGAGGAGATGGGGGAACACTACTATAACTGAAATCTATAAAATGGGGGTAAGGCCATAACGAGCCCTATTTTTTTTATTAGGTACAAATTATTCATGACTTTTGGTAGCACTCAGTTCCTGGATTCAGGGCCGACCAAGGCGCGGTGCCGGGAGCAGACATCCGCAGCTGCCGCTCCAGGGAGTTTCACATGGAGCAAGGGTGCCATCTAGCGGCTGCTCTGCGAAAAGGCGCCGCAGCCACCGGCTCCACCAGTTTTCTGGGAGAGCAGCCGCAGAGGTGGCCAGCAGGAGAAACTTTCATAACTAGCAGTAAAAGGGGAGGGATAGGGAGTGGGCATCGGAATCAGGAAACGGTTCATGAAATTGTGTAGATAAGCTAAAAAATAGAAAAAAAACACAACAGAGGGGAGGAAAAAAAAGAAGCCCTAAGCTTTTTTCTTTCTACGTACACCTCCCACCCCTGCCCCTAATTTCTAGCGGAGACCGCAAAGCAGTGCGCCCTTTATGGCCTGTAAAAAGGGGGACCGAGCAGTTTTCAAACTCCACGCGATTGTTTCAAATTCTGAGGAGAAACAGTTGGGCTTTTTGTCGGGGGAGAGGAGGCCTGAGAGGATAGGATGAGACTGTAAAAGAATCAAGAGGCTGCCCGCGCCCAGACGTCTGGCCCCGCCGGACCTGAGTGTGTGTGTGTGTGTGTGTGTGTGTGTGTGTGTGTGTGTGTGTGTGCGCGCGCGCGCAGGAGGCTCCTCGTTTCCGACGCCTGATTCTGGAGGGGGTGTGAAGAACAAAGACAAGAGCCCCAGTTGCAATTTCTGAAGCATTTGCGACAACAAAGTGTTCTTTCCCGGCTTCTCTCTTCTCCCTCTCTGCCCCCTGCCACCCCCCGCCCCGGAAGCCCGGAGCCCCGTGTTCTGTGCGGGTGAGGGTGAAGGCTGCCGGAGCGGGGCCCACCCATTCCCCCGCCAGGCCGGGAGCCCCGGCCCAGCTGCGGCTCTCTCAGCTCCGGAAAGTTTCCCCTCGCTGTTTGCTTTGCTGCTGTTTAGTTTCTTAACCTTCAGAAATTTATACGCTATAAACTTTTATAGCGGTCATATTATTTTATTGCTGCGCACACGGCATTGAATTCCTCTCCCGGCTTCTCTCTGCCTCGCACTCTGGCGGTGTCCCTCTCTGAATCTCTCTTTTATGACAACTGATTTCCCCATCTCCGGCTTCCGAGCCTCCGCATCTTCGCCTTTGTTTGTCTTTAAAGAAGCAGCCCTGGGCTGGGGACCCAGACGCTGCAGGCAGAGGCCCCTCCAAGCGCCCTCGCCCCTACCACGCAGCACTCCCCTCTGTTCCAGCCTCGCTGAGCGTTTGCTTTAGGCAGAAACCGACCTTCTGTCTTTGCTGTCAGCACCGGCTGGGCCTGGGTAGCCCAGGATGGGGCAGGAGCCTGGTCTACACCAGCTGTAAAGCCAGATTCATTTTGCATCCCTAATGAAACCCTCTTTGGAGGGTGCCTGTCCGGGCCTGCCTGATGCGGAGCTCCGCTTTCTCCTGCCTCCCGCCGTCTCTTGGATCAGTTCGTCCTTTCGTTGGAGGAGGGTAGGCCTGGCCTTTTCACTTGCAGTCTCCCTTCATTCGGGCCATGCTTCGTTCCCAACTCTACCCCAACTCGCAGGGTCTCCGCGGGCCGCAGTGTTGCCGGCTTGGGTTGGGGAGAGGCTCCTGAGGTAGGCGGGCTCGGGAGCGCCGGCCCGCCGAAGCGGAATCCCAAGGCCTGGATGAGAAGCGCAGGCTGCCGAGAACTGCGATCTTCATAAGAGGCTCTGGCGAAATCCCTCAGTCTGAGAGGGACAAAAATGTGCCTCTTGAAACTGAGTTTAATTCTGGGGTCCTTTTGGGAGGTGAATTTTTCTACTGAGACATTTCTGCTTCACACTCAATGACCTCTCCACCCTTTGCAGAGGTGCTTACCCAGGGCTCAGCCCCTACCAACCCAGCCCACCTCAGACCAAGGCTGCTACCCTGTGGCTCAAACTGGAGCCTCCAACCCCAGGTGGGGGCCGAGAACCCTAAGGCGTTGGCTCCCTTTGAATGGAAGGAAAGAGATTCCAGCCCTCTGGAGGCCTCTGTCTAGACCTAGGCACCCTACTGCAGGGAAGAACAGAGGGAAATTACTGTGTTCCTCCCTTGCATCATATTTTAAAGCGGCCAAACTAAGGTGACATTCTCAGTGGCTGAGGGAGGAGAGCTACCCCCAGGAGGTGCAGGAAGACCTACCTTCCCTCCTATTCTCTAGTCAATGAGGAGGTTTCAGGACCTCATTGCTCCCCAGACCCTGTGCCCTCTCCAAACAACCCACATTTCCTTCCCTCCCCGCTCGTTTTCCAGTTCTCCTGTTGGAAGGCTCTTGATCAGTTTAACCAGTAGTCTTGGGACCTGGGGTCTGGGACTGGCTCTCAGCTCCACCTCTAGAGAGCTCTGCAGGGGACCTTGCCCTGCAGGGTGTAAGGAGAAACCTCCTGGACTCAGCAATCTTTTTTTTTCCAAGCCTTTCTCCCGACAACTGGGATCTCTACCTATGGTCAGGCCCAGAGAGCCAACACAGAATAAGACACAGGAGAGATTTATTTTCTAGAGTGATATATATTTTTTGTTCTTTTTCTTTTTTTCTTCCAAAACAAACAATTAGAGCTCTAGGCCCCTCGCCCTCCCCACTCCCACCCAGAACCCTCCCATATAATCGACAACTGAAAACAAGCGAGACAATCACCCCCAAAGAAATCACGAAACACAAGCACAATTTCACGACAGCCACCGACAAAGCAAAAAACTTCTACTGGAATGTCCCCTTGCAGGATCAGGAGAAGCAGGAGCAAGAGTCTACAAATTGAAGGGGACTGAGAAGTAGGGGAGCAGGGGGAGGAACGGAAGCAGAGAGTAAGCTTCCATCTGATGCTTAGGTGCCATTTTGCCCCTTTCCTTTGCACGCGGGACTGTTTCCCAGAAGCGCGCGCACGCACCAGCCACGCAGATCTGCATCCAGGCCCATGAAGCAGGAGGCCAAGCCCGGCCCTGGGGCGGGTCTCCTTTGGCGCTGGGGCTAGAGCCGCCAAGCCCGGGGCTTCTCTGCGTGGGTCGAGAAGCCGACGGGATTCGGAGGAACGCGCAGAGCGTTGCGCGCTGGGGCCGTTGCTCCTCCCTGTCCCAGACCACTTGTCCCGGAAGGGAGCTTGGGAATCGATTCACAATAAATTCTCATTCGGACTCTCCTGGCCTGGCTTTCCTGTCTACAGTGGGGTTGACCTAGCGGGGAACGGAAGGTGGAGGGATTTTTCTACAAGGGGCGGCTTGACTTGCGGGTGCAAGGTGGATACGACCGAAGAGAGTTGATTTCAGAGCTAGGGAGGGTGCGGAAGAATGCAGGGCCGGTCGAGAGCAAGAGAAGCTACAGTCTGTCAAGTGGTGCACAGATGAACAGGAGGACAACATTGTCAAGGCTCTACGACCCACAGTTTGACCTTCTTTTGTTGGAAGGAGAGGGAAACATCATGCGGAATTAAACATTTCCTGCAACAAAATGTATATGTTGGTGGGAGGTGGGGAGTAGCTCCACCTAAGATAGCTTCATAAAACCACGTGCTGCCTTTTCTTGTACTTTCTAGCCCACCGGCTTGGGGGCTAGGTTTGCTCCATCTTCCCCATGGCCCTTGGCCTGAGAATAGTTGGCAACTCCATGGGAATGGTATGGCAATGCTGCAGCCTTTGGGCTGCAACACCTCACTCAGGAGTCTGCCTCTAGACATCTCCCTGGTGGGTATTTGCATTAGGGGTAGAACCCGGGCTTGCCTGACAGTCTGAGGGCTGTTTTGCCAAATTTGGTGTGCGATGGTCTGCAACTGGAGTGTCACCTCACTTGACTGAATGGTGGTTGTGAGCTCACCCCATTACTGTGTGTGGATGTCTGCTGAGCTGTGTAGAGTTGGAGTGTCCCTGGGTGACTTTTGGGTGGGTGTAGAGAAGAAACAGGCAAGCTGGAAGTGAGGGGCTAGGACTTCCCAGAAAAATTACAGGGCATACTAGGAGCTTGACTGGGGTCTCTCTTTCCTTGTGGCCCATCACATTCTTAGGAACCAACTATTTCTATCTTCTAAATCAACAAAACTTTCTCCTGACACCTAGAGAGAAGAGAGAGACAGGTAAGGGCAAAGGAAAGGAGGGAGGTTCTAGGTGCAGATAAAGGACTTGGAAGAGAGACTCCCTTCCCCATTCACTTGAATACATCCCAGACAGCACTGGCTTTGCAGTCGTCACATAACTAAGAGTGAGATGGGGAAGAGCTAGGGAGGACTGGGGGTAATCTTTAATCTTTACTCTTTGCCCTGCTCCTTATTCATTTTCTTCATTTTCATCCGCCGGTTCTGAAACCAGATTTTGACTTGTCTCTCACTCAGATTGAGGAGTCTGGCCACTTCGTGCCTACGGTCCCTGGTGAGGTACATATTGAACAGAAACTCCTTCTCTAGCTCCAGCGTCTGGTATTTGGTGTAGGGACAGCGCTTTTTCCGGGAAGAGCGAGCGTGCAGCCAGTTGGCGGAGGGGTTGGCTGAAAGAGAAGCAGCGATAGAATCAAAGAAAGGAAGGGGGTGAAGGGCCCCAGATCAAGAGGGCACTCCCTTGGTCTCCACTCCCCATCTTGCACTGGAGAAGAGGCCACCTGGGTCTTCAAGCTCCCAGGAAGGGTGTCACAGATGGGCCAGCCATTGCTATAGACACCTCCAGGTGAGAGGCTGTGTGGAAAGGATGGAGCCAAACGTGGGCCCAGGCTTCCTCAGCACTTCCAAAGCTCTGCCTACATCAAGTTCCCTCTCAATTTTTCTCTACTTGGGTCCAAACTGCTTAGGACTCAGGTCAGAGTTCAGCATGGTTGAAGTCCCACCAGCAGCACTCCCAGGCTGACTAGGGGTGGGTGGCTGACCTGAAGGGTCCTGGCTCTAGGAGGTGAGAGGAGGAGTTGGGTGGGGAAGTGAGATGTCTGTTCAGTCACTGCATTTGGGGTGTCACTTCACCCCAAGAGACCTCTCAGCCCTTCAGTCCAGTCCCAATATCCCCTGCCTTGATCACAAACAAGCTTGTGTCTCTAGACCACATGGCAGCAGGCATGTGTGTCTGCGTAGAAATCTCCCCCCCTGCCACCACCACACACCACGAATATGGGTCTGCACTTAGAGCCACAAACAGCCAGCACACTCCAATTCACACGCAATGCAATTGCAACCATTTATCAACTCCAGCTTATGGACAGGGGAGCACTGGGGGCTCACAGATAACTTATGGTTGCAATAGTCTCTCTCCTTTTCAGCTCCTGCTCAGCTCACAGTTTGGTTAACGCAAGTGCAGGGAAATTAGGGAATAAAATTGCTCCAGTCCCAAGGTGGGGAGCCAGGGGTGATGTGGAGGTAAAAGGAAGCCCTTCACAGCACACCTAGCCTTAATTGATCCTATGTGGGGGCTGGAGGGGAGAAGAGGGTAACCGAGTGGAAGAGAGGAAACAAAAATATATACAGGCTTCTCTTCTTACCTTCTCTCCCCCTACTCTGGAACTCAAAAAAGTTGCCAAATAAAGCTAAGCCAATTAAAAATAACAGCCACCAGCTACTAGCTTCCTTCTCCCCAAGTGAAAAACACTGGATTTTTTTATATAAAAAATTTGGTTCATCCTACACTAAGTACCGTGTCTTACCAATTTGCAGCGCTATTTCCTTAATGTGATTGCCTGGGATGGGACCCGCAGCCGCATTAAATATGAAAGAGGGAAAAAACTGTTAATAATTGATCCTAGCCAAATGGCTGCCTTGCCATAATGGGCTTTTCAGGCAGAATTTGGGGGTTTAGGGTGGGGGATCTGTTTGGGAGTGTGCGGGGAGGGTTGGGGAAGAATGTGTTCCCTAAATGCCAGCTCTTAGGATTCCACCTGGCAGGTTGGAGGTGACAGGACCCTGCAAGGAATGGGGCTGCTCTTTACTCTCCAGCAGGCAAGGATGCTCTAAAGGGCCCTGGGGCCACTCCGTCAATGGGAAATCTAGCAGGGCAAGGAGAGACTAAAACATCCCTACTTCCCAAAAAGAGTAAGAAACGAGGACCTGATCCACCAGCCTGCGAGTCATTGTTTGAGGCTGAGTTCCCTCACCGATGAGCCCTTCTCAACCTTAAAAATAAATAATAGGAGAACCCTCTCTTCTCATCTAGTAGCACCTCCTGAAAATCAGCCAGACTTGGCGTTCTGGCCGGGGTGCTTTTGAGGAGTGGGAGGTGACGGGAAACTACCCACAAAGGGTAAAGTTCTCCGCCTCTCTGCAACTCTCTCTTCCCCCCACCCCTCCTCTCCCCGGGGTCCCTTCGAGATGCCCCGATATTCGGAAGCGATTCCCCGACTCCCCAAGAGGCGGACAGCCCGGGCTGGGGCTCGGGAGCCCCGCAGAGAGCAGCGGGGGACCGCAGAAAAGGAAGCGGTAGCCCCTGCGAGGACGCCGAGGAGGAGAGGGGCCACCGGAGGGAAGGCTCCCGGGGAGGGGCCGGCGCATCCGGGGAGGGGGCTCAGTCACCGCGTCCTGGGCTTCCCCCGCCCCTCCTGTCGCCGGTTGCGGACTCTGCGCGGCTACAGCGCGAGATCTGCTAGGAACAATCCTCCGCCAAGCTGTTGCATCGCAAATAAAATCCTAATGAGCTCCCTCCCCCTTCCCCTTGGCCGGCTTTTACGGTCTGCGCGTGGCGCGGGGAGCTCTGCCAGCCGCACGGCCCCGGGCAGCCCAGTGCGCTCCGGCCCTTGCCCTCGCCGGCTCTCGGCCTCGCTGGCCGCTGGCCCCGGCCCCCGCCAGCTCCTCTCCCGGCCGTCGCCGGTCTCTGGCCGGGCTTTCAGCTGGGGCCTCCGGGAGAGAGGGGGAAAGAGGGCCGAGAGAGCTGCAAGTCGATCCCCGAGCCCCTGTTCCCCGCAGGACTTGGAGAAGTGGGGGCAGCGCTCCTCTGGCGGCCTCAGTCTCCCCTTCTAGAGCACGCAGCTTTCCCCTTCCCTCCGTCTTTCCTTCCTCTCCCCTCCTCCTCCCGGCCCGCTCTCCGGCCACCGCCGCAGTTTCCCTTCACATTGTCCGCAGTTTATTGCCTTTCCCCTCCCCGCCCCCCTCCTGGCCTTCGGCCTGGGTATTTCCTCACTTTTTATAACTTACTTTGATCCGGCCTCTCTTTGTCCTCGCTTCCTTCGCAAATTTTATTGTCCCCGTAGCCGGGTCTTTGATTAGACAGCACGGCCTCCCTGCCCGCCGAAGTTTCCAAACTGTACTCGGGCGTGCCCTGTTTGAGCAGCTCCCCAGGCGCGCCCAGCAGCGGCTCCGCCTTCACCGCCGCCTGGCCCTGCCCCGGGGCCGCTTCGCCGCGCGGCGCCGGCTCCAGCCAGGTGCGGAGGTACCTGCTCTCGGCCGGCGGGACGCCCTGGGGCTGGATGTAAGGGTGGTAGACGGACGGCAGGCTCCCGGACGCGTGCGGGCTCAGCGGCGCCCAGGAGGCGCCGAACACCGGCGCTTTGGGCTGGAAGCTGCACGAGGGGAACTCCAGGTGCTCCGCGTGGCCCGGCTGCCGCGAGCTCGCGTACTGGCCAGAAGGAAACTTGGCTGGAGGCGCGTCCTCACTCTCGTGACTTATGATCGAGTCGACATAATAGCTGCTAAGCGTCCCAGAAATGGACATTCTCAGACATTATCCGGGCGCTTGCAGGGGGAAGGGAAGCGCTCGCGCGGCGGCGCCCAAGCAGGGAGAGGTGGCACCCGGACCGGTGTGAGGGCTTTCGGACGCGACCCCCCCAGCCCCCCACCCTCCCACCCCCACCCCCTGCTCAACTTCTCAGCCAACAAAGTACAGTGGAGCAGCCCGTCTCAGCTCTCCTTGCAAAATGATTGGTCAAAGTTTTTCCGACTGCCTGATAAAGCGTCAGCTCCGACATAAATCAATCGGGCGAGGGGGCTGCGCTCTCGCTGTCATCCGTCCGCACCGCACTCCATATCGAGGATGGATTGTTTTATGCTGATGCAATGTGCTATCACGTCAGGGCTCCGGCGGCCACGTAACCTCAGCCCCAGCTACCGGCCGCCCGGTCCCCCCCTCCCGCTGCAGGAAGGGGGGCAGTTCTCAACATGGGGCGGCGGGGGCGGAGGAGAGGCGGAGGGAAGCGGCGGGCTGCCTTGGGAGGGACGCAGGCTGTAGAGCCCTCTCCCCAGGCGGGTCGGGGAGGGAGGGAGAGCAAGGGCGGAGGGAGGGAGAGAGCCCCAGCCCGGGGAGAAGCCATAGAGGCCCGAGAGGATACTGGAAGAGGAGGTGCTCCTGTCCCCCCACACACACCTCCACCCCGCAGGCCCTCATTTCCTCTTCTCTTTCCCCTTGACAAAAGATGTTTATTAAACAACAACAGCAGCAGCAATCCACAGGAGATGAAGTAAAATGATGAGGGGAAAAGTTGGGGATTTTAGGACGTTGTCCGCTTTGGAGGGGGCTCTCCTTGCACTCTTTGTAGAGATTTACATGACTGCGAGCTTCCCTGGGCCCCTCAGTAGCTGAGGGAGGAGGAGAGAGGTGAATAAAACGACTGAGTGTCCAAGAATCCACTATCTGTCCTGAAATTAGAAACTACTTGAGGTTAAAGGGATCCATCAGGTCCCGGAAACGTGAGCCTAGGAAAGAGTTTAATACAAGGAACCAGAGCGCCTTTACATTTATTGGGCCTTTCTCTGACTCTGGCCAGAAGGATGGATTTAAGATGGTGGTGGTGACGTGGGGGGTGGGGGTGAGGGAAGCCATTTCTCCTTTTCTCCACTGAATAACCACCCAGGCCCCTAAATTTGCCCTGATGAGGGAGCTAAATAGGAGAAAGGGTTAAGGCCACTTTCCTGAGGTGTGACCAGAGCAGAGGCCTGGGAAAGGATCCCCAGTCAGCAAGGGAAGGGGTCCCAAGTTATCTCCCCTTCCATCCAAAGAGGAAGGAGCCTGGGCTGAGTTTTCAGCCCTCCTGTACTACTCCTCTCACCTGAGGCTCCTGCTCTGGAGATTTCCAAACACCGATATAGGGGCCAGTGTGGACAGCGAGCCCATGGTCAGTCTCTTCCCCTCACTGCCTTACCCCCTGCAGACCCCTTCATTGGAGCTTCCAAATAGCCCTTTTTATATATATCTATTCTGTGGCCCTGCACAGGGACTCCCCCGGGGCCCACCGACTGGCTTCCTCGCTCCTCTCCCAGCCCCTGCTCCTCAGCTTCTGCCCTGGTTGCAGTCGCCTCTCCTGGCACTTGGGGAGGTGTGACCCCTGGACAGACCCAGTTCTCCTCTGGTTAGGCTCAGGGGTAGATTGGGGTGGATTTCTCGGCAACTCTCTGACTCTGAGTCCTAATAAGGCAGGCTGCCCTCAGTCCGGTCCTTTTAGCAAAAGAGGGGCCACTCTAACTTGAGTCCGTATCTTTTTGGCCACCTACCCCTCTGCCTTGTAGAAGGCTGCGGATCACCTCCCACACAGGCACACACTCCCACCCGCTTGTCTTTCCAAATGAAGCCATCTCGTGTCATTACACGTGAAATACGAGGGTGAAGCGCCATATTTCTTCACATTATGGCGATTTCAAAATGATTTTTTAAAGATCAATGCCGGCGCCCATCTGGCCCCCTCCTTTCCCACCCCTGCTCTCCGAGGGTGACAGCCCGGCAGATCCGTAACCAAACAGCATGAAGGTCTGCCTTTTCCATAGGACCCAAGTGGGGAAACAAAAATCCGATGCAAATTCTTCCAAGCAGAGGTTGGACGCTTGGGAAAGTCGAGGGAGCTCCCCGGACTCACCAGCGAAAAAGCTGGGCACTGAGCGAATGAATCACAGTTAAGGCAAAGCACCTGTTCTCAATTTGCCAGCCCTATGAAGTCTGCTGTTGGCTTTACCTGTCATAAATACACTCTTCAGGAAAAAAGATTCCCTCCCCCGCCATAAATAATGGTGTTATGAAGCATGGTGGGCTGAGTATATGATTTCTGTAGTATATAAATTAGGGCCTAAAAGGACATGTTTACTACGGACTGGGGTTTTTTTATTTATTGAAAAGTCACAGCGCTGGGCTGTCCTTAAGACCCAAGCAAAGCAGGCACTGCGCTCTGACTGCCGTCTTCCTGGTTCCCCTTCCCTCTCCTGCCCTGACTTTGCAGCTGCCTCTCTGCAACAAGAGAGGAGTCAAGAGGACCACTCAGTTTAGGGAAGAAGTTAGAGGAAGAAGAACACTTGGGCTGATGGCTTGTGCTCTACAAGGGTGAGTTCTCCCAGCAGACAAGATTTGGGTTTGTGGGTTGCTGTCTGTCTGAGGAGTTGCCCTTTATTCCCTGGTGGCTCCTGAGTGCTGGGTGAGAAGGGGACTTAGGCCTCTTTTCTGAGATCGGAACTTAGCCTTTGCTCATGAAGAAGCTGGAGAGTGGAGACAATTTTAAAATGACAGGTTTTGGAGGTCTTGGTCTTCTCAGGGAGCAATGACTCCAGAGGAAAGAGAATGAACTGGCCCCTAAGCCCTGTAGTCTGCATCCCAGCTCTTTGCCGTCCAGGTAAATGCACCAAGCAAGGAGTCCCACCCCAGCCAAGCTTTCTGGAAAGCACTGCTGCCCCAAACTGGAGTTCAACTCCAGCTCAGGCAAATGATTAAAGGGTCAGCTGAGAGACTGTGGACTCCCTCCCACCAAAAAAGCCTTGTTTTCTCCCCAGACAATGGTACCCACCATGAAGGAGGATAGCAAACAGGATTGTGGCTCCTGGAGCCCAGCTTCCAAAGACACTTAGTAAAGGGGTTGCTTCAGTGGGGGTCACCTTATCCTAAGAGAGCAAAACTGCTCCATACCCCACCCCCAATCCTAAACAGAAAGAAGGAAAACCCTGCCTTCCCTTGCAGCCTTTTGCCATTCCCTGCACTGGAGCCTCGCCTGAACACAGCTGGGGCCAGTAGCTGGTAGCTTGGAGAAGGGCAAGCAGGGAAAAAAGCGCAGCTCCTGGCCACACTGGGGCCCAGAGCAGCCAACAGTGAGGCCGAGGTTTGAAGAGCAGAGGCCGACCAGCCGGTGAGTGCCTATGCTGTGGGGGTGACTTTTGGAAGGGTCCTTGTCAGTAAGAAGAGAGAGAAAATCTAGAGGAAGGGAAGGAAATGGGAGAAGAAAGAAAAACAATAAGTGAGAATGGGGAAAAATAGTTTGTTTTTAATTAATAAGCTTAGCTGAAATTTACGCGTGTTTAATGTAAATAGATGTGTGTGTCCTATATGTATATTTCAAATCAATATTTCTGTATGGGGAACCCAGTGTGCAAATGCACTCTGCTCTATACTGTATATAGAATATGTAATAAATAAATCTGCCCAACTATGAAACTTGCTGTGCTTGGGCGTTCGTGTATGCAGGATCTAATCGTGCATATGTGGATGCATGCATAACCTCTGTGAGTGATGGAGGTTTCTGATTCTGCTCGTGTAAGAAGATCAGTTACCCAAAAGGTTGTGTGTACATTTTTATAACCATCACACACCTATGGAAAAGGCAAAAGCTTGGGTATTTGTGTACTTGAATTATGGCTATAAAATATTAGCTAATTCAGATGTCGCACTTGAAAATCTGTCCCTTGACTTGATATTCAAGCAAAATATACAGCGTATCCTCAAACAAGTGCATATGACTTAACACTACGTTGATTCTACGACAACTTCTTTCCAAAATGTTTCTCTGGAAGGTAAAATAAATGCTTCAAAGTGGCCCAGAAGAGGTTATGAAATTTTGTGACTTCTTTGTTTGACCATAAAATCCTTTACTGTGTTTCTTACCCAAGACCGCAGGGACGGTGTGCATTGTGTGATGCCTATTTCATGACAGCGATGAGCGCGGGGGTGGAGGCACAGTTACTTATAAGCACATGTGTCTCACAGAATTATGAAGCAGAGGTGGACAGAGATGAGCCGAGTGTGAAAGTGACTGTGGAGGTCAAGCAAAAGCACTGCTGTGTACAACAAAATTAGAAAAGTCCCCAAATCTATGTCTCCAAGCACCAGAGGTATTTCTTCAGACTCAAGATCACAGTCCAGACCCACTCTGGGAAAGAGTGAGGCATGAGGACACTTGCCCCAGTGGGAAAGGACACAAGATCGCAAAATCCTTACCCTTTATGCAAAACGGCCTCCAAAACAGGTATCACATCGAATCTGCATACTCAGGTTCAAATCTCGGTGCTTCCACACCCCCCAAGTGGGGATCTTAATTGTGAAGTAATGAAATCTTCTGCCAAACCTCCCTCCCAGGATGTCAGAGGTGAAAGGAAGGACTGAGAGGTCAGTGGCCCAAGCCCACCTCAGGAATCTTCTTACCAACTCTCAGCCATCAAGGATATCCAAGGCGATGGGGGTGGCTGACTCCTTGGGAGGGGGCATCCAGGAGGCCAAACGGGGTGGGCGGCAGGCAGGCGGAAAGGAGGCGAGCAGGTAGAAGGTTATTACGAAATTGCTTCCATAAAACCTGTGGCTGTTGTAAAACTCTGCTTTCCAAAGACTTTATTTCCTCCTTTCTCTCTAACATTCTCCTTTTTTCTTTTTACAGCACTTTTCCTGGGAGGGGGTGGCCAAGGGACACCAGGGATGGAAGACAGTCAGGCTCTGAGTGACTGGGCAGGTTTGTGAGAGGCCCAGGGAGAAGTGAGATAAGGCCGCAGGGACGCGCCAGGCCATCTCCACCCAGACCAGAGGATGAGAAACTGTCAAGGGACAGAGTTGTTAGCCTTTGCTTATCAGGACAGTGGGTTGAAGGCTCCATTTCCCCTAGGCTAGGGGTGGGTCTCCCTAATGCCCCTCTGCTCTAGCAGAAGCCCCTTGTTCAGAGACCCCCTGGCCCTCCAAGTCAGCCTGGCGCCGAAGCCCCATCCGGTCGGGCCTCTTTCCCGGGCCCCTTTGCACATTTCCTCTGCCTCAAGCAGCAGGGGGAAGGTTTGGGAACAAAAGTTAGCTTATGCTTTGGAAAGTCCCCCTTCTTCCACCAGCACTTCTAGTTATTCCTTTCCTGGGCACAGGGCCAACAGCCTTAAGAGGACCGAGGTCAGAGAGGGTATCAGAGTCTTGCCCTGCCCAACCCCTGGTTTCATCCCTTGTCACTGCATCAGTCGGGGTTGAATTGTCCAACAACCTGGGCTCCCCATTAGCTTGCAAGTCAGGCCCCTCTCCAAGGAGGTGGCACTCAGGACCTATGTGTACCCCCAGCCCAGCCCAAGGCCAGTGGGAAGCCTTTGGCCACTGGGGTGGGTGGGGAGGAAAAAGTCAACTGAGGGATTAGGAAAGGAAGGACTTTTCGGACCTACTTCTGTAGGTCTGGTCCCATAGGGGGCCTTCGACAGGACCCTGAGGGCTTTAGGCTGAGATTGCAAGAGCTCTCAGTGTTTGCCTTTCAGAATGAGACCTACTGAGCCCTCTTCAAGGACCTGAAGCTTCCTGCTGAGGTGGAGCACCAGCCCGCAAAGAGTTACAAAAACCTCAAGAACCCCCTGCATTTCTTTTGAAATCAAATATTTGTGAAGTTGGGGAGAGTTTCTCTGGAAAGTTCTGGATGTAGTTGAGAGCTCAGAGACCCTAAGGCTGGAAGTTGGAGCTCTGACTGCCATCTTTGGGTTGGGCTGAACAGCCCAACAGGGCCAGGGAGGTGCCTCGGGAGAGTTGACTGCTCCTCATCCCCCTTCCCCTCCTAACACACACACAAAAAAACATTCAGAAGTGGGAAGACACTTCCCAGATCTCTTCTCTGGGGGAACATCCTTGTTGCTCCTGGATGAAGGACCTCAAACCTCTTCCCCATTTTGCAAGGTTGATCTTCCAGTCCTGATTCTGCTCCCCTCCCCCAACTCCTCCAGCTAAGCAAGGAGCAGTAACTGCCGTGAATCGGGTGGTTTAATGTTGTTGTGTTCAGAAACCCAGGCCCAACAACATGAAACTACCTAATTCACTCAGCAGTTCCAATTCAAGCTCTAGGTCAAGAGCTCACTGGGGGCAAACCCTGTGGCCATTTTTTTGTGGGCCAAAAAGCGGCTTAACTTCATTTTGCTCCACCTCTTCCCCAACAGAAGAACCCAGTTGCTACTAAACAACACATCGGAAGAACTGAACCCAGGACTCTAGGTAAAACCATTTTGGAGCCGGTCCTGATAGCTCAGATTCCAGAGACATTTGCTGCCTTCCAGGAGCCCTGGCCAGAGAAGAAGACCCTAGACACAGGCACAAGCCTGGGCAGGGCCTCTTTGATATACCTGCTCAGTCTCTGCCTCTCAGCCCAGCTGGAGGTCTCCACAGATAAAAAGAATTCTCAACTTCAAACAGATACGAAGGTGCATCTATACTCAGCACCCTGCTAGCCCCTGTATTCCAGGTCACCCAGCCTCCCAGTGTAGCTCTGAGAGGCCAGATCTTCAAGTCCTACACACCCCCCAGCTTTGAGATTGGGGCTCAGACAGGAGAGTGAGACAAAAGAGTGCTGAGAAAGAAAGTGACAGAGAGAAAGGTGGAAAAGCAGAGTGTCAGAAAGTTTCGGGAATTCTAGGGAACAAACAGAGGAAGAATGGGATTTGGAGGGGAAAGCCGGTTGATCTGAACAGTTGCTGTGAAGGCACCCTGCCCAAAATGTCCCAGGGCCCTGGCTCTGCAGAGGCCGAGCTGCCCCAGGTAAGACAATTCATTCCGAATCTTCGCAGAATAAGGACTGAGAGGCTAAGGACTGGGATTGGGACACAGAGAACAAATTTGCTTCCTCCTTCCTGACCTTCGGTCTGGGTCCTTGGCCCCCTAACGTGCCCGCTCCTCACCTCTGCCTCTCCAGACACCCGCCTGCTCACAGGTGCTCACGCTCACACCCGCACCCATCGCAAAAACGCAGCTGTGCAGGCCGAGGGCGGCGGCGGACTTACCTGGGCGGCGGCGGTGCCGGCAGTGCGCGGCCGTCGGAAGGTGCGGAGCCAGCGGCCGCGGCCCAGTCCAGGCTCCCTCCCGCCCTCGCCCAGAAGCGAGGGTCCGAGTGGCCACGTGTCCGGCAGGGAAGTCCGAGGTAGCGAGGGAGTCCACCTGGCCGCCCGCTCCCCCTCCCGGGTATAAATCTTGGGGACCGGAAATACAATAAAACTTCACCGTGTTGATGAACTTCAAACGGTTTACATCCCCTCCTGTCCTGAAAAGAAAGACGTCCGGGGGCGGATTAAAAGGAAGGGGAAACAAATTTACGAGCGGCAGAAGCACCCGCCTCGGCCCCTTTCTTTGCCCGCACACTTTGTCCGCGTGGAGAGAAGCAGCCCCAGCCCCCGGGACTTGGCCTCCGCCGAACCGGCCGCCAGGCGCGCTCTTCTCTCGGAGGAGTCGGCGCTGACCCAGCCCGCGCCCGGCAGAGACTGGAAGCCGCCGCCTACACGGAAAATCCACAGAGCCCCGCGCAGACCCTATGATCGGCTCGGCCCGCCGGGCTTGGGATGAGGCTCCCTGCTTCTCGCTAGAGCAGAACTGGGCTCCCTGGCGCTTCCTTGCGAAAGCCCAGGCTCTCCCAACCACGCCCGGTGGCCTCCATTTTTTGCATCTTTCCGCTGAAAGCGGGTTTTTTCTTTTTTCTTTTTTTTTGACAGAGTCCTGCTGTGTCACCCAGGCTGGAGTGCAGTGGCGCGATCTCGGCTCACTGCAACCTCCGCCTCCCGGTTCAAGCGATTCTCCTGCCTCAGCCTCCCGAGTAGCTGGAACTACAGGCGCCCGCCACCACGCCCGGCTAATTTTTGTATTTTTAGTAGAGACGGGGTTTCACAATATTGGCCAAGCTGATCTTGAACTCCTGACCTCGTGATCCACCCTCCTCGGCCTCCCAAAGTGCTGGGATTACAGGCGTAAGCCACCGCGCCCGACCCAAGGGTTTTTTGTTTTTGTTTTTTGTTTAACTTTACTTTTCTCTTTCCTTTTCCGTTTCTAGCGGCCAGACCTTTGCCCAGCCCTGCCCGTTTATTGCCGGGTACTTGCTGGAAGGGGACAGAAGATAAGACTCGGGGTGACTCCCAAGGCCTGAAGGGGGCTGATTGGGCCGGGGGCTCCCAGAGGATAAACCTAGGGGCCGGTCGGTCTTCCTCGGCGTGGAAGTGAGAGCCACGCGGCGTGGCGGAGCTCCACCACCGTCTCCTTATCTCTTTAAAGCCTCAAAATCAAACAAAACCACTACTACCCAGGCCTCAAGTTTCCACAGTTTTTGTCTGCTCTGGACCGTTTACTTTTTTTGAAAAAAGAGAACTTGGTGGAATCCAAATTCTCTACTAGGCCTCCGAACCAAAACGAAGGAAAATCCGTTTTCTTCTTGGGCTTCAGAGAACTGGGATCGAAGTGATTGACTTCCTGCTCCTTTTGTCTGCTCCAGGGGCCTGGTTAGGTGCCCTTCTGGATGGGAGAGCAAAAGGTTCTCCATCCTGCCTCACAGTTATTCACCTCCAAAACAGTTTTGAGACACAATGGATGGCTAAGATTAGCTCAGGCTCAGGCAGAGTGTTCAGGTACAGGAGTGAGGTCCAGCTGCAGGCCCAAGAGGGGGTTTAGTGCACTGAAGGCACCCACCTTCCCATAGATACACACATAGATAACCCCACTCCCCAACCCCAAGAAAAGGCACCAAAGTGCTGCTGGATATTTTAAAAATCTGATTAAAAAATAAACGGGCAGGGAAAATACTAGGCAGTATAGGTTTTGAATTTTCTGAAGGGTTAACTCTGCTGCAGGCAGTCCCACTCGGCCCCAGCTCTCCAGAGGTGGGTGGTGGTCTGGGGGCAGTGCCCTCTGGCCCCTTCCTAGCACCAAAAGGGAGGAATTGGGGAGCTCTTTAACAGCTGGAGGGCAGGAAGTATCTTATTTCTGGCCAACATTCATATTCCAGTATTTGCATGGGGAGGCCCCTCCAGCCTCCCTCATTTGCTCTTTATCATGTTATATTTTCATTCAAAATACTGAGATGGCAGCTACTGGCTGTCACTTCTTCTATTAGGATTTCCCTCTGGGAGGACGGCAGGACTGAGGGGCCAGCAGTTTCCAGACCATTCAAGAGTGTTATTACCCATCCCCTACCGGGCACCTGGTGGGGGCCGGTGTGCTGGCTCCCAGCCTACTGCTGGCCTGGGTCTCTGTGGCTCCCTGGCTGAGAAAAGGAGATGGAAACCTTTTATAGTCTTAGACTCTTTGGAAAAACTGAAGAGGCCATAGCCTTAGGATGATGCACCTGCACACCCATATGTTTTGCATACATTTCCAGGGGCTTTGTGGCTTCCCCCTACCCCCATCCCAAGAACCCAGGCCATGGATTCCAATTAAAAAAACAAAATTATCTGTATGGTGCCAAAGGACACCCCAAAGCCATTCCCATAGATACCAGCTGTGTCTTTCCGAGGGCTCCCCAAAGGATAAGTCAACTTTCAGAGGCTCAGCACAGACACCCATGGCCGGGGTGCTGGTGCCGCTCATACACTAACTAGCTGAGATGATGGTCACTCCGTGAGTAAAGGCCAGTTAGGCAACATTTCTTTTCACCCCCAAACGTTTTCCAAACACTTTTCCAAAAGCATGTTGACCTCCAAATTATTCAGAAAATTGATGGCCATGCTGGAGGGTTTAGAGGTAACTTCTCCCCACTCCCTTTCTTCCTTGAAGATAAAGCAGAGTTCTAGCGTAACTGGAGGGGGGCTAGACAATTTGGTTGGTGAGAGGAGGCAGTGTAGACACAGACGCAGAACACAAGTTCCTTAAAGAAACAAAAATTGAGACCCTTTTCCATTTTGTGAGAGTCACAAGAATAAATATTTCTGGGACTTCCTGGCCTGTCTCCCTTCACAGGGTTCATTACAGGCGGGGAGGGAGGAGACAGTCTCGGAGAATTCAGAGGTGCCAGAAGCCGAGTTCCTAGACCCCAGCTGGATTTTTTTTTTTTTTTTTTTTTTTTTTCCAATTTCTGGCGGCGGGCGGCTGGGGAAGCAGCTCTGTGGTCTCCCGGCGGGTGAGGCCGAGACAGAGACCAACCTCTAGGCGGCGCCCTGGCGTTGAGTCCGCGCTGAACAAGATTCTCTCGCAGCTCTGCGTCCCGCGCCGGGTGAAGGGGCGTGTTCCTGCAGGCGCTCGGGGCTCGGCCTGGAGCTGGCGGCCGGCACGTCGCCTTTGGCGCCCTCTGCCAACCAAGAGAAACACGGTTAAATGAGTGCGCTGGGACAGAAATCCACAGCTAATCAAGGCCCCATCCGCTCCCACCCCCTGGCCCTTACCTCCTAACTCCATCTCCGACGCTAGGGAGCCTTCCACAGCCCGAATCTCCTTTGATGTCCCCAGCAGCCGGCTAGAGGGCAGCGCCAGCATCTTTAAACCCCTCCCCCAGCTTGCAAAAGAAGACACTGAGGTCCGAAGGAATTAAGTGATTAGCCCAAGATCGGAGCAGCTATTAAAAGTGGTGAAGCAGGGCTGGAGGAGGAGCCCTCTATTCCAAGTGGAATGTTCTTTACCCCAAATTACCACGACCATTCACCCCCTCCAAACGTGTCTTTCTTGTAAGCAAAATTCATCTCCAGAAAGGCAGCTTTTTGGTGTTTTCTATGTTGGAAGTTTGGCGTTTCTTGGGTTTCAAATTTGGGGAGGCCCATAAGAAAACTAGAGGCGGATATAGGGACAGCCAGTACAGGATTCAAAGCCAGGGCAAATCCAGCCCCCTCTTCCAAGAAATGCCAACTCCTCACTTATGACGTCCCTAGCTGCATGACCCTGGCCAAGTGCCTTAGGCCCCGAGGTGCCCAGATGAAGACCTACTGGAAAGGGAAGTTGTGAAGTGTGAATGCTTTGTGAAAGAGACTCAACAACTAAGAGAAGCTGCCAGCAGCAGGACTGCTCCACAGCCCCCAAACGAGGGGGGTTAGGGCCAGTCAGGCCACTCTCCTTCTTGGCCCAAATAGGGCCTCTTTGTTAAATTCTTGTGGAGCAAGGAAAGAGAGGTCTTGTTCTGGAATGAGCCCCTCAGAAACGTCCAGGGCCTAGGAAGAGCAGGATAGGAGAAACCAGGGTCCCTCTTCCCCTTCCCCTGTGGCAGAGATGCCATTTTATACTGCAGAGCCCTCTGAGAGACATTTCTGCAAAGTTATTCCTAAAACAGAGGAGCCAGAGAATCACCTGCGGAGGAGGAAGGCAACAAGAGGAGGGACGGGCTGCTGGGACCAGGCAGCAAAGGACAGGCACCTACTATGGGGCAGACTATGATGGGGCGCCTGCTGGGGTCTACAGTCCCACAAGAGGTGCATTTCCCAGCCGGGCAGGAGCTCTTGAGGATGCCTAATTACCCAGCGCACATCTGGAGCAGCTGCACCCTCGGACACATTATTTCGCTCCAACCCCTATTTTCATTCTGGAGGCTGAGTCATAAAAGACTGTAGAGGCAGAATAAAGTCGGGTCTGTATGTGTCAGCATTCCTGTGTGTGAGTGTGTGTGTGAATATGTGCACGTCTGGGGTGACGTCTGTGCATCTCACTGTGATTGCCCAACGGATTCGCTAAAGTTAGGGAAAAAAATGGAGCAACATCAGGCGAATTCAACTGCGAACATACTGTCAGCCTCATTATCTGCCCATTTCAAGGGAAAGCATTTGGGTCTTGGAATTAGCCAGTTAATTGCCTCACTTCTTTGTTCACTTTAGGGCAGGAGGAATTATCTGCATCCTTTTAAAGCATCTATATTTCAAAACTTTAAGATCTCCGCATTCTCAATTTTCTTTATTTCTATCTTTATAACACTTGAGCACTCAGATCTGCCTGTATCTCTCTCTCTCTCTCTCACATACACACATACACACACACACACACGTGCTTCATGCTTGAAAAGTAACTCTTAGTATCTGCATCTGTAAAATCTGGTGTCTTAACTCTTAAAGTTGATGTAAGGATTAATTAATGTACTATGATGTACTATGTGTCTAGCATTTAGCACAATACCAGGTGCACAGGCAGCATTTAGTAAATAGTAACTATTAATAATAAGGAGGAGGACGAAGAGAAAAGAGGAGGGGGAAAGTGGTATGGGGGGTGGGGGTGAGTGGCAAGGAGGAAACCTGCTTTGTTCACAGAGAGCCAGCCTAGGACGGAGGGTGTGTGTCTCAGCTGTATATGTATAATGTATTCTTTTGACTTAGAGCAATGTCTATAAAAGTGAGGCCCCTTGGACCCCTTGGCCTGTAACTACCTCTTCAATAAGGTACAGAGAATTGGGGCAATTATCTGGCTCATTTCAGGTTCAAACTCCCTTTAGCCTGTAGTATCTGGATCTCATAGGGGAAAGGTCTGAGAAGTGGTGGCTTGTATTCCTTTGGCTTTTCAAGGAGTTATTTCCCTTTGCTGTGGTGAGCACGGTCCTGCCTTAGAAAATGGGTAGACAAGAAATAGGGGGCCACGAAGCTGGAATTAAACAAAACATCTAAGAAACGCTTGACAAAAATCAGGTCTTACCTACTTCCTGGGCAGCCAGGAGGAGGCCTTGAAGTTCTCCATACACTCGCCCCAGAGGACCACCACCCCACTAACAGAAGTCACAGCCTTTTGCCTGCTGGGGACTTTCATTCCACATTCAGCAATCATTTCCTGAGCGCCTACTATGTGCCCAGCACTGGGCTGAGCTCTGGGGCTTCAGCAGGGCTGCACCCCACCGGTTGGCAGTGCCGATGTGGCAGCCAGCAAGAGGTCTTGGCTCCTAGAAACAAGTCCAGGACACAAGAAGGAAGACAAGCCTGCTGGGCAAGAACTTCTGGCCAATAGCAGCACTGCCTTTTCAGGGCCAAGTCCTAGTGCAGGGGCGGAGCCAGAAGGTCGGGAGCACCCCCTTCTAATTGTCTATCAGAAAAAGGCCAACTCCATGGTGCAGATGGCCCAGTGCAGGGAGGGGTGGGGCAGGCAAAGAGATGGCTAGAGGCTCCTGACCCTCAGTTGGAAGTTTCTGAGAACACCAATTAGCTTTCTTTAATTAGTAAAGTAGGGAGCAAATGAGCATATATTTCTTCTGCTCTGATTAAAAGCATTTAGGTCAGGTTTTCACAGCCAAGATTATCCAGTTTAAGCTGTCCCAAGAAGAGAATTGTTTATTTTTTTCTTTGTATTTTCAGGCAGGGGTCTGAATACTATTAGCCAACCATTGGCTTCTTGTCACAGCCTCGAACTGCTGGGCAGGTGGGTGGTGGTTGTGCAGCACAGAGAGGGGCAACTAGAAATGAGTTGGAGTCTTTCCTGTGCCAAGTCACATTTGTTTGAAATGTATAGACAATTGAGGAGCAGCCAGGAGGGCTTGGGTTTGGAGTGTAAGTATGTATGGAGGGGGAGGGTACAATTAGCCAGATAATTTCCAGTTCTCCTAATTTGTCTTAACATAGTCCTTGAAAAAGGAAGTTTCTTTTTACTTCCCAGACCCCAAAGAAGCCTGATTTTTCTCCTGGGAGATCTAGCTTGGTCAATTCACACATGTGGGGAGATGGCCAGGAAACTTAATAGGCCGGGAAAGAAGAGCTAAGTCCTTCTTTACACTCTGTGTCTAAACAGGCCACAACACAAGAGGCTGGGCGTAATTAGGAGGTCCCCCAGGATAGTCAGGGGTCACATGCTGTTTATCTCTTACAAACAAGATTACTAAAATATTAGGGAGCAAATCCTTCCCCTTTAAGTTCAGCATTTGGTATTCCCCAGCCTCTAACCTTGGCTAAATCAGCCCCAAGTAGAGCTGGGTCCCTGAGGAAATGGAATAAGTGAGTCAATAAGGGACACAAAGGAACATTCTATTGCCCAGTCCCCATTTGCTTGACTTATAGGCAGCTTTAGTTAGGAGGCTGTTTCCAGATAGTCTTCCCTTCCAGGAGTTCTGGTATGGTTTTTAGTCCCTGGGAAGCTGCTTAAGCCTGATTTCCTTCCATTGCTGGTCCAACTGCTGGCCAGTCTAAGATCAGCTTTCCCCAGCAAAGCTCTTCCCACGTTCTCAGGCTCCCAGCTGCTGGGAAGGAAAGACTGACTCCCACTGGGAGCCCAGACCCTACAGGTAATGGTGGGGAGAGGACACTGCCACCGGAGTGTTTTTACAGGTGAAGGCTGGCCTGGCAAAATGGAGATGTCAGCCAAGAGAAAGGGTGAAGACCTACGTAAACTGACTATATTTGGCCTCGGCATTTCCCAGACACCAGCTCCTTTGATCTATCCAAATTGTAGTTGTTAACTTGGTGTCTGAGGAGTCTGAAACTCTCTGAAATTGTGGGATTTGGTGAGTACTACATACGCACATTTTTTTTCTGGGTAGAGGGGAATCAATATTGTTCATCAAAATTTAAATTATCATATCAGGGAGTGGCCCCAAAATGTTAAGAACCTCTCATCCACCATTCTTACACAACCAACCAAAAATGTAATGCAGAGGGAGGCATTGTAATATACTTGGGGATCTGACAAGACAAATTAAAAGGACAAACAATTTATTGTTCCACAAGGTTGAACAGATACTGTCACCTGGACTTCTTGGAACACCAGGAACCAGGTCACAGGTGCTGGGGACTCTTAGACTGAGACCAGTCAGGCCACAACACCCAATCACTACCTCCTCCATATTTGCCTGTGCAGACAAGGAGTATGCAAGGTCTCTGTGTCTCTAATTAAATTAATATGGAGCTTTTATCCACTGGGGCCTGGACCTTCCGCCATTTGTCACCTTGTCCAAAGCTATCTCATACCGAAAGAGAATTGAACGTTTCAGGAAACACTTCCCCTTTGCAAATGCCCTTCTCTTGGGGAATGGGTATAGTGTCCAAATCTCCAGCTCCCACCATTTCTAGCCAGCCCTGAGGAATTGTCTGAGACCCGGGAGCCCAGAGATCATCAGCGGGGGCCAACAGCCATGACCTTTGAGTTTTCTTGGCCGCTGGGCCACAGAAAGGGTGCAAGAGGCAGCTGGACAGGTAGACAGAAGTAGGCACAAAGAAAGGGGCCCTGGACGGTTGCCAGAGAAAAGACGGAGAATGACAAAGAGAGAAGTGAAATAGCTGGACTGGAGGCGGGAACTGGAGCGCAGCAGGCAGGTGGAGTGGCCAAAACCCGCGTGCTAAGAAGAGCCCACAGGGGCGGCAGGGGCGGCAGGGGCGGCAGAGGCGGCCAGGCGCGTCTCCGTTCCCCATCTTTACGGGGAGGTTAATGACCTCCTCAGCGCCCCCTCGTCCCAAACCACCCAATTACAACTCCTCAGGCTCCTTAATGATCTGATTAATTGGTTGGTTAGGGCGGATGGAGGTGCTTCTCTGCCGGGGACCTGGCGGGGTTTCGCTAGATCATTTGTTAATTGTGGGAAGGAAGGACGCATCCGGGGAGAGGAGATCCAGGGCTGGAAAAGTGGGTGAGCGGCGCTGGCGCAGGCGGCCAGGAGAGAGCAGATGAACCGTTCGTTAGGAGCAGCGAGGTAGTCGTGAGCGCTGAGATCCAGAGACTAGGACCCACTCCCTCTCTGAGCAGCAAATTGGGAAGAAGATGCTCACTCGGTAAGGGCGAGGGAGCCCGGCATGGCGCCCCACCACGGGCTCGGTCTATCTGCGCGCCAAGATCCCGCTTGGGGCGAGGCGTTGGGTCAGCGTTTAGAGCCACTCCCTGCGCTGGTGGCTGGACATAGCCTCCCTATCCCACCTCATCTTCCCCCATCCCCGACAGAGGAGGTTGTGAATCTACAGGCCCTTGACGTTGAGGCGTCGGAGGGCGCACCTTTGTAATTGCGGCCTCCCTTCGCCCCTTAAGTGCCGCTTCTGGGCGCCTAGGCTGGATATGAAAGCCCCGTTCCTAATCCTCTGCTCTGGTCCCCTCCTCTGGACTGCTGGGACTCTAAGCTAGGCCCTCCCCAGGTTCCATCACTGCGGCGCCAACCCGCGGCTGGGCTGTCCGCAAGAGGGAGTTGAAGGCGCGCGGAATCCCGAGGTGCAGCTGACCCTCCTCTCAACGCCGACTCTGCCGCTCCCGCCCGGCCACCTCCCTGTCGGGCAGACTTCCTGTTCTCCTGCTCACAGCAGGGAGGCAGTCGCCGAGCCGGTCAGCAGCGTGCACGGAGATCTTCACTCTGCGCCCAGCCCCGGGACACAGGTGCAGATCTCCAGCGGAGCACTGCGGAGTGCGCGCCGTCGAGCACTAGGGAATCCTAGACGGAGGACTTGGTCCATTCCACGCAGTCCCAGGCAGGTCCGCAGCGGAGGGACGCAGCGGTCTCCAACTCCTGGTCACGACTTCGGCGACCCTCCACCCCCTGAGAGACCTGGTCCCACGGAGCTGTCCCCCCAGGAGCCGCAGCGGGAATAGCAAAGCAAAGGGGACCACTCAGCCCCCAGGAGGAGCCCTGAAGCAAAAAGGTTGCTGCGGGGAGCCACGTTCCCTCTGGTTCACCTCGAAGCCCAGGAGCTCCGGTCCCTGGACCAAGGAGTGAACAGACCTGAGGAAGAGGTAAGAGGAGGTTTAACGAGTAAAAATTTGGACTCTCTCCTCTTATACTGCTTTAAAGCATGAGGAATTTGGGCCCTGACTTCTCTCTCCTTGAAGAAGTTTCTCGCGTTCTGGCCAGTCCTTGCGTGTCTGCACCCAGGGCCGGCAACAATTTAAGGAGGAACTTTACTGGGTGGTCGAGGCTTGAGAGTTCATAGTTACCTTTTAAAAAAATCATTACTATTACTTAATATCTAGGTTATTTTGGACTGAGCCCCCATCTTCGCTCCAGCCCAAATTCGGCCTTTAACAGTACTAGGGAGTGCTTCAAAAGAGGAGGGTCGTGGAGGAAGCGACTCAGACGGCCCCAAGAGGAGAGATGGGAAGGAGTGAGGGCTTTGGCCTTAATGATCTCTGCAAGTTAAAGGCCATTATTCCTATAACTACAGCTGGGGAAAGGGCAGAGGAGGTAAGGACGGAAAGTGGGCTGAGGGTGGCCACTTTGGCATCTTCTTGAGAAAGGAGACATTTGAATTCCCGGCCCAACTAAAAGCCCTGAGATGCTTGCCCTTTGCTTTACAGACAGTGATGGCAAAGAAATACTGCCACCAGGGTGTTTTTAAAGGTGAAGGTTGACCTGATAAGCACTGAGATCAGACAAAGGAAAAAAAAAGTAAAGCATTTGGTCTTTCAGTTTTCTGGCTAAATCTGGCATCATTTTCCAGACACAAACTTCTCTGATTAATCCAAATAGCTCTCAACCTGAAGTTCAAGGAATTTGAAATCCTCTGAAATTGTGGGATTTCACAGTTCTAAAAGGAAGTCAGCTGTCACTTTCTGAGAAGCCCTGGGAGGGGAAGGAAGCAAGAGGAGGTATATGAGGAAAGGGGGTGAGAGGCCCCAGATCTAGCTCTCTAGACATTTAGTGCTGGACCCCCAAGCTCTGAAACTCAAGCTGACCCCATCTACACATTGCCAAACTGAGTAGAAAGTTGCAAGGCAGTCAAGGAGATAAATTTTATTTACTGCTTTAAGGATGAGTTTGGGTGTCTAAGCAGATTATAAATCTGGGTGTTTTCAGTATTTGTTTCTTTCTTTCAACTATTACTGATTTTTGGCCCAGAGTAGTTTCTGGGGCCCTTGGGGCAGTTAGGCAAGAGAGGGACTCAGACCTCCAGTCCCTTGATCTTGCCTTTACTTGGTGAAGAGCCCAAGATTCTCTACTGGCAGGCAAGGTCAGAACCAAGTTGGCCCTAGGCCTTGCCCCAACCCCCCAGCCCTCAGGACTCCTTTCTCTGAGACCAGGCCTCTGGCCAAACTGCAGACTCCCTCCACACCCGGTCACTGGAATAATGATGGCATTTTTGATTTCTCCCATTTTTGAAAACTATAGAAGCCCCAAGGAGGAAGGAGGTACCACTGGATCTTGGGGTGCTGGTGGGGGATTCTGGAATCAAATATCCTCTAAGCCTGTGAGGACAAGGTCTACTAGGATGACTTGGTGTCAATTACAGCTCTGAGTGCTGCCTGGATAGGTCAAATATTCCCTCCTTTCCCTCCTCATTCCTTCCGTTCAAGCCCAGAAAATTCACAGATTTTCTGTGTGGAGAGAGAGAAAAAAAATGGGCAAAACCTGGGAGTAAAAGGGAGATGAGGGAGAAGAAAATGAGGGAGAGAAACCAATAGACTAAAACAATGAAACTCTCTAACCCAACAGCACTTTAAGCTTGACTTTTAATCTGGCCAGAAAAAAAAAGAAGTTGGAGGCAGGGTGGGTGGGATGTGAAGTTCCCAGCCCAACAGATCCTCCTGTTGTCACGGGCTCTGTGCGTTCCCAGCTGGTGAGAACCCTGTCTGTCCTGGGGGTGGGAGGGATGTCCTGGGTCTTTCAAGTTGCAGTGTGGGGAGTGAGGCTCTTTCTAAGGGTCTCTGAGGTCTCCCACAACACCTTGCTTGGACTAGCAAAACCTTTCTTTGCATTTCCTCTGGGGCACTGTGTATGTGTATCCCTGTGTAGGGTGGTGTTCTAAACCACCGCAGAAGGTGAGCAATTCTCCTCCCAGCGAGCCAAAGGCTATATGTTTGGGGTGGAGGAGGCTTCATCCCTTCTGGACTGGAGAAATGGGGACTTGGAGCCAAGTGCGCCAGACTTTAGGGAAAGAGAGGAGCTCCAGCTCCAAAAGGGATTTGGAGGGAAGATCCTATCAGGAAAGGCCCCCCAGACTTGCTTCCTCAAAGGGTTAGGGAAGTGCACTGAGAAAAGAGAACTTTCACTTAACTCTTCTCCATTAGGCATCTTTGTGCTTCCATTTGTACTGGAAAGCACAGTCCTGGGCAGTCAGTTGCACATTCCGCCTCTGGTATGTGGACTATGTGAAATATACCATGCAATGTTCTACTTTGCGAGGGGGGAGGCATATAGATGAAAATATGAATTTCCCTTCTACTGCCTTTATTATTGAGCACAGTTGGGAGCACATAATTTCACATCTCTTTCGCATGTCTGTATAAATCCTCAATCTTTAAACGGTGCTTGACTACTCCGAGAGGCACAGTTGCTGTCATATAAGATTCCTAGCCGACTCCGGCGAGTTACTAATTCCTCTCAGACTCCACAATACCCACGATGCACGATGCACACCCCTTTATGCTTGCTTTTCTTTACATGCCTTTTCAAAGGCGAATAATTTTTGTATTGACCCATGAGTCAGTCCATACAGTTTGAAATCCTTTGGATGCCCTCTGCCCACTCCCATAAACAACAGGTCCCTCCACAAAAATGCACATGCCCCGTTTTTGTGAGTGTGGGTTTCAAATAAGATGGCGTCTCCTGGCATTCCTTAGATTCAGATACACGCTCTCTCAGGCAGGAGGCTGCTCACAGTCCAGAGGGGAAGAAAACCTATGAGGCCCCCAAAAGCCAAAGCAAGAGACTCCCCCAAGTATTCTGCCCCCTCCACGCCAGGAGGCAGCTAGAGAGACAGCGCGCGGGAGAGCTGATTCTGCACCTTGGGGAGCTGGGGGCTTCTGTCTAGACCAAGAGTTCCAGGCCAATTCCTAATTTCCGTTAGGAAAAGTGGCCCTTCTTCCATCCCAAGCGATTCCTCACCCCCAAGGCTGCTCAGGGCGTCTGGCCCTTGCCTCTCTCACGGCATCCGCCTGGAATCCGGGGTTGTGAGCAGGAGGCCCAGGACGCAGGGCCTCAGGCTGGGCGGGGCACTGAGCACTCGGCTCTGGGGAGCCAGGGTTTCCGGTAGAACGAGGGGAGGCGACCCCCTTTCCCCACACACACACCTGTTGGAGAGGTAGGGTCGGGTGCCAGCGGACAGGGAGGCCAAGGCGTTTTCGGGTGCGCCCCGAGGCCCTACCCGGGAAGCTGCCTCGGTCTGGAGATCAAGGTTAAGCCGGTGGCCCCGGGAAGCCCACGCCTGCCACGGGCGGTTGGTCCTGAAAGCTCGGGCCACGGGGCTGCCCAGCTTGGAGAGGGGCCTTTCACGCCGCAGTCCCCAGCTGCGAGAGGAAGGGCTGCGCCCGCCTCCTCACCTACCTCTCGGAACCACGCCGTCCCCCGCGCGTCTTCGTAGACTGCAGGAGTCCAGGGCGTCTGGGGACTGTGACGGCGCCCAAGGCGGGGGATGTGGCGGCTCTGGGTCGCCGCCTTCTGCCCCCGCCTCTGTGAGGCCTCTCGAGGCAGTGTCTGTGTCTGGGGCAGCGACGCCGACGGCGCTGGGGGCGCGAAGGGGCTCACGCTCCTGCGTTCCCCTGGCGCCGGTGAGTGGCGGGCGAGGACAGGGTCCGGGAGGGGGATAGGCGAGAGCGCTTCCTGCCTCCGCCCGGGCGGGGCTCGGCCGTCTCACCTGCCCCCACCCACGGCGCCGTCGGATCCCAGAGCGGCTGGTGAGGAGATGGGCCTGGCGCGCCGCGGGGAGGCCAGAGGCGCGGAGGAGCAGCGCCCAGATGGCCGGAGAGAGCAGAGAGAGAGAGAAGAGAGAGAGAAGAGAGAGAGAGAGAGAAGAGAGAGAGAGGGAGAGAGGCAGAGAGGGAGAGAGGGAGGGAGAGAGGGAGGGAGGGAGGGAGGGAGAGAGAGAGAGAGAGAGAGAGAGAGAGAGAGAATATGAGAATATGAGAATATAAAAGGCAAGAGAGAAGCAGATCCAAGGGCGCGCCCAGAGAAACATCAAATGCACAAATAGACAAAAGAGGTAGAGGAGAAAGCTGAGTCCCAGGGGCTGAAAGAAGCCATGGGCGTCTGAAGCGAGCGACAAGTTATCCTTGGGAGTTGGAAATGTGAGAGGGAGGGGCGAGGCCGAAGGAGGCTGAGAAGGGGAGGGGGCGCTCACACCCTGGGCGGGAGGCGACTGATCCACACTTAGGGCTCCGAATCCGGAGAAAGAGAGCGCCGGACCCTCCTCCGCCCACCTCCCGCCCCAGCCGCAGCCCAGCGACTTCCCGCCATCCTCGGCCACCGAGCGGCTCCTGCCTGGGGTTGTTCGACCGGGATGGCTGCACCAGGCTGAAGGTTGTCCCTCTACCTGCCTCCTTTCTTCTGTTCCCTGTGCCTTACATGGGTTCCTCCCTATTCTATGAACCCAGAGGGAACGACCTTGGCCAAGGTTAGAGAAGGAGCTTGAAAGTTTCACTTTCCATCTTAGCCCTCAGGACGCCTTTGCGTTTTGGCCCTTCGTTAGCGTGCTATCCTGGAATTGCAGGCTCTTCTCTTTATTTCTGAGACCCAAATAGAGGTTTAACCTCCTTAAAATCAGTGAAACTACGACAAACAGTGGCATTCCTGGCTGTCTGGTCTCTAAGGAGTGCCCCCCCTCCCTGACCTCAGCCCTGAGACCCTGCTTCCTCCTCAACCTGCATGGGACTGGGGACACCCCCTCACAATCCAGTCCCTTCCTGCAGGTGGTTGTCCAGGGGGCATGTAGAGGTGTGCCTGAGCTCTGTGTCCTAAGCCTGGCTCTGCCACTGACTTCAGCCCCCACCCCTTCTCCTTTTAGGCCTCAGTTTTTCCTCTGTAAAATGGGCAGAGTGATTTTACAAGTGATTTTACCAAGTGAGAACTGTTGAAATATCTTACTATAATTGTGGATTTGTCCATTTCTCCTTTCAATTCTATCATTTTCGGTGCTTCATATATTTTTGAAGCTCTGTTATTAGGTGTGTACATTTAAGGTTGATGTGTCTTCCTAGGTGTGTACCACATTTAGATTTAGGATTGATGTGTCTTCTTTTTTGAGATGAAGTCTTGATCTGTCACCCAGGCTGGAGTGCAATGGTGCAATCTCGGCTCACTGCAACCTCCGCCTCTTGAGTTCAAGCGATTCTCCCACTTCAGCCTCCCGAGTAGCTGGGACCACAGGTGTGTGCCACCACGCCCAGCTAATTTGTGTAGTTTTAGTAGAGACGGGTTTTCACCATGTTGGCCAGGCTGGTCTCGGCTCCTGACGTCAGGTGATCCGCTTGCCTCAGCCTCCCAAAGTGCTGGGATTAGAGGTGTGAGCCACGGCTCCTAGCCATGATATGTCTTCTTATGCTTTGCTTCTGCAGCCTCCTCTCATTTGCAGGTTCTGTTGAGCTTGAACCGCTGAGAGAAAAATGCATCCAAATGGGAATTTTATTCTATATCCACGTAAACATGAATATAGAAATATGACAAAACTAAATTTTGCTTCCAAAATGTTTTTGTTTTGTTTTGTTTTTGTTTTTTTGTTTGTTTGTTTTTTCTGAGACAGAGTTTCGCTCTTGTTGCCCAGGCTGGAGTGCAATGGCACAATCCCAGCTCACCGCAACCTCTGCCTCCCGGGTTCTCCTGCCTCAGCCTCCCTAGTAGCTGGGATTACAGGCATGTGCCACCATGCGCAGCTAATTTTTTGTATTTTTAATAGAGACGGGGTTTCTCCATGTTGGTCAGGCTGGTCTCGAACTCCCGACCTCAGGTGATCCGCCCGCCTCAGCCTCCCAAAGTGCTGAGATTACAGGCATGAGCCACTGCACCCGGCCAACGCCCAGCTAATTTTGTATTTTTAGTAGAGATGGGGTTTCTCCAGTTCGTCAGGCTGGTCTCGAACTCCCTACCTCAGGTCATCCGCCCGCCTCAGCCTCCCAAAGTGCTGGGATTACAGGCGTGAGCCACCATGCCCGGCCCCAGAATTTTTTCTATTTGGGTCTATTTTTCTACTTTTTCTTCACTTTTTGTTGATATATAGTATTATAGAACCTAATATTAAACCTCTGGCTCAATATATTTTTGCATAGATCCCATCTGTGTAACCACCACCTAGATCAAGATGTTTCCGGCTTACCAGAAGGCCCCATTGTAACTCCTACCAATCAATAGCTCTCTGGTCAATCCCTCCATACCCCCTAACAATTATTTGGCTTTCTATCACCATAGATTAGTTTTGTCTAATCCTTCAACTTCATATAAACATAAGTATGTATTCTTTTGTCTGGCTTCATCTGCTCAGTATTACTTGTGTGGGACTCATCCATGGTGTTGTATATGGCAGCAGTTCATTCATTTTATCATTGTGTCATATTAGTTGTATGAATATATTACAATGTATTTAACCTGTTTGGCTCTTGGTGGACTTAAGGGTTATTTTCAGTTTGGAGCTATAATGAAAAAGCTGTTATGAACATTACATCTGTGTCTTTTGATGGATGCCTGGACTTGGAGACCCAGGAGTGGAAATGCTGGATAACAGAGTAGGAAAATGTTTGTTTGTTAAATAATGACAGTTTTCCAAAGTGGTTGACCAGTTTACACTCCCACTAGTAATGTGTGAGATCCATAGAGAAGTAAGCTTTACAAAAAAAAAAAATGACAGAGAGGACTCAGGATCCAGTTACTGCATATCCCTACCAACACCTGACACTGTCTCTCTTCATTCTGGTGGGTTTGTGGTAATCTTGCAATGAGGTTTTTTGCTTGTTTGCTTTTCGGAGTTGTTTTTTTTTTTTTTTTTTGTACATTTAAAAAATTGTGGTAAAAACATATAATAAATTTTACCATCTTAACCTTGTTTAAGTGTACAATTCAGTATGTTAAGCACATTCACACTGTTGTGCCACAGATCTCTAGAATATTTCCATCTTTCAAAACGGGACTCAATACCCACTGAGTAAAAACCGCCCCCCCATTCCCCTCTTTCCCCAGCACCTGGCAATTATCATTTTACTTTGTTTCTATAAGTTTGAATACTTTAGATACCTCATATAAGTGGAATCATACTGTATTTGTCTTTTTCTGACTGATTTGTTTCACTTTGCATGTCTTCAAGTTTCACCCACACTGTAGCATGTGACAGGATTTCTTTATTTTTAAAGGCTAAGTAATATTCCATTATATTTATATACTACATTTTGCTTATCCATTCATCCATTGATGGCCGTTTAGTTTGCTCCCACCTCTTAGCTGTTGTGAACAGTGCTGCAATGAATATGGGTGTGCAAGTATCTCCTCAAGCTCTCTCTTGCTCTCAGTCCTTTTGGGTATATATTAAGAAGTAGTATTGGCCAGGTGCAGTGGCTCATGCCTGTAATCCCAGCACTTTGTGAGGCCGAGGCAGGTGGATCACCTGAGGTTAGGAGTTCGAGACCAGCCTGACCAACATGGTGAAACCCCATCTCTACTAAAAACACAAAATTAGCCGGGCATGATGGCGGGTACCTGTAATCCCAGCTACTCGGAAGGCTGAGGCAGGAGAGTCACTTGAACCTGGGAGGCGGTGGTTGCAGTGAGCCAAGATCGCACCATTGCACTCCAACCTGGGCAACAAGAGCAGAACTCCATCTCAAAATAAATAAATAAATAAATAAATAAATAAATAAATAAATAAATGAAGTAGTATTGCTGAGTCATATGGTAATCCTATTTTTAATTTTTCTGAGGAATCTGCATACTGTTTTCCGTAGTGGCTGCACCATTTTACAGTCCCACCAACAGAGCACAGCGTACAAATTACTCCACATCCTTGTCAGCACCTGTTAATTTTTGTTTTGTTTTGTTTTGTTTTTTGATAGTGTCTATCCTAATGGGTGTGAGGTGATGGCTCACTGTAGTTTTTTGTTCTTTGGCTTTTTTTCTTTTCTTTTTTTCGAGACAGAGTCTCGCTCTGTTGCCCAGGCTGGAGTGCAGTGGCGCAATCTCGGCTCACTGCAACCTCCGCCTCCTGGGTTCACGCCATTCTCCTCCCTCAGCCTCCCGAGTAGCTGGGACTACAGGCACCCACCACTACGCCTGGCTAATTTTTTGTATTTTTAGTAGAGACGGGGTTTCACCGTGTTAGCCAGGATGGTCTCGATCTCCTGACCTCGTGATCCGCCCACCTCGGCCTCCCAAAGCGCTGGGATTACAGGCTTGAGCCACTGGGCCTGGCCTTTTTTTTTTTTTTTTTTTTAAGATAGGGTCTCTCTCTGTCACCTAGGCCAGAGTACAGTGGCACAATCATAGCTCACTGCAGCCTTGAACTTCTGGGCTCAAGTGATCCTCCCGCCTCAGCCTCCCAAGTATCTGGGACTACAGGCGTGTGCCACCACTCCTGGCTTATTTAAAAAAGCACTGGGATTACAGGCATGAGCCTCCATGCACAGCTGTGGGAAGAGTTCTGATACAAATTCAATTTCTTGCCGGGCACAGTGGCTCACGCCTGTAATCCCAGCACTTTGGGAGGCCAAGGCAGGTGGATCACCCGAGGTCTGGAGTTTGAGACCACCTTGACCAACATGGAGAAACACTGTCTCTACTAAAAATACAAAATTAGCCGGGCGTGGTGGCACATGCTTGTAATCCCAGCTACTCGGGAGGCTGAGGCAGGAGAATCACTTGAACCAGGGAGGCAGAGGTTGCTGTGAGCCAAGATCGCGCCGTTGCACTACAGCCTGGGCAACAAGAGCAAAACTCCGTCTCAAAAAAAAAAAAAAAATTCAATTTCTTTTCATACATAAGACTATTCAGATTATATATTTCTTCTTGGGAAAGCTTTGGTAGTTTGTGTTTTTCAATAAATTTGTTAATGTATTCCATAGTGTTGAGTTTATTTGCATATAGTTGTTCCTAATATTTCCTTAGTATCTTCTTTTTAATGTCTATATGATCTGTAGTGATGTTCATTCATTCCTGATAATGGTAATTTGTGTTTTTTCTTTTTTTCTTGATCAGTCTGCCTTTTAAAAAACTGGCTGTTCTTAAAACTGGCTGGTTTCATTTTCTGTATTGTTTACACATTTTCTATTTCAGTAATTTTCACTCATCTATATTATTTCCTTCCTTCTGCTTACTTTGGGTTTAATTTGCTCTTTTATTTTTTTCTAACTTCTTAAGGTGCAAGCTTAAAGTGTTGCTGCCAGACCTTTCTTCTCTTCTAATGTAAGTATTTGATGCTATAATGTCCCTGTGAGCACTTCCTTAACTGCATTTACACTTTGTGACATGTGGTATTGTTCAATTTCCTTTAGTTCAAAATATTTTCTAATTTTCTTCATGCTTTCTTATTTGATCTACGGGTTAAGTTTGTGTTGTTTCATTTCCAGATGTTTTGGCTATTGTTGTTATTGATTTTCAGTTTACTTCTGTTCTGGTCAGGGAACATAATTTATATAATTTCAATCCTTCTCAATTTATTGAGAATTAATTTATGGCTCAGATTATGGTCTATTTTGGTGAATGTTCCATGTACACTTGAAAAGAATGTGGACTCCGCTATTGCTGAGTGGAATATCTGTAAAGATCGATAAGGTCAAAGTATTTGATGTTGTTCAAATCTTCTGTATACTTACTGATTTTCTTTTTACTTCTTCTATCAGTTACCAAGTGAAGAATGTTGAAATATCCAACTATAATTTGTGGATTTCTCCTTTCAATGCTATCATTTTTGGTGCTTCATGTATTTTTGAAGCTCTATTATTAGGTATGTACCACATTTAGGATTGATATATTTTCTTAGTGAAATGACCCCTTTGTCATTATGTAATGCTCTTCTTTGTCCATGGCTATAGTCCTTGTTCTAAAGCGTAACTTATTTTCTAATATATATATATATATATATATATATATATACATATATATACTAGAATATATATACAATAGATTATGTATCTATATTCTATATATGTATATATATACTAGTATGTATATGTGTGTGTGTGTGTGTGTGTGTGTGTGTGTATATATATATATATATATATATATATATATATATATATATATGGCCAGCGTGGTGGCTCATGCCTGTAATCCCAGCACTTTGGGAGGCCGAGGTGGGCAGATCTTTTGAGTCCAGGAGTTTGAGACAGACTGGCCAACATGGCAAAACCCCACCTCTACTAAAGTATACAAATTATGCCAGACGCGGTGGCTCACACCTGTAATCACAGCAGTTTAGGAGGCCGAGGCGGGTGGATCACTTGAGGTCAGCAGTTTGAGACCAGCCTGGCCAACATGGTGAAACCTCATCTCTACTAAAAATACAAAAATTAGCCTGGTGTGGTGGTGCATGCCTGTAATCCCAGCTACTCTGGAGA
Source organism: Homo sapiens (assembly GCF_000001405.40). Taxonomy (NCBI): domain Eukaryota; kingdom Metazoa; phylum Chordata; class Mammalia; order Primates; family Hominidae; genus Homo; species Homo sapiens. The sequence goes on from NC_000017.11 coordinate 48,653,588, forward strand.
CTGAGGCAGGAGAATTGCATGAACCCAGGAGGCAGAGGTTGCAGTGAGCCGAGATGGCACCATTGCACTCCAGCAATAGAGCGAGACTCTGTCTCAAAAAATAAAAATAAAAATAAAAAAATAACCGGGCGTGGTGGCGTGTGCCTGTAATCCCAGCCTCTGAGGAGGCTGAGGCACAAGAATCTCTTGAACCTGGGAGGTGAAGGTTGCAGTGAGCCATGATCACCACCACTGCACTCCAACCTGGGCAACAGAGATCCTGTCTCAAAAAAATATATATATATATCATATTAATATAGTCACTCAAACTTTTTTTTGATGTGAATGGGAATTTTTATCCTTTTATTGTTGATCTATCTGTGTCTCTATATTTAAAAGCGATTTATTGTGGGCAGAATATGGTTGAGTCTTGTGTTTGTTTGTTTGTTTGTTTGTTTTTGAGATGGAGTCTTGCTCTGTCACCCAGGCTGGAGTACAGTGGTGCAATCTCGGCTCACTGCAAGCTCCGCCTCCCGGGTTCATGCGGTTCTCCAGCCTCAGCCTCCTGAGTAGCTAGGACTACAGGCGAGTCTTGTGTTTTTATTCAGTCTGACAATCTCTACTCTTATATTGATATTTAAACCTATTGACTTGGTTAAGTTGAAATCTACCATCTTGCTATCTGTTTTTTATTTATACTATCTGTTATTTGTTCCCCTTTTCCTCTTTTTCTGCCTTTTTTTAGATTGAATATGTTTTAAGATTTCTTTTTGTTGTTGTTGTTTTGTTTTTGAGACGGAGTTTCATTCTTGTTCCCCAGGCTAGAGTGCAATGGCACAATCTTGGCTCACTGAAACCTCCGCCTCCTGGGTTCAAGCGATTCTCCTGTCTCAGCCTCTGGAGCAGCTGGGATTACAGGCGCATGCCACCATGCCCGGCTAATTTTTGTATTTTTAGTAGGGATGGGGTTTCACCATGTTGGCCAGGCTGGTCTCGAACTCCTGACCTCAGGTGATCTGCCAGCCTCGGCCTCCCAAAGTGCTGGAATTACAGGTGTGAGTCACTGGGCCTGGTCAGGATTTCTTTCATTTCAACTAACTGTTGGCTTATTAACCCTACTTTTTTGTTTTAATTTTTAGTGGTTACTGTTATTTTAATGTATTAGTCAGATTTTTCCAGAAAAACAAAACCTATAGGAGATAGATAGGTAGATAGATAGATAGATAGATAGACAGACAGAGGAGGATTTACTATAAGGAATTGGCTTGCATGATTATGGAGGCTGAGAAGTCCCAAGATCTGCAGTTGACAAGCTGGGGACCCAGGAGCATCAGTGGCATAACTCCAGTCTGAATCTGTGTCTAAAGGCTGGAGAAGATCAGTGTTCCAGCTCAAAAACATTCAGGCAGGGAGAGCCTTCCACTACTGGCAGGAGCGCCTTTTTGTTCTTGTCAGTTCTTCAATCGATTGGATGTGGTCCACCCATATTAGGGAGGGCAATGTGCTTTACTCAGTCTATTGATTCAAATAATGTCATGCAGAAACACCCTTGTAGACGTACCCAGAATAATGTTTAACTGAATATCTGGCACCCCATGGCCTAGTCAAGTTGACACATAAAATTAACCATCACATTTGAGATTTATAATTTGCATCTTTAACTTATCACGGTCTATCTGCAAAGAATATTATATCACTTAGCTGGGCGTAGTGCTGTGTGCCTATAGTCCCAGCTACTCAGGAGGCTAAGTGGGGAGGATTGCTTGAGCCCTGAAGTTCGAGGCTGCAGTGAGCTGCGATCACATCACTGCTCTCCAGCCTGGGCTACAGAGAAAGAGCTTGTCTCTAAAAAAATTAAAAATAAAATAAAAAGAATATTACCTCATGTATGGTGATACAATAGTATACTTCTATTTCCTTCTCTTTTGTGGCTATTGCTGACATATAATTTATCTGTAGCTATGAGCCCTGCAGTACATTGCTATTATGTTTTGCTTAAATAGTAAATTGTCTTTTAAATATATTAAAATGAAATAAGGTGTTTTATATTTATATGCATATTTAACATTTGTATACTGCAGGTATGCTGGCGACAGTTTCTTTTAGCTTTTGTCTGAAATAGTCATTTAAAGGTAAAACATTTTAAAACTTTATAATTTGCAATAATATTATACTTATGAAGAATTACAAAATTGCCCAAAAAATTTCCATAAACCTATTTCCCAATTTCTTCATACGGTAACATCCACAAAACTACCATCCAAACTAAAAGATTGACATTGATACAATACTATTAGCTCACCTGGAGACCTTATTCCAGTTTTGTCCATTGTCCTACTATTGCCCCTTTTCTTGACCAGTATTCAATCTAGGGTTGCTTATTGCCTTTAATTGTCTTTTCTTCTTAGTCTCCTTTAATCTGGGATAGTTCCTCAGGCTTCCTTTCTTGACACTTGTGCTGGTTGTTTGTGGTTGCCCTGCAGAGCAAAGATCAGCAACTCTACCCAAATGTGGTTTGAATGTGGAGACTGATGATGCCACATATACACAAAGAGGGCATGAGGCATTCTGGGCAGAGCACAACAGGCTCCCCAAAAGGCCCCAAAATGGCTTGAGAACAAGGGAGGGGCAAGTTGCCTTGGGTCTTATTGAGGTTAAGGGCTGGGGATAGGGCATGGTTTTCCCATGCACAGGCCAGTGTTTGAACTTCCCTGCTGGAGCCAAGGGAGGAAACACCTAGGCTTTTTTGTCTACCAAATGGAGGGCAAAAGATTAAGGAGGAGTTGTGGGGCTTCAAAGCTGTCAGTGGTCAAACATCAAATATGGAATTGGATTCTGTTACAATTCACCCCTGATGTTTAATGGATTACTGAAATGTATCCTGTTTTTTTAAATTAAATTTAAACCTGTTTAAGTATGCTGTGATGGTACTCTATGAGGCCTGCAGCCTGAGGCCAGTAAGGGGGATAAAATTTCTGTTCAATGCCTTCTTATTAAAGAGCCTAATGTTATGTATTTTGAGAAGTGAAATGAATGCCTCGGTCACTCTCAAGAATGTATGGAACTCTGAAGGGGATAAGGAGTATCTTGGTGAGGCCTTGTATTGTGGCTTGAGTATGTGCAGAGATATATCTGACCTTGATTTATATTTCTGGGTATCTTCAAGCAAGACATTTCCAGAGTTCTTTACCCCAAAGAGGATGACCTTGGATAAAGAACTGTTGTTGCCATTAGTCAGACCAGATAGCCAGGTAATTGGCAATGGCCTAAGGGTCTGAAAAATGTTAAGATGGGGTTGCTTATTGGGCAGGGCATCCTTTGTTGCTAAGATGACTGCTTGAAGTTTGGCAAATTGTGTGGACCCTTGGGTCCTGTCTTTTATCAGGGATGTCTGTTAAGGGATGGAAAACACAAATAGAATCAGTTGTGACGGTAGCACTGCCATTTTTAAAGTATGTGAATTCCCTTTGCTGTTCACTCAGTTGATCCCAAAGGGATCCCCAAGAAGCCAAGGGGTCTGAGAGAGGAATGACCTCCTTCAGCACTGTGGTGTCTGGCCAGAAACTGAGGACAGGGGAGCCCATGGCCTCCTGCAGGCAGGATATGCTACAGGACCCAGATTTGGCTCCATACTGTAGATACTATTTTCATTTTAGCAAGGAAGCCTCAATAGCCATGCCAAGCTTTGGGGGTGTGCCTTCCATGGCCCAAGGCATAGCGGGCAGCTAGTGTGTCATGGTCTCAAGGCCTGTAAGAGCCTCCTTTTTTGGAAGAGTCCAGTATGCAGTCAGCTATTGTCACTCTAATAATGTATAGCATCAGGCTGAGGAAGGCGATTTCTTGCATCGGAAACCCACAGACTATTTATGGCCATCATAAGTGAACCAAAGACTCTGGAAGTATGAGAGGAGGTTGCTAAAGCCTCTACAGTGAAGGAATTTCTGGGGAGCACTAACAGTCTCTGGAAGTATGAGAGGAGGTTGCTAAAGCCTCTACAGTGAAGGAATTTCTGGGGAGCACTAACAGTAGGGTCTGTCCTTTTGCAATTTGAACAGGTTTTAAGCCTTTTGTTTTAGTGGACCCCATTCAGGTGAACCAATTTGTAAGGAACAGCAAAAATGGGCTTAAGTAGGGCCGGGTGCAGTGGTTCACACCTGTAATCCCAGCACTTTGGGAGGCCAAAGCGGGTGGATAACTTGAGGTCAGGAGTTCGAGACCAGCCTGGCCAACATGCTGAAACCCCGTTTCTACTAAAAAAATACAAAAAAATTAGCTGAGCGTGGTGGTGGGTGCGTGTTATCCCAGCTTCTTGGGAGGCTGAGGCAGGAGGATCACTTGAACCTGAGAAGCAGAGGTTGCAGTGAGCCAAGATCATGCCACTGCAGTCCAGCCTTGGTGGCAGAGGGAGATTCTGACTCAAAAAAAAAAACCAAAAATGTCTTAATTAAAATTTGCAAAGGAGGAACATGTTGCTTCAGAACCCCCAGAGTTCTAAAAGATACTGGGCTTTTAGCATTGTGGGTGCTAAGAGGGTCAATAGAGATTTCTTGACAATGTCAGAAATGTCAAGGATAAACAGCTCTCAATTTACTAAGTAATACCCAGAAATTTTACTGAGGTATACTTGTGCTTGTACCTTGTACTTTGTGTGGAAGAAATGACCCATCCTTTTTCATGAGCTGCCTTTTGAATGTTTGTATGCGTTAAATTAGTGTATCAAATGAATTTCCACTGCACCCAACTACTTCAGGAGGCTGAGAGGGGAGGATCGTTTGAGCCCAGGAGTTTGAGGCTGCAGTGTGCTATGACTGTACTTGTGAATAGCTACTGCACTCCAGCCTGGGCAACATCATAAGATCCTGTCTTTTTATTTTTATTATTTATTTATTTATTTATTTTTTTTTTTCGAGACAGAGTCTCACACTGTTGCCCAGGCTGGAGTGCAGTGGCGTGATCTCGGATCACTGCAAGCTCAGCCTCCTGGGTTCATGCCATTCTCCTGCCTCAGCCTCCCGAGTAGCTGGGACTACAGGCACCTGCCGCCACATCCGGCTATTTTTTTTGTATTTTTAGTAGAGACGGGGTTTCACCATGTTGGCCAGGATGGTCTCGATCTCTTGACCTCATGATCCACCCACCTCGGCCTCCCAAAGTGCTGGGATTACAGGCGTGAGCCACCGCGCCCGGCCTCAAGACCCTGTCTTTTTAAAAAATTAATTTCCTCTGAGAAGGATGTCATATATCTAACATCATACTTGTGTTTCTGGAGAGAGTTGGATGCAGTTAAGGTTTTTGTTTGCAAAGATCGTGTGCAATGGCAGGTCTGTTGGGGGTCCCATGGGTAGTTAGTATATTGTGTCCATGCAATGGTAAAGACAAGCTGGCTGAAACGGGAACTTAAGAGAACATATTAGCCCAAATATATGATAGCAAAGTATTTGCCAGTTGCTGATTGGAGGGAGGCAGTAATTTTAGTAGTATAGAAGCTGGCCTGTTTTTTACTCACAACACTTCTGACACTAAATGTATGGGTTTTTTCCCCTATACCAACTGATATGGTTTGACTGTGTTCCCACCCAAATCTCATCTTGAATTGTAACTCCCACAATTCCTACATGTCGTGGGAGGAACCCAGTGGGAAGTAATTGAAACATGAGGGTGGGTCTTTCCTGTGCTATTCTCATGATAGTGGATAAGTCTCACAAGATCTGATGGTTTTAAAAACGGGAGTTTCCCTGCACAAGCTCTCTTTCTCTTGCCTGCTGCCATCCATGTAAGATGTGATTTGTTCCTCCTTGCCTTCTGCCATGATCGTGAGGCCTCCCCAGCCATTTGGAATTGTAAGTCCATTATACCTCTTTTCTTCCCAGTCTCGGGTATATCTTTATCAGCAGCCTGAAAACGACCTAATACACCAACCAATTCTCCAACTCTCTGAAAACCAACTGGGTGTCCAGCAATTCAGTTTCATTCTGACACTATCTACCTGGAGTTCACATCAGTTCCCACGAGATTGCCCCATCTTTAGAGACCAGTCACAAGTCCCAGGCCTCCTGTACTTCTGACTGGCCAGTTAAAAATCGGGTGTTCTCATGACCCCCTCCTCAGTTTCCATAATTTACTGGAATAGCTCACAGAACTCGGGAAAATACTTTACTTACATTTACTGGCTTATTATAAAGGATGCAATTCAGGAACAGCCAGATGGAAGAGATGCCCAGGGAAGGGTATTGAGCGGGGGTGGAGGAGGGTACCCCCAGAGTTTCCATGCCCTGAGTGCTTCACTCTCCCGGGACCTCCACGTGTTTACAGAACCCTGTAGGGTAGAAGGGACTTATGGAGGTTTAATTACCTAGGCATGATTGATTAAATTATTGGCCATTGGTGACTGATTCAATCTCCAGCCCTCTCCCCGCCCCATAGGTCTGAGATGAGCCTGAAAGTTCCAAACTTTTAATGCCTTGGTCTTTCTGATCATCAGCCCCCATCTTGAAGCTATCTAGCACTCCCAGCTAATCATTTCATTAGCATGCAAAAGACACATATTAGCCTAAAGATTTCAAGGGTTTCAGGAGTGCCAGGAACTCTTAAGTGGAACTGCAGCATTATGATTGTGGTAATCCACCATCAGGCATCCTTCATTCATTCTAGGTTTAAGACCAGGACAATTTGGAGTGGAGAAAAACTGGGGACAATCACCCTTCTCTAAATAGGTCTTATATAATGGGTTTTGAGCTTATGGCTAGGTGCGGTGGCTCACATCTGTAATCCTAGCACTTTGGGAGGCTGAGGCATGTGGATTGCATGAGTCCAGGAGTTTGAGACCAGCCTGGAAAACATGGGAAAAAACCCATCTCTACAAACAAAAATACAAAAATTAGCCGAAACAAGTGGCGTGTGCCTGTAGTCCTAGCTACTAGGGAGGCTGAGGTGGCAGGATCACCTGAACCTGGGAAGGGGAAGCTGCAGTGAGCTGAGATTGCACCACTGCACTCCAGCCTGGGCCACAGAGTGAGACCCTGTCTCGAAAAGGTCCTAGTACATTTTATTTATTTATTTTTTATACAGAGTCACTCTCAGGATACCTAGTTTTATCTGTGTGAACAGTTTTAATAGGTTATGATAAAGGCTCAGGTTCTCATTTTGTTAAGCCAGTTGTAATTGCCAAAAACTTAATTTTGTTTTTGTTTAGTACTCACTAGGCCAGAGTACATGTCCATTGTGGAATATTTTAGGGCAACAGGCACTATGAATATGGGGAATTTAGGCAAATCAATAGTTCTTCTTCTTCTTTTCTTTTTTTTTTTTTTTTTTTTTTTTTTTTTGAGACAGAGTCTCGCTCTGTCGCCCAGGCTGGAGTGCAGTGCCATGATCTCGGCTCACTGCAACATCTGCCTCCTGGGTTCAAGCGATTCTCCTGCCTCAGCCTCCAGAGTAGCTGGGACTACAGGCGCGTGCCACCACACCTGGCTAATTTTTTTGTGTGTTATCCAGGCTGGTCTCGATCTCCTGACCTCGTGATCTGCCTGCCTCGGCATCCCAAAGAGCTTTTATTACAGGCATGAGCCACCGCGCCCAGCCTAGTTTTGTATTTTTTAGTAGAGATGGAGTTTCACCATATTGGCCAGGCTGGTCTCGAACTCCTGACCTCAGGTAATCCACCTGCCTTGGCCTCCCAAAGTGTTGGGATTATAGGCATGAGCCACCACGCCTGGCCTAAAGTTAATTTAGAACTTATGTTGTACAAGTGCAAAAGCCAACAAGACCCTCCCTTCCTTCTTTAAATATCTTTTTATTGTATAGTTTTTAGAGTAAATTTAAGATTTGCAACTGGGTTAAATCATGAACCTCTGTTAAGTTGTGTGTGTGTGTGTGTGTGTGTGTGTGTCTGGGGGGAGTTACTGGATGTACTTCAGGGGGAGGGAGCTTCTCTTCTCTGCTCATATTTACGTTTCTTCTTCTGGAGAGTCCCAAATCAGTACCCTCAGGGTTAGGGGCCACTTTCATGACAGCCATTTTCTTTTTTTTTTCTTTTTTTTTTTTTTTTGAGACGGAGTCTCGCTCTGTAGCCCAGGCTGGAGTGCAGTGGTGCGATCTCAGCTTACTGCAAGCTCCGCCTCCCGGGTTCACGCCATTCTCCTGCCTCAGCCTCCCGAGTAGGTGGGACTACAGGGGCCCGCTACGATGCCAGGCCAATTTTTTTTACTTTTAGTAGAGACGGGGTTTCACTGTGTTAGCCAGGATTATCTAGATCTCCTGACCTCGTGATCTGCCTGCCTTGGACTCCCAAAGTGCTGAGATTACAAGGCGTGAGCCACTGCACCTGGCCTTATGGCAGCCACTTTCATGGCAATTGTTATTTTATTTGATTTAGGGACTGTAGACTTAAGTTGGATTTTTATTTATTTTTTATTTTTTATTTTTTGGCAGTCTCGCTCTGTCTCCCAGGTTGGAGTGCAATGGTGTGATGTTGGCTCACTGCAGCCTCAAACTCATCAGCTCAAGTGATCCTACCACCTCATCCTCCAGAGTAGCTGGGACTATAGGCACCCAACACCACACCCAGCTGATTTTTGCATTTTTTGTAGAGATGGGGTTTTGCTGTGGTGCCCAGGCTAGTGGATTTTTTTTTTTTTTTTTGAGACAGGGTCTTACTCTGTTGCCCAGGCTGGAGTGCAGAGGCACAATCCCAGCTCAGTCCAACCTCTGCTACTAGGTTCAAGTGATTCTCACGCCTCAGCCTCCCCAGTAGCTGGGACTACACGCCCCCACCTCTGGCTAATTTTTGTATTTTTGGTAGAGATGGGGTTTTGCCATGTTGGCCAGGCTGGTCTCAAACTGCTGACCTCAAGTGATCTGCCCACCTCAGCCCCCCAAGTGTTGGGATTACAGGTACAGGCATGACTACTGCACCCAACCCCTGGATTTTTTTAATGACAAGGTCTTACTCTGTCACCCAGGCTGGAGTGCAGTGGCACAATCATGGCTCACTGCAGCCTCAAACTCCAGCAATCTTCTCACCTCAGCCCCCCAAGTAGCTGGGACTACAGGTACATGTCACCATACCTGGCTAATTTTAAAATTTTTTGTATAGATGAGGTTTTATTTGTTTGTTTGTTTTTTTGACAGAGTCACGCTCTGTTGCCAGGCTGGAGTACAGTGGCGCAATCTCAGCTCACTGCAACCTCCATCTCCCAGGTTCAAGCGATTCTCCTGCCTCAGCCTCTCGAGTAGCTGGGACTACAGGCACGCACCACCACACTCAGCTAATTTTTATGTTTTTAGTAGAGATGAGGTTTCACCATGTTGGCCAGCATGGTCTCAATCTCTTGACCTCGTGATCCGCCCGCCTCGGCCTCCCAAAGTGCTGGGATTACAGGCATGAGCCACCATGCCCGGCCTAGACGAGGTCTTACTATGTTTCCCAGGCTGATCTTGAACTCCTAGACTCCAGCAATTCTCCCACCTCAGCCTCCCAAAGCATTAAGATTACAGGCATGAACCACTGCACCCAGCCTTGAGTTGGATTTGAATGAATCCCTTGACAGTTTGATAAGGTGCAGCACTTAATCAAACCCAGCTTCTTTCTGGGTCTGTTTTATAGTTATCTGGTAGGGTGATGGTGGTGTCCTCTGACCCTTTAAGAGAGATGGAGTAAGGCATTCTGGCCTAGTTTTTATAAGGGTTCATGGCATGGAGTGCTATTGAGTGTTTTTATCTTTAATCCTGGTGACTGCGCTTCCTCACCGGAGCAACCACCAGATGGCCCTGTATGTTGCACAGAGTATCAGCCTTTCTCCTGCACACTCTATAGAACATAGGCTAATGCCTGGTTGGGACATACAACCAACAGTCACAAAATAATAAGTGTCATGCCCTTGAGCCTAGGATCGGCGATGGTTTATGCCAGAATCAAGACATACAATTCAATCTAAGATGCACAGATAGGTCCAGACGGGGCTCACATTTTAGGGCCACTTTAAGGACATCCTCAATTTCATATTTCTGTCTCAAAATGCCAATTATAGAAACTTTCAATTCAGGTCAGTTACATCTGTAACAGAGATTTAGTAGTCCTCAGCAAATGTGGAACAAAGCAGCACAGCTCGAAGTGTAAGCTTGCCAATAGGCAGCAGAATCAATAGCAAGCCAAAGTGAGAGGAGAGAGACCCCTGATGGTGGGTGGCTATCATCTAAGGTACGCTGTTCCCTGTGCCAGTTGTCTTGTGATTGCCCCACAGAGGAAGGGATCAAATCTCTACCCCAGATTTGGTTTAGACATCAAGATTGGTGATGCCACATACACACATACAGAGGGTTTGAAAAAGCTTATTACTCGTGTAATGAGGTTTTCTGTGCAGAACAGGGCAGGCTCTTAAGAAGGCCTAAAAACAGCTTGAGAACAAGGAGATGCAAGTGGCCCTGGGTTTTACTGTTAGGGAGTAAAGCTGGGGTGAGAGTTCTGATGCACAGGCCAGGGTTTTGTGGTTTGAATTTCCCTACTGGTGCAAGGGAGGAGAGTACCCTGGCATTAAGGGAGGAGAGTACCCTGGCATTATTATTCTTATCATTATTATTATTTTGGAGACAGAGTCTCACCCTGCTGCCCAGGCTGGAGTGCAGTGGTGCAATCTCGGTTCATTGCAACCTCTGCCTCCCAAATTCAAGCAATTCTCGTGCCTCAGCCTCCCAAGTTGCTGGGATTACTGGCATGCGCCACCATGCCCAGCTAATTTTGTATTTTCAGTAGAGATAGGGTTTTGCCATGTTGGCCAAGCTGGTCTCAAACTCCAGGCCTCAAGTGATCCGTCAACCTTGGCCTCCCAAAGTGCTGGGATTATAGGCGTGAGCCACCACGCCCAGCTTCTGCCTTTATTATTGGCTTGCCCAGGTTTTGGATAAAAGGGAAAGGAGGAGTGGGGGTGGGGGCTTGAAAACTCAGCAGTTGAACATCATGGAATCAACTAATTTATTACACTGGTCAATTATTTTGTAAAACTCGTCTCAATTTGAGTTTCATGTCTCTCATGACTAAACGTAAGCATACATTTTGGCATGAAAACCACAGAAGTGATGTTTACCTGTCTCAGTTCATGACATTATGAGGTACAGGATGCTAATAGGTGTCTCATGTTCATAGTTTAAAGATGGAAAAAATTTTAAGTTAATAGTTTTTATTTTAGTACTTTAAAGATGTTATTCCATTATCTTCCGGTGTACATAGTTTGTGACAAGAAGTCCACTGTATTTGTCTTCTTTGCCCTTCTAGGTAATGTGTTCATTTTTCTCTAGGTACTCTAAGATTTTCCTTATTAATTTTTCTATTTATTTATTTATTTATTTATTTATTTATTTTTAGATGGAATCTCATTCTGTTGCCCAGGCTGGAGTGCAGTGGTGTGATCTTGGCTCACTGCAACCTCCACCTCCTGAGTTCAAGCAATTTTCCTGTCTCAGCCTCCCGAGTAGCTGGGATTACAGGCATGTGCCACCATGCTTGGGTAATTTTTGTATTTTTTTTTTAGACAGAGTTTCATTCTTGTCACCCAGATTGGAGTGCAATGGTGCAATCTCAGCTCACTGCAACCTCCACGGTTCAAGCGATTCTCCAGCCTTAGCTTCCCGAGTAGGTGGGATTATAGGCACCTGCGCCACCACGCCCGGCTAATCTGTGTATTTTTAGTAGAGAAGGGGTTTCACTATGTTGGCCAAGCTGGTCTCGAACTCCTGACCTCAAATGATCCACCCACCTCAGCCTCCCAAAGTGCTGGCATTACAGGCGTGAGCCACCTCACCCAGCCTAATTTTTGTATTTTTAATGGAGATGGGGTTTTGCCATGTTGGCCAGGCTGGTCTCAAACTCCTGACCTGATGTAATCCGCCTGCCTCGGCCTCCTACAGTGCTGAAATTAGAGGCATGGGCTACCATGCCCAGCCTATTTTATTTATTTTTACTTACTTATTTTTTTTAGACAGAGTCTCACTCTGTTGCCCAAGCTGGAGTGCAGTGCAGTGGTGCAATCTTAGCTCACTTCAACCTCCGCCTCCCAGGTTCAAGCAATTCTCCTGCCTCAGCCTCCCCAGTAGCTGGGACTGCAGGCGTGCACCACTACGCCTGACTACTTTTTGTATTTTTAGTAGAGACAAGGTTTTGCTATGTTGGCCGGGCTGCTCTGCTCTTGAATTCCTGTTCTCAAGTGATCCACCTACTTCGGCCTCCCAAAATGCTGGGATTACAGGCATGAGCCACACGCCCAGCCAACCTTTTCAATAATTTGATTATGATGTGTCTTGGTTTTGATATTATCTTATAAGACATTGGTGCTCTGTTATTTTTGTGGATTTTCTGTGCTTTATTTTCAATAGTTTTTATTGCTATATTTTCAAGTTCACCAATCTTTTCTTATGCAGTGCTTCTGCAGTGTATAATCTGCTGTTAATTCCTCCTGTGCATCTTTCATTTTTAGATCATAAACTTTTCATCTCTTGAAGTTCCATTTTGGGTCCTTTAAAAATATATTTCTTTTCTCTCTTCATCATATTTATGTTTTTCTTTATATCCTTGGGCATAATTTATGAGATTTATAATGGCTATTTTAAGGTCCTCACCTACTAATTTCATCATCTCTGAATATTGTGGTCTGTTTCTATTGCTTTAGTTATCTACTGGTTATGGGTAATTTTTTCCTATTTATTTGACTACCTGGCAATTTTTTATTGGATGCTGAATATTGTGTATTTTGGGTTGTTGGGTGCAAGACATTGTTATATTCTTTTAAAGAGTACTAGAGAAAAATACAAAAATTAGCTGGGCATGGTGGCTCATGTCTGTGGTCCCAGCTACTTGGGAAGCAGAGGTTGCAGTGAGCCGAGATCATGCCACTGCACTCCAACTTGGGCGACAGAGTGAGACTCTGTTTCAAAACAAAACAAAACAGAAAAAACAAACACTCAAACAAAAAAACAGAGTGCTGAACTTTGTCCTGGCATATAATTAGTTACTTGTGATTTGTTTTCTTCTTTTAAGTCTTGCTATTAAGTTTTGTTAGGAAAAGCCCAGGTTGGCCTCTACTCCAGAGATATTAATAATTTAGCCCCACTAAGTCTCTATCCTTCTGAAGACTCTACCCAATACCTGTGTGTTATGAGGTCTCTTTACTCTGGTTGATGGAAACACAAACTATGCCTAGCCCTGTGTAAACTCCAACACTTGTTCGGCCTCCTGCTTTCTGGTTTTACTTTTTCCAACCTTCTGGAATTTCACCCCACACCTGTGTAGATCAGTCCCCAAAGACTTGAGGGAATCTCTAATGGTCTATGAGGCTTTGTCGCTTTCTCTCTGTCTCTCCCCATGCAGCTCTTGCTTCTCCAGCACTCTCTCCCACAAATTCTAGCTGTCTTCATGTCCTTGAACTCTAAACCCTGTCTCCTAAACTCAGTGAGACCACGGGGCTCTGTTTGGGTACTCCATGTAGCACTCTCTTCACTGTCTCCACGTAGTAAGCTGGGGCTCTGGTGAGGCTGAACTTATTTTTCTTTTCTCAGAGATCTTAGTCTTGCATTGCCTGCTGTCTAATGTGTGAAAACAGTTGTTTCATATATTTTGTTTAATTTACTAATTTTGGGTGTGTGTGGTGGGGGAAGCCATCTCTACAACAGTTTATCCTTCATGTGCAGAAGTGGAAGTCCCACAGTGATCCCTTTAAAATACATGGCTAGGCCAGGTGCAGTAGCTCACGCCTGTAATCCTAACACTTTGGGAGGCCAAGGCAGGTGGATTGCTTGAGGCCAGGAGTTCCAGACCAGTCTGGGCAACATGGTGAAACCCCGTCTCTACTAAAAATACAAAAATGAGCCAGGCATGGTGGTGTGCACCTGTAGTCCTAGCTACTCCGGAGGCTGAGGCACAAGAATCACTTGAACCTAGGAAGTGGAGCTTGCAGTGAGCCGAGATCGCACCACTGCACTCTAGCCTGGGCAGCAGAGTGAGACTCTGTCTCAAAATAAATAAATAAATAAATAAATAAAATAAAATACATGGCTAAAATCCAACCATGTACTTAACATTTCAAATGAAGTACTGAAATGGCTCTATAATTCAAACTTTCAGATATATCTAGCTTTATTATTACTATATATATATTTTTTGAGACAGAGTCTAGCTCTGTTGCCCAGGCTGGAGTGCAGTGGCATGATCTTGGCTACTGCAACCTCCGCCTCCTGAGTTCAAGCAATTCTCCTGCCTTAGCCTCCCGAGTAACTGGGATTACAGGCGGGCACCACCATACCCGGCTAATTTTTCATATTTTTAGTAGGGACAGGGTTTCACCATGTTGGCCAGGCTGGTTTTGAACTTCTGACCTTAAGTAATCCACCTGTCTTGGCCTCCCAAAGTACTAGGATTACAGGCATGAGCCACCGCGCCCAGCCTAGATGTATCTAGCTTTATATTTAAAATTCACAGGCTTCACCTACTTAAGTGTATATTTAATTGGTTTGAAGATGATTTCGTCTCTGGAAGGTTTTCCCAAGAATCTTTTACCAAGCCAGGGAAGAAAGAGCTTGGGACATTGGAGGAAGAGGAAGCAGGCTAGATGTGACCAGAGCAGAGGAAGAGAGGAGAGTGGTGTAGGATGAGATTGGAGAGCCAGGTAGAACCCAGATGATGCCGGGCCTGGGATGTCAGAGTGAGAAGTTTGGATTTTATTCCAAGTGTAACGGGAGGTCACTGAAAGGTTTTAAGCAAGAGAGTGACATGATCTGATTTTAAAGATCACATTGCTGTATGAATAATGGTTTCTAGGGGGCAACGGCAGAAATAGAGACCATTTAGGAAGCTGCTGTTGTAGTCAAGGTGGACAAATAGTGACTTGAATAAAGGTTGTGACGGCAGAAGTGTTTAGGGACTAGCGGTGTTCGAGTATCTACTGTGTTTGTCAGCTCGAAACACATGACAGAGAAATAACAGATGAATAAGAGAAATAGATCCTGGCCCTGTGGGGCTTCCAGACAAATGGAGTGGTTAATTCTTTTTTTTTTTTTTTTTTTTTTTTGAGACAGAGTCTCACTCTGTCGCCCAGGCTGGAGTGCAGTGGCACGATCTCGGCTCACTGCAAGTTCCGCCTCCCGGGTTCACCATTCTCCTGCCTCAGCTTCCCCAGCAGCTGGGACTATAGGCGCCCGCCACCATGCCCAGCTAATTTTTTTTGTATTTTTGGTAGAGACGGGGTTTCACTGTGATAGCCATGATGGTCTCGATCTCCTGACCTTGTGATCTGCCTGCCTTGGCCTCCCAAAGTGCTGGGATTACAGGTGCGAGCCACTGCGCCCGGCCTGTAGTGGTTAATTCTTAATACTTTGGGGGTCACAGACTCCTTTGAGAATCTTACCTAAGCTACAGAACCTCACCACAGAAAAAAGCACATAATCACTTTTTTTATCATTTTATGAATATTTCACATTCATCATGATAATTTCACCTGGTCAAGTGGATATTAAACGATAAGTAAAGGCTCATATATGTGTGGAGAACTAGTGCATACAGAATTATGGAGAAATGATGGTGGATCAGTGGAGCAACTGGGGAGCTGCTGGGGCACAGGAGAGTGACAGGACAGGGGCTCAGCATGCCTCCAACCCAATCAGCAAAGCATCCACACTTCCACAGCACTGTGCTGGGTGGGAAAGCTTGTTCTTGCCCTGGCTGAAAGACAAGATGCAAGCGATATAGTGCTTCATCAATGTTGTAGACCGAACATTTATCTCTCTCCAAAATGTATATGTTGAAATAGAATCTCCAATGTGATGGTATTTGGAGGTGAGGCCTTTGAGAGGTAATTAGGTCATGAGCCTTCATGAATGGGATTAGAGCCTTCATAAAAGAGACTCCAGAGGGCTCCCTCACCCATCTGCCATGTGAGGATACTGAGAAGATGACCATCTACGACCCAGGAAGCAGGCTTCACCAGACACCAAATCTGCCAGCGCCTTCACCTTGTCCTTCTCAGCCTCTAGAACTCTGAGAAGTGTTTGTGGTTTAAGCTGCCCAGTCTAGGGTGCTTTTGCTATGGCAGCTCAAACTGCCTAAAGCAGTCAGTAACCTCAGGATAGGAGTGGGCTGCCAGGTGGAACCCTCCCGAAAGGTTTCTGGATGGAAGATTTGAGTCACTTAAATATATATCATGCATCATGTGTGCGTGAAGAGAGACAGAGAGAGGCGGGTGGGGCAGGAGAATATGTACTGCCTCGTTATGCATGCTCATATAGTCCTGATTTGTTATGCTGTCATGTGATACATAACAATGTTTGGGTCAACAATGAACCACATATATGGTAGTCATCCTATAAGATTATAATACCAGGCCAGGCACAGTGGCTCACGCCTGTAATCCCAGCACTTTGGGAGGCCTAGGCAGGCGGATAACCTGAGGTCAGGAGTTCAAGACCAGCCTGGTCAACGTGGAGAAACCCTGTCTCTACTAAAAATACAAAAATTAGCTGGGCTTGGTAGCGTGCGCCTGTCATCCCAGCTACTCGGGAGGCTGAGGCAAGAGAATCACTTGAACCCGGGAGGCGGAAGTTGCAGTGAGCCTAGACCCTGCCATTGCACTCCAGGCTGGGCAACAAGAGCAAAACTCCATCTTAAAGATAAAAAAGATTATAATACCGTATTTTCACTGTACCATTTCTATGTTTAGATACACAAACACCACTGTGTTACAGTTGCCTACAGCATTCAGTATACAGTA
The DNA here is from genome assembly GCF_000001405.40 of Homo sapiens. NCBI lineage: Eukaryota > Metazoa > Chordata > Mammalia > Primates > Hominidae > Homo > Homo sapiens. Next base: position 48,670,315 of record NC_000017.11, read on the forward strand.
CTCATCATGCTGGATGAGTCTGTAGCCTAGGAGCGACAGGCTACACCATATAACTTAGGTGTCTAGTGGGTTATACCATCTAGGTTTGTGTAAGTATACTCTGATGTTATCACAATGATAAAGTCGCCTAGCAATGCATTTCTCAGAATGTTTCCCTCTTGTTAAATGGCACATGAGTGTATTTCAGTTTCTTTCTTTCTTCTTTTTCTTTCTTTCTTTCCTTCTTCTTTCTCTCTCTGTTTCTTTCTTTTTCTTTTTCTTTTTTTTCATGGTCATTCTCTTTCACCCAAGCTGGAGTGCACTGGTGCAAACACGGCTTACTGAAGCCTCAACTTCCTGGGCTCAAGCAGTCCTTCCACCTCTGCCCCCCAAGTAGCTGGGACTACAGGCACACACCACCATGCCCAGCTAATTTTTTGTTGTTGTTGTTTTTGTAGGGATGGGGTTTCGCCATGTTGCCCAGGCTGGTCTTGAGCTCTTGAGCTCAAGCAATCTGCCCACCTTGGCCTCCTCCCAAAGTACCGGGATTGCAGACATGAGCCACCTCGCCCGGCTATTTCAATTTCTATAGTGCTAGTAAAAATCCACTAAATTGTTTATCCAACTCATCAATAAGTTCAACCCACAGTTTGAAAACCCTAGTCTAGATTTTTTTCTTTCTATTCCCTTCAGTATGAACATGAGAAAGGCTCATCATCATTCCATATTTGATATTTTGACATAAATCTGCTGGATTTAGTTAAATTACAGTTCTCCCAAATAATCAGGAGAAATTTGACTAGAACTATCTTGGTATTGCCCATGGTTGTTGCTTCTCTTTGACAGTAAACCAAAAAATTAAGCGCATGGTTATGGAGTCTGACCGCTTGAGCTGGCTGCCCCACCTGCCTCAGTTTCTTTATCAATATCTGGGACATCATCATCTTAATAGTAACTGCCTCTGGGTAAGCCATGTAAGACAAATTAACACAAGGCCTGGCACATAGTAAGTGCTCAAAAGATGTTGGCAACTATTTTTATTTATTTATTTATTTATTTATTTATTTATTTATTTAACTATGTATTTAGTGACGGAGTCTTGCTCTGTCGCCCAGGCTGGAGTGCAGTGGCTCACTGCAAGCTCCGCCTCCCTGGTTCACGCCATTCTCCTGACTCAGCCTCCCGAGTAGCTGGGACTACAGGCGCCTGCCACCACTCCCGGCTAATTTTTTGTATTTTTAGTAGAGATGGGGTTTCACCGTGTTAGCCAGGTTGGTCTCGATCTCCTGACCTCGTGATCCGCCCGCCTCGGCCTCCCACAGTGCTGGGATTACAGGCGTGAGCCACCGCGCCCGACCTATTTATTATTTTTTAAACTGTCAATGTTGTTGTCTTACAGCGGAGACCTGAAAGCAGCTTAGCCATGAGCAGCGCTCAAATAAGGAAAGAAATTCTTTGCAATAAATAGGGATCTTTGAAAGGTTTTACGTTGGACCCGCCTTACCGTGGACAGACACTAGAGGGTGCTCCTCGCTCAGAAAGCCGAGTGTTTCCAGGCCCGGGACCTCTGCCAGGAAGCGCTTCGACTGCCGGTTCTGAAACTCTCTCTTTGGGTCTGGTAATTTACTGGGGAGAACTGGCTGCTGCCTTGGTTCTGAAACTAAAGGCTTTTTACGGAAGTAGGAGGAGACTGCAAGAGGCTATATGGAGCAGAAATGTGGCTCCTTCAAACTTTCACCAATTGGCGTTCTGCCGGACTGTGACTTGGAGGATTCCAGCAGTGTCTCATTCACCCATGAGCCCCAGGGTCTAGCACACATAGTGTCTGGCAGACAGTGAGCGCTTTGTAAATATTTATGGAATGGGACCAACCGATGGAGGCGTCTGAGACCTAAATAATTATAATTACAAATTGGCAAGTGCTGGCACGATGACCACAGACCATTAAGGGCGCTCCCAGAAGAGTGGGGGCTGGGGAGGATTGGCCAGAATGGCTTCCTGAAATTCAGGAGCCCTGGCACTCTCTGGGGTACACAGAAAAGATCTTCCACATCCGGCTTTTGGATATTTAAAAACAGCTTCATGCTCCATTTTTTTCATGTCCTTCCTGTGGAATGATTTCTAGGCTTTTCACTAAGTTGATCGCTCCCTGCAGACTTGTAGGAAGGCAAATAATAGGTTAGCACCTACTGGGTTCAAGCATCTCCTATGATCTCCATTATCTGATTTAATTGTGTCTTTATCTCATTTAATCCCCACAACAACTCTCTGAGACTAAGGCTATTATCCACATTCTACAGATTAGAACTTGGTAAGGTTTGATAACTGGCCCAAGATCACACCATTAGGGAGTGACAGGACCAGTATTTGAACCCAGATAGTCTAGCAGCAAAAGATGCTTTTAAAAATTTTCACTTAAAAGAATAACAACAACAGCAACTAACAGTATGGAGGGGGCCAGATAGTTTTCTGTGTTTTACATTTATTAACTCATTTAAGTCATTTAATTGCTATACACCTAGATGTCATCCTTTCTATTAATACATTGTTAGTACTGAAAAGTGAAGAGAATGATACAACAAACACCCATGTACTCATCACCTGGCATGAAAAAAAGGTTAATGTTAAAGTTGATATTATCCAGCCACAACAATCTTGAAAAAGAACAAAGTTGGAGAACTTGGCCCAGTGCGGTGGCTCATGCTTGTAATCCCAGCATTTTGGGAGGCCAAGGCGTGTGGATTGCTTGAGCCCAAGAGTTCAATACCAGCCTGGGCAACATGGTAAAAATACAAAAAATTTCTACAAAAAAAAAAGTTTCTACGAAAAAAATACAAAAATTAGCCTGGTGTGGTGGTGCTCGCCTGTGGTCCCAGCTACTCAGGAGGCTGAGGTGGGAGGATCACCTGAGCCCAGGGAGGTTGAGGCTGCAGTGAGCCAAGATAGCACCACTGCACTCCAGCCTAGGCAAAAGAGCAAGACCTTGTCTCAAAAAAAAAAAAAAAAAAAAGTTGGAGAACTTACACTTTCCAAGTTCAAAAGCTACAGTAATGAAAACAATGTGGTACTGGCATAAGGATCAACATGTACATCAATGGAATAGAATTGAGAGTCCAGAAATAAACCTGTATGTTTACGGTCAAGGTATCAAGACAATTAAATAAGGAAATAAGTTTTTTTCCCCACAAATAGTGCTGGGACATCTGGATAGCCACATGCAAAAGAATGAATTTGGACTCCTATCTTTTATTGTCTACAAAAATTAACTCAAAACGAATCAAAGACCTAAAGATAAGAACTAAAACTATAAAACTCTTAGAAAAAACATAGGTGTAAACCTCTATGACCTTGGATTAAGCAATGGTTTCTTACATACAACACCAAAAGCACAATCAACTGAAGAAAAAATAAATCAATTAGACTTCATCAAAATTAAAAATTTGAGTGTCAAGGCCCTATCAAAGTTAAAAGATAAATCACGGAATGGGAGAAAATTTTTGCAAATCATAGATCTGGAAAGGATCTTGTATCCAGAAGATAGAAGAGCTGTTTTTCTGTTGTTGTTGAGACAGAGTCTTGCTCTGTCATCCAGCCTAAAGTGCAGTGGCATCATCATAGCTCACTGCAGCTTCCACCTCGTGGGCTCAAGCAATCCTGTCACCTCAGTCTCCCGAGTAGCTGGGACTGTAGGTGTGCACCACCATGCCTGGATAACTAAAAAAAATTTTTTTTATAGACGAGCTCTCACTATGTTGCCCAGGATGGTCTTGAACTCTTGGCCTCAAGCGATACTCCCACCTCTGCCATCCAAAGTGTTGGGATTAGAGTGAGCCACCTCATCCAGCCTATAAGAACTCTTGTAATTTAATAATAAAAAGACAAATAACCCAATTTAAATTTGGGCAAATGACTGGAATAAGCATTTCTCCAAAGAAGATATACAAATGCCAAGAAGCACATGAAAAGATAGTCAGCATCAGCCAGGCATGGTGGCTCATGCCTATAATCCTAGCACTTTGGGAGGCCAAGGCAGGTGGATCACCTGAGGTCAAGAGTTTGAGACCAGCCTGGCCAACATGGTGGCACCTCGCCTCCACTAAAAATACAAAAATTAGCCAGGTGTGGTGGCAGATGTCTGTAATCCCAGCTACTCAGGAGGCTGAGGCAAGAGAACTGCTTGAACCTGGATGGTGGAGGTTGCAATGAGCCAAGATCGCACCACTACACTCCAGCCTGGGCAACAAGAGCAAAACTCCATATCAAAAAAAAAAAAAAAAAAAAGATACTCAGTATCATTAACCATTAGGGAAATGCAAATCAAAACTTTCAAACCCACTAGCATGGCTATAGTTTAAAAGACAATAACTAGTATTAGCAAGGATGTAGACAAATTGGAACCCTCATAAATCACTAGTGGGAATATAAATAGGTGCAGCCTCTGTGGAAAATGGTTTGGGAGGTCTTCAAAAAGTTCAATATAGAGTTACCGTAAGACCTAGAAATTCCACTGCTAGCTATATACCCAAAATAATTGAGAACATTATATATACTTGTACATGAGACCAGGAGCAGTGACTCACACCTATAAACCCAGTACTTGGGGAGGCCAAGGCAGGAGGATCCCTTGAGCCCAGGAATTTGAGACCAGCCTGAGCAACATAATGAGATCCTATCTCTACAAAATATAAAAAATCAGCTGGATGTGGTGGTGTATGCCTATAATTCCAGCTACTGGGGAGGCTGAGGTGGGAGGATCGCTTGAGCAGAGGAGTTGGAGGCTGCAGTGAGCTATGATCATACCATTGCACTCCAGCCTGGGTAACACAGCAAGACTCTGTCTCAAAAAAAAAAAAAAAAAAGGTGTAGCTGGATGCAGTAGCTCACGCCTGTAATCCCAGCACTTTGGGAGGCCAAGGCGGGCAGATCACGTGAGGTCAGGAGTTTGAGACCAGCCTGGCCAACATGGTGAAACCCTATCTCTACTAAAAATACAAAAATTAGCTGGAAGTGGTGGCGCACACCTGTAATCCCAGCTACTCAGGAAGCCAGGATGGGAGAATCGCTTGAACCCAGGAGGTGGAGGTTGCAGTGAGCCGAAATTGTACCACTGCACTCCAGCCTGGCCAATAAAATGAGATTCTGTCTCAAAAAAAAAAAAAAAAAGATACATATACATATACATGAATGCTCATAGCAGCATTATTTATAATGACCAAAAGGTGGAAATGTATCAGTCCATTCTCACACTGCTGTAAAGAATTGCCTAAGACTGGGTAATTTATAAAGGAAAGGGTTTTAATTGACTCACAGTTCCGCATTGCTGGGGAGACCTCTGGAAACTTACAATCATGGCAGGAAGCAAAGGAGAAACAGGCACCTTCTTCACAGGGTGGCAGGACGGGAGTGAGTGCAAGCAGGGGAAATGCCAGATGCTTATAAAACCATCAGATCTCCTGAGACTCACTCATTATCATGAGAACAGCATGGGGGAAACCACCCCCATGATCCAATTACCTCTACCTGGTCCCGCCCTTGACATGTGGGATTAATACAATTCAAGGTGAGGTTTGGGTGGGGACACAGAGCCAAACCATATCAGGGAACAACCCAGGTGTTTATCAGTCGACGAGTGGATAAACAAAATGTGGTCTGTTCATGCAGTGGAATATTATTCTACCATAAAAAGGAATGAAGTACTGATACAAGCTACAGCATGGATGAACCTTGTAAACACTATGCTAAGTGAAAGAAGCCAGTCACAAAAGGCCATATATTATATGATTCCATTTATATTAAATGTTCAGATAGGCACATTCATTGAGATCTGTGGTTGTCAGGGGCTAGAAGTAGGGAGTAATGAGAAATGACTGCACACAGGCACAGGTTCTGGAATTGGATAGTAGTGATTGTTGAACCGCCTTGTGAATCTGCTAAAAAACACTGAGTCATACATTTGTAAATGGTGAATTTTATAGTATATGAATTATAGCTCAATAAAAAAAGAGAGAGAAAAAAGTTGATATTTTCTTCATAGATAGCTCCATGGTTCTCAAACATTTTGGTCTCAAAACCCCTTTAGACTCTTAACAATTACTGAGGGCCCCAAAAAGCTCTTGTTTATGTATTTTGTTTTTGTGTGCTTATGTTCAATATCCATTGACATTTACCATGTTAGAAAGTAAAACAGAAATTTGTAAAAATATGCATTATTTCCTTTAAAATAGCATTAATAAACCATATGCTGTACATGTTATCATAAATAACAGTTGAAAAATAATTGTATTTTCCAAAACAAAAGAATTAGTGAGAAGAGTGACATTGTTTTGCATTTTTGCTGTCAAATGTCTGGCTGAGTAGAAGATAGCTGCATTCTCTTACCTGCTTCTACTTACATTCAATGTGTTGAGATATGTTGTTTTGGTTGAAATATATGAAAAAAGTCTGTCTTCACACAGATACGTGGTTGAAAAAAGGAAGACTATCTTAATAGCCTTTTCAAATAATTGTGGATATTTTTCTTAGATTACATACCAAAACTGGACAAGTATAGTTTCTTAAAGGTTAATTGCAATGTGGAACCTGAAACCATAAACTTTTCAATTGGTCTATCATGATCATGTACTTTTTTTTTTTTTTTTTCAGACAGAGTCTTACTTTGTCGCCCAGGCTGGAGTTCAGTGGCACAATCAGGGCTTACTGCAGCCTCAACCTTCCAGGCTCGAGTGATCCTCCCTGCTCAGCCCCTGGTGGGACTACAGGGATGCGCCACCATGCCCAGCTAATTTTTTTTTAGTAGAGATGGGTTTTTGCCTGCCTGCCTGCTTTCCTTCCTTCCTTCCTTCCTTCCTTCCTCCCTTCCTTCCTTCCTTCCTTCCTTCTTCAGGGTCTTCCTCTGTCACTCAAACTGGAGTGCAGTGGTATTATCTCAGCTTACTGCAACCTCCACCTCCCGGGTTCAAGCAATTCTCATGCCTCAGCCTCCCAAGTAGCTGGGATCACAGGTATGTGTCATGATACCTGGCTAATTTTTGTGTTTTTTCTAAAGATGGGGTTTCGCAATGTTGACCAGGCTGATCTTGAACTCCTGGCCTCAGGTGATCCACCCACTTCGGCCTCCCAAACTGTTGGGATTACAGGCGTGAGCCATCAAGCCTGACCTCAAGTTCCCTCTTTCTAATCTGGAATTGAGAATAGCACTAGCATCCAGGCCCACCTCAAAGGGTCAGACTGAAGTTCAGATGGCCCAAGGATGCACTAGAAAGTTCTTTATGCAATGTAAATGAGAGTTGCCTACTCTTGTCAGGCTCAAGTACCTTCACTCTACAGGCAACTGGCTACAGGCTTCTCACCCTGAGCGGTGGTCAGCTCAGCCAACTCACCCTCTCCACCCTCCTCCCTCCCTCCTTTTTCACAGGAAACTTAAGAGTCAGATCTCTTCCACTGCAAATGGAGATTCTTGATTTGGAGAGAATAAGATAAAGGACCTGACATCAATCCTTACTCTTGAAAGCATGTTGTTACTTTCTAAATATTATTGAAATTAAAAAAAAAAAATCTTCCCCCCAAATCAGTATATTTGAATTGCTAACAAGCCTCTCTGCCTTGTTTTTATCTCAAAGAATAAAATGCTGAGCCCTGCGTGGGATGCTAGATGCTAGAGAACTCCCCCATCTCTCTCTCTCTCTCTCTCTCTCTCTCTCTCTCTCTCTCTCTCTCTCTCTCTCAGTTCTGAACAAGGAGGGAAGGGGTAAAGAGTCCTTAGTGAGCGCCTTCTGCAGGGACAACCCTTCTGGACCCATCTGGATGGGAGCAGCCAGGAGAGGCAAGAAGCAGCTGTATTTGGTGGCACTGCCACAGCGTCTCCTCAGCCCCAGCAAGTGGCCTTTGGTCTAGAGTTGGTCCATCTGGCCCGCACAAGGCTCGAATCCAGCCCTAGAGACGCTCCCCGCCTGCTCCAGGTGGCCGGCACCCTAGACGGGGCAGGAAGGGCAGGCGCCAAGCCTCAAGTCTCAAACACGGTGCGGGGCTGCGCGGCAAGGAGAAACCCAGGAGATGCTCGGGGTCGGGGCCCAGGGCAGGGAAAACCCTCAGCTCTGGTCAAAAGCCAAGTGAGCGAAGGAGGCGATGCAACGTCACCCTGGTGGCCAAGGCAGGCACCCAGGTCTCGAGGTTCCAGGAGAGGGACGCGCTGTGACCACCAGCCCCCTAGGCTCCTGTCTGCTCGATGAGCGTCCACTCGCCAGTTCCAGCCGCGAGCGCCCCCAGCACTCCCGGAGCTGGGCCGGGCGCCGCCTTCCCTCGGGCGGCCGGCAGGGGTCAGTGTTTGGCCGCAGGTGAACAGACAGCGGCCGGGGCTGAATCTGGTTCTTCTAGCTGGGTCTTGCCCCTGCCAATCTGTCTGGACTTGTCCCCTGGCCGTTAACTGGGTTCTAGCCTATCGAGACTCCTCATATTCTCCCCACCCCCGACCACTACCTCCATACTGTCCTTCCTAAGTCACCAGGCCTGCACCCTTCCAGAAGCATAGATCCCTGGATACATGGATAATTACTTCCTGGCCTTATACCAGACAGTGATGCGAGACTGGAAAGAGGACATGGCACGGAGTCAGAAGATTTGAGTTCAAGTTCCTGCTCTGCCAATTACCAGCTGTGTGATCTTGGGCAAGTCACTTTACCTCTCTGTGTTAAGTTTCTCATCTTCAAAAATGAGCTAATGGCAATAGGAATGGCTATGATGCCACATGCCAAGGACTTATATGCCATATACTGTGTGTGTTATCATCTCGAGGGTTTAATAGGAGGAGACTATGGCCCAGAGAGATGAACAAGCAGCAGGAAGTAGCAGAGCCAGCCTCTGAACCCAGGTCTATCCATTTCTACCATGTTAACCTGCTTTGCAGGGCTGTAGTGAGAATTTAAATGTGGAATTTATATTATTCTCTTCTGGCAGTTTGGCCTGGATCCTGGTGGGTGAGCTTTCCCTCCTACTAACAGGGGAAGCAGGGAAAGGCATTTTCAATTATTAGAAACATCCTTAGTTAGTGGGGTATGAAATGAAAATAGCCCACTAGAATACAAGCTTCAGAAGGGAAGAGGTCTCACCTGTCTTGAGTCTGTTGCTCACATAATTCCTGATATATAGTAGATGCACAAGCAATATGAAGAAATGTAAACATGTGTACACCTCCTACCTTCATTATAAGATGGATTCTAACACAGAGTCATTTTTCATACCAACCGTGCAATTACCAGGCAAGTGATGCTAATTACTAGTTCTCATGACCACTATTGAGTTTAATTCAAGAGTTTTATTGGATCCCCTGAAGCTCCTACAACCCTCTAAATCATGGGGATTCAATAACAGTCTTTTTATCAGTATGTTCACAAGATAAATTGAGTAAACCAGCTTAATGACTCATCTTCATGACTTATGACGTTAAGAATAAGATGGGGGGAAATGACAAATGTGATAAAAACTGATGGCTCTGAGAAAATGTCATGGGCATGTGGTTCTGAATGCTCTCCCATGTGGCTCTAGGGGCCTCAGCAACCTTCAGTCCCGTGTCCACCCTCACTCCGCTTCAATAATCAATTTGTTCTTATCCAAAGCATTTTTGAGGACCTTGTTACTCTTCTTCTCTGTGTTAATCAGGCACACAGGCCTAAAATATCAAATCCTAGGCAGATGCATGAACCCACAGGACAGCAACATCGGGAGGGCAGAGTAGAGGCAGGCTTCAGTTCAAAGCAGGCATAGGCTTGGAGAGGGAAACTGGGAAATGAAAACAAGTTGTCTATATAGACTCTCTCCCTAGAAGTCCATTTAAAGAAAATAGAAGCTCAGTAAAATCAAAATCCATGGGCAGTGGTGCCATGCAAAGAGCAAAGACCTGAATCTGAGTCTTGGATCAGTGAGCGTCTTAGCTTTGCCTCCAAGCTCCAGTTTCCTCCACTCTAACTGGGGACGTATTCTCTCCTCTCTCCTGGTTTCCTCCAGTTTCTCTGAACATTCTTTTCATTTTGGTTGTGAGTTCTTCTGCTGCTCTCTCCTGCACCCTTGGTAGGTTCTATGCTGACTTTTATTTTTCTCCTCTTATATGCTCTTGTTGGAAAGTCTCATCCTTTTGTGAATCCAACTGCTGCCCACGTGGGGTGATTCCCAGGTTTATGTCACCAGTCCTGCCTTCTCTACTACTCTTTAAATTTGAAAACAAGGGCCGGGTGCAGTGGCTTATGCCTGTGATCTTGGCACTTTGGGAGGCCAAGGCAGGAGGATCACTTGAGGCCAGGAGTTTGAGACCAGCCTGGGCAATATGACAAAACCTCATCCCTACAAAAAATACAAAATTAGCTGGGCATGGTGGCAAGCACCTGTAGTCCCAGCTACTTGGGAGGCTGAGGCAGGAGAATCACTTGAACCCAGGAGGCAGAGGTTGCAGTGAGCTGAGATCGCATCACTGCACTCCAGCCTGAATGACAGAGTGAGACAGTCTCAAAAAACAAACAAACAAAACCCAACTTTGGGTCACGCATCCATCCTTGACCAATTAGCTGTAGCTAGGGAAGTGGAGTCCTACGGACACAGCAAACCACCACGAGAATCATGGAGATGAATAGGGGCAGGATAATTTACCAGAGGAAGCCTAGAGTGGAGTGCTGGACAGACCACCATGTGGAGTTGCCATCTGAGGACATTGCTACTTGGATACCCCCACAGGTATTTCACCATCTTCCCCTGAACTCATAATCTTCCCCTGAAAACCTGAATCTCCTCTTCTCCTAACCCCCATGAAGGGGCTGTCATCTACCAAGTCACCCCACCTAGAGATGTGAGAATCATTCTGGAATCTCCCTCTCTATCACGAACCCCAATACTTCTAGCTAATCACCATGTCTCTCTAATTCTACTTTCTAAATATTTCTCTTGTCCATGCTACTTCTGTTTTCTGAGCTCAGGCCCTCCTCATAGATCTGGAACATTGCAATTGCAATAACTTCTTTCTTTCTTTCTTTTTCTTTTCTTTCTTTTTTTTTTTTGACAGAGTCTTGCTATGTTGCCCAGGCTGGAGTGCCCAGCTAATTTTTGTATTTTTATTAGAGACAGGGTTTCGCCATATTGGCCAGGCTGGTCTCGAACTCCTGACCTCAAGCAATCTGCCCGCCTCGGCCTCCCAAAGTGCTGGAATTACAGGCGTGAGCCACTGCTCCTGGCCTGCAATAGTTTCTTAGCTGGTCTCTCTGCTTCTAGTCATGCTCCCCTAATCTACTGTCCTCACTGCTGGCAGCCATCTGCCTTTGTTTTCCTAAATGAAATAGATTATTTTCTGATTATATTAAAAATACATGTTCAGCCAGGTATGGTGGCTCATGCTTATAATGCCAGCACTTTGGGAGGCTGAGGCAGGAAGACTGCTTGAGGCCAGCCTGAGCAACATAGTGAGATCTCATCTCTACAAGAAATTTAAAAATTAGCCAGGCATGGTGTCACACACCTGTTGTCCAAGCTACTGGGAAGACTGAGGTGGGAGGATAGGTTGAGTCATGGGAGGTCAAGGCTGCTGTGAGCTGAGATCCTGCCACAGCACTCCAGCCTGTGTGACAGGGTGAGACCTGTCTCAAAAGAAGCAACAACAAAAGACATGATCATTTTAAAAATTAATAAGGAAAAAAATAAAAAGAATGTAAACTTTGCCTAAAATTTTACCACCGTGAGAGAACCATGTTATTTTGGTGATCATTCTTCTTTGCATTTTTTATTCCTATTTTTAAAAATTACATATCATACACGCAGTGAGTGGGTTTTTTCCACTCTCCAGCTTCATTGCAGGACATGCCTTGCCTTGCACCTTAAGGCTGTAAATACGGAGTTGCCTATAATCTCTTTGAGTACACCATGTTGTTTCTCACCTCTCTGCCTGTGGTTATACACCCTGTATTAATTTCCTAGGGTTGAAGTAACAAAGTGCAGGACTTAAAAATAGCAGAAATTTATCCTCTTACAGTTCTGGAAGCTAGAAGTCTGAAATCAAGGGGTTGGCAGGACCATGACCCTTCCAGAACTTCCAGGGGGAGGATCCTTCCTTGCCTCTTTCAGTTCCTGGTAGGCCCAGGCATTCCTTGACTTGTATAGCAAAACTCCAAACTCATGTGATCATCTTCATGTGGCCATCGTCTCTGAGTCTGTGTGTCTCTCTGTCTTCACATGGCATTATCCCTGTGTGTCTGTCTCTGTGTCTAAATTTTCTTCATCTTAAAAGGACGCCCAGCCAGGCATGATGACTCACATCTGTAATCCCAGCACTTTGGGAGGCTGAGGCAAGAGGATTGAGGCCAAGAGTTCAAGACCAGCCGGGGAAGCATAGTAAGTCCCTGTTCTCCACAAAAATACAAAAATTAGTCCCAACTACTTGGGAGACAGGCAGAAGGATCACTTGAGCCCTGGAGATAGAGGCTGCAGTGAGCTATGATTGTACCACTGCACTCCAGCCTGGGTGGCAGAGCAAGACTCTGTCTCAAAATAAAAAGAAAAAACAAAAAAGGACACCAGTTGTATTGGATTCTAGCCCACGCTACTCCAGTATGCTAAGGTTCCCTGCAGCCTCAACATCCTGGGCTCAAGCAATATTCTCACCTCAACTTCCCAAGTAGCTGAGACCACAGATGCATGTCACCATGCCCTGCTAATTTTGTTTATTTTTTGTGGAGACGGGGTCGCACAATGTTGCTGAAGCTGGTCTCGAACTCCTGGACTCAAGCGATCTTCCTGTCTCAGCCTCCCAAAGTGCTGGGATTACAGGCATAAGCCATCACATTTTCAACGACCCTATTTCTAAATAAGGTCACATTCTGAGGTACTGGGATTTAGGACTTCAACATGTCTTTTGCTGGAGGGGGACAAAATGTAACCCATAATATACCCTTTTCCATTTTCTCACCTGACCAGCCTCTCTTGAACCTTCACAGTCCAGCCGAGCTGCCATCTCTTCAAGGAAGTTTTCCCTGAAGCCCTCAGGTAGACCCGTTTTTCCATGGCGGCCACATCAGCATGCAGCACATTTAATTGGAAGTCTCCACATATGAGTTGGTTTTCCTTACTTAAAATATGCTTATCATCCCTTGGAGGTAAGGACTGTATCTTTTCCATCTTTAATATGCCCAGCACTTGTCTCTTATATTAATTAGTTCAAGACTAAGTGGGCTGGAGGCTCAAAACTACAGTGGCTTGCCAGGCATGGTGGCTCACACCTGTAATCCCAGCACTTTGGGAGGCCAAGGCAGAAGGGTCACTTGAGCCCAGGAGTTCAAAATCAGCCTAGGCAATAGACTGAGACCATATCTTTACAAAAAAAATTACAGTGACTTAAGGAAGAATAGAAGTTCATTTCCCTCCCTCATAGCAGTCCTGAGTTGAATAGTGCAGTTTGGTAAGGATCTTGCCCCACATGGCCATCTGAAGACTCTAGTTCCTTCCAGATTGTTGCTTTGCAAATGTAAGGACTCTGTCCTCATCTGCTTGACAGAAGCTGGATAGCAGGCACATCGGTCTTCCAGGTTGGAGAAAGAGGGAAGAGACTGTGGGAAAATACGTGCCTGGTGCCTAAAAGTTCAGACCCAAAGCAGCCCTCATGACTTCTGCTCATATTCTCTTGCTGAGAGCTTAGCCACATGGCTACACTTAGTTGAAAGAAAGGCTAGAAATGTGTCATCAATTGAACAGCAATGACTATATTACAACTCTATTATAGTTCCATAACTCCTTATCTCCAAGTTCTGAAATCTCAAAAGCTGTGAAAATTGGAAAGGTGTGTGTGTGTGTGTGTGTGTGTGTGTGTGTGTGTGTGTTGTTGTTGTTGTTGTTGTTGTTGAGACAGGGTCTTTCTCTGTCACCCAGGCTGGAGTGCAGTGGCATGATCACGGCTCACTGCAGCCTCAACCTCCCAAGCTCAAGGGATTCTCCCACCTCGGACTCCCAAGCAGCTAGGGCTACAGGTGTGTGCCATTGTGCCCAGCTAATTTTCTTACTTTTATAGAGACTGGGGTCTTGCTATATGGTCCAGGCTGGACTTGAACTCCCAGGCTCAAGCGATTGTCCTGCTTTGGCCTCCCAAAATGTTAGAATTACAGGCATGAGGCCGGCCAAAAGTTTTTTCTTAAGTTTGGCACAGACTCAAGTGGTGGCAAAATCTGACTTGAAATGACATGAGGAATTTATAGAGACATCTATAGACTATTTATAGTCTTTATTTCATTCACTTAGAATGAATATTAATGTATTTTGTTGCAAAAGTGCCAACATATTTGCTCAAGCTCTCCCCAGACCCCACTGGGGGAATGAATAATATGCAGTGTGTGCAGCATATCTCTCTGAAAACTGAACACTTCTAAATTTCAGGGCTCATCTTAGACCCACGCAAGAGGACCCCACATTTTGGAGGGCCTTACTTTGCCCTTCTTCTAGATAGCCCTTGCTGATTAGGTAGGCCTGTGAGGCAAAATGAAGGGCCTCTCACCACCTGAGCACCGCCCCCCCAACTCTAGATCATGTCCCAGGTACCTGGGCCACTGGAGTTTGCTGCCCAAGTGGTCCAAAGTCTGTGCAGATCTCTTTAATTGGTCTACCCTCTGGATGGGTGGGGGGTGGGGGTTACCGCTGTCATATGCACTCTTAAGGCCAAGACATAACCAAAGAGCAGCTGTTTGCAGCAGGTATGGATAGAGGCTGGTTGTGCAAACTAAAATGTCCACACATGTGCCCGTGAGACCACTCAAGGTAAGGATAGAATTGAGTGTGCAAAGAGAAAGGGGATAGATATAGTTATCCAAAATTGTAAATTTGACCCTGGCTATATCTATCAACATAGGACAGAACACAGCTCTTATTTATTTATTTGTTTGTTTGTTTAGTTTCAAAGAGATGGGGGTCTCACTATGGTGCCCAGGCTGTTCTTGAACTCCTGGGCTCAAGTGATCATCCCGTCTCAGCCCCTCAAAGTGCTCAGATTATAGGCATGAGCCACCATGCGCAACTCAGAAGACAGTTCTTATTTAGTAGCTTGTTAACTTGATTTACATATCGTAAATATATTAGGCATGGATATGTGGGCCTCCAGGCCTGCATGTTCGAGTGAGTCTGTACGTCAGCCCCAGATATTTTATTTTATTTTATTTTATTTTATTTTTGAGATGGAGTCTCTCTCTGTCGCCCAGGCAGGAGTGCAATGGCGCGATCTCGGCTCACTGCAACCTCTGCCTCCTGGGTTCAAGCAATTCTCCTGCCTCAGCCTCCTGGGTAGCTGGAATTACAGGTGCTCGTCAACACGCCCGGCTAATTTTTGTATTTTTAGTAGAGATGGGGTTTCACCATGTTGGTCAGGCTGGTCTCGAACTCCTGACCTCAGGTGATCCACCTGCCTTGGCCTCCCAAAGTGCTGGGATTATAGGCATGAGCCACCGCACCTGGCTGAGCCCCAGAGATTTTAGAGAGGGATTGTGTACTCGTGCTATGGGAGAACAGGAGAATGGACTCTACAGCTTGGTTCCTGGCACTTAGTAGGTACTTGATAAAGGACTGTTGAACTGAAATAGGAACAACAACTAGCTCACAGGATTCCTGGGACGATCACAGATAGCATATGTGAAAGCCTGACTTGAATTATGAAGGGGTCCCCGAATGTGGAGGAGGAGGAAGAGGATGGACGGAGTGGAGAAGTTCAGGGAGACCCGAGAGTAGATGCAGAGTAGATGATTGAACAACAGAATATGCCAAATGGTATTTGACAAATGATTGAGGAATGTTAGCAGTTGCATTAGTTATGAATCTTGTTGAAACACCAGAAACCAACTCAAGATAGCTTAAACAAGTTGGGGGCAGAGGGGAGGATGAAGAGAGGTGGGTTAAAGGGTACAAACATACAGTTAGATAGAAGGCATAAATTCAATGTTTGATAGCAGAGTAAGGTGACTACCGTTAATAAAAATGTATTGTATTGGGAGGATGGACACCCTAAAAACCCTGACTTCTTTGTTATGTATTATATACATGTAATAAAATTTCACATGTACCCCATGGATCGTATGAAAAACAAGATAGCTTAGCCAGGCGTCGTGGCTCACGCCTGTAATCCCAGCACTGTGGGAGGCTGAGGCGGGCAGATGGCTTGAACCCAGGAGTTCAAGAACAGCCTGGGCAACATGGAGAAGCCCCGTCTCTACAAATACAAAAAAATTAGCTGGGCCTGACAGCGTGCACATGTAGTTTCAGCTTGGTAGGCTGAGGTGGGAGGATCACTTGAGCACAGGAAGTCGAGACTGCAGTGAGCTATGATTGCACCACTGCACTCCAGCCTGGGTGACAGAGTGAGACCCTGTCTCAAAAATATATATATATACAGTCCCAACCTGTAGTCCCACCTCCTGGCGGAGGCTGAGCCCAGGAGTTCAAGGCTGCAGTGAGCCATATGTGTGTGTGTGTGTGTGTGTGTGTGTGTGTGTGTGTGTACGTAATAATACATATATGTGTGTGTATTCACACATACATATGTACATATACACATTTATATATATACATTTATATTTAGATATATTATATAAATATTATAGATATATATACACACACGGCTCACTGTAGCCTTGAAATTCATATCTATATGAATTTATATATATATACACATTTATATATACACATTTATATATTATATGTTATATATAAATACACATTTTTATATATATACACATTTATATATATATACACTCACATGGCTCACTGCAGCCTTGAAATTCATATATATATGAATTTATATATATACGCATTTATACATATGCACATTTATATATTATATATACACATTTATATATATACATATTTATATATATATATATATATACACACACACACACACACACACACACACACACACACACACACACACAGCTCACTGCAGCCTTGAACTCCTGGGCTCAGCCTCCCCCAGGAGCTGGGACTACAGGCTGGGACTGTATATATATATATTTTTGAGACAGGGTCTCACACATACATATATACACATATGTATATATACACACACACACATATATACATACATATATATAGCTAGAACAAAAAAGGGGAATTGATGAAAAGAAAATAGAACGCATTCAATCCAGATCTCCTCTCATGGAACAAGTTGTCATCGACTTCTCATCTCTGCTTCTTTTTTCTTCAGGTCTGATGCATTTTTCTGTCTCTGCAGACCAGCTCCTCCCCCCTCCAAATCTCAATGGAAGAATGCGACATTCTGGATTCAGCTACCCAAAGAGGGGTTTTTTCCCCCTCTTTGTCTCTATTATACATTTTATAGGAAGGAATTCTGTCCCAGTTAATTCAAACTGGGACCAGAGGAACAGGGTCCCGCTGCTCAAAATGGCTGTCACCCGTGGGTAAGGGGAGCAGTCAGAGAGTCATTGTGACTGGGGTGGCAGTCCCACTCCAATCTGCCTTGTGGCTTCCTAGCCTGCAACATACATCCTCCCAGACATACAAAATGTGCCTCTGCCTGAGTCTTCCTGGCAGGGAGTTTGGTACCCCCCAACATTGGGAGGGGAGCTTACAACACAGGACTATCTCTTCCCATAGATAATCTCCTCACAAAGCTCCACTCAGGACCACTTATATTCTTGAGGTAAGGGAGGAGGTTCAAATGTCATGTAACAGTTTTTTGTTTGTTTGTTTGTTTTGAGGGAGGGTCTCGCTTTGTCACCCAACCTAGAGTGCAGTGGCGCGATCATGACTCACTGCAGCCTCAAATTCCTGAGTTCAGCCTCCCCAGTAGCTAGGACTACAGGTGCTTGCCACCACGCCCAGCTGATTTTTTTTTTTGGGAGAGACAAAGTCTCTCGATGTTGACTAGGCTGGTTTTGAACTCCTGGACTCAAGCAATCCTCCTGCCTTGGCCTCCCAAAGTGTTGGGATTACAGGCATAAGCCACTGTACCTGGCCCATATAACAGATTCTTAAGGTTATTTCTTTTGAAAGTTTGCATATAGTGACTTCACACATCACATTGTTTTACAACTAAGGTATATTAATGCTTAATGGAAATTTCCATTTTATTATTTATTTATTTTTATTGTATTTATTTATTTATTTTTGAGACAGAGTCTCGCTCTGTTGCCCAGGCTGGAGTGTAGTGGCGTGATCTTGACTCACTGAAACCTCCACCTCCCAGGTTCAAGCGATTCTCCTGCCTCAGCCTCCCAAGTAGCTGAGATTACCGGTGCCTGCCATCATGCCTGGCTAATTTTTATATTTTTAGTAGAGACAGGGTTTCACCATGTTGGACAGGCTGGTCTCGAACTCCTGACCTCAGATGATCCATCTGCCTCGGCCTCTCAAAGTGCTGAGATTACAGGCGTAAGCCCTCACACTCAGCCTATTTATTTATTTTTTGAGACAAAGTCTTGCTCTGTCGCCCAGGCTGGAGTGCAATGGCATGATCTTGGCTCACTGCAAGCAATTTTCATGCCTCAGCCACCCGAGTAGCTGAGACTACAGGCATGCACCACCACACTTGGCTAATTTTTGTATTTTTTAGTAGAGACCAGGGTTTCACCATGTTGGCCAGGCTGGCCTCAAACTCCTGACCTTAGGTGATCCACCGCCTCGGCCTCCCAATGTGCTGGGATTACAGGCATGAACCACCATACTTGGCTGGAAATTTCCATTTTAATATCTTGTTTACAGATAGCTTGAATAATGCTGGGTAGTGGGATGGTACACAGAATAGAATATATTCTTCTATATGTGCATATATTTGATTGCATATATAATACATATTATTATATATTAGGCAGGGTTCTGAGTTGCAACTCTAAGCAGGTTAAAGGAATTAAGGATAGACTTTGTTTTCTGACATAACTGAAACGTTCAGGGAGCTTCAGGTGCTATTGAATTCAAGGGTTCGACAACCCCATTAGCTTGCCCTTAGTGGTTCTGTGTCCTTTCCTCTCTCCTTCTCACCCTCTTTCCCTCCCTTCATTTCTCAGCTCTGCTTTCCTTTGGCTTCACATAACTCCAGGCTCATGTCATCCTTTTTGTCCCAATCTGAGATAAAAAGACCATCTTTCCTTTCAGGCAATAGAATATGATTGGCTAGGCCTAGGTCACTTGTCAACCTCTATACCCTTACGTTTTTGGAGTGGGGTAGGAGTAGGAGAAATAAAGAATTCTACTTTATGTGTTTGTGTATGTATCATTTCTATGAGAAAAAGTTTAGCAGGAAGCTTTAATGTTAAATAAATAATGGCATATTGACACCAAAAAATATATACATAGCAGTTAAAAGAGCAAGGTTTCTACATACTGCATAGAAAGGTATCCTCAGCATGTTATTAAAGACAATTTGCAGAACAGAAGGTATAATATCATATGATGTTTTAAGAAAATATTTTTTTGTTTGTTTGTTTGAATCAGGGTCTCACTCTGTCACCCAGGCTGAAGTGCAGTGGCTTGATCTCAGCTCACTAAGCCTCAAACCACTGAGCTCAAGCAATCCTCCCACCTCAGCCTCCCAAGTAGCTGGGACCACAGCTCTGCACTACCATGCCTAGCTAATTTTTGTATTTCTTGTAGAGATGGGGTTTTGCCATGTTGCCTAGGCTGGTCTCAAACTCCTGGCCTCAAGCGATTCACCCACCTCGGCCTCCCAAAGTGCTGGGGTTGCAGGTGTGAACCACCATGCCCAACCTAAGAAAAGATTTTAAGCATGGTTGCAAATTCAGAGAAAATGTCTGTACAGGTATACAATAAATTATTAATAATGATAGCCGCTGAGAAGTAAAAGGAGGCCTAGAGGAACAGGAGTTCCAGGTTACTTTAGTCTCCTGCACTATTTGGGCTTCTTTTTTATTTCTTAAACATTTTACTATGAAAAAACTTCAACATACAGAAAAGTTGAAAGTTTTACAGGAAACATCCGATATCCACCTCCTACATTGTTCCTTTGACAATTTGTAATACTTGCTTTGTCACATGTTTATTCATCCCACCACTCAGCATGCGTGTCATTAACTGCTTCCCTGGTTTGTCTTTTAATTAAACTTTTCATTTTGAGATAATTGTAGGTTCACATGCAATTGTAAAAAGAAACCCCATGTACAGAGATCCAGTGTGCCCTATAGCCATTCTCCCAATGGTAACATGTTGCAAAACTCCAAGAAGACTGAGTTCTATATTGATGTGATTGAAGTCCCTCCACAGGGTTCCTCTGGGGCCCTTCACAACTGTGTATCCCTTCAGAGTGATGTTAACATTTTCTGGAATGTCAACAGTCTGATTGCTGAGAATGGTCTTCATTCTCGCAGTAGACGTGGCTAATAGCACAATATCACAACCAGGATACTGACACTGATAGGTCAAGATATAGAACAGTTTCATCACCATAAGGATCTCTCATGTTTCCATTTTATAGCTGCCCGCATTTCCTCCATTTCCTTACTGCTCCTGCTCCCTGCTCTTTTGTTTGTTTGTCTTTCTTGCTTTTCTTTTCTTTCTTTCTTTTTTTTTTTTTTGAGACAGGATATCATTCTGTCACCCAGGCTGGTGATCACGTGGTGCGATCATGGCTAAAGGCAGCCTTGACCTCCTGGGCTCAGGCGATCCTCCTGCCTCAGCCTCCTGTATAGCTGGGATCACAGGCTCATGCCGCCATGCCCACCTAATTTTTTGAAATTATTATTATTATTATTTCCAAATCAGTAGGTCTTTTATTGTATCATTTAAATATCACAAATAGGTCTTAGGAATCATCCAGCATCTTGTTTGTGTAGGTGGACAACTCTCAAATCTTATTCATCAGCCTGCTGAACAGTTCCCTTTTCAGAGACGTAGATACCGTTCAAAAATTTCCTGATATCCTTGTTTTTAACTGTTGTGGCTTGCTGAATCAAAGCCGCTGAATTTGAAACAAGCTCAATGTCATTTCCTTCAAGGATGAATTCATCTTTCTGGGCTTGAGATACTGAACAAGCAACACCTGGTCTCATCTGAACCCCGTGGATGTATTTTTCACCCAATAAATTTTGGATTTCAACAACAGACCCATTCTCCTAGATAACAGTGTTGACGGGGAAGTGAGCATACACAGACCTCATCTTGTAACTGAGGCCCAGTGTAACACCCTTGATCGTGTTCTGTACATGACTACAAATATTCTGAACGGCAGCCAGTTCCTCTCTGTTACCCCACCGTTTGTCAACCTGGAGCCTCTGTTTTTTCTTTCCAAGAAGACTGAGTTCTATATGGATGTGACTGAAGTCCCTCCACAGGGTTCCTCTGGGGCCCTTCACAATAACTGTGCATCCCTTCAGAGTAATGTCAACATTTTCTGGAATGTCGACAGTCTGATTGCTGAGAATGGTCTTCATTCTCGCAGTAGACGTGGCTAAAAATTATTTTTAGAGTTGGGTCTCCCTATGTTGCCCAGGCTAACCTCAAACTCCTGGGCTCAAGCAGTCCTCACACCTTGGCTTCCCCAAGTGCTGGGATTACAGGTGTGAGCCACTGTGCCTGGCCTCCTGCTCCCCGCTTAACCCCTGGCAACTACTAATCTGTTCTCCATTTCTATAATTTTTTTTTCAAGAGTGTTATATATATAATGGAATCAAGCAGTATGTAACCTTTTGGGATTGACTTTCTTCACTCGGCATAATTCTCAGGAGATTCATCCAGTTTGTTGCATGGTTCAACAGTTCATTCTTTTTTATTGCTATATAGTATTCCATGGTACAGATGTACTACAGTTTGTTTAACCATTCAGCCATTGATGGACATTTGAGTTGTTTCCAGTTTTTGGCCATTACGAATAGATTTACTATAAACACTCATGTATTCTTTTTTATGAACATAAATTTTTATTTCTCTGGAATAAATTCCCAAGAGCCCATATGGTAGTTCCATGTTTAGTTTTTTTAAGAAACTGCTGACTGGGCATGGTGGCTGACACCTATTATCCCAGCACTTTGGGATGCCAAAGTGGGCAGATCACTTGAGCCCAGGAGTTCAAGACCAGCCTAGGCAACATAGCAAAATCCCATCTCATACAAAAAATTAGCTGCACATGGTGGTGCCTGCCTGTTGTTCCTTGCTACTTGGGAGGCTGGGGTGGGAGGATCACTTGAGCCTGGGAGGCAGAGGTTGCAGTGAGCGGTGATTGCGCTACTGCACTCCAGCCTGGGCGACAAAGACCCTGTCTCAAAACACATACAAAATTTTCCAAACCATTTCTAAAGTGGCTGTATCATTTTACATTTCCACCATCAATGTGTGAGTGACTTAGTTTCTCCACATCCTCACCAACATTTGGTATTGTCACTTTTAAAAATGTTAGCATTCTGATAGGTGTGTAGCCATATCTCATTATGGTTTTATTTTGCATTTCCCTATTGACAATGACACTGAATCTCTTTCATGTGCTTATTTGCCATCTGTATTTCCACTTTTGTGAAATGTTCTCTTCATGTCTTTTGCCCATTTTCTAATTAGATTGTTTGTGTTTTTATTGTTGCATTTTTAGAGTTCTTTAATATTCTATTTACTAGTCTTTTGTTGGATAAATGGTTTGCAAATATTTTCTCCTCTCTAGCTCATCTTTTTGTCTTTTTACAGATTATTTCACAAAAGTTTTAAGTTTTGATAATGTCTAATTTATCGATTTTCCTTTTATGGATTGTACTTTGGTGTCAACTTTAAGAGCTGTTTGCTTAGTCCTAGACCTTGAAGATTTTCTTCTATTTTTTTTTCTGAAAGGTTTTCTTTTTTTTTTTTTTCTTTTTTTGAGACAGGGTCTCGCTCTGTCACGCAGGCTGAAGTACAGTGGCACAATCACAGCTCTTGCAGCCTTGATCTCCCAGGCTCAAGCAATTCTCCTGCCTCAGCCTCTGAAGTAGCTGGGATTACAAACATGTGCCACCACAACTGGCCAATTTTTGTATTTGGGTTTTTTCTTTTTTTTTTTTTGTAGAGATGGAGTTTCCCAAAGTGCTGGGACTATAGGCATGAGCCACCACACCCAGCCTACATGTTTATCTTGTATCCTGTGACATTCCTGAATTCACTTATTTCTAGGGGGTTTGTTTGTTTGTTTTTGTAGACTCTTTGAGATTTTCTATATATATAATCACGTCATCTGCAAATAGGAAGAGTTTTGCCTCTTCATTGCCAATCTTTTATTTCCTTCTCTTATTGCACAGACTAGAGCTACCAGCACTATGTTGAATAAAATTGGTGCTTTATTCCCACTATTAGGGGCAAAGCATTCAGTCTTTTACCATTAAGTATAATGTTAGTGGGTTTTTCATAGTTGCTGCTTATCAAGTTAAGGACATTCCCCTCTATTCCTATTTTTTCTTACAGGTGTTTTTGTTTGTTTGTTTGGTTTTTGTTTTTTGAGACGAAATTTCGCTCTTGTGGCCCAGGCTGGAGTACAATGGCACGATCTTCACTCACTATAACCTCTGCCTCATGGGTTCAAGAGATTCTCCTGCCTCAGCCTCCTGAGTAGCTGGGATTACAGGCATGCGCCACCACACCCGGCTAATTTTGCATTTTTAGTAGAGATGGTGTTTCTCCATGTTGGTCAGGCTGGTCTCGAACTCCTGACCTCTGGTGATCTGCCGGCCTCAGCCTCCCAAAGTGCTGGGATTACATCACACCAAGTCAGGTTTTTTTTTTTTTTTAATTATTAAATGGGTGTTGAATTCCGTCAAATGTCTTTTCTTCATCATTGCTATGACTATATGGATTTTCCTCTTTATACTGTTAACATGGTGGATTACATTGATCAATTTTTGGATATTGAATCAGCCTTGCATCCCTGAAATGCAACTGTATAATTCTTTTTATATATTGCTGGAGTCCATTTGCTACTATTTTGTTAAGGATTTTTGCTTGTATATTCATGCAGGATATTGGTCTATAGTTTTCTTTTTGTTCTACTGTCCTCATCTGGTTTTGATAATATTAACCTTATAAAATTAATTGGAAAACATTTTCTCTCTTCTGTTCTCTGGAAGAGATTGTGAAGAATTAAATTCTTCTTTAAGTGGTAGAATTCTCCAGTGAAACCATCTGGATCAGGAAATATTGAGAGGGAGGGAGGATGGTTTTATTACAAATTCAATTTTCTTAATAGTTATAGGGCTATTCAAATTAAACTAATACCCTAAAATTAAACTAATTTAAACTAATACCCTAAAAAAAAAACCTCTACACATATAAACTCATACTGGATGAGTTAGGTAGTTTGTGTTTTGAGGGGAATTGGTTTATTTTATTTAAGTTGCCAAATTTATGCATGTAGAGATTTTTTGGAGGATATTAATTTCTTGGGGCTGCTGCAACAAATTAACACAACTTAATAACTTGAACAACAGAAATTTATTCTCTCACAGTTATGGAGGCCAGAAGTTCAAAATCAGCATCAATGGTCAAATCAAGGCATTGGCAGGACCACACACTTTTCAGAAGCTCTATAGAAGAATTCATTTTTTGCCTCTTCAAGTTTCTGGTGGCAACCAACATTCCTTGGCTTGTGGCCACATTGCTTCAATCTCTGCCTCCATGGTTGCATTCCCTTCTCTTTTGTCCACAACTCCCTCTGTTACTCTCTTATAAAGACATTTGTCATTGCACTTAAGGTCTACTAGGATAATCTCATCTCAAAATCCTTAATCGCATCTACAAACGCTCTTTTTCCATATAAGGTAATATTTACAGGTTCCAGGGATTAGGACCTAATTAACGCTTTGGAGGTCTACTGAGGCTGACTAATGGCCTCCAAACATAATTCTCTATTTCTTTCATTTTTTTTTTTTTTTTTTTGAGTCTCGCTCTGTCGCCCAGGCTGGAGTGCAGCGGCGCCATCTTGGCTCACTGCAAGCTCCGCCTCCCGGGTTCACGCCATTCTCCTGCCTCAGCCTCCCGAGTAGCCAGGACTACAGACGCCCGCCACCACGCCTGGCTAATTTTTTGTATTTTTAGTAGAGACGGGGTTTCACCGTGTTAGCCAGGATGGTCTTGATCTCCTGACCTCGTGATCCGCCAGCCTCTGCCTCCCAAAGTGCTGGGATTACAGGCATGAGCCACCGTGCCCGGTCATAATTCTCTATTTCATTTTATTTCCCTATTATTAAGTCCCACGGTGTTTCCCTATTATCCTTTTGATGCCTACAGGGTCCATGTGATATCTTTTCTTTCATTGCTAATGTATTTCTCCTCTTTTAAAATTTGTCAGTCTTGCTAGAGATTTATTGATCTTTTCAAATAATTAGCTCCTTGTTTCGTTGGTTTTCTCCTTTTCTTTTCAGTTTTCTGTTTCTTTTTTTATTTTCAATTTCATGGATTTCTGCCTTTTTTTTTTTTTTTTTTTTGGAGACAGGGTCTTTCTCTGCCGCCCAGGCTGGAGTGCAGTGGCATGATCATAGCTCACTGCAGCTTCCAGCTCCTCAGCTCAACTGAGCCTCCCACCTTAGCCTCCCAAGTAGCTGGAACCACAGTTGTGTACCACCATGATAGGTAAATTTTTAATTTTTAACGTTTTTCAGAAATAGGGTCTCATTATGTTGCCCAGGCTGCTCTCAAACTCCTGAGCTCAAGCAATTCTGCCACCTTGGTCTCCCAGAGTGTTGGGATTACAGGTGTGAGCCACCATGCTCAGCCCTGCTCTTATCTTATTATTTCCTTCCTTCTGTTGGCTTTGGATTTATATTTTTCCCAAGTTCTTGAGGTATGAGCTTAGATCATTGATTTGATAAAGACTTTTCTACTTTTCATTTATTTTCTTTTTTCCTTTCTTTCTTTTTGACACAGGATCTCGCTCTGTCACCCAGGCTGGAGTGCAGTGGCACAATCTCAGCTCACTGTAGCCTTGATCTCCCCAGCTCAAGTGATCCTCCCACCTCAGCCTCCTGAGTAACTGAGACCACAGGGACACGCCACCATACCTGGCTAATTTTTGTATTTGGGTTTGTTTGTTTGTTGTTGTTTTTTTGTGTGTGTGTTTTTGTACAGCTGGAGTTTCGCCATGTTGCCCAGGCTGCTCTCGAACTCCTGGGATCAAGCGATCTGTCCACCTTGGCCCCCCAAAATACTAGGATTACAGGCATGAGTTACCATACCTGGGCCTCTACTGTCCTAATATGTGCATTTAATGCTATACATTTTCTTCATCTGTGTCCCACAGATTTTGTTACATTATATTTTCATTTCACTCGCTTCAGTGTATTTTACAATTTCCCTTGGCCAGGTGCAGTGACTCACACCTGTAATATCAGCACTTTGGGAGGCAGAGGCGGGTGAATCACATGAGTGCAGGAGTTGGAGACCAACCTGGGCAACACAGGGAGACCCCATCTCTACAAAAAAATCCAAAAATTAGCCAAGCGTGGTAGTGTGATCTTGTAGTCCTAGCTACTCGGGAGGTTGAGGCTGCAGTGAGCTGTGATAGCGCCACTGCATTCCAGCCTAGGCAACAGAGCGAGAGCCCATCTCTAAAAATGAATAAATATATAAATGTATATTTTTATATGTATTATATAATAGTATAATATATTATAATAGTATAATATTATACTATTATATAATAGTAGTAGTATATATTATGTATTATACTATTATATAATATATAATACATGCAATACATATACATATATGTGTATTTTTATACATGTATTATATATACACATACAATATATAGATGTATATATAATATTGTATATATAAAATATTTTATATATACACATATATAATTTCTCTTGAGACTTCCCTTTTTCGTCCATGGAGTACTTAGAAGTGTGTTGTTTAGTTTCCAAGCATTTGGAAATTTTTCTGTTATCTTTTTGTTATTGATTTCTAGTTTGATTCCATTGTGGTCAGAGAACACACTTGGTATTAATTCAGTTGTTTTACATCTGTTTGTTTTATGGCCCAGGATATGGTCTATTTTGAAATGTGTTACCTGAGTAGTCGAAAAGAATGAACATTTTGCTGTTGTTGGGTGAAGTGTTCTATAAATATTCATTAGATCTTGTTGGTTGATGATTTTGTTGAACTCTTCTATATCCTTGTTGATTTTCTGTCTAGCTGTCGTATCAATTGTTAAGAAAGGAGGATTGAAGTCTTCAGCCCCAGTTGCCGATTTTTCTATCTCTCCTTTCAGTTCTATCAGTTTTGGCTTCATATGGACTGCAGTTCTGTTGTTTGGTGCATACACATTTAGGATGATTTGTTTTCTCACTAGATTGGCTCTTGTATCATTGTACAATGTCTCTGTCTCTAGAAAAGTTTCTTTGCTCTGAAGCCCACTTTATCTGACATATATACATGCACAATATATATATGTATAGCTACTCTCCTGCTTTCTTTTGTTTAATGTTTACATAACCTATCTTTCCTATCTTTTTTCATCTTTTTACTTCCAACCTACCTTTATTGCTATACTTACAATGACTTTATGCACCACATCTAGTTAGGTCATGTTTTTTAATCCACTCTATCAATTGCTTTTAAATAGATATCAATCTTTTGCATTTAGACCATTTACATTCAATATAACTATTGATATGTTAGGGAATAAGCCTGCTGTTTTATTTTTTGTTTTATGTTTTTCTCTCCTTTTTTTTTTCCTGAGATGGAGTCTTTGTCTATTTCCCAGGCTGGAACGCAGTGGCATGATCTCGGCTCACTGCAACCTCCGCCTCCCGGGTTCAAGTGATTCTTGTGCCTCAGCCTCCTGAGTAGCCTGGATCACAGGCACCTGCCACCACACCTGGCTAGTTTTTGTATTTTTAGTAGAGACGTGGTTTCAATGTTGACCAGGCTGGTCTTGAACTTCTGAGCTCAAGTGATCTGCCTGCCTCGGCCTCCCAAAGTTCTGGGATTATAGGCGGGAGCCACCGTGCCAGGCCCACTTTTCATTTTTCTATTTTCTTTTCCCTGCCTTCCTGTGGGCTACTTGAACATTTTCATTAGAATCATCTTTTTATTTATCTGTAGTATTTGGGGATATTTCTTTACATGTAACTTTTTTTTTTTTAGAGGCAGTCTCACTCTGTCGCCCAAGCTGGAGTGCAATGGCATGATCTCAGTTCACTGCAGCTTCTGCCTCCTGGGTTCAAGTGACTCTAATGCCTCAGCCACTCAAGTAGCTGGGATTATAGGCATGCACCACCACGACAGGCTAATTTTTGTATTTTTAGTAGAGATGTTAGCCAGGCTGGGCTCAAACTACAGGCCTCACATGATCCACCCGCCTCGGCTTCTCAAAGTACTGGGATTACAGACATGAGCCACCAAACCTGGCCTACACGTAACTTTTTTAGTGACTTATCTAGGTATTACATTGTATGTACATGGCTTAATACAGTGTACTGGTTTTACCAGTTAAAGTGAAATATAGAAACCTTACCTCCCAAGCTGGGCGTGGTGACTCACGCCTGTGATTCTAGCACTTTGGGAGGCCCAGGTGGGAGGATCCTTTGGACGTAGGAGTTCAAGACTAGCCTGGGCAACATAGCGAGAACAAGTCTCTAAAAAATTTAAAAATTAGCAGGTTGTGATGGTGTGCCTGTAGTCCCAGCTACTTGGGAGGCTGTGGTGGGAGGATCACTTAAGTCTAGAAAGTCGAGACTGCAGTGAGCCATTATCATGCCATTACACTCCAGCCTGGGCAACAGACTGAGACCCTGCCTCAAAAAGAAAAAAAAAGAAATATTACTTCTCTTTACATCCCTTTGCCAGCCTCCATTTATAATATGATTGCCTTAAATATTTCCTCTGCATATTTTTAGAACCACAACAGACTGTATTGTAATTTTTGCTTCAACTATCAAAAATAATTTAGAAAACTCAAGAAGGGGCCAGGTGCAGTGTCTCATGCCTGTAGTCCCAGCACTTTGGGAGGCCAGGGTGGGTGGATCACGAGGTCAGGAGATCGAGACCATCCTGGCCAACATGGTGAAACCCCGTCTCTACTAAAATACAAAAACAGCTGGGCATGGTGGCGCACGCCTGTGGTCCCAGCTACCTGGGAGGCTGAGGCAGGAGAATAACTTGAACCCGGGAGGCAGAGTTGCAGTGAGCCAAGATCACACCACTGCACTCCAGCCTGGCTAGAGAGTGAGACTCTGTCTCAAAAAAAAAAAAAAGAAGAAAAGAAAAGAAAAAGAAAGAAAAGAAAGAAAGAAAACTCAAGAAGAAAAGGAGGCCAGATGAGGTGGCTCATGCCTGTAATCCCTGCACTTTGGGAGGCCAAGGCAGGCAGACCACTTGAGATCAGGAGTTGAAGACTAGCCTGGCCAACATGGCAAAATCCCGTCTCTACTAAAAATACAAAAAAATTAGCCAGGCACGGTGGTGGGCGCCTATAGTCCCAGCTACTCAGGAGACTGGGGCACGAGGATCGTTTGAACTTGGGAGGTAGAGGTTGCAGTGAGCCAAGATCCTGCCACTGCAGTCCAGCCTGGGTGATAGAACAAGACTCAGTCTAAAAAAAAGAAAAGAAAAAGAAGAAAAGGAGGCTGGGCATGGTGGCTCACACCTGTAATCCCAGCACTTTGGGAGGCCGAGGCGGGCAGATCACGAGGTCAGGAGATCGAGACCATCCTGCCTAACATGGTGAAACCCCATCTCTACTAAAAATACAAAAATTAGCCAGGTGTGGTGGTGGGCACCTGTAATCCCAGCTACTCAGGAGACTGAGGCATGAGAATAGCTTGAACCTGGGAGATGGAGGTTGCAGTGATCCAAGATTGTGCCACTGCCCTCTAGTCTGGGTGGCAGAGTGAGACCCTGTATTGAGGAGGAGGAGGAGGAAGAAGAGAAGGAGGAGGAAGGGGGAGGAGGAGGAGGAGGCGGAAGGGGAAAGGAAGGGATGGGGAAGAAGAAGAAGAAAAGTGTTTTTGAACAATGAGAATACGTGGATGGGGAGGGGCAATCACACACCAGGGTCTGTTGTGGGGTGGGGGGCTGGGGGAGGGATAGCATTAGGAGAAATACTTAATGTAGATGACGGGTTGATGGGTGCAGCAAATCACCATGGCATGTATATACCTATGTAACAAACCTGCACATTCTGCACATGTACCCCAAAACTTAAAGTATAATAAAAAAAAAGAAGAAGAAAAGTGTTTTATATTTAACCATGTCTTTGCTCACTGTGTTCTTTCTCCCTTCCTGATGTTTGTTTTCTTTCTTTTTAGAGAAATTTATTGTGCTTTACCCTTTATTCCTGAAATATAATTTCACAGGCAATAGAATTCTGGGTTGACTATTTTTTTTTTCTTTCAGCACTTGAAAATATTGGCTATTTCCTTCTGACCCCCATGGTTTCTTTTAAAAAATTTGCTGTTGTTTGAATTATTTTTCTCTACAGGTAAGGTTCATTTCCGTCTTGCTGCTTTCAAGAGTTTTCTTTGCCTTTACTTTTTTTAAAAAAATGTTTTAAATTTTATAGAAACAGGGTCTCACTGTTATCCAGACTGGTCTTGAACTCCTGGACTCAAATGATCCTCTTGCCTCAGCCTTCCAAATTACTGGGATTACAGACATGAGCCATCATGCCCGGCCTGCCTTTAATATTTAGAAATTTGGCTTTAATATATCTTGGTATTTCTTGAGTTTATCCTGTTTTGATGTGTTATCTTGTTCACTCAGCTTATTGAATCTGTAGGCTAATGGGGCTCTTTTTTGCCAAATTTGGGGAGTTTTAAGCCATTACTTTTTTCTATTTTTTTTTTTTCTTTTTGAGATGGTGCCTTGCTCTGCCACCCAGACTGGAGTGCGATGGCGCGATCTCGGCTCACTGCAACCCCTGCCTCCTGGATTCAAGCGATTCTCCAGCCTCAGCTTCCTGAACAACTGGGACTACAGGCACCTGCCACCACACCTGGCTAATTTTTGCATTTTTATTAGAGACGGGGTTTCACCATGTTGGCTAGGCTGGTCTCAAACTCCTGACCTCAAATGATCCACCCACCTCAGCCTCCCAAAGTGCTGGGATTATAGGCGTGAGCCACTGCGCTCCGCCAGCCATTA
The DNA here is from genome assembly GCF_000001405.40 of Homo sapiens. Taxonomy (NCBI): domain Eukaryota; kingdom Metazoa; phylum Chordata; class Mammalia; order Primates; family Hominidae; genus Homo; species Homo sapiens. The sequence continues at coordinate 48,701,359 of NC_000017.11, forward strand.
CTTTTTGAGTACTTTTTTTAGCTGTGCCCTCTTTCTCATTTCTTCCAGGATTCTGATGACATGAATTTTAGATCTTTTCATCTAGTTCCACAGGTCCCTGTGGCTTTTTTCATTTTCTTCAAACTGTTTTCTCTCTGTTTCTCAGATTGGGTGATTTTTAATTATTCTATTTTCAGGTTCACTTGTTCTTTCCTCTGTCCCCTCCATTCTACTGTTTAGTCCATTTACTGAGGTTTTTTTACTTCGGTTATTATGTTTTTCAGGTTTAAACATTCCATTTAGCTCTTCTTTATATTTTCTGTTTCTTTACTAATACTTTCTATTTTTTTTGCTTTGTTTCAAATGTGTTCTTAATTATTTGTTGAAGCATCTCTCTGATGGCTGCTTTAAAATCTTTGTCAGATAATGTTAACATCTGGTATCTTTGTATTGTTGATTGTCTTTTTAAAATCAGTTTGAGATTTTTCTGATTCTTGGTAACATGAGTGATTTTCAGTTGATACCTAGATATCTCATATTATTTTATAGGCTCTGGATCTTATTTAAGTCTTCAGTCTTAGCTGGTTTTCTCTGAAACTGCTCCTACAGAGGAAGGGTGGGGGACTGTTACTTCTTTATTGCCAAGTGGTGGTAGAAGTCCAGCTTCTCCACTTGGCCTCCATTGACACTTCAAGGAGTGGGTGTTTCTCATTACTGCTGGTCAGGGGTGGGCGTTCTGCCTCCCCACATGGTTTCTGCTGATATCATGGTGGGGATAGGCTTGTTACTACTACGTAATGGTGAAAGTCCTGCCTCTTTACTAGGTCTCTACTCTAGTGGAAAGGGAGAAGGACATCTCGTTGCTTCTAGGTGAAGAGTAGGTTTCCGATGTAGTCTCCACTGACACAGGTTGACACTGAGGAGGTGGGGGTGGGACCCAGGGACATGGGTACAGGCCTGCAAGGATAAAAGTCCCTGATCTCTACATGGCCTCCTCTGACACCACCCAGTAGAGGTGCCGGGGGGCCTTGTTACAGCTTCGCCTTCAAAAGCGTGAAAGTCTCAGCTTCTCCCTCAACCTTTGCTGGTGTGAGTGGGACCAGTTTTTTTCTGTAGCGTTTGATTGGCGCGGAACTGTTATTGTCTTCAAAGTTTTCTGTCTTGCTGGGCTGTCCCTTTCCTAGTCCTTTGTCTAGTGAGAGCAGGCTTTTTTTCAGGCTCCTCTTTCTCCTTCTTATTCTTCTCCTCCCGTCTGAACCCATTGGCATTTCTAGGTTGCTGCTCCAAGCCTTGGATATATGACACCGTAATAAAATCGAGAGAATGCACCACCATGTTTTCCTCAGCCCAGGTCCATAGCCTGTCTGCCATCTTTGTATCTTTCCTAGTCTTCTAATGTCTGTTTTATAGACAATGTCCAGAGTTCTTAGCTGTATTTAGGAGGAGGAATAGGGAGAAGTACAGCTCCTCTGTATTCCTGGAGTGGAATTCTCTGCCTCTCTGATTTTAAACAAGCCAAACTCACAAGAGGGCAAGCAGAAAGCAATTTCATTCTTTCTCACGACTATCCCTTTCAATCGGGCCTGTGGCTTCATTCTTCTAGATGAAATTTCAGGCAGATTCATAGCCTTTTCAATCCCTTTCAGTTATAAATATGTGCATGTGTGTTTGTTCGTATTAACATCAATCCTCTGAACTCTTGTCCAATCTAATCTTTTGCCCTCCCAAACTTGGACTTATCTCAGGGCCTATCTATATCTATGGTAGAAAGAGGGGCTCTTGGGGGTCTTGGTTAGCTTCTTTGCTATTTCCCCTCCTTACTCTTTTCTTCTCCCCTGTCTCCCTTTTTCTTTTTTATTTATTTTTAGAGCTAGAGTCTCGCTACATTGCCCAGGCTAGACTCAACTCCTGGGCTCAAGCGATCCTCTTGCCTCAGCTTCATGAGTAGCTGGGACTACTGCAGGCAGCTCCCCTTTATTTTCTGTATTGCATCTGGCTCCGCTAGTGTTGAAGTGAGAGAGATCAAGGAGAAATACAGGGCAAGAAAAGATCCTGTGTCTGTTATAGTTTTAATCAGGTGTTGGAGCTCTCCAGATGTAGCCAAAGGCCAACTCTTTTCTATGGGGCCCATTTGTGGATTTTTCAGTTCCTCCCATTTCTGGTTATTATTTGGAATCAGAATACCAATAATTGAAAAGAAATAGCATTTCAAGCAAGGGAATATCTGTTCTGGCTTGGAAAAAATCTATTTCATACACATTTTCATTTTTAGAAAGAATATTGTTGTTTAGAAGGAGTATTTAAAAGTTTATATTTAGAATGCTGTCGAAAGTTCCAAATTATTTGTTAAATATTTAGAAGATTTTATAGAAAAGGAGCATTTCAAATAAAACTCAAGTATTAAAGAAGAATATCAATTAGGCAATAATACCAATTAAGCATAAAAAAAGAGAATACCAGTTAGGCAACCCACTCTCCTGTTGGGCTGTGAACTGGCCATGCCCCTTTTTGCCTACATTTTTTGCTCATGCCATTCACTGGCTGAAATGCCTTCCCCTTCCTCTAGCCAAATCCTGCTTTTCCTTTGAGGCCCAAGTAGCACCTCCTCATGAAAGCCTCCCATGACTACCCCAACTCACTTCTCTTTTTCCTCTCGCATTTAGGTATTGACTGCTGCCTCATGAAGGCTGGTCCTGTCTCTATAGTGAATATTGTGCACCTCAGGGTAGAATGGAGAGCAGAAGACTTCAAATCAGGCAGTCTGGGTTCAGACCCCAATTCTAGTGCTAAATAGCTACGTGACTTTAGGCCGATTGTGTGTGACTTCCCTGAGCCCCAGTCTCTTTGCCTGCAAAATGAGAAAAATTATAACAATGTCATCGGTTGTTCTGAGGATTCTGAGAGGAATTAGTAGGAGAGAGAACTAAGAAGCTGCGGGCCTCTACAGAGCCATTCAACTGGCATTTCGGAAGATGTTGCCCATCAGAGTCAGACCTTCTTAGCATCTTCCGGCTGGGCCCAAACTTCCCAAGACCATTTGGACAAGGTCATCTCTATCCCACCATGGCCTCCTCCCAGAGGAGGAGAAGAATCATGCTGTTACAGCAGAACCGAAGATTTGGGCAAGGGAGCTAATGATTATGTTCTGCGTCAGGTCAGAGATGGGCTGGGAAAGCCACTCCAAAGCCAAGACAAGCAGTTTCCTGGAAAAAGAAGGCTGCGCGGAGCCCAGAGTGGCCTGGATCCTGCCTCATTTCCTGGACCAGCTCCTTAGGTGGTTACTGGATTGCCAATAAAGCAGAGCTTATTAAAGTCAACGAGCTCAGGCTTCATCGCCGCCATGGTATCCAAGCACCAGTCTGTCTGGGATTTCATTTGCCAGATGGACAAAGGAGAGGTTGTTCCAATACATATCCTGAGTGGTGGGGGTGGGGAGAGAAGGGGAAGAATGCTCTCTAGAGAATTCTCTTTGTCCTCTGAAGTAAATAGAGATCATGTCTTCCCCAGCCACACTCAGTGATCTGAATCTCTTGGACTGTGGATTTTTCCTTTACCTGCTGTGAAGCCTTGAAAAGTATGAATTAGCTTGATAATGATCCTCTAAAGATGTTCAAGAGTTAAAGACGTGTTTAAGTTCTTCAGGCAATCCAATATGACTACGGGTTTCCAAAAATTTGAAGGAAACTGAAAATCATAGTTCCCAAACCAGATATTTTCCGGTGTCCAGATGTTCACTGGCATGCAAACCAAATGTCTGGATTATGAGCTCCTTTTTTCATTTCTTTTTATCAGCTTACATCCAGATGTTGGATCCAACTGGTCAGAGGCCTGGGGCAGAGACAGAAATCAAATCTAGGGTGTTCATCTAGAGTCTCCTGCTCCTCCATTCCTGCTTCCTCCTCACGCTGCCCCCACATCCTCCCCAACTCACCTTCATGCTACATCTCGGCAAATACAGCTCATATCCAGGCACGGTGCAGCCCTTGACAGCTGGGTCCGCAAAGGCAGATCGGGTATATCTTTAAAGAAAAGTTATCTTAACCATTGAGAAGCCTTCCTTCCTCAGAGGAGAGCACCTCCCCAGCAGACCTCCGAGGAGACCAAGGGCAGGACAGGAAGGGTGAAAGGAAGTTTCAGGACTGCAGGAAATAAGAGCTTGGAGGTCAAGGGAGAGATCAGATAAAACATGAATCTGATCAGCATCCTAGTGGTCTAGAGTGGAGACAATCTGCGGAGTCAACCTCAGTAAGGACACACATAGAGAAGAACCAAAGCCTCTAAAGACGAAGCTGAGAAGTGTACGGTCGTAGAAGACTCGTGTCTGTTATTCTTAAAAGCTCAAGGAGGTATAAACTGCATAAGATTTAAATGGAGGAACACACGATCTTACTTGCTTTCAGAGGATTTTGGGGTCCCCATTCTCCCATTAGCAGCCAGGCAACTCTCTCTGTCCTCTCCAAAGGGAGGAGTGGAAAGGCTTCAAAATCCCTAGGAAATAAATGTCCCCTCCACCCAAAGTCCAGTGTGTAGCCTGAGGACAGGACTTTCACTGAGAGAAATATATAAAAGAAGGGGATAGAAGCCAGGCACCCAGGTGGTGGGTAACAGAAGGGAACTTTCTAGCTGGTTTTATTTAGGGAGGGCATCCTGGGCAAAAGTCAGAATGCAACTTTTTTTTTAAACCCCTTTTAACAAGATGCTGTTGAATTCCTCTTTTGCAGATGTTCTGCCAATTGAATGGAAACTGTCCATAGTGGGGAGCAGAGAGCCTCATCTTTTCTGGAACTGAACATCCATCCTTAAGGCCAGATTTCTCCCATCACCAACTTTAACTCCTGCCCTAGCCCTCTCTCTTCCTTTTCAAAACCCTCTCCACCCAGGAAGGGAGATTCTGGAGCCAAGACTGTACCAGCCACACCTCCCCAGAGTTGTTAAGGAAGGAACTCGAAGCCAGGGGTGGTCTTCTGGCAAGCACCCCCACTACCAGTAGCAGGACAGATGTGTTTCTAATGGACTACACTATCCCCGGAGGTCACATGATTCAGGCTGCCAAGGGTACCTGCCCTTGGGAAATCAACTCCCGAAGATAAATTGGGATTGGGTCCTGAGAAGATCCATGGAAGCCCAGAGGACCCTGCCTCTCTCTGTTGCTTCATGCTGTAGAGGCAGTACTGGGGAGGGCCTGCCCCACATCCGGCAGGGCAGCTGGAACCATGTGTTTGATGACACTCTGCTCCCTCAATGTGGAGCCTCATCCTCATCTCACAGTCTAGCAGGCCTCTGGTGGGTTAGGCTTGTCTCACCCAGTGTGTGAGTTTTTTTGGAAGTGACCTGATTTTGGAGTTTCCCTCCAAGCCTTTCTCAGGTACATGCTTTCTCTTTTATTCTGTCTTCTTTTTTTGATCTTCTTAAATCTGATTTTCTCCTTTTTCCCTCTCTTGTCTCCATCTTTTTTCCAGTCTCTCGCTTCTCTTTATTTCTCCCCATATTTCACTCTGTTCTCTCACCCCAACCTTTCCCTTCTGTTTCTCTCCCTCCCTCTCTTCCCACCCCCTGCCTGGCCTTCCATATATCAAGCAGAGTTTTATCACCTTATGCAGGGGCAGCCCTGCCACCTGCCATAAAGTTGATAGGCTAATGACATTTTGTGGATATTGCCATGTCACAAGTCCAGGACAGCATCAAAAATAGCCCTGATGTCTAAACCACTTCAGCTATCTTTTTTATTTTTAAAATAAATACATTCACATGCTTTTAAGAAACTATAAAAATATATAAAGTAAAAAGATCTTTCTCTCACACTGTCTCCACCTCTCCTGGTCTCACCGTTGTGCTTAGGGGAAACCATTGTGATTAGTTTCTCCTGTGTCCTTCCAGAGTGTCTTTATGCAAATGAAAATTATTGTGATAATATATTCCTATTTTCCCCCTTACTACACAAAAGATAGACTACCATAATCCCATTCTGCACTTTTTTTTCACTTGATAATAAAAACATGATTTTATTAATGGGTGTTTATGGAGTGATTACCATGTGCTATGTGCCTGCTGGGCACTGCAGAACATACACTGGTGAACAAGACACAATCACAATCCCCGTATTCAAGGATCTGAAGACCGTCTAGTGACAAAGCCCAACAGGCTCATCTACATTCAGCCATGCGATAGAGGGCTGAATGTCTTTAAATAAGTAAAGTCGGCCAGGCATGGTGGCTCCTCCCTGTAATCCCAGCACTTTGGGAGGCCGAAGCAGGAGGATCACTTGTGTCCAGGAGATCGAGACCAGCCTGGGCGACACAGTGAGACCCTGTCTCTACAAAAAATAAAAAATTAGCTGGGCATGGTGTGGTGGTGTGTGCCTGTAGTTCCAGCTACATGGGAGGCTGAGGTAGGAGGTTTGCTTGAGCCCAGGATGTTGAGGCTGCAGTGAGTCATGGTTTGTGCCACTGCATTCCAGTCTGGGGTGACAGAGCAAGACCCTGTCTCAAAAAAATAATAAACAAAATAAGTAAAATCAAGGAACAATGAGTGCACAGAAGAGGGAGATTAAATCCAACCTTGAGGACTCATGGTGGGGATGGTGTCTGAGCTGAACTACGCAGAATGGATGGGATTCTGCACACACAGAGCTGGGGAAGTGGAGGGTTTCATGTGGTCAGAGATGTCAAGGTGAGAAAGTTCTGGCACATACAAGGAAGTGAACGGCAGAAGCCCAGGGGGTTGGGAAAGGATACAGCTGGAGGGGCAGTGTGTGCAGTAGGAAACTTAGAGAACTGGGGTCAACCACCTGGATTTAAGTCCTGGTTCTACCTCCTACTAGCTAGTCAGTTCTTCATCTGTGAAACGGGGTAAAAATTATCTCCCGCATTATTAGAAGGATTAAATGAGGCAACATCATGAAGACCTCACAATGAAGGACTGCACAGGGTGAGGTGTTAAGCCTGAAAAGACAGGTTGGAATTTGATCTTATATGGCCCTGGGGGCCATGATGCAGAGCTCAGGCCTTATACTGAAGGCTTTGGAGAAGGGAACAGTGAAGTGTTTGGGATAAAGAAATAACATATAGGACCAAGGAGAGAAGGTGCGGGTGGTAGGACAGGCATTTCATGAAATGCTATAAATCTTTTCTCTTGGTTACCAATGAAAGACAACTACACATCAGATAAACTTTTACTTTATTATAAAAATGATTTATAGTTTCACTTAGGAATGCAACTTCAGTGGGTAGTAACTCTGTAACTATATGGTGGCATCCTTGGAATATATTGATTTATTCACTCCTCATTTATTTATTCATTTGATCAACATTTGTCCAGCACCTATGAACAGTTAGGCGCTTGTGCCATACCTTCTATCCTGAAGTCAGTTTACCAGACAACATACCATGAAGGCTGACTGAAGAGGGTCTGCTGAGTTCCACAACTCTCAGTCTTGCCCCAGTGCCTCTTTGGAACATCATGGCACAGAAAGGAAGTTCACATATTTCTCTGACTTCTAGCTCCCTGCAGTTAGAAGAAGTCAACCACGGCAGGGCTGAGGACAACAGAAGAGTCAGGTCCAGAGGATAAAGTCATGATGTCAACAGTGTGGATCAAGACTGGCCAAGGCTGGGTGCAATAGTACACACCTGTAGTCCCAGCTACTCAAGAGGCTGAGGCAGGAGGATCGCTTGAGTGCAGGAGTTCAAGTCTAGCCTGGGCAACATAGTGAGACCCTCCCCATTTCTTAAAAAAAAAAAAAAGAAAAGAAAAGAAAAAAGATTAGCCAAGCCAAGAGAAGTCCAGGGCAGAACATTTTATTTCAGGTAATTGGGAATTGATGATGTATCATTACTGGGCTCTGTTCTCCCTTTAGGGGGTTCAAGCCAAGTGGAGGAAATGCTTCATTCCCACTTGCCTTTCTGACCAGATTCTCCTGCAGTGCTGCAGTTTTCTGCTTTTAGGGAGCTGAGGATATAGATTGAGGTATGGTAGAAACTACAGAGTGAGCCTCATCTGCCTCATTTTTTTGTTTTGTTGTGGGTTTTTTGTTTTGTTTTGTTTTTTGTTTTATTGAGAAGTTTTGCTGTTGTTGCCCAGGCTGGAGTGCGGTGGCGTGATCTCAGCTCACTACAACCTCTGCCTCCCGGGTTCAAGGAATTCTCCTGCCTCAGCCTCCTGAGTAGCTAGGATTATAGGCATACACCACCACCCCCGGCTAATTTTGTATTTTTAGTAGAGACAGGGTTCCTCCATGTTGGTCAGGCTGGTCTCGAACTCCAGACCTCAGGTGATCCACCCGCCTTGGCCTCCCAAAGTGCTGGGATTACAGGCGTGAGCCACCGCGCCCGGCCCATCTGCCTCTTCAATGAGCTGAGGTGGCAGAGACGGCACCCTCAGCCCAGCCACTGGAAAAACCCTTGCCAAGTTGGAGGAAGACCTCTCAGCCCAGAGTCACACTTATACCTAACAGCTGTGCCAAATATGATTCTGGGCCATGGAAACATTCAGAGTAAAAATAGTATATGGGGCATATTGAGATGCTTCCACGGAAACCTTCTGGGGGACAAATAAAATGTTTTTATTGAGAAAGGTCTCGCATCTATCATCTAAATCATTTCTGAAATGAAACAACAGTCTCTGGTTACTCACACCTGGGTTGAAGGAGCCACTCCTCTGGGGAATCCCTTGTAGCTTTACACGTGAATGGGGAATCCTTTGTTTTAGAGCCACAGCTTACTCTTCAGAGAAAGGGCGTTAGGAAGGGAGACAGCTGATTCTTAGGTCCAAAGCCCAGAAAGTAGTTCCGCCTCTAAGGCCGAGTGAGCCCCACCTTGGGCCAAGCTGGGAATGAAGCAGCACTGGTTTTATTTTTTTGTTTTTATTTTTTACCTTTTTTTTTTTTTTTTTGAGATAGCATCTCACTCTGTCTCCCAGACTGGAGTGCAGTGGTGCGATTTAGGCACACTGCAACTTCCGCCTCCCAGGTTCAAGTGATTCTCCTGCCTCAGCTTTCTGAGTAACTGGGATTACAGGTGTGTGCCACCAAGCCCAGCTAATTTTTGTATTTTCAGTACAGACAGGGTTCCACCATGTTGACCACACTGATGGCCAACTCCTGACCTCAAGTGATCCACCTGCCTCTGCCTCCCAAAGTGCCGGGATTACAGGCATGAGGCACTGTGCCCAGCCCAACACTGGTTTTGTCACCTGTACACATACTCCACAAGGGCCCCTGACAACCAAGTTTTCAGCTCTCCCAAGCCTCAGACCACATGGCACCAAACAGCTAGATGAAAAATTCAATTAGACTCACAGGCACTATTTTCCTACAGGTTACTGAGGTATTAAAACAACTGGAAATTTAGATGAGTTTGTGTTGCTTATCCAAATATTTTATTAAAATATTTTATAAAAAGGGGAGAAGAGGCAGAAGAAAATAATCAGGTAGACTGCCAGGGTAAGGAGGGACAGGAAGAGGAACACAGCATGTGCTCCCCAAATTCCCAGAGGGACAAAACTTTTTAGGGCAGTTTTATTTAACTGCTATAAATTGTCAAAAAACATGAAATCATCCACATACATTGTGAAACATCTGACATTCCATGACAACCATGTCAAATGCATGCAGATCATTAAGATAGAAACCAAAACTCATAAAATCATAGATATGTTGCTCTGATGCAGCTGTAAATTATCCTTCAACTTCACTCCGTAGGGGGATCTCTAACCAGTTTCCTCAATTCCCATGCTTCCATGCCAAGCATTTTCAATGGGATATCTACCAACATGCTAAAAATGTACTTCGTTCAATTGTGTGGCCAATTCTTGACCTGACCGTTCATATCATTTGCTTAGATCTCCCCTTTACTGTGCCTAAGCACACCCAGCCCTGTATGACACAGAAAGTTCACTGACAGTTTGAATAATTCAGCCAGGAATGTCCCCTGGAAGACCACATGGGTAGAGAAGCTCTAAGGAGGCAGAAAAACTGGCTCATCCCTGAGAGAGCTCCAGGAACAGTCTCCCCCACGCCTCCTCTCCCACCCATCCAAATTTCTCAGAGCTGCTCTCAAAGCTGCACAGAAAAGATTTGGAGACAAAAGGCAATAAGGGGGCCGGGTGCAGTGGCTCATGCCTGTAATCCTAGCACTTTAGAAGGCTGAGGTTGGTGGATCACTTGAACCCAGGAGTTCGAGACCAGCCTGGGCAACATAGGGAAACTCTACAAAAAATACAAAAAATTAGCCAAGCGTGATGGTATGCACTTGTAATCCCAGCTACTCCAAAGGTGGAGGGAGAGGATCGCTTGAGCCTGGGAGTTCAAGGTTGCAGTTGAGTGATGATTGTGCCACTGTATGCCAGCCTGGGTGACCAAGCAATACCCCATCTCAAATAAAATAAAGTTAAATTAAAATAAAATAAAACCCTGCCGGGCGCAGTGGCTCACGCCTGTAATCCTAGCACTTTGGGAGGCCAACGCGGGTGGATCACCTGAGGTCAGGGGTTCGAGACAAGCCTGGCCAACATGGTGAAACCCTGTCTCTACTAAAAATACAAAAGTTAGCCAGGTGTGGTGGTGGGCACCTGTAATCCCAGCTACTCAGGAGGCTGAGGCAAGAGAATCGCTTGAACCCCGGAGGCGGAAGTTGTGGAGAGCTGAGATCACACCACTTCACTTCAGCCTGGGCGACAGAGCGAGACTCTGTCTCAAAAAAAAAGAAGAAAAAAAAAAAGCCAGTGAGGGGAGGCTCCTCTCACCTCCAATAATAAGAAGGAACTGGCTCAAAGATATCCATTTACCCTTTCTGTAAAATGGACATTCTTTCCCTTTCCCTGTACCTCACCATACATGAGATGAAAGATGTGAAGTACACAGGTACTTGGAAAATGAAAAAGTTTCATACCAATGTAAGAGGGCTTTTTCCCTAGACCACAGCAGGACTTGAATCCAACCCATTGGCTCGAAGTCCAGCGCTCATTCTATTCTGCCACAGCTACTGAGCAATGAGGCAAGTTCTACCTTGGGCCAGGGCAGGGCCAGCCCACGGCAGCAGGTAAGAGCCTGTGAGTTGTATTAACCTGCTAGAATAGGGGAGTGTGACCTGTGAAATAAAGATCCTAATGCTCCCTGCTCCCAGAGTGCAGAAATAGCACTGAGTTTCCTTCCTCTTGAATTTTAAAATGCCTCGTAATACTCTCCCCATGTCCTAGATTATGATATGGAGCTAGAAATTAGCATTCTATTCCAACACACTGTGGGGCCTTCGCTTTGGGGTTTGAAATGATGGTTTTTAATAAGCTGGCTCCAGGTACCTGTCACCAGTAATAGAAGTTCTGCCCGGGAAGATAGATCGCTTCTTGTTAAAAGACCATGGGGCAATAAATTTCCTGAGGCATAACTCAGCTTCCAAATCAGGACTCAGGAGAATCGCTTCTACCTTCTGACACTAACCCTTTGGCCTCTGGTCCCTGCTGACCCTGACCATTAACCTCAGTCACAGCTCTTCTTTGCCCAGGTCATTGTGCTTGCATTTAGGGGAGTTTGGTGAGATCCACAAGGGCATAACTTGCAGGTGTGACTGTGCCCCAGGACTGGGGTCAGTGGAGGGAGATCATAGAGAGGACCAGAGCCATGAGTCTTGATGGTCTGCCGTGAGCAAACGCATATCTCTGCTGTCCCAAGGATCCAGGCCATCAAGACTGCAAAATAAGCTCATCATAGAAATTTAAGCAGTTCTGTCAGACACTGGCATCTTTGCTGAGGCATCAGGGGAGTCTTTAAGTGCACAGTGGCTCACACCTGTAATCCCAGCACTTTGGGAGGCCAAGGCAGGCAGATCGCCTGAAGTCAGAGTTCGAGACCAGCCTGGCCAACATGGTGAAACCCCATCTCTACTAAAAATACAAAAATTAGCTGGGCATGGTGGCACATGCCTATAATCCCAGCTACTTGGGAAGCTGAGGCAGTGGGATCACTGGATCCCAGGAAGTTGAGGCTACAATGAGCCAAGATCACACCACTGCACTGCAGCCTGGGTGACACAGTGAGACCCTGTCTCAAAAAAAAAAAAAAAAAAAAAAAAAGACCCAAATCAAGAATAAGACCAGCCAGGCACGGTGGCTCACACCTGTAATCCCAGCACTTTGGGAGGCCGAGGCAGGTTGATTACCTCAGGAGGTCAGGAGTTCCAGAGTAGTCTGGCCAACTTGGGGAAACCCTATCTCTACAAAAATACAAAAATTAGCCAGGCATGATGGCAGGTGCCTTTAGTCCCAGCTAGTCAGGAGGCCGAGGCGGGAGAATTGCTTGAACCCACAAGGCGGAGGTTGCAGTGAGCTGAGATCGTGCCGTTGCACTCCAGCCTGGGAGACAGAGCAAGACTCCTTCTCAAAAAAAAAAAAAAAAGAACTACAAGACCGCTCTTTTTGACAGCAGCTTCCCCAACCAGAACCAGCCCAGGAACTGCTTGCAGGACTACCTGGACTTCCACCTCTGTGAGAAGGCAGTGATTGCTAAAGGGGACAATGTCTTTGTATGTGAATGGTACCAGCCTGTGTACAAGTCCCTCATTCCCATATCCTGGATCTCAGCCTGGGACGACCACTGGGCAGAAGCCACATTTCCCTGGGAAGATTTGAACTGGCTGCACCCCACCTTTCCTCTGTCCTCCGTCCTTCTCCCAGGGTGGTAAAAGGGGACCTGGGTACATGGCGATCCCCACCCTGGAACCCTCAATCATGACTTGACTAATAATAAAACTTATTGGAAAGTGAAAGAAAGAAAGAAAAGAAAGAAAGAGGCCAGGTGTGGTGGCTCACACCTGTAATCCCAGCACTTTGGGAGGCCAAGGTGGGAGGATCACTTGAGGCCAGGAGTTCAAGACCAGCCTGGCCAACATGGGGAAACCCTGTCTCTACTAAAAATAGCAAAAATTAGCTGGGTGTGGTGACACATCACCACTACTCGGGAGGCTGAGGCAAGAGAATCGCTTGAAACTGCGGAGGTTGCAGTGGGCCGAGATTGCACCACTGCACTCTCCGGCCTGGGTGACACAATAAGACTCCGTCTAAAAAAAAAAGAGAGAGAGAGAAATCCAAGCAAATGTAATCAATCATGTTATTCAATCTGACCACTTGCTTGTGGGGATTGGAGACTGATATATGGATAATGAACTTTTAAAAATACCACAGAGGTAGTAAATTAAACATATATAGTGCCTACCCTATAACCCAGAAATTCTACAAGAAATGTGATTCAATTTGTTCACCAAAAGACTTGTTCAAGAATATTGATAGTAGCTTTATTTGTAATAGACAAAAATATAGACAACTCAAATGTCCATCAACAAATGAATGGATAAACTAGTTGCGGTGTATCCATACAGTGGAATAGCAGAACGCAATTAAAAATAATAAACTGTCAATACACACAACAACATGGAGATTAATCTCACAGACATTTTGTTGAATGGAAGAAACCCAGACCCCAAAGAGTACACACTGTGTAATTCTACTTATAAAAAGTTCAAGAACAGTCAAAACAAGTCAATGTCAATAGATGCGGGGATTTGAGACTGATCAGAACGGCAGTTACGGCCAGGCACAGTGGCTCATTCCTGTAATCCCAGCACTTTGGGAGGCCGAGGCAGGTGGATCACCTAGGGTCAGGAGTTCGAGACCAGCCTGACCAACATGGTGAAACCCTGTCTCTACTAAAAATAGAAAAATTAGCTGGGCATGGTTACATTACAGGTGGAAGCCTGTAATCCCAGCTACTCAGGAGGCTGAGTCAGGAGAATTGTTTGAACCCAGGAGGCAGTGGTTGCAGTGAGCCACACTCCAGCCTGGGCGACAGAGCGAGACTCCGTATCAAAAACAAAAACAAAAAAGAATGGCAGTTACCTCTGGAATATTATACTGGAAAGGGTCTGGAGGGAACACACAGGGATAGAGGAAATGAAATGTTTTCTATCTTATTCTGAATGGTGTTTATCTAGGTAAATAGGTAACTTCAAGCTATACACAAGATTAATACACTTTATTGTATATATGTTATACTTGGAAAAAGGAAAGCTGTTTTGTAAAACATCCATAGTGGTTTTTTTGACACGAAAATGTGTCTCATGTCTTTCTTTATAAAATATTAAAAATCCAACTTTATCCTGATTTTAAGTGAAAAGGAATAAAATGACAGTAAAAAAATAAGAAGTCACCACTAAATATGAATGTGTGAAGCCGTTGTAGCAGTTCCCTGTCTGAAGCACAAACAGGAAGTAACTCTGGTGCCCAATAGCATAAAGGGTTTTTTTCCCCCTCTCCTCAGCATCCCAAGGATTAACCATATGCTCTGGCCAGCACGCAGCCCCAATGACCTCACGTGACAATGCCAATAAAACCAGACTCAGACACCAGACTCCACTCCAGTCCCTCCAGGTCCTTATTGTCACCTACGAGAGCAGTTGTCCTTGCAATCCCCAAGTTCTGCCTGTTGTATTTTTAACTGAAAGTAGGTTACAAAGTAAATAAAAAATCAATCTATTTCTGAAAAAAAATTATTATTATATTTTAAAATCCCATTTCTATTTCACATGACACTGTTAGATGAGTCAGCTGTGTATCTGTTCATTTTAACTCTTTTAAAATATTTTCTACCCTGTTTTTATCCCTCTTCTATTCATTAGAGAAGGTCAATGCCACAGGAGTGCAACAATAATAGGAAAAAAATCCTCTCTATCTAACAAGGGCTAGCATTGGGGTTGGGAAGAAGGGCCAAGCACTTCGCCCCCACCCACCCATCATCACTAACTGTCAAATATTTACTTCTGGTAAATATTTTAGTCTCTGAACCAAAGATAATAACCTAGGAAGGGGTGAATCAATCCAGTTTGGGTTGGTCCCACCCCTTCTTTGCTTCCTCCACCTATTTCCTGCATTGCTCTTTTTCTTTGTAAACAGGCACAGGCTTTCAGGGGGTGGGAGAGCAGTGTTAAAATTTTAAAAGTAAAACACACAAATCTTGAATGTTTAGTTTAATGAATTTTTACACATGTATACAGGCACATAACCACCACCTTGATCAAAACACGGAACATTTTGAGCACCTTAAAAGGCCCCCTTTTATTTCCTTCTAACAATGGGGACTTTTTTTTTTTTTTAAGACACAGTGTCTGCTGGGCCTCATGGCTCATGCCTGTAATCCTAGCACTTTGGGAGGCCGAGGCAGGGGGATCACTTGAGCCCAGGAGTTCGAGACCAGCCTGGGAAATATGGCAAAACCCCATCTCTACCAAAAATACAAAAAATTAGCTGGGCTTGGTGGTGCACACCTGTAGTCTCAGCTACCTGGGAGGCTGAGGTGGGAGGGGGAGGATCACTTGAGCCTGGGAGGTTGAGGCTGCAGAGAACAGTGATCACACCACTGCACTCCAGCCTGGGCAACAGAGCAAGACCCTGTCTCAAAAGAGAGAGAGAGAGAGAGAAGCTCATTGCAGCCTCGAACTCCCGGGCTTAAGCAATCCTGCCACTTCAGCCTCCTGAGTAGCTAGGACTACAGGTATGCACCACATCTGGCTATTTCAGAAGGGGGAATTTTTAACCTAGAATTTTTGAAGCATTCTATTTCAGGGGATACTACTCTCATGTCTCTAACAAACATACTCAGTGGCATAACAATTTCACTCTTAGGAATTATTTTTAAAAGTAAACATGGAAACAAAAAATCGAAATGATTTTTAGATAAATAAATGCAATCATTAAAATCAAGCTTTTGAAGAATATTTAATAACACTGGGAAATGTTCATAATCTAACATTAAATAAAAGGCAAGACAAAAAAATTCTTGCAGAATCTCAGTTTTGAAATTGTACATATGTGCAAGGAAAAATAACTGAAGAAAATATAACAAAAGAGTAGCTTGGTAAACTTTGGGTGGTAGTATATGGGGTGAATTTTATTTCCTTCTTTATAATTATTTTTATATTTTGAAATTCTTAATAATAAGAATGTGTTACTTTTCTAATCAAGAAAAAAATTTCTTCTTTTCATTTGTTTGTTTTCTAGAGACAGGGTCTTGCTCTGTTGACCAAGCTGGAGTACTTTTCTAATCAGGAAAAGAAATTCTTCATTTTATTTATTTATTTTCTAGAGACAGGGTCTTGCTCTGTTGACCAAGCTGGAGTAGACTAGGCTGGAGTGCAATGGCAGGATCAAGGCTCACTGCAGCCTGAAACTCCCTGGCGATCTTCCTACCTCTGCCTCCGGAGTAGCTGGGACTACAGGCAAGTGCCACCATGCCTGGCTAATTAAAAAAAAAAAATTGTAGAGACGGAATCTGGCTATATTGCCCACGGTGGTTTTGAACTCCTGGCCACAAGCAATCCTCCCATCTTGTCCTCCCAAAGTGTTGAGATTATAGGTCAGCTGCGGTGTCCAGCTGAAACTCCTCTTTTTAAATATGGGTACAGCCTAAAAGACTAACTTTAGGGAAATCGTTTTCTAAATTATGACAACTTCTTTCATTGCATATTATGCAATCTAAAAATAGCACTTAGAAGACTGCAATAACTTGAGGAATTGCTTAGGACACAGAAAATGTACAGTATGTTTTCAAACCAAATTAGGTTGTGTATAACTAGGTTGAGGGGAAGGGGAACAAAAAGTAACTATTAACAGTGGTTAAAAATTATAAAACATACACGTTGAAACAATTTTTTTAATTTAAAAGGGGCTGTTTATAAAAAAGTTTTAAAAGTAGCTCTGTGTTTTAAGACCCGTGTTCTACTTGCTGCGATCGGGATAGTTTTTTTTTCCACTTTGAGGCTCTTTTTTTTTTTTTTTAAGGGGCAGGAACATCATTTTGCATCAGGCCCTGTAAAAAAAAAAAGGGGGGGGGGGTGGGTAGGAACCAGGATGTTGGGGAAAATTATTTCAATGTGTTGAGTCTGAAGCTTTTTGGAAAGCAATGTAGATGTGATCTCGTTTGCTCTGAATCGAATTCCACAGAAACCGCTGTGCCGAATACTGCAAATCCTTAACTTTCATAAACGCCGGCACCGAACTCAACGCAAAACTACCCAAGTGCCAAAGACCATTTCTGGGAAGCTCATTCCATGAGACCTTCGCATTTTTCCAAATCAAAGGCTTCCCTTCGGATCTAATTATTTCTCCTCTACAGGGCTGCGGGAGGGGGAGGGGATGTGAGACTAGGGCAACAGATTAAGATTGAAAGTCCTTTCTCGCAGCTTCATTTTCGCCCCCACACTGTCCCAAATGCTTAGAACCCTCCTCGTCAGAATGGGAACGGTGCCCCCGCTTGTCCTAAAAGACACAGACCAGGTCCGTGAACTTGACCCAGGCGCCCACGCCTCTTTTCCCCGAAGGTCAGACAAAGGCAGAAGGGTTGGCTGGATTCTTTCCCGGGCCGCGAAGGCCTGGGGATCGCAAGTTGAGGAGGAGAAGACCGCAAACCCCTTTGGTTCAAGCAAGCTCTGCGGCAGGTAAAAGGCAAATTGGTGGGGACGGGTAGGACAGGGAGAGCATTATCTGGCTAACTCCCGCAGGCCTCTTCCGATTTGTCGGCGGGGACCTGACTCCCTGCGGTGTCTCTGGCCCCAAATACGGAGGCCAGGAGCTTTTCGTTGTCTCGCCCGATTTGGTATCTTATTAGCCGGTGTCGCTGAGCCGCGGGGGACTCCCGGCTGGAAAGGAAGCCCTGCGCTCGAAGCGCCCCACGCCAGACGGAGTGGCCCCTGCGCCTCCCCGCGCGCCGGCGCGCCCTGTTCACCTTCGACTGGATGTTACCGAGCCAGGGAGAGACCCGGAGATCGAGTGTTTGATCTTCCCTTGCTCCAGGATCCTGAATTCTTTAAACACACTCGCACGCGCTCGCACACAAACACACACACACACACACACACACACACACACGCACACGCAGCACTACTACCGTCTGAGCAGGCCGCTCCTCGCAGCCTCCGCAGTCGGCGGGTCGCCTGGAAAGACGCGCCGGTTTCCCGGGTCGGATGGCTCTCCAGGCCGCTATTTCCTCCGCCACCGAGTAGGGAGACGCCCCATTTGCGAAGTTTAAGTTTCCAGGTCCTGGGAAGGCAGCTGGGAAACCCGCGGGGCTCGGCAGCCGCCCTGGTAGCAGCCAGGGATCGGATAGCGCGGCGGGCGACAGCCCCCCGGATAACCCCGCCGAGGGAGGGGCGCTTGTAAAACCGAGCGGCGACGGCCTCGTTACGACCGACTCGAACATTCTCTAATAAATCATCGGCCTTAGCTAGTATTCGTTTGTGTACGCATCTGTTTATCCTGATTATTAAAATAAATTAAGGATTAGACTGCCTAGAATAAGGTAAACGAACATGAAATGCCAAGGAGGAAAACAGAAAAAGTTACACCATGTCGATCCCGACCAAAACATTGGCCTGACTTGCCGGATGGCCTCAAGAATCCGGCTTTTAGCTGCAGGCCCGGCGGGTGTTCCCCGGAAGGCAAGGATTGGAAGCTCTTTGATAAAGCCGCGCGAGGCCCGGTTTCTCGCGTTTCGGGTCGCTCCACAGCCCCCTCCGCCCTTCCCCTCCACCCCTCCGCGTCTCGGCCTGGCTCCGGAGGGGTGAAGGAATGTTTATAGCCTGACTCAAGTTCAATGACAAAAACCTGCCTGGAATGGGAGGTGCGGCGAGCTTCAGCCATCAACATGACAAAGGCTGGACGCAGGTCTCGGGCGGGGGCGACGGGCTGGGCCCACCTAGAGATGGGGAGCTGAGGGCCCACAGGATGGGTACGGACCCCGCAGACCAAGAGCTGCCTCTCTGCCCTCAGCCTGGGGTCTGCGGAGTTTGGCGAGTAGTGCGGGTGTGTGCCCGCCTGGATGAGGGTAAGGCGATCAGCCTCTGAGTGGGCAAGGGGACGTCTGATTACTGCCCAGGCTTCGCCTGGGGGTCCAGGACCCTGTGAGATGCCCCTGCTCTCTGCCTGGCCAGCTCTAGCTCACCCGGAGTAAGGATCCGCACCGTCCTTCTATCCACCGCGACCTGCATTTTCTGGCCTCCTCCGAGTTTTGTTCACATCTTCCCTCCCGGATTTGATATTCCAAGCATCTTCTCCAGGGAAGACTCCCAGAAGCCTTGCTTGTCTGTGTGTGTGTGTATCTTTCTCTTTCCCTGTTCCCCGTCCTGTTCCCCATTTGTTCTGATTGTAGTCATTTGGTCATGGAATAAAATCCTCTGGCCTCAGGTCACATATGGGGAAGCTGCAGACCCAAGATTTACCAGCATAGGAGTCAGGCCTGGTGGGAAGGGAGAGCATATTTCCAACTCTTTCCTCCTGTCTTCCACCCCTAGTGGAAGATTTTGCATACTCAATTAATGAGTAGTTGGTTGACAAAAATGTCCACACGTGTTTAATCCCCTGTTTGCATATATGCAGATCTGTCCAGTGCCTGAGGAGGGGCTGGGTCTAGGGTGTTTGGGTGCACCTGTGTGATCTCAGCTGGGTGACTCCGGATGGAAGCAGGTGCTTGTTAGTGTCTGAAGGGCCTTGCAGGGAGAGGTATGTTGACAATAGAGGAGTCCCTGGGCTTTCTATTTTTTCAGTTGGTGGTAGAGGTTAAGCGCTCCTGTTTTGGGACCCAGATCAAGTAACTTACCCTCTTAGTTTCAATTTCTTTAGGTTATAAAGTGCTCACTCAATTGTGGGTTTTGTCATTATGGGAGGGGGAACTGGCAGGGAAGGAGCCAGCTGTGGGGAGAAGAGAGTTAGGTGAGTCCTGAGTGTTTTTGTGGATTACTGTGCCCACCCCAAGACCAATGACTTGGCAATATCAGTGGTTGGCTGAAGATGTGAGCATGTGGTCCCCAGCCTGCTTCTGTACTGGACCCAGAGCCCCTGTGCGCACACATGCCTGCTGTGGCATTGATCCCACACTTGGCAAGGCAGAGCTTCTGAGAGGGTGCAGGAAAGGGAATAAGGAAGCCAGGGGCCCAGAGAAAAAGGTGCAATTATTATTATTATTATTATTTGTCACAGAGTCTCACTCTGTCACATAGGCTGGAGTGCAATGGCATAATCTCAGCTCACTGCAACCTCCACCTCCCAGGTTCGAGCAATTCTTGTGCTTCAGCCTCTTGAGTAGCTGGAATTACAGGTGTGAGCCACCATGCCCAGCTAATTGTTGTATTTTTAGTAGAGACAGTTTTCACTATGTTGGCCAGGCTGATCTCAAACTCTTGGCCTCAAGTTATCTGCCCACTTCAGCCTCCCAAAGTGCTGGGATTACAGCCATGAGCCACTATGCCTGGCCCGTTTTTATTTTTTTAAGGCCCAGAGCTTTTGCCTTAAGGATGAGTTAGTTTAAAAAAGAAAAATTGTTATAATCACAGTTAACTTTCACCCAGTTTCCTTTTTTAAAAAAATTTTATTGTATAAATAGAGACAGCGTCTTGCTACATTGCCCAGGCTGGTCTGGAACTCCTGTGCTCAAGGAATCTTCCTGCCTCGGCCTCCCGAAATTCCAGAATTACAGGCTGAGCCATCACTCCTGGTCTCGCCCAGTAGATGTTTCAAAGTAGATGTTTTCTAAAATATTTTACAATATTTACAAATTTTAAATAATAATAACGTTATCAATATTAATTTTGCTTATGCCAGGACTCCATCCCATTGGAGACAAACATTAAGTCTTATGGCAGACCTTACAGCGGGTGCTAGTTCCCACTCCCAAGCCTCTCCCCCGCCTAGGTCCTGCAGGTCCCGCGTGCTGCGAAACATTTTCTTTGTCCCTTTCTGCCCAGGGCGGCTGCCGGTCTCTCCAGGAACCGCGAGTAGGTGCTCCCGCCAGGTGGTATCGGTGAAAGCCTGCTGCTCACCCTTCCCTTGTTTCCCAAAACTTCTGAAGGCTCCCAAATTCCTGGGAGACCCTCTCCCAGGGCCTCCTGATGCAGCTACCATACTGAGCGATCCGTCGATAACGCCCTTGGCCCACCGATCAGTTTACCTTATTAGAGAGAAAAGCACTCTTGGAGGTAGTAAGATGGGCCGGTCCTTGATCTGAGAAATGGGCGCACAACATCGCTGTTCTCTCTGCAAAGGTGGGGACCAGAATCCAGCTTGCCTGACCTTGCAAGCAAGCATCGGCCTAAAGGTTTCAGCCTCCCAGTGGCGCTCTGTTTGCACGCCTTAGGCTAGGAGAGGAAGGACGGGAGCACAGCACTGGGTGCCCCTCTCCCTGTAGAGTCTGGGGCGGGGCTCAGTAAGAAGGCCTGCGGTTGGTGGCTCCCCACCTCATAGCTGCAAGTAGGGGCGAAAGCTGGAGTGTCTCCTCCCAGCAGCCTCCTCGCCTCCCCGCAAACCTCCGAATCTCCCTGGACCTCCTGGTTGCTGTGGCCCTTCCTCCCCTGATTGGCTTCCTCCCTCTTTCCCAAGGCCAGAGAAGTCCTCTCTTCCCCTCACCTTCCTCCCTCTTCCCATAAAACTTTTAGGAAAATGGGGGCGGGGGCGGTGGAGACCACCAGCCTGGAACTTCAAGTTCAATGGCAAAGTCCCTGACCCTCCCCCCAGGCTGGGCGCCAGCATTATTCTAGGGGCGATTAAACTCTTTTGCTGCCCCCTGTGCACCTCCCAGTTCGGGGGCAGTTTAGGGGAGGAGAGAAGGTAATGGTGGAATTCTTTCCCTCACTCTCCCCCGACCACTTCGTCCCCTCCCCCTCATCCCCTCTACACAGAACTAACTGGTAGGGAGAGAGGAAGAAAGGCTGGCATCGGTTCCTCATTGGATGTTTTAAATCTGTCTCAGGCCCAGGCCAGTGCCTGGGGGGAGGGGCGGGGTGTCCTGCTTTTGGGCTAGAGGCCCGGGGCCGCTCCCGAGCTTTCTCCCCTCTTCCCTGGAGAGCGACTGTTCGGGAGGGTGAGAATGGTATAAATTTCAAAAACAACGAAACCTTCTTTTGCCCCCTCCGCAGCAGTCGCCTCCGGGCTTTATTGCAAGTTTACGGTAACGAGTTCATCTATTTAATTCGCGGTTGCAGCTCGGGGATTTCTATTAGACAGGACGGGTTGGGGCCGGGGGGCACAGGGTCTCCCCTGAAGGAAACCCAATTAGAGTGCAGCACTTAGCACCTTCAATATAACTTTAATGAAGGGGGGGAGGGGAGCTGCAGGGAAGAGAAGTTTGCTCTAGGTTGGGGAAGGAAAGCTGGAGCTGCTCCCGAGAACTGGGGGGCCTGGATGAGGCTTTTTCCTGCTTCGAGGGCTTTCCAGCTTCCGGCCCGGGAACTACTATTTGGAGTAGGGATCGCCTGCAGGGAAGGCGGGGCGGATTCTCGGCTGGCGGCGGCCTCGCAGGGTTCCCGGAAGCGCTAGCCAGCCGGAGTAAAACCCGAAAGATGGAGCCTCAGGTTCGCGCTCTGCGTTGCGGGTGCTGGAACCGAGATTCAAAAAGAGCTTCCGGAGGTAGTTTCTACGCATTGCGCCACTACTCCCTTATTCGGCTTCTGGAGGCCTAATAAAATCCACTTGCTTTGGAGTTAGAAATTATTTCGGGCCTGGAGCCCGCGTAGACGCGACCCTGTGATCCCATTTCGTAGCTTGCTGAGAGATTCGCTGCGGGAGTTTGGCTCTGAGGGAGGGGAACGGTCTGGAGGGCAGCTCAGGGTACAATTGCGCCTTGTTAGTGAAAAGGCGCCCTGCTTATTTTCCGGAGTATATGTGTGTGCCTCTGCGTTTATTCGTCTGTGAGCTCATTGTCTGGATTCACCTATTGTGACATTGTGTTCACACGTTTGTCCGAATGGTAAGCAAAACATTTCCTCCTGTAGCTTAACATAGCCCTTATGTAAAAATAAATATCTGCAGGCGAATATAGGTTTGTAGATTTTGTTGTGATTTAAACACAAATAAGTGAGAGATTTCAATGTGGTCGTCCAGGGATAGGTGGGAGACTAAAATTGGGAAGGGATTCCCAATGAAAGCGTTTAATACAAAACGAAATTAAATATTTTTTGCACAGGTTCCATACAAGTAAATCCGAAAAAAAGTGTGTGTGGGGGGGTCCACACCACTAATTATTATGGCGAGGAAGATAAAGAAGACATGGACAGAAGGCGGATGGCTCTGCGGCCTGGCTCCCGCAGACCGACCGCCTTCTTCTTCCATTCGAGATGGCTCGTACCGAACCTCCTTGCCTTCTTCCTGGGTCTCTCGGGGGCTGGACCAATACATCTGCCGATGCCCTGGCCGAATGGCAGGCGACATCGGGTCCTGGACCCCCACACGCAGCTCAGTACCCACGAGGCCCCAGGCCGCTGGAAGCCTGTAGCTCCGCGGACGATGAAAGCCTGCCCGCAGGTTCTCCTGGAGTGGTGAGCCTCTGTCGGAAGGGGGCGCCCACGTCTTTTTAATGGTCCTAACACACCAGTGGAATAAATCTCTAAGATTCCACATCTTTTGTTTGCTCTGAATTTATTGCGAGTGAAAAACAGAGAAAATCCTCAAGTTTAAGTTTCTGATAGCAGAGTGTGGGAGTTAGAGCATGGGGAGTCCAGAGGTTCCAGACCCCCAAAGGTCTCTACCAGGGCCATCTCCGTTAGTGGCGGTGGCAGCCCCTCTTGTGGCCTTTTTCCTCTCTCCAAGGGGTCACCCCGCACCATGCCGCTCCCCCTCATCTATCTTGCCCCCTCCCCACAGGCCCATCTGCGCTGAACTCTCGCCAGTTCCGAAGTCGGCGAGGGAGGGGGTTTACTTGCCCGATCGTTGGTGGGTTTGAGCTTATAGAGGCAGAGGAGTAAGAACCTGCGATATTGAAAGCTACCCACATGGGGCTTCCTTGAAGGAGGACGTGGAAGGCAGAAAGTGACCTGCTCTGAGCGGCGCATGTAACCGAGGACCTTAAGCTGGACCACGGGGCTTGGACGATTTTTTAAATCAGGAAATCGACCTCATCTTCCTCCTCCTCGTCCTCTTCCCCTGAACCCCCAGTCCGCATGCACTCACACTCTTTGGCCTTTTCCCTCAGTCCCGGGCTCCTCTTTGGTAAATAGATTTGTAGGTGTCTAAGTCACGTCCCACCCTCACTCCTTCCCAGGAGAGGAGACAGGGCTAGGATCCCACCCGACCGCGGGCCATAAACACTTGGCTGCGGCGGCCGCCGCGGGGTTTCTAGGAGAGCTGGCTCCGGGAGGGAAATGTCCTCGAGGTAGTGGCGGCCGCGGCCCACCACCAACTGCTCGCCACCGACCCCACTACTCGCCACCGACCCGCTGCTCGGAGCTTCGGTTCTGCGGGTTGTCCAGACTTCAGGCCTGTGCGCTCAATCGTGGAGAATGCGCCGGCAGGCCCCCCACCCCCAGCCTAAGGTGCAGGAAGGACCAGCACGAACCCGCTGGCTTTGCTGCGCGGCCAGGAGATGAGTCCCACCGGGCACTGAGCCCAGGTACAGGACATCAGAGAATGAACACAGAGGCAGAGGCCCTCATGTCCCTCTCAGAGTCCCGGCTCTGCAAAGAGCCCGTCTGTCTCCAGCTTCCAGAATTCCGCACTGTGAATCTGTCTACGTGGACTGGGAAAACAGGGTTGGCACCACTCTGCCACTCCGTTTGTGCCTGGGAAGGGCTAAGTATGCAAGGCTACAAACATCTACTTCACTGGGATCCCAAATGCTCAACAAACCATGACCTGCTTTGGTCAGAACCACCAGAAATATTAAGGGAAGACTCAGAGAGTTTGGGGGAGGAAATTAATGGTGAATTACCCAGGCACTTTCTCAAATCTCTTTTTCTCTGGAAGGAAGGACTGACTAGGGGCAGCCTGCTGGCTTCATTTTCACACGACAGAAAAATCATCGTATTAAGGATGGGTGCTTCCAAGACCAGTGGGTACACCCTATGGGGTGGACAAGGAGGGAGGAAGAGACAGCCTCTACAATTGTCCACCTACCCAGCTGTCAGCTGAGAAAAATGCTAAACGGACATCACAGCCACACAACGAATCTGCCCGTTCCCCTCTCCTCAGTCTTCCTGCTGTTACCAGGGTGAGAGGTGTAATGGAAGGGGGTCTGAGAGAAAGCTTCCCTGCAAAGGGATCGCCTTCCAAATTTATTCATAATTAGCTCAATTCATGAAAGCGGTTTCTAAAGTGCTCTACAGAGCTCTAGATAGAAAATATGAGGCTAACGATCATGGCAGCTAGTACTGGTTATCGTGATTATTGCCACTGTCAGGATGAATGATTATGACTGGGCCAGGTTCTTTGGGAACCCTGGTGGAGTGGGCTGTCACATGGGGTTCCGTCTCCCTGCACATACTGGGTACCCAGGCCGCTCCTGAGGAACAGTCCAGCAGCCAGTGGCCTGGGAAGGGTGTTGTCTCTAGGGGCCTCTCAGCAGAGTCCTTGGCCCCAGCCTGGGCTTGGCAGGTTCCTGGTCTCCCCAGGACACCCCCACTTTCGCTCCTCCCACCCAGGCAAGGAGATCTCTTAAGGGGTAGCGCTGTTCTTCACCTTGGCGAGAACCTTCTTCTCTTTGACCCGGCGGTTCTGAAACCAGATGGTAATCTGGCGCTCCGAGAGGCTGGTGGCTGCCGAGATCTTGCGCCTCTTGTCCTTGGTGATGAACTTGTTAGCCGCATACTCCCGCTCCAGCTCCCGCAACTGCCCCTTGCTGTACGGAATGCGTTTCTTGCGGCCGCGACGAAAGGCGCAGGCGTCAGGAGGGTGCTGCCCGCTGGAGTCTGCGCGGCGTGAAAGGGAGGGAGGAAAAGGCATGGTCAGATACCCACCCATGCAGACCCAGGCCTTGCAAGCCCCAAGCTAAGTCATCTCACAGGTGCACACAGGTCACCCTACAGGCGCACGTGCAATCCTGTTCCTCCAAAGCATACCAGGACAGCACCCTGGCTTCCGGCTTGTTCTCTCACCACCGCTCAGCCTTGGCTCCTGAAGGCCACCCTCACCCATCACTGCTCTCACACCCGCGAATCTGCAAACATACCCACACACCACACACAGTCAGGCCTTTGCCCACCATCACATACGTCCAGTCTTCATGCATTTCCAGACTCTTGGCCACTCTTTTAGATTCTACAGGCAAATTCTGGAAACACGTTTCTGCCCCCACTCCCAATACATGCGCATACACACACACACACACACATTAACCCATCCCAGTGCACACACATATGTCACGGCTGCAGGAAACCTAAATTTTTCTTTGGAAATTGGAAAACTCATCTAATAGAAAGTGAGAGGTTGTATTCTCTACAGTACATCCAATACCTTTTTACCCATCTCCCACACCCACTCCCCACGCACCGAATTGAGAGTTATTTAGCTTTTGTGTAGAATTAGTTTGGAATTGTGCTGGGTAGGGACACCCTGATCCCCACTCAACAGCAAAGAGATCTAAACCTCTCAGACATGTTGAAAGGCTGGTCCCAGGGCCTCCTGGAGAAGTGAGGTGGCCTTCAGGCTTCAGATAGCACCCAGCTCAGGCCCCTCACACTGACCTCCATCCAGGCCCTCCAGCTACTCAGACCTCCTTCAGAGTCCTAATAACCAAGGGAGGAGCACCAAGCTCATCCTCACCAGCTCCAAGTCTCCCTCCTCCTCCTCCCAGGGAAATGCCATTGGGACCCACAACCCCAGGCTCAGAGACAAGGGGACCCAGGGTAATAGAGGTACCTGCAAATGCTGCCTTCCAAAAGGGACCTGGTGGGTTCTGTTCTCCCTGGCAACACATCTGGCTGTTCCAGCCACCAGCGAGAGCCCAAGACTGGTAACTGTCCACAGGCAACAGGGAGTCATGTCGCGGTTCTCCAGGAGCACCCAGAGTCTGCACCACAGACACGTCCAGGTAACTGGCCATAGGCTGGTAGGTTCCCGGATATCCCGGATAGAAGGCAAACTCAGTGGGGCGGCTGGGGTACTCTTCCCCGGCCGTGGGAGTCTCCGCGGGGTACGCGGCCAGGGTGGCTGCCTGGGCACAGGGTTTCAGCGAGCTCCGGGACACTCGGCAGGAGTAGTACCCGCCTCCAAAGTAACCATAAGGCACGGGAGCTGGGGACGTCCCCTGGGGCACCCCAGGGCATGGGTGGCATTGCTTTGGCGGCTCCGCCGAGCCTGGCAGATCCAAGGGGGCATAGTTGACAGCAGGCATCAGCGTAGGCGCCGCTGGGTGGCTGGTCAGAGGGGAGTGGGCGACCAGATTCCGCCCCCCTCCCGCTCCCAGCAAGCCTTCGATATCCTTGGCTCCATCCAAGGTGGCATAATTGCCGGGCTCCATGGAGCCGAGGGTCGGCTCATGAGGTGCGGGGGCGGGGAATCTAGGGGGCACCCAGCTCGCTCTCCCCACCCAGGCCGGGGGAATCCAAAGCGTTTTAAATCGCTCCCAGCTCGCAAGTCGCCTGCATTCGCTCAGCACGGCCGTCTTGACGCAAGAGACGCAGGGGCCCGGGCACGCGCGCTGATTGGCTGCGGCCTGGGGGAGAGAAGCTAATAAAATCCTAAAGGCAGAAACTGCGAAAATACTTTACCCCAGCTTATTCTCTCTCTCTCTCTCTCTCTTTCTCTCTCTCTCTCTCTCTCTCTCTCTCTCTGTCTCTGTCTCTCTCTCTCGCTCTCTCGCTCTTTCTCTCCTCTCTCTCTTCTCCCTCTCTCTCTTCTTTTCCCTCTCCACTCCTCTCTCTCTCATTCCACTTAAAAACAACAAGAGAGAAAAGGAAGGAGGTGTCCTTTCGCTGCTTTCCAGTTTGCAGAGTCTCATTTACACGTCCGGGGGGAGGGGAGGCGTGGTGGGCGGAGGAAGAGGGGACGAGGAGCCGGGCCCCACCTCCTTCTCCTCCTCTCCCTCCCTAGCTTTCTGTCTCCTGCGCTTTGACAGGTTTAACGAGAGAATAAAAAGCTCTCTCTATAAAGTGTCCATCTCCTGGGGGGGAAGGGGAGTCGGGGGTGGGGCTGGGAGGCCGCTCCCGGCCTCAGAGGAGAACCCGGGAATGCGCCTGTGTAAGAGGAGGCTGGGAAATGGGGGTTAATAGGTATTTCTGGCAGCCCCTGGCTTTGGGTCCTGGGTACTAGCACCCCAGTTCATTCCCGGTACCCTTCCTGTCCCAGATGTCCTGGAATGAGCTGCTCCGGGCCCCAGGGAGGTGCCCTGGACGCCCCTTACCCAGGGACTCGCTACTGCCCAGAATGCTCTGGAGGCCCTGATTCGGGTGAGGCTGAGGGAAGAGGCGGGAGACACGAACGTAGACGTAGAAGACATGCGATCTGGATGGAACCCAGGACACTCCACTTCCGGACCTGAAGGGGAAATGGAGCCTCTAGAGTGGCCTGTGGAAGGGTCTGGATTTCCCTTTAAGTAAAGACATACGGAGGGACGGAGACCCACAGGACTTGAGGGAGGGACGGGGAGAGGGAGAGATGAGACTCAGGGACAGCAACACAAAGAGGGAAAGAGAGAAGCTGACAGAGCGGATGGGACAAAATCTTGTAAAATCCTGAAGTGTCAGTCAGAAAAGAGAAAGAAGAGAGGCACTTTCCCCCTTTTTTGGGATCTAAAGAAGTCTGAGGAAGCCAAGCCTGGCTGACTGCCAGAAACCAGCTGCGGGAGTTCTGGACCCCAAGAATACAGACGCCTGTGTGGAGATGCCAGTCTCCCTGCCCTGCAGTCCTCTCCCTATGGTCTGCAAGGGGCCCAGGAAACTGTCCCTGATACTGGCATACTCCCACACAAGCTGAGTACCCAGAAAGCCCAAGACCCCTATCTGCCTCCTGCAAGCTTTAAACTTCCTTACAAGGAAAAGGGAATGGAAGGGGAAACCCCAGCCACTGGCAGAATTGCTTGAGGCCCCTCTGTTGGGGCCTAATGTGCAGTGCAATTCAGAAGAATCAAACGGTTTGTTTCACAAATCTGTCTTTAGAGGTTTTCCGCTTCCTTTACTACCCCTCCCAAATCAAATCCTTCTGTCTGCTTTTTCTAGAACTCCCAGTTTTTCTGGAGAAGACAGGAATGTTTCCATTCTACACGAGGGTCTTGACAATTATATGGAATGGCTTACCCTAAACTCTGGGCAGACTCAATCATAGCCTCTCACCAACCTGACCTTGAACTTGAGCCACTTTGTGGGAAAGGGCCCACAGGCAGTAGTGTACATCACTCCTAATGAGCATTGCTATAATTGAAGACACCAAGCACGAAATCTTCACTAGATCGCATTTGAAAACAATATGGAAGAAAAGGGAGGAGATGTCTCTTCAGTGCTTTCCAGTTTCTCACCAGAGTTTCTTGCTTGTCTAATTATGAACTGCAGAAATATCCAGACTTTTACCTAAAGACTAAGAATTTTTCACCAATTTTTACTTGGTAGATGATAGATATGTAGGGCATGTCCACAGTTTTAGTTTCCACTAGGCAAACACCCACACATGCACATTTATTCATCCTTGTACAGTAGAGGCATTAATAGATCCCTAAATTTAAAAAATAATAATAGTCATAGTCATGCCCTATGACCCAGCAATTCCATTCCTGGGCATAAACCCAACAGAAATGAACCTTTATATCCATCAAAAGTCATGTACTAGTAGGTCCACAGCAGCTTTATCTGTAGTTGCTCAAAGCCACCCATGGCAGCGCACGCCTGTAATCCTAGCTACTAATCCTAGTGGAGGTGGGAAGATCGCTTGAGCCCCGGTGTTCAAGACTAGCCTGGGGCCAGGCACAGTGGCTCAGGTCTGTAATCCCAGCACTTTGGGAGGCCAAGGCAGGTGGATCACTTGAGGTCAGGAGTTCGAGACCAGACTGGCTAACATGGTGAAACTCTCTCTATACTAAAACTACAAAAAAAAAAAAAAAAAAAGCCAATTGTGGTGGTGGACACCTATAACCCCAGCTACTCAGGAGGCTGAGGCAGGAGAATCGCTTGAATTTGGAAGGCAGAGTTTGCAGTGAGCCGAGATCGTGCCACTGCACTCCAGCCTGGGTGACAGAGCAAGACTCCATCTCAAAAAAAAAAAAAAAAAAAAAAAAAAAAAAAAAAACCAGCCTGGGCAACAGGGGTAATAGGGATAATAGGGATACCCCATCTCATAATGAAATCAAAATATAGTAGCTCAAAACTAGAAACAACCCAAAAGTCTATCAGCAGTAGCATGAATAAAGAAAGCACAGTATAATTATACAATGAAGTACTACACAGCCATTTGAAAAAGAATAAACCACTACTACACACAACATTGATGAATCACAGATATGTGGATGAAAGAAGCCAGACACAAAAGAGTAACTTTTGTATGATTCAGTTTCTACATTTCTATGCAGTTCAATGACAAGCAAAATTATGGTATAGTGATAGAGGTCAGAATAGAGATTGGCATGGGGAGAGGTCTCCTGACTGGAAAAGGACATAAAGAAGCCTTCTGGGGTGCTGGAAATAGTCTCCATCTCAATCTGTCTGCTAGTTACAAGACTTTGTTCACTGTGAAAATTCATCAAGCTATACACTTGGTATTTCTGCACTTTATTGCATATCAGCTATATCTCAAATGTTAAGGAAAATAATTAAAAACAAAAATTTTTTTAATTCATTGCAACACTTCCTGAAACTGTGCTTTTGGATGTATAGCATTCTTATCCATGTTCATTGAAATAAGTAGCCAAGTGCATGTAACTGCAGTGTTGTGGAATGCAGAGATGGTTAACTTAAACTTGGCGGGAGTGAAGGTCACCAGCTGTGCTGGAGACCCTCCTGTAAATGGATACATTTCAATACAAATAAATTCTATAGTGCTTGTTTTATTTGCTTTACAATTTATTTAGCATCTGCTAGATCCCAGGGAACAGTTCTGGATCTCATTTTTCTTTCATTTCATTTCATTTATTTTGAGACAGAGTCTCACTCTGTCACCCAGGCTGGAGTGCAATTGTACAATCTCAGCTCACTGCAACCTCCGCCTCCCAGGTTCAAGTGATTCTCATGCCTCAGCCTCCTGAGTAGCTGGGATTACAGGTGTGTGCCACTATGGCCCAGCTAATTTTCTATATTTTTAGTAGAGACAGGGTTTTGCTGTGTTGGTCAGACTGGTTTCGAACTCCTGGCCTCAAGTGATCCCCCTGTCTTGGCCTCCCAATGCGCTGGGATTACAGGCATGAGCCACCACACCCAGCTTTGGATCTCATATTTATTAACACTTGGGTATGTGCCCCTATTTCCTGTACATAGGTATGTGTGTGCATCTGCCCATGACCTATCATAGATCTCAACCGGCATCAGGTAAAGTAAGATTAAGTCTCCTTATCTGTAAAATATGGATAATAATTCTTTCCTCACATACTGTGATGATATAATGAGATTTTGCACATAAAAGCATTTCACAATCTGAATAAATATGAGCTCTATTTGTATTCCTCCATGTGTTTCTGTTTCTAATGAATTACAAGCAACCTGCTTTTACCTGAAAAGGACAGTTGCCCTAAAGAGTGTCAGTCACTTCTCACTTGCCCCCTCAGCCCTGCGTAAGCTACATAGTTCTCGCATCGGGAAACTGAGGCTCAGAGCCTCCAAGTCCTCCCTGGGGCTCTACATGGGTTCAGCGGGGAAGTCCCTGCACAACCCAGGCGTCCTGATCTTCCAGACTGACTGGGCTGAGCCTGGCCTTCCCCTAACCCCACAGATGCCTTTGTGTCCTGCTGGGAGCCTCCTGGCAGACCCTCCGGGAGCCCGGAGCCTCCCCCAGCTTTCTTTACTGACCCAGCCAAAAGCGCTGAAAGCCTCAGCGTGCTCCTTTACATACCCGCCAGACACCTCCAGGAAGGTAAAGGCCAAGTTGAAAGTTAAGAGTCTGTTTACCTCCAGGAGCCCATTCAGCTCGGCCCCACAGACAGCCTGTGACCTTTACAGCCCGGCCTTTGAGCGCGGCCGCCGCGCCCCCGGGGGTTCCGGCAACGGGGACTTGGCACCTCGGTGTCAGCTCCCGCCCCCACCCAGGCTAGGGACCCGCCAACGAGGGGTGGGGGCGGGAGGCGCCCACCCGTCGCACTAGTGGGCATTTGCTAAACTACGTTTTATTTTTTTGTAAAGTGAGCGCCCGCTGCCTTCGTTCTCCCAACTGGAGCAAACTCTGTGGCGGCGACGATGGCGGCCGTCAGGTCGGTGGTGATGAATAGAGAGGATTTCTCTGCAGCGCGACGCTCCCCTCTCCCGAAAGGTTGGCTCCACGGTCCCGCCGGCCGCGCAGGTCTGGCTGAACTGCTTGGGGTCGCCCGGCTCCTCTCGATTTTATGAAAATGGCCTAATTGAGGTGTGCTCTTTTCTTTCCTTCCTCTTTTCATCTTTTCCTTCCGTCTGCATTTTCTCTCCTCTGTCTTAGGCTTGGTATCTTCTTTTCTTTTTATATTTGTGTTTTTCTCACCGCCTTTGCTTCCTTCCATTTCAGTTATCTTGCTTTTTGTGTGTTCTTTCTTGATTTCTTTCTTTCCTTTTCTTGTTATTGCTCACTCTCTGGCTCCGCCACCCACCCCTTGCTCTATCTTCATTTTCCCTTTAGTACTTTTCTCCCTATCTTTCATCTCACTTACACTATTTTTCTCTTTGTTTGCTTTTTCTTCCTCATTTTTCCTTCTTCAGTTTTCTCATTTTTCCTTCCTCCTTCCTTTTTTTTCCTCTCTCTTCTCTATTTCTTTTTTCTTTCTCTCATCTCCGTTTTACTTCCCTTCCTCCGCCCGCCACACACGTTTTTCCTTTGCAGCGCTCTCGCCCAGTTTTTCCATTGTTCTTCTCTGAAGTCTGGAAAGGGCCTGCGGGGCTATAGCTCTCAGCGGCCGGAGCCTGCGCTTGGCAGGGGACGGCCTGGAGGACGGCCTAGTGTGGCTGGTGGGTTCGCGGAGCCCTGCCCTGGAGCTCTGCCTGAGGCTAGAACAGCACCCGCTGGAGATGAAGGGTGACTCCGGCCTTTCGCCCTGAAACGAAGTCAAGCGGGGCCTCTCCTGGCCTTAGAGGAAAATCTTTTGGACAACTTGACAGAGGGATCCCAGAGCTAAGAGCTCAGAGGATGGAGGCATGGCTGGTCAGGAGGAGGCCCCTCTCACCTCCTCCTTCCTTCTCCAACCCAGTCAGCCCTGCGACATCCTCAGGAATTAGAACCCTCTCGGGATAAGCCTAAGTGCCTCTGAGGCCAGGGCTGAGGGAGCCAGCTATCAAAACCATGGGACAAATGGATCTGAGGAGGAATCGAAGGATGGACAGCTGAAGGGAGAGGCTTGCTCCAACAACAGGGCGGCCACGGCAGCTGCTGCGCGCCCTGACGCCGCCTAGAAACCGGAGGAGGGCCTAGCCAAGCCCAGAGAACTGTGAGTGGGGTCCAAAGAGGAGGGAGGGAGGAGAAAGGGAGGAAGGGGGTCAAATATGAGGGTCACTGAACACAGACCAAGAGTCTCCCTTCCTCTGGTCCGGCAGCTCTAGGGGAACAAGCCAGCTGTTCTTGCCTATCACGCATCACACGTGCTGAGTAGGGAGACTGGCTGGCCCCAGAGTCCCCAGCCCCCTTCTCCAAACCTGGGCTTTAATGGGGAGTTACCCAATTCGGAGAAACAGCCCAGATCAGACCCCAACCATTAGGAAGTCTGGTCCTAGGTGGCTGCACTGCAGAGCAATGCAGAGTCTCATGTAAGGTTCTGTTCTAGCTCAGTGTGCTGGACCAAGTCAGTTGCCCTCTCTGTGCCTCAGTTTTCCTATCTGCACTGTGTAAGGAGGGAAGGACTGGACCAGCGGACCTTTGAATCCCTGCCAGTGTTCACCTTGCACAGAAGAGTGACGACGGGCAGCAGGAGGGAAGGGAGCTTTACCGGAAGGAGAGGGAAGAAAACTGTAGAAGGAACAAGAAAGAGTCCAGGAAGCTGCCACGGATTTTTCATGCGTGTCTAGTGCAGGCACGGTTATTAGTGCTTTGAGGGAGCCCAGCCTCTGTGGAGGCAACTGTCATGTTCTGACTCAGTTGGAGCAGCCAGCCCCACAGTGTAAATTCTGCAGTGGCTCATTAAAGGGGACCAAACTGTGTGGGAGTTCACCTCCTCCCTACTTTCCCTATAAATCCCTCCAGCCACCCAGCACAGAGACACTTGAAAGTAAAGGAATAGGAATGGGATCCTCAAATGGGGACCCACAATTAGAGTCTTTAGGGGTTTCAACGACTTCCAGGGTCATGGGAGACTGGGCTTTCTTTGTTCCAACCCCTGGGATACTGGATAGGACTCAGGAATTAGGAATGTATCAAAAAACCTATCTGCAAATTGAAGAAAGCAATTTGAGTCACTTCAAGCTCTCCCACCATCTCCACTTTGTTTTTCCTTTCAGGGAATGTGGGTGTTGATGATATAACTATTAGGAAAATGCTGGCTACTCTCAGGACTGCTAGTGTAGACCCTGCCAGAGATAAAGATCGAGTCTTCATTTCTTAAATCAAGAGGAATGTCAGCACCAAGGCCCTGGCCCCTCAAGTCCTAAACCCACCTATTTGGCCTGAAGTGGAGCTGTAGCATTAACGCCTAGGGGAAAGTACAGTTTGAAAGATTTGATTTCTTACTTTGATTCCCCCATTTACCTTAATGAAAGTCCTGGGATCCTTCCAAAAACCCAGAACGTGACCATCTTGTGGCCTACCTCCCTCCTCACTGTCCCCTCAACCCCAATCCCTACAGCAAAAGCCTTTCCCCTGTCTTCCCACTAAGATCTCTGTTCCAAGAAACAAAGTTGGGAGAGGAAGAAGGCAGGCATTTCGCACACACACAGACACACAAGGTGGAGGAAAAAAATGGTCCATAATTCATCCCTACCAAGTCCTATCCAATTCATGGTGCTCATGGGTTCCCACTCCTGAGTGCCACAAAAGACTACCCTCTTGGGGCTCAATGAAGGCTTGAAAATAACACTGCTCCAAGAGTATCTGCCTTTCTGAATCTCAGCCCCAGCTTGAGATGAGCATTGGGCAGTTCCAAGTTACTGCCCTGAGGACTCTAACCTGGGGAAAGTCCATGTTAGCCAGGCCCTCAAGGTTCTGGGCCAGCCATTTACCCCAAATCCTGACACCTTCTGAGACTGGAGAAGTCTGGCTGATGGTCTGCAGCCTGTCTGCATTGACCCTACTAGTCCAGAAGTGATATCGGGCCATACACATAGGACTCCTCATCAAAGTGGGATTTGGGATTGGAACAGAGCTCTGGGCTTTTAGTCTGCCTTGGCTCTGAATCACTTGAACTTAAACTGATCATTCTTTCCCTTTACTCCTTCAGAGGTTTTCTAAGAGTTCTGAGAGGGAAAGTAAAATGCTCTTCACTTTAAATTGTAAAATCATGCACTTAGGAAGGCCGAGGTGGGAGGATCACTTGAACTCAGGATTTCGAGACCAGCCTGGGCAACATGGCGAAACCCCATCTCTACAAAAAATAGCCCAGTGTGGTGGCACACGCCTGTAGTCCCAGCTACTTGGGAGGCTGAGGCGAGAGGATCACTTGAACCTGGGAGGTTGAAGCTACAGTGAGCCGAGACTGTGCCACTGCTCTCCAGCCTTGGTGACAGAGTGAGACCCTGTCTCAAAAAAAAAAAGAAAAAGAAAAAGAAAAGAAAAAAGAAAGAAAAAGAAAAAAAAAAAGAAAAGGGAAAATTACTCGGAGGTTTTTTTTTTTTCTATTTGGTCCCTGTAACGTCTATGGTTTTGTTCATAATTGGAAGGGACTCTAGCCACTGCTGAAGAGACAATGAAGATCTTTGCTCTCCCCTCATGTTGCTCATAGGTAGGGCTTGGATTTGAGAGGAGATTCCAATTCTGGAGGCTACTGTGTTGAAACTGACACCAGGGGAAGCTTAGAAGCTTAGAAAAGCTTCCTCCTGGCCGGGCGCAGTGGCTCAAGCATGTAATCCCAGCACTTTGGGAGGCCGAGGCGGGTGGATCACCTGAGGTCAGGAGTTCAAGACCAGTCTGGCCAACTTGGTGAAACTCCATCTCTACTAAAAAATACAAAGAATTAGCTAGGCGTGGTGGTGGGTGCCTGTAATCTCAGCAACTTGGGAGGCTGAGGCACGAGAATCGCTTGAATCCAGGAGGTGGAGGTTGCAGTGATCCAAGATGGTGCCACTGCACTCCAGCCTGGGCAACTGAGAGGGACTCCTTCGAAAGAGAGAAAGAGAGAAAGAAAGAAAGAAAGAAAGAGGAAGGAAGGGAAAGAAAGAGAGACAGAAAGAGAGAGAGGAAGAGAGAGAAAGGGAGAGAGAGAAAGAGAGAAAGAAAGAAAAAGAAAGAAAAGAAAAGAAGGAAGGAAGGAAAGAAGGAAGGAAGGAGAATCCTTCTATGAAATCCTTAATTAGGGCTCTCTGCTTAGGGGATATGTAGAGCTCCCCACCTTTCCCTTCTCTTAAAGAGCAGAGAGCTCCAAATTCCCTGGCTCCCCAAACTAGTCAGTTGGTGTTTGGGGTTAGGAGAATCCTTGGAGATCATGCAGTGCTAGCAAGCTTTGTACTTGGGTAGCTGGGTGGCAGATGCCTTGGCAAGTTTGCTGTCTTGCCCAATTCAGAGAGAAATGACCTCAGGCAACCCATGGCCAGTTCTGTGGTACCAGGCAGCTCTGAGCTACTGAAGTGGGAGCAGGAGAAGAAATAAAGAATACAAAAGGCAGACAGCTATGGCAGCTGGATGCAGTTTTAGAGTTTCTGGTGATGCCCTGACTGTTCTCCATGCCTGCCCCAGGAGAATCCAAAAAGTCAGGCAGTCCGGGACTTGTGTATGTGGAAGCTCACACATTCAGGATGTTGTTCTGGTTCCAGCTCAATGTCCACTAAGTCCTAAGGACTCAAAGCTTGGTCACAAGGGTAGCCCCTCCCAGGCTGAAAAACTGCTGGTCTAGCTCTGTGAGGCAAGGCCAGGGCTCCCCGTTTCTTAATTTCGAGGTGAACCTGGAAACTTTCCCTAGAAATGGTGCTTAGCCCCAGAGACAGGTTGGGGAGCTGGGGAAGAACCATGGGAAGCAAACCCTGGTCTCTCCATGCCCTCCACCCTCTCAATAACCTGTCCGGCCCAGACCCAGCCCAGATCTCCAGCTGCCTTGGGTGGGGGATGCAGATAGAGATTGTGGGGGCAGGGGTGCTCTCTGCCCTGGAATTGGAATCCCCCACACCAGTCTACCGGTAGATTCTGCTTCCTTTGCCCCTTTATCCTCCACCCCCATCTGCATGGTTTTTCTAGCCTCGGGAATCACCTGCCCTGGGAGTGCAGGCCAAGCTTTGGACGAGGGAAAGCACAGACTGACGCCGACCAGCCCATCCTCCCCGGCCTTGCACTGCCCGAGATCCGTGCAGGTCAAGCGGGCAAGGTGGGACGCTCTCAGGTGGGAGAATTCATAGGAATTAAGGGGAACCCACTAACTCTTCATCAAGACTAGAGGCCAGCCTAAAGAATTTTCCCCCTTTTTGTCCCAGAGACATTCTTTCCTTCCTTCTGCGTGTGTAAACACACCTGGTCGGGCAGATTTTTCAGTAATCCCAATACTGAGTCACCTCACCGGCCGGGGTTTACTCCCCAGCTCCTGGATGGTAAAGCGCCCTGCGGCCCGCGGGTCAGGTCTTTAACGGTCCAGCCAGCGCAGCAAGAGAGCTGGGGAGTCTTCTTGCAGTCCCTTCCTCCTACTCACGCAAAGATCTCCTCTATGCTGGTAGGTGCACCTGCCCTCCACCGATCCTCACCCTGAGCGCAGGTCGTACCTCAAGGCGAAAACCCGCTTAGTGCGTTGGCGGGTGGAGAGCTGCCGCCTTCTTGATCCGGGACTGAGAAGCTGCACTCCCTGACGCCACTGTGGCCAGCACCTCGGGCCGCGCAGACCCCTACATCTCTAATCCCATAGCCCTCCAGGGGTCCTTGGGGCAGTCCCTTTGGAAAGTCTTCGAAGTGCAGGGTACTTTAAGTACCCTGTAGACGCCTTTTATTTAATCCGCACAACAAAAGAACGGGGCAGGAGTGGGGGGAAATTGTTACTTCCGTTTTGTAGATAAGAGAACTGAGCCGGGACGGTGGCTCACGCCTGCAGTCCCAGCACTTTGGGAGGCCAAGGCCGGCGGATCGCTTGAGCCCAGGAGTTCCAGATCAGCCTGGCTTGAACCCTGAATTTCTGTTGAATCCGAAGTTGGATGGTGCAGTGAGCCGTGATTGCGCTGCTGCACTCCAGCCAGGGAGACAGAGGGAGAACCAGTCTCAAAAAAGTAAAAGAAAACAAGAAAGCTGAGGTTTAGGAGATAATTTGTCCAACTTCTAGAGGCAAATCGAGGCTTTATGGCACCAAATCCTGATTCTGATATTTTCACTTCTCTTCCCTCTCCAAACACAAATCGTTGACACATTTTTATTTTATTTTATTTTATTTTATTTTATTTTATTTTATTTTATTTTGACACAGGGTCTCATTCCCTCACCTAGCCTGGAGTGCATTGGCGCGATCTCGACTCACTGCAGCCTCGACCTCCCGAGCTCAAGCAATCCTCCCACTTCAGTCCCCTCAGTAGCTGGGACCACAGGCACTTACCACCACGCCCAGCTAATTTTAAAATTTTTTATAGAGACGAGGTCTCGCCATGTTACCCAGGCTGGTCTCAAACTGCTGAGCTCAAGCGACCCTTCCACCTCAGCCTCCCAAAGTGCTGGGACGACAGGCATGAGCCACTGCAACCGACCATGACAAATTTTAAAATGGAAATAAATTTCATTATATCTCATTAGTATCTCAAACTAATACTAAAAACAGACTTAAGATATTTGGGAAATTATTAAAGGGAAAAGGGAAAAATTAAGGAATTTGGAAAAATCAAAACATGAACTCTAAAATAAAGAAACCCGGCTGGGAGTGGTGGCTCAAGCCTATAATCTCAGCATTTTGGGAGGCCGAGGCAGGTGGATCCTTGAGGTCAGGAGTTCAAGTCCAGCCTGGCCAACATGGTGAAACCCCATCTCTACAAAAATAAATAAATAAATAAATAAATTAGCCGGGCGTGGTGGCATATGCCTGTTGTCCCAGCCACTCGGGAGGCTAAGGCAGGAGAATTGCTTGAACCCGGGTGGCAGAGGTTGCAGTGAGCCAAGATCGTGCCACTGCACTCCAGCTTGGGTGACAGAGTGAGACTCCGTCTCAAAAAATGAAATAAAATGAAGAAAACCCTTTAATACACTGTCATCTTTTTTATCAGTGCCCCCCATGACTTCTAAAACTACAAAAGTGGGAACCAATTTCTGTCCTCTTCCTCCCACCCCATTCCTCCCACCCTGTTTTACTTTGGAGGCTGAGTCCACATGAGTAACAAAGGAGCTATACCTGGCAAATGTTCACCTAGAGTTGAATTGTGGGAGGCTCAAACTCCTCTAATGGCTCTGTTACCCACACTGACAGCAGAAAACTGTCATGTTTGGGTCAACAAGCATGGTTGGGTCAACCTGGTGCCAAAACACCTTCCAAGCCTGTCCCTTCTATGGGGGAAAAAAATGGGTATTTGGTGGGCACTGAGGATTCTGAATTTGATTTTATGGGTGGCTCTCAAAGCCTCACCCTTTAAAATTGAGGGTGAACATTGGTGTACATGTGTGGTTTTTTAGGACATGAGCCTACTGCTTTATTCTTTTCTTTTTCTTGAGACGGAGTCTCGCTCTGTTGCCCAGGCTGGAGTGTGGTGGCGTGATCTCGGCTCACTGCAACCTTCGCCTCCCGAGTTCAAGCGATTCTCCTGCCTCAGCCTCCTGAGTAGTTGGGATTATAGGCACACATCACCATGCCTGGCTAATTCTTGTATTTTTAGTAGAGACAGGGTTTCACCATGTTGGTCAGGCTGGTCTTGAACCCCTGACCTCGTGATCCACCCGCCACAGCCTCCCAAAGTGCTGGGATTACAGGTGTGAGCCACCGTGCCCAGCCTATTGATTTGTTTTCTAATGGCAAATTTTACAGATACAGAAAAGTAAACAAAAAAGTGTAATTCAACCCCTCATACCTATCACTCAGCTTCAACAATAATCAACTCATAGCCCATCTTATTGCATTTCTTTCTGGAGGTTTTTTGTTTCGTTTTGTTTTGTTTTGTTTTGTTTTTTTGAGACAGAGTCTCACTCTGCCTCCCAAGTAGCTGGGACTACAGGCGCCCACCACCACACCTGGCTAATTTTTTGTATTTTTAGTAGAGACAGGGTTTCACCTTGTTAGCCAGGATGGTCTCCATCTCCTGACCTCGTGATCCACCCACCTTGGCCTCCCAAAGTTATGATGAGCACCGGGCTCAGCCTTCTTTCTGGAGTATTTTAAAGCAAATCCCAGACTTCTTTTCTTTTTTTTTCTTTTTTTTTGTTCCAAAATTCTTCAGTTTGAATCTTTAACAGGTTTAAAAAAATTTTTTTTTGTTTTTAGAGATGGATCTTGCTCTGTCACCCAGGCAGGAGTGCAGTGTCACTGAAGCCTTGAACTCCTGGGCTCAAGGGATCCCACGCCTAGGACTACAGGACTACAGGCATGTGCTACCATGCCTGGGTACATTTTTTTTTTTTTGGTCGAGACGGGGGTTCCCAGATGGGTCTCAAACTCCCTTGTTCAAGTGATCTGCCTCTTTGGCTTCCCAAAGTGGTGGGATTATAGGCATGAGCCACTGCGCCCAGCCTAGTTTTATTTTATTTTTTGTAGAGACAAGGTCTCGCTTGTTGCCCAGGCTGGTCTCTAAACTCCTGGCCTCAAGGGATCCTCCAACCTTGGCCTTTTGAAGTGTTGGGATTATGGGCGTAAGCCACTCTTCTTTTGCTTTTTTTATATATAACCTTTATGTGATTGTCACACAGGACAAAATTGAGAATAATTCCTTAATACTATCCATGTTTGAATTTCCTAAGTTTTCTCAAAAATGTCTTTTTACAGTTAGTTTAAGTCAGGATCTAAACAAAGTTCATACATTACATTTGCTTGATGTCTCTCAACTGTCTTATAACCTATAACAATTGCTCCCAATCCATTTTTCATGCCATTACTTTATTTAAAAACCTGGGCCAACCCAGTTCTCAAAAGGTATTGGACATCCTCAGAAAAGATGACTGCTCTATGTTGAACCAAACAACTGATTCTTACAGGTTTCTTCCTCACTTGTCCTCTGGCTGTGGCAGCCAGATATGGACAGGAGAGCTACATCCTTCCCTCCACTCCCTGCCAAAGAAAGGAGAGCTGGGATAAGCAGTGCCCTCCCCTGCCCACCCACTATGTCACTTTCTGACTCCCTTTGGTCCCCTCATTGCTCTTGGAGTGAGAGACCTCATTCCTTCTCTCACTGGAGGCAGCCAAGAATGGGATCCTCTGGTGGGTCTTTGGATTATGTAAGTTTCAAACACTGGATACACAGCTCCAGATCTAAAGGCAAGATTGCTGCTCTAGAGGCAGGACTGTTCATTTCCTGCCTTGGGGATGCACCCAGAGGCCTGAATGCTTCCCAAGGAAACCAAAGAAAGAACATGGTCTGTTTCAGAGGTGGAGTGGCCAGTCTAGCTCTGCCATCTCTCACTCCTTCCTGCCTTTAGGGTACCACTGAGGTGGAAAGCCTGAACTGCTGTCTCTGCTCTGGCTTGTGCTCAAGCTGTGTGTCCTTGGACTGGCCATCTCCTCTCTGCAGCCCTCGGTCTTCTCATTTGTAAAATGGAAGTGATCCTCTCTGCCCATACTTCCTTACAGGGCTGCTTGGAGACAATCAATCAAGATGAGGGAAATTGAGATTCTACAAAGAGTGTGATGCCTACATAACAAAGTATTGTTTTTCTCACAGTTGGTGGTATTTGAGGAGAAGGTGAAGATTTTGGTTGGAAGAGGGACCAGCAGACAAACTTGTTCTCTTGTGTATAAAAAGCCATAACACGCCCCACATCCCTCAAGCTAGGAAGAAACCTGGGCTGGATGGTGACCCACTGGAGAAGCTGTGACATCCTAGCATGGGGAAGAGTACCAGGATGCCCACTCCTCTTCCCCAGGAACCACCAAGGAGCCTGGAGCCTGGCTTTATCTCAGCCCTGAGTCCCCCTCTCCCGGTGCGCACACCCCTAACTTTTTTTTTTTAGATGGAATCTTGCTCTGTCGCCCAGGCTGGAGTGCAACGGCAGCTCACTGTAACCTCCACCTCCC
The DNA here is from genome assembly GCF_000001405.40 of Homo sapiens. Lineage (NCBI taxonomy): Eukaryota > Metazoa > Chordata > Mammalia > Primates > Hominidae > Homo > Homo sapiens. The sequence goes on from NC_000017.11 coordinate 48,743,477, forward strand.
AGGTTCAAGCGATTCTCCTGCCTCAGCCTCCCGAGTAGCTGGGATTACAGGCGCGTGACTCCATGCCTGGCTAATTTTTGTATTTTTAGTAGAGGTAGGGTTTCACCATGTTGACCAGGGTGGTCTGGAACTCCTGATCTCAGGTGATCTGCCTGCCTCCACCTCCCAAAGTGCTGGAATTACAGGTGTGAGCTACCGCGCCCGGCCAATCTGGGGCTCCTAGCTTTGGTGCACCAACTACTCAAATCCCCAACTTCTCTCCAAGAGGAATTTCAAGAAACACTGACCAATCTGGTTACAGAAGCTGAAGGGGCCCCAACCAGGCTGCAATAAACCTGCTTTACCCTTCTAAGCTGAAGTCTCTCTTGCCCAAAACTTTGTTCTCTGGGACCTGGTGAGAGGGTGACTCCGTGAGTGCAGAATGCAGTGCAGACGTTATTGAAGAGGCCTCACATTTTTCATTTCCAGACTACACCTAGCTCGTAAGAAGCCAGGGAATATAATAAATTCTCCCCTGCAGGACCTGGTTTTAATTAATTATTGGGTTATTCAAGGTGACTCATGTGTGAAATGCAATGTGCACTCGTAAACTGAATCTCACATAATCCATTCTAAGTAACTGGCTGCGAGCTATCCTCTCCAGAGACTTACACAAAACTTATATTTATCCTTTGAGGGTCTTGGGGCAAAATGTAAGGGTGACTTCAGTTTAAAGAGAGCTCACTTGGCTGGCTAGGGGTACTAAGAAACTGGGTCTTGTTTTCTCAACTGCTGATTTGATGAGGTTTATTTCTTAGAACATCTGGTGTTTTTATATGTATAGTATATATATAAGATATATGTATACGTGTATACACACATATACATTTATATATTTTAGTCATTTGTTTTGCAGTATCTGCAAAGGATATGTGAAGCCAGCTCATTGCAGAATAGAAATTGATGCTGAGTTTTTCTACAGCTAACCTGGCAGCTGAAGCTCCTCCTACTGCCAGGACCTCTGAAATTTGGTCTTTATCACCCACGATCCATGTTCATCTCACATCTCAAGGTCTCTCCTGTACAGCGTGGAATTGCTCTTGTCTGGGATTTATATTCCCTTCTGTGTAACTTAAAAACTCCAGGCCCCATATCTTCAAAACAGGCTTCTGTTCAGAATGGGTGTGAGTCTCCCGCAAAGAGCCATTAACACTGCAGAGCCTCTTGGTCTGCAGCATTAGGGAGTCTACATTTTTGAAACCATTTTGGGATGGTAGGGTTGGGGGCTGAGTCTGTTCATGTAAACAGGATCTGGAAATGGTGAGGGAGTGCATCTGGCTACTCTACATAGCTCCACCTGTTTGCCAGGTGCCTTCTCCAGACCCAGGCAATGCAGAGGAGGGGGTTGGGTGGGGGAGGGGAAGGGATCCAAGGGAGACTGTGAGCCCCCTACCCAGAGTTCAGCCAGAGAAGGAAAGGGAGACTCTGGCATTGCACCTGGGTTCCTGCCCCAGAAAAGAGGGTAAGATCTGATTTTTTTTGGCGAAGGAAGGAAGGAGAAACTGAAGGAAGAACGGGATGGTTTATTTTCTCTCAGTTTTTGTCTGACCCCTGGGTTGGAAGTGGAAGGCTCTGCTAGGGGCCCTGCACTAAGCCAGTTCTGAGCGGAGGAAGCCTCCAGCTTTTTTTCTTCCTGGTTTTCTTTTCCCTTTTGCCTCCTTTAATTCCCTTTCTTGACCTGGAAGCCAGACATTTTTTTTTCTAGGTAAAAGAGAGGCTAGATTCCAAATACCCCCTCAGCTCCCTGCAGACCCTGGAACTCTGTCCTGACTGGTCCCTGAAGTTCCTCTGGGCCTTCCAAACAGTGGATAAAGTCTGTGTCTCAGCTAGAGTCTCAGCCTGGAATTTCTTTTTCATGCATGGGCAGGCCTAGGGACTCTAAACTTTTGAAAAAAAATAAAATTTTCTTCCTTTCTCTGACCTACTTGAACTTTCAGTTCCAGGAGGAAGGAAATAAATGTGATGTAGTTTCAAAGTATGTGGGAATTTAATAAATGCAGGCCGTGGAGGGTCACTTTCCCCATGAAGACAACTTTATCTGCCCCACTAGGCATCTGAAACAGTGCCATCCGAAACAGTGCCATGCGAAACAGTGCCCACAAGCACCCACCTGCAAAAAGACACAGTGACGGAGCAACAGCAGCTGCGTCCTTACACGCAGATGAGCTGATCCAGGCTTTGAAGGAGCCAGTTAACCAGAGATGGGTTAATTCCTTTGCCAGACCAGAGGTATTGAATCCAGAGAACCCTCACTCCAGAGAAATGGAAGAAGTCTGTGACAGACAGGCAGAGGGACAGAGGGACAGATGGGAGCTCACATAGGGAAAAGAAAAAGGATGAAAATTGTAGTTAAAGAAATCAGGGACTTTCAGGGCACGCAGAGCAGAGCTGATGGGAAGTCCCAGAGAGCTGGATAGGAGGGTAGTGGAGGCTGGGATTATCCAGAACTTGTTTTAACACAGGTATACCTGGCTCGGCTCAGCACCTGCTAGGTTGGCTTTCTAGGATGACAAAATAACCAGCCAGCCCTGCCAATTCTGGGAGAAATCAGCCAGAGCCATTGTTTGGCTTGTCTTCGACCAAACAATAGTTGATTGGCTGGAATTTTCACTTTCCCTGAGTTGTTAGCTCCTGTAAGGAGCTGGTCAAGTCCCCTTGCCCTTAGCTAAGAGTAGACCCCAGCCCCTTCTCTCCCGGCCAAGAGCTGATCGACCTGTCAGTGCAGGAAAATCTCTCAATTACTCACCTCTACCGATTGAATATTGAGAGGGAAGTGTTTTGGTTTGTTGCTTGTAAACAAAACAATCTAGAGTGATCCAGAAGTTTTATCAGCTCTAATCTCATCTCTTTCATCAAGTTATAGGCCCAGAATCAGGACTAGAGACCCACCCACATTTTTAAAGCCCCAGACAGCCTACACGTTTGTGTGTGTGTGTGTGTGTGTGTGTGTGTGTGTGTGGTGTGCGTGTGTTTGGTAGCCTGTATAGGGAAGTTTTTATTTTTATTTTCATTTTCATCATTAGTCTTATTCTTGGTTATCTCTACTTGTTTGATGTGACAGAGCCACAGCTATATTCACAACAAAGAAGGCTGAAGCATTTGGGCAAATACTCAGATTCTAATCTCCGCCCCAACCCCCCACCCCTCCATTTAGCCACATCAGTCAGAGGGCCCCCCGCCAGGGGAAAGAGAGTGGAATGGGGGATTGAGAAACAAGATTCCAAGGGCCGTGCTTGGCTGACAGTGGTCTTTCCTTCTTTTAGTAGTTTCTTTGGAGGGACTGATGAGGGACAGCAGAATCCCCAGGAAGGGAGTGGAGGAGGTGAAATGCTGCCATCAGTGAAATGGAGAAAGAAGGAAAGCGGAGGGTTTGCTGGTTCCGGGGGGGAGTAAATCAGTCGCTTTATAATTCCACGATGTTTGCATCATTTTGGCTTCTGAGAGGCTGCGTTTTGAGGAGACACCAGAAGCCTGGGAAGTTCGCTTACTGGTTCTCAAGTCAGAGTCCCCCTTCCCGGGGCTCCTTCTGGGGACTCCGGGGGAGAGGGATCTCTCTGTCCATCCTGCAACTCCTCTCCTGGCATAGATGCCCCGCACCCCCACCTTGGGCCATCCTTATCTGCCTGTTCCCCATCACGATTGATCCTCCAGGGTCGCCAAGGCTCCTGCTGACTACAAAAACATCCCCAAGATTCCCTTCTTGACCCGGTTCAGGCATATCTCTTTATACTTCCATGTCTCCGTTTCTCTATATTTTTACTGTGGAGGACTCAGAAGAGAGCTGAGGCTATTGTCCGGGGAGGAAAGGAATTCGGGCAAATTTGTGGGTAGGGGCCCAGACCCAAGACCCGTGTTTCTCCTGCGTGGGTTGGAGTCTGTCTCAGGTCGCTCCAGGGACATCAAGAGCCCGCGCCGCCGAGAGCCCGCGCCGCCGTCCAGCGGGAAGCAGCGGACCCACAGGGGCCTCCAGCCGCCTCCCCGCTCCCGCCCCGTGTTTCTCCTGGGCCTCCAGCTCCGTGGAGAGAGCTGAGAGTTCTCGGCCCGCGGGCTTCCTCACCAAATCCCCAAAAACCGACGCAGGCACAGAGGGCTGACTGTGTTTTGAGTAATGCACGCGAGGCAGTCCAATCCGGCGAGATGGCCCGAAGCGGGGCCCAGCGGTCGGGGGTGTGGGTCTGGAGAGAGAGGGTCTCCCCACTTCCTTCCTCCGGCTGCTCGGTCACCCATCGACTACCCGGGCGGAAGCGGGGCGCAGAGGGGCGCAGAGGGAGGCATTGCCCTCCAGGAGTATCTATTCCCATCGGGGTATGGTGAATGCCATCTAGGCCCATGCTCCATTCCCAGGGCCCCCTCGGTTCCTCCAAAGGCGTCCACCCAGAAGCAGCCCCAGTGTCGCGCATTGACTCCCGCCGGCCAAGTCGCCGCCGAAACAGGATCTCCTAAAGCGGGCTCCACCGGGTCCCAGGGCGAAAAGGTCCGAAGATCTACGCTGTCGGAAAGACCTGGAGAACTCGGGAAGCCCAGCAACAACAAACAGGTTTCAACTTGGAAACAAACCATTAAAGTTTGGCTTAGTTTTTGGTGTGAATGGTGCAAATAATTTCTCCTCTTCACTCTTCAGTCGATCTCAGCTGTATAGAGCTGCTCTGCAAGCTAAAAAGAAATTAGTATCTATTCCCCCCGCCAACAATTTTTTTTTAACCCGGGCTACCAGCTTAAGCAACTGGTATCATTCTTGTTGAATTAAGCTCTGAAAGCTCGCCTCAGAAAAAAAGTTTTTATTTTAAAAAACGAATTATTAAGTCGGCAGTCTGATTTTTATTGGTTTTAATTATCTGAGAAAACTCTGCCTTTTAGTTGTGATAACGAGTATGTAGAACAGACCTTAATAAGCAGAAATGTAATTAATTTAAAATCCATAGTAGTTTTATTACCTACATATTTAAAAACAAACACTACTAAAATAATTTCCCGATTTTAATCTATCTTTAAAAAATAGGGGCCGGTGTAGTGGCTTACAACTGTAATCCCAGCACTTTGGGAGGCTGAGACGGGAGCATCTCTTGAGCCCAGGAGTTAGAGACCTGCCTGGGCATTAGAGTGAGAACCCCAGTTTCTATTTTTTTTAATAAAATAAAGAAAAAGAAAAAATAGGTAATGTATGCTAAAGGAAAGAGTCAAAAGTTACATTGGGGACATACATTAAAAAGTAAAATAGGTCTTCCTCTCACCTCTTATCCCAGCTTCCCTTCCAAAAAGCAACTACGATTCCCATAGTATCCTTAGAGAAATGTATATAAATAAAAATTTTTAAGACAAATGACAACATTCCACATACCGAGCTTTATATTTCGCCTTTTATTTTAAAAACTTAGTGCAACTTAATGACGATTTTATATCTTTACTACTGCCTCTTCCTTTATAATGGTTCCATTTCGTTTTCTGAATATATCTTAATTTATGTAATTAGATGACAATTGAGAAATATTTAGATTGTTTCCAATTTTATTTTCTTCTTTTTTCTGGTGGTGCACACAATATACACTATTCTGTGTATATGCAAGTATATCTGTATGATATATTGTTAGAAATGGATGATCTCAAAGGACTTGTGCACTTTAAAATTTTGAAGTGGTTGAACATATTTGCAGAATTACAAGCAATTTGTATGTTCTTTTCCAGAAAACTTTGTTCATGTTTTCCCATTTTCTGTTGTTTTTCATTGTTCTCGTAATTTGTTTTTATCGTATTTTGTGTTTCGTTGTTCTCATAATTTGTTTTCATGGTATTTTGCTAAAATGTAAGATTGTGTTTCGGTTTGGTTTTGTCAATAAAAGTTATGCTCGTGACTAATGTAAAGTCTCTCCGTCTATACTTATTGGAATTTTCCAGACAATTTTTCCTAGAGATGGAGGACAAAATGGAGGGGATGCCGAATGTCGACTATTGTCAGCTTAGATTTTTTTCTCTTACGGAATTCCGACCTTATTGAAAAAAATGAGGAGAGGTTTGTTTTGTTTCTTAATCATTTCTTCGCCATCTCTGACTCTCTTTAAGGTTAGAAGACACGGAAAAGTTCCACATTGGGCCGGGATGGCAAAGGCTGGATCACTGCAGAACAAAGACCTCAGTCCTCGCATCCCCACCCCGACCCCCGGCAGCCTCTTTCGCTCTAAGCCTCAGCCTAGGGCAAACTCCCCTCCGCAGGTCATCAGCCTCCCATGCCTGAGCCTCACGGAAAACCACTAGAAGGAAAGTAAGCTAGGGTCTAAGCTGTAGCCCCTCCAGGCACCTGGCTTGTTGACATTACCCCTTCCTCCCAAGCAGAGGGGTGTCGGTCAGGCAGAGGGGTGTCGATTGCCTTGGCCTCCAGTTCCCAGTGAACTAAGAGAAAGCAGCTGGTCCCCATTCCCAGCTCCTGGGACCTAGTGATCGCCATGAGCTTATGTATGTTCCTTGGAGGACAGGCGGCTGCTTAGGAGTGGGACAGTAAGGACTAGGCTGGGTCTGGAGGGCTGGCGGGGCAGGAGTTGGGGGCCAGGTAGGAAAGCCAGGGGTCGAAGGGATCGATTCTAGGGGCCGCAGAGGCTACTCTCGTGCTCTGGAGAAGCACCGCATCTTTCTCCGGACCCCCGCGCTCAGCCAATCGCCCCAAAGTCTCCAGGTGGGGGCTCCGCATTACCAGTCTTGGTCGCAAAAGCAGCCCTTTCAATCGCACCGAATTTCCCCTGGTGTGAAAAGGCGCCATCGCCAGCATTTTGCCGGGGTTTATGCCTCAATCCCGCATTCCAGCCACTTCCACGAATTACTTGGAAGACAGAATGGTTTGTGCCCATTTATCCTACCTGGAGCACAGACAAGAAACGGCCAAAAAATGAAGGCAGATTTTTAGAGGAAAGGCAAAGAGAGAAGTCGGCCTTACAGAGTTCCATGGCTCCGAGCCTGGTCTACCTAATGCAGGAGAGGAAATCACTCACATTTCCTGAGCATGCTCTGTGTCTAGGAACTTGCCAGCAGCTTCCAAGATGGAAGGGACTTCAGTCAGCCTCAAATGCCTCACCACAGCGTTTAAAGTTTGAAATAGAGGTAGACTTTCCCCCAATGTTTTGTTATTAAATTTTACCCCCTCAGAATTATTGGACATGGGGTACAGGATTTGGTAAATTGAATTTTTAAGTTTTTATTTAAAAATCATTTATGGCCTGGTGCGGTGGCTCACGCCTGTAATCCTAGCACTTTGGGAGGCCGAGGCTGAAGGATCACTTGAAGCCAGGAGTTAAGACCAGCCTGACTAACAAAACAAAAAATATTAGCTGGGGTGATGGCACATGCATGTAGTCCAGCCACTTGGGAGGCTGAGGTGGGAGGATTGCTCAAACCCAGGAGGTGGAGGCTGCAGAGCTATGATCACATCTGTGAGCACCCACTGCACTCCAGCCTGGATGACACAGTGAGTCTGTCTCAAAAAACAAAAACAAAAAAATTATTCAGATAATGATTTATTATTATTATTTTGCCAAAAGACTTCTGCCAGCTATGGCCTGAGGGGCTTTATCTTATTTCTGACTGAACAACATTTAACTTTTTGGTCCCATTATCAGGTTATTTCAGGTGAGAAAATGATTTGTCCAAACAATTGCCTGAGTTAGTGTAAACTGAACACTTGTGCTTAAGATGTCTGCTCCTGTCTAGAAAGGGAGGTGGTCCTTCCAGGAAGGAAGAGCTCCCATCTCCACAGCAGACATTTCCACCCTCCTTTGCAGGTACCAGTGCCCTTGGGTGTGCATGGATGCCATTCCCCATGCTTCCACTCTGCTTCTCTGTCTGCAGCTTGTCTTCCAGAGTGTGGGGAAAGAGCTGGGGAAGAATCTAAGGGTGGAGCTAGTGTTGCACGGTGGTGGCAGTGGGGGTGCCCGAAGCAAGCAGCTGCAGCAAGACAGACCGGATTTCTAATGGCAGCTCCCTCCACCCTGAACAGATGGGCTGCAAACCTGGGGCCTTAACTCACATGGGCTTTGTCTACACTCCATGATACCAGGGGGAAACCAAAATCATCCTGATGCTTCTCATCAACTGGTTGTTTCAGTGTAGATGCTGTCTCCTATCAGTCTGATCCCATTTGTGGGCAAGATCTTTAAAAGCAAAGGGAAATAAGAAGCTGAGAATATGTTTTAATAGTAACAGTCTGAGTGGACAACTCAGTTCTTCCCTCTTCCCCTCATATTCAGGGTAGAGCGGGGAAGGATTTTAAGCTTCAATTTCTGAAATCATGTTGACCTTCTGCCCGCCCTGGTGGGTGCCACTGCACCTGTCCTCAATGTCCCCTTTCTTTCTGTTTAGTTTTACTGTTTCCTGGAGCTCTTCTGAGGCAGTCAGTGTCCAGGCAGGCAAGTGAGTTGTGGTGGGGTAGAGGGTGAGAGGACACTGTTAGACCACCTGGGTGTCACAGAAAGTTTGCTGCAGTCGAGAAGCCTGAAGGAAGGGTGGGGGCTGGGGTGGAGGAGTGTATGGCGAAAGACAACAGTGGTGTGGTGGAGTCCACTGCCTAGGAAAGCACAGACGCACCTCCAGGCGACCCTGCAGACTGGGGTCGGGAAAAGGACAGGCTGAGAAGTCTAGAAAGGCAAAGAAGTTAACGATGTTTGGCAGTCTGAGGTCTTATCAGTGTGTTGGGGTCAGGTGGGGGCCGAGGCAACAAGCTCAGGCAGACGCCAGCCGGGGCTGGGACGGTGCAGGTGAGGAGGGGCTGCCTGGGGGACAGCCCGCCTCACTGACCCAACCTGGGACAAGGTAGTGGCTGGGTTAGGGGCTGGGGTGTGTCTTGGAGCCCCCAGGTGACAGGAGAGGGAGGAAGGGAGTGACTGGTGAAACATTAACCCCCTCAGGGTTCTGAAGGGAAGGGGAACATCCTTAGAGGACACAGGGAGAAGACAAACGTCCCTTCATCCTGAGATTCACTTGGAAATCCCCTGAACTTCCAACTCCTGGCTGATGAAACGGAGCAAGTTGTCTCTGCCTTATGGCCTCCATCACCAAGCCTGAAGGAGAGTCTCTCAGCCCGGTTTGGGAGTAAACCCAAAACCGTTCATTCGTCAGGGAATGCCCCAGGTTGGTTCACGCGAGTTTTAAAATGAATCGGAGGTGAAATGGAGCTCATTACCCTCTCTTCAGCCCGACCCTCAATCTTTGGCAGCGAGGGGCAGTTATGGGACGGGGGGCGGGTGGGAAGAGCGCCCAGGGCCCCCTCCGGGTTCTCCCACGGTTTCCCGCATCTGGGCCTGGCCAGCGCCTTTGGGAGGAAGGGCCTAGGCGCGGTAGGGATGCCTGGGAGTCTAGGGAGTGGCGGGGGTGTTTCTTGGCCCGGCAGGGTGGGGTTTCCAAGCGTGATCTCCTCGCCCTGGCAGAGCCGGGGTGCCGGGTGGGGGCAGGCTCGGGGGCCTGCCTGCGGTGAATCAGGCTTGTGACCTCAGGCCGTCCAGGTAAACATCCTCTGCGCTTTGGAAACTGTTGGGACTAGAAAGGAGCGGGCGGCAGGGAGAGGGAAGGGGGAAGGAGGGATTCTGAGTGGAGGAGACCTCTGAAATCCTCTCTCCTGCCAGGAAACCAGGGCGGTCTTCCAAGCGGGCAGCCACGTTGCCTACTTGAGGCCAAGGCAGAAGCATCAATCACATGGGGCGTAGTTTCTGTCTGGCTAAAGAACGGCTCACGCGGACCTCGGGAATGCGACTGTGGAAACGACGGGGAAGCTGGAAGGGCTGGGTGGCGGGGGAAGCTGGAGGGCACAGCTTCCAGATTCCAGTTTGTTAAGAATCACCTGAAGGACGTTTCTCTGAAGGGAAAGTGGGCATCTGTGAAGGGTTAGAGGCACATACTTCAACTTTCCCTAGCACAAGAGTGGAAATCCATACTCCTTGGGGAGGGACTTTGTCACTGAACCTTAAGAAAATGGTTACTGGACTGAGCTTGGTTACTTATGCCTGTAATCCTGACGTTTTGGTAGATGGAAGTGGGAGCATCGATTGAGGCCAGGAGTTCTAGCCTAGGCAATGTAGTGAGACTCTCATCGAAAAGAAAATAAAAAAAAGAAGAAAGAATCTCGTGGCTGTCATTTTTAATGTTGCTGGTGTGCAGGGAGGCTGTTTTGACTCTTATTTCCATTCTTGGGCCACCGGCAGAGCAGGGCAAAGCTATGAGGTTACATAGACCTGGCTTAGACCCCAGTCCCATTCCCCAGCAGCTTCAGGCCCAAGCAACGGTCTCCATCTCCCTGAACACAGTCTCCTTATAGGTAAAATAACTGCAGAGTTGATGCTGGAATTAAATCAATGCAGTGGCGAGCCCAGCGCTGCAGAGCCCCGTGCTTAGTGACCAAAATAATGTCCCGCCTGCCTCATCTTCCTCTCGGATTTTTGCCAAGGCCAAACTGCGCGTGTCCCAGAAAAAAACCCTCGGACACTTGGCCTCTGCCCTGTCTCAGCCGAGTGACTAGGATGACTGGGAAGTGAATCACAGGAAAATCACCCAAGCCCACTCTTCTCCACAGCCGGTGAGCAGAAGGAAGGAAGCAAAGAAGGAAGGGAGGAAGGGAAGAAGGGAGAGTTCAGTTCCCTTTCGTCGTTCACACAGTGGTCCTCCACACCAGGAAACCTAAGGGCTCTGTGGAGGGCCAGGTGCCGTGGCAGCAACACTCCTCAGGGCCTGTTTCAGCACCCCATTTACGTGGCACATGAAAAATTCAGGATGAACGCCCTGGCTGAAAGCTCTTCCTGGGTTTGGGACATCAGAAGACCTTCCCGGGATGGGCTCTTGTCTCTGCAGTAGCTATGACCTGCACATAAACCTGTTTCCTACACTGTAAAATTGGCGTAACCACCATTCCCTCCCAGTCTTTCTCTGGAGTCCTAATGGGAACAGTGACGGAATGAAAGTGACCACGCTGGAACCCGAAGCGCTGTTCCCCTCCGTGGCTTCACACTGATCTCCACACTAGAATTCCGTGTCTGCAGTTCAAGTTCAAACTACTGTGGTCGGGGAAGGGCTACAGAGATCTCGCTTGGCCGTGGAGTCACCGGCCCCGTCCAGTCTTGCTTGGGACACATACTGGTTTACACTCTCTCGGGTTCAGTTTCCTCATCTGTAAATGGGGCTCGTATCCCCCTCATAAAGTGGTTTGGGGGATAATAAAGCTTGTAAAAGCGCTTTGCCCCAGTGCTTGGCACATAATACGCGCTACGTTAACAATGTCGCGTACACGCCCGAACCGGAGGAACCCCATTCCACGCTCCTTCTGGAACCGAATTCACCTCTGAGGCTTTGGGGCTTCAGAGCCGGAGCCGCTTGGGCAAAACCAGCAGAACAGCGAGAGGGAACGGGCTGGTCTAGCCCTGCCCTGAGCATTTCTACTGAGACCCCCGGTCCTGCTTCTTCCAGCCTCTGCTGGATTTCTCTCCGACCCCTCTGGAGCGAAGCCCTTTGGCCCTGCGTTGCATGCGGCACGGTGCGGGTTCGGGCTCTGCGCTGGAGCCGGGATGCCCTCCGGCGGAGGGTGCGCGTAGGCGGCGCCTGGGCGTGAGCCCCGCCTGCAAGGCTCAGCGTCGGGGAAGCACTTTTCTCGTCGACCCGGGGTCTTTTTCCGCCAAGGAGCTCGGGGCTCAAGAACTCGGGACTGGGCTGTGGGCGGGGCATGGTTTTCCTCTCTGGGCGTCCTAATCTCCAATTTCAGGCAAATTCGCTAGGAAGAACCTTCCCGAGCGCGCCTTCTCCAACAGGACCTCCAAGCCAGCCTCACGCACGCAGGCCTGGCTCTCTCCTGCAGAATCCCCACCTGCCCTATAACTACCCACTTCAGATATGGGGGAATGGAGGAGATATTCCAATCACGCCATCTACCTACAGTTTCCACGGCCCCTTCTGTTGAATGGTATTTTCCTTTAGGGTCCCTAGAAGCAGAGCAAATGAAAAGGCCAGGGGGAAAAAAAAAAAAAAAAGAAAGAACCGGTGAATTGGCTCTGAGCCCAATAAACGGTTCCTCTTTCCTTCTCCGGTCCTTTCCCTTCCAACAGAGCGATTGAGAAATCATTTCAATAATCAGCAAATCGGCTGGGAAATGGAGAACCAGAAGGGAATGTCCTATCCAACAGCGCTTTTTCTTCTCTCAATAGAAGCCCAGTCTTTCATTTAGATATGAATATAGCTACTGTGCATTTCTCCATTAATAAATATAAATTTCCAAACTAGGTGGTGAGGGATATGAATTTCCATGGTACATTGGGCCCTAGAGACACCAAGAAGCTTCAGGTCATAAGGGGGTCTATTCAGGCTATGTCCAAGCACAACCAAATTATGGCATTAAAAACAAGAGGTCTTGATTCAGATCTTTCACGTTTTAATAACAGAGGGGGATGCTGCTGATATAGAAAAGTGATTGAAAATATTTGTAAACATATACTTCTCACTGGACCTCCAGTCATGTTGGTGGGTGTGGTAGACAGAATCAAGTACGTCAACTAGCTGTTTTCTGGTTTAGAAACAAAAAATACCCCCAGCCCCACCCCCACTCTGGAGTCTTTGCTTCTCAACTACGAAATGGAAAAAAAAGAACTCAAGTCCCATTTAGACTGTGGGAGCTCAGCCCATGAAGGGACTGTGGGAATTGACATGGAGAGTTTGGGGTGGAGAGGTGGAAGGGTGGAGGAAATGAGATCGGCAGCAGACACTGAGTCAGAGGCCTGAGACTAAGGCCTGGCTCTGTGTCCTTGATATCCCCAAGCCTCAGTGTTCACATCTATAAGATGAGGATAATATTGATCTCACAGAACTGCTGTGAAGAATCAACCACATAATATATGTGACGATGGTTTTTCATTATCAGCCTTTCCTTGGCCTGGACCAAATTGAAAGGAGACTGTGGGGCCAGGCAAGGTGGCTTGGATCATGCCTGTAATACTAGCGCTTTAGGAGGCTGAGGCAGGAAGATCCCTTGAGACCAGGAGTTTGAGACCAGCCTCAGCAACATAGTGAGACTCTATATCTTAAAAATAAAATAAAATAAAATAAAATAAAATAAAATAAAATAAAATAAAATTAGCCAGACATGGTGGTGCATGCCTGTAGTCCCAGCTCCTCAGTGGGGAGAGTTGGGAGGATCACTGAGCCCAGGAGGTCAATGCTGCAGTGAACCATGATCTAGACACTGCACTCCAGCCTGGGTGACAAAGCAAGACCCCGTAAAAAAAAAAAGAAAGAATGAGGAAGAAAGGAAAAGAGAAAAAAAGAAAAGAAAAGAGACCGTGGCAAAGAAGGCAAGGGTCCAGCTTGGGCCCAGCCCAGGGATGGGTATGAGCATCCCCATGGCTACTTGATGCCCTGTCACGTGGGTTCAGCTGGCTTAGTCTCACCCTCTGCCAGATCCAGGAGGAAGTGAGAATCCATTACAGTGGGCCTGTCTCAGCTCCTGTTTGCTTTGGCCACAGCGTGATGGTGTCTTGCTGGCTTTGCCAACAGGATTTAGGTGTTTGCTCTCCCGCCTGGCATGGCTGCTAAGGCAGCTGGCATTCTGCTCCTGCTTATCATGCTGGCTGAGACTTCCTGCTGCTGCTGCTTCCCCTTTCTCAGATGGATGGGGTCCTATTTTATTATCATTGTCACAAGACTCCTATGCTTGAGAAAGCAGGGTGGTGAAAAGAGGCCACAGACTTTCCCTTTCAAATGGCTCCCCAAGAAGTACATACTCAAGGACTAAGATGAATCAGGAAGTACGCCAGGAAAAGAAATGAGACAGAGAGCCAGAAAAAACAGGCACTAACCCTAGATCTTTAAAGGACTTGCTTTGCTTTCCACACTTCTTTCCTCATGCTTTCTGAGGACAGTAGTAGATAGCGGGAGTAAAGGGGAAGGGAGCCCCTTGCTGAAGGTCACCCCACACCAGCCAGAGCCCACGGTTGGAGAGTCTTGGAGGAGAGTCTTGGAGGAAACATGATTATCAGGTGCCTGATGGGAAGAACATGTGCTCAGAATAATCACATCCCCTCCCATAGCCAAGGCAACTCCCAGAACCTCCAGCCACCTCCCCAGCACAGTGTGCATTCAGAAGACATGAAATCCCCTCCACATGACACACTACCTGCTTGGCTTTCCAGGCTGCTAGTGAATAACTTACAGTCATGGCTGGAGAATGCAAAATAATTGAAAGCAATGCTTAGTAAATTGCAGTTTCAAGGTCTTCATTGCCTTCCTAACAATTTGCAAAACTCATTTTATTGCTTTTTTAGATTCCTCGAATTGAAATACCACTGCATGCTGTAATTAAGCTAAGTGACATGCCAGCTGTAAAGGCAAGGGTTGTGAATGATTACATTCAGTTCATGTAATCATACAGGATGAGTGTGGGGAGGGAGCCTACAACAGCTGCCGGTCTGCCTTGCTTACACTCTCTGCCAGGGTGGAAGGAAAGCTGGAATCTAAACTCACTTTTTTTTAAAACAGGGTCTCCCTCTGTCACCCAGGCTGGAGTGCAGTGGCACAATCATAGCTCACTGTAGCCTCAGCCTCCTGAGCTCAAGCAATCCTCCCACCTCAGTCTCCCGAGTAGCTGGGACTATAGGTGTGCAACACCATGCCTGGCAAATTTTGTTGCTGTTGTTGTTTGGTAGAGACGGAGTCTCTATGTTGCCTAAGCTAGTCTCAAACTCCTTGAGCATCCTCCCACCTCAGTCTCCCAAAGTGCTGGAATTACAGGTGTGAGCCACACACTCGGCCTGAAGTCACCCTTTTAAGGCTAGTAAGAGTTACCCATGCTGTCTGAGGCGGCCTAATCCAGTGTGGGGTAAGCCAGGCAAGTGGTTCCCAAACCTGACTAAGCATCAGAACTCCCTGGCACAGCTTTTTATTTTTATTTTATTTAAGTTATTTATTTATTTATTTATTTATTTATTTATTTATTTATTTATTTTGAGATGGAGTTTCACTCTTGTTGCCCAGGCTGGAGGGCAATGGCGCGATCTTGGCTCACCGCAACCTCTGCCTCAAGCGATTCTCCTGCCTCAGCCTCCCGAGTAGCTGGGATTACAGGTGCCTGCCATCACACCCGGCTAAGTTTGTATTTTTAGTAGAGATGGGGTGTCTCCATATTGGTCAGGCTGGTCTCGAACTCCCAACCTCAGGTGATCCGCCTGCCTCGACTTCCCAAAGTGCTGGGATTACAGGTGTGAGCCACTGCGCTCGGCCAGGCAGAGCTTTTTAAATCCAAGTTTACCTCCCCCTTGCTCCAAAGTGACTAATAAAGTCTAGGGAGAACCACAGGTCTTTACAATTGCCCAGATATCTCTGAGCCTGGAGATGAGAGAACCTGCCCCATCCAAGATGGCTATTTTTAACAACTTGGTCTTCAGAAACGTCACTTTTGCACTTGGAAACTTTTCCTTCAGTGTTGCTTTCATAAATCTGTCTGGGGACAGGAGTTCATCCAACTGCTTTATGAACAGATACCTTGATCTCTATCCTCCCAAAGCTCCTTCTCCTAATGTTCCCAATTTCTTTCAGCGGACTCAGTTCCTTTGAAGCCTTCTTTATTGTTCCTTTATCCTCTGCCACACAGTCAGCTGCTAAGTCCCAGCTCTACGATATTTTTCTCACTTGCCTCTTTTTTTTTCTTCCAGCTTATTGAGGTATATCTGCCTCCTTTTCTCTCCCCCAGCCAGCCATCCTGATAGAGGCTGCAAGGGCTTGAATCCTGGACCACTGTATGAGACTCCCAAGCCCTCTCCCACCTTTGGGTCCCTCCCCTTGCCAAGCCACTCCACCATCTACTACTAGATTCATCTTCCTAACACTAAATAAAATCTCCTACTCAAAAACCTTCAGCAGTTTCCCACTGCCTGCTGAATTAGGTAAACACTACCCAGGATAACAGTTTAGATCCTCTGCAATATTTATTCATTCAGCAAATATTTACTGAATTCCTATTATGTCCTAGGTACTAAACTAAAAGCAGAGAATATAAAGATGTAGAGACATGGTACATTCCAGTGGACAGACAGCTGCACAAATTCATTATCATGAGGAGTGCAATAATGGCAATATAAACAAAGGGTCACTGGGTTTCCAATATGGTCTCTTAATCTATCTTTCCATCTTCATCTCCCAATTTCCTTTCTGATCCAGCCAAACTGGACTAGACCTTACTTTTTTGTTTTTGTTTTTGTTTTTGTTTTGAGACGGAGTTTCACTCTTGTTGCCCTGGCTGGAGTGCAGCAGCATGATCTTGGATCACTGCCAACTCTGTCTCCTGGGTTCAAGCAATTCTCCTGCCTAAGCCTCCCGAGTAGCTGGGATTACAGGCGCGTGCCACCACACTTGGCTAATTTTTGTATTTTTTGTAGAGATGGGGTTTTGCCATGTTGGCCAAGCTGGTCTCAAACTCCTGACCTCAGGTGATTCACCCACCTCGGCCTCCCAAAGTACTGGGATTACAAGCGTGAGCCACCACGCCCAGCCTAGACCTTACCTCTTGATCATGTTCAGGGTTTTTAGTTTCTTCCAGGCCTCTATACCTCAGTCCATATCTTATATCCACCTTTTAAAATCCTATTTATCAGCCTGGTGCGGTGGCTCACGCCTGTAATCCCAGCACTTTGGGAGGCTGAGGTGGGAGGATCACAAAGTCAAGAAATCGAGACCATCCTGGCCAACATGGTGAAAACTGTCTCTACTAAAAATACAAAAATTAGCTGGGCATGGTGGCGGGCGCCTGTAATCCCAGCTACTCAGGAGGCTGAGGCAGGAGAATAGCTTGAACCCAGGAGGCAGAGGTTGCAGTGAGCTGAGATCATGCCACTGCACTCCACCCTGGCGACAGAATGACACTCCATCTTAAAAAATAAAAATAATAAAATCCTATTTGTCTTTTCCTGCCACCTCAAATATCACCTCCTCCAATGAAGTGGACTTGGTCCTCCCAGCTAGGTGTGAGGGTGTTTCCTTCTCGTCTACTGACACTCTTTTTTAGTGGCACTTAACTCAGGCTAGTTATCTGTGGACCCGCCTTCCTCCACTGCACACTCTTTGGGAGCAGGAACTGCCACAGCATTTTTCTGTCTCACAGAAGCACTGTGCTCTGCACAGCCCTATGAGTGAACAGACAGGAGGTGGGTGGGGCTGGGAAGGCAGCCTGATATTGTGCCTTCTCGTTGGATAACCTTGAGCTGTTAAAGCCTCTAGACAGGATGTGCTACAAAATTTGGCAGGTCCACTAAAAAATGAAAACGCAGAGTTCCTTGTTCAAAAATGATTCAGAATTTCAATATGGTGGCAAATACAGGGCTCTTCTAAGTGCAGGACCCTGTGCAACTGCACAGATTGCATGTCCTGTCTCTAGGAGCAAAGGTGCTGGCACCACATGTCCCACAGACAGCCAAATAATTCTGGCATCGTCTTATTAAGATACTTCCTTTTTATCAGCTCAGGAATCTCGACTGGCTGGAACTCGTGACCAGGAAGAAAAGGGGAGAGATGTAGAGATTCCAGGAAGCCCCTTTTCAGCAAGTCTTACATCTTTTGCTTGGGCCAGGCTATGATCTCTGACAACCTGATGAGAACAATGGGAAAAGTGGCCTCACATCAGTCTGTTTTGAGCCTTCCGAATGGCGTCAGGAATGGGCTTGTGGAGGTTGAGATGGCAATTAAGCTTTTACTTGTCTGCTGGGATAACCAGGCCTTGGCTTCTTTTGCCATCCAGGTGGGCCTTGACTATTTACTAAAAAGAAAAGAACGCTATCCCGGGATCCTTGAAAACCAGGCTGACATGGGGATGACGTGTACATATGTGTGTTTCAGAGCTGGACACAAATGATTTGAGTCTAATGTCTCCATTCAATATCTTGGATAATTAAGGTCTTTTGCCTGAAGGGTACTGTGGGCTTCAAGCATCCCAGGTTCCCCTGACATTCTTGAGGCCAGAAATTCGTTCTATTGGAAATCCATAAGGCAAAGCCAGGTCAACACTGTGAAGCAAGCACTTGTCTTCAGAACTTACTTCTTCCACCTCTGCCTCATATGCCCCAAAGGTCTCACCAGGGATCAGACTCAGGAAGAGTGAGTGAAGCAAAAATGGATCACATTCCTGGAAAGGGCAGAGAGTGAGCTGGCAGATAAGGAAAGATGTTATGCCTGCGGTCTAGCCAGGCCCTGTGCTGGGCAGAGTTGGTGGAGTCAGTTGCCCAGACAGGGCAACGTCCACGTCAGGCTCTGGGCTCCTAGCAAGGAGGGCAGGGCTTACTGTAGACCATTTGTCCCAAGAAAGTCTTCAAAGCTTCCTATTTTTAATGTATTTGGAGCTTTTTTTTTTAGACGGAGTCTCACTCTGTTGCCCAGGCTGGAGTGCAGTGGCGCGATCTCAGCTCACTGCAACCTCTGCCTCCCAGGTTCAAGCGATTCTCCTGTCTCAGCTTCCTGAGTAGCTAGGACTACTAGCTACCATGCCCGCCACCATGCCTGGCTAATTTTTGTATTTTTAGTAGAGACGGGGTTTCGCCATGTTTGCCAAGCTGGTCTTGATCTCCTGACCTTGGGTGATCTGCCTGCCTCAACCTCCCAAAGTGCTGGGATTACATGCATGAGCCACTGCGCCCAGCCTGGAGCTTTCTTAGTGAGGGGTACTCAGGATAACTGTCTCCCCACAACCCTCCTTTCCCATTATCCCTCCAAATCAGGCTCCTCCTCCTGGCAGTAAGCATGGCAATTTCTTTTATTAATGGATGCCTGAAGGGAAAGTGTAACATTTCTGCAGGCTGATAGAAGAAGCATCTTCAGGCTGGGTACTCTCGCCTCACCTCTGTTTTCACTGGTGAGATTAAGTTGGGCTGGTGAGGGAGGTCACCAGAGGATGCTCGGGCACTGAGGTGGCAAGTCTTTGGGCTGGTGGGGATGGGCGGAGGTCGGGCCTTGACCTTGTGAAGTTGCAGCTGCCTCAGTTCTCTCACTCAGGGCTCAGAGTTATGCACCATGCCCATCCCTGACCTCATCTTTTATCTTGGAGACGAAGACCAACTGGCATAGTTCTGTTGGTGGACTGAGGGCTTTTGACTCCTGGAAATCATGAGTCCTTCTCTGAAACACTACTCCCGAAGTTGCTTTATCTGGGGGAGTATTCTGGATGATGGTGCCATGTGAAGAACCCAGAGAAGTGCCACTGGTACGGCAACTGGAGTGTGTCCTGGGGCAGCACCAATCCAACCCCAGAAATCATGGTCCTGTAGCACTGTAAGCTAACTGGGAGGGAACAGAGGCAGGGCTGTTGGCCCCATTGCTGCTACTAGGAACTAATGGAAGACCAGTATATCTAGATGAGCAAACAAAACTTCAGTTGATTCTGTGAACACTGGAGACACTGTCGGAAGAGACACATTGTTTCCTGCAAGTTAAGAGGTAGGAAGGGAAAAGTGGCAGAGATCCAGTCTGATTCTGGAAAAAAAAAATTTTTTTTTTAGATTTTCCTTTAAAATGGCCTCCAGAATATTAAAGTCAATGAACTCATCATCACCATTCCTATCTAGTGGATCAAGAGACGCTTAGGTGACTTATATCTGTAGTCACCAGAAACTCATTCTACCTACACAACATTCATCTTCCTGTAGCCTTCTTGCCTGAAATATTGGATATGGATCATTTAAGAGCAGCCAAGATGGCTGGCTGGAGAGAATGTTATAGTGGTTAAGAAGCTGTATGCCCTTGGACAAGTTACTCAACCTCTCTCAGCCTTGGTTTCCCCATTTGGAAAGAGACAACAACAATGCCCCGAGGACTGAGACAATATATGCAAAGCTTTTAGTACACCAGTGGGAAGTGTGTCTTGGGCCAGTTCACGCTGGGCTCATCACCATCAGCACAATATCATCCTCATCAGCAATAGCATCACCATCATTGCAGGTACCATTGATTCAGTAAGATGCCAGGCATCCCACTTTACCAAGCCATGAGTCATCCTTAAAATCCTACAAAATGAGGCCAGGCACAGTGGCTCATGCCTGTAATCCCAGCTCTTTGGGAGGCTGAGGCAGGTGGATCACTTGAGGTCAAGAATTTGAGACCAGCCTCGTCAACATGGAGAAACCCCATCTCTACTAAAGCTACATCCAAACATTAGCCAGGAACAGTGGCACACCTGCAGTCTCAGCTACTCAGGAGGCTGAGGCAGGAGAATCAGTTGAACCTGGGAGGTGAAAGTAGCAGTGAGCCAAGATCACACCACTGCATTCCAGCCTGAGCGACAGAGCAAGACTCTGTCTCTAAAAACAAAACAAAACAAACAAACAAACAAAAAAACAGAAAGAAAAAGTTAGCTAGCGGGAGGCTGAGGCAGGAGAATAGCTTGAACCTGGGAAGCAGAGGTTGCAGTGAGCTGAGATCGCGCCACTGCACTCCAGCCTGGGCAACGGAGGGAGACTCCAAAAAGAAAAAAGAAAAGAAAAGGAAAGTTAGCCAGGCATGGTGACAAGCACCTGTCACCTCAGCTACTCAGGAGGCAGAAGTGGGAGAATCTCCTGAGCCTGGGAAGTTGAGGCTGCAGTGAGCCATGATAGTGCCACTGCACTCCAGCCTGGATGACACAGTGAGAACCTGACTCAAAAAAAAAAGGAAGATCCTACAAAATAGGTTGTTTATCCCCTAGAATTCAACTCTTATACAGATCTGCACCATGGACTCAGTGACCAACCCACTGTGAAAGTGGGTCCAGAGGAAGAAGAATGATATTCTAGCCACTAAAGCAGAAAAATGCAGGAATGTGTCAGGGCGCCATTCCTCACATGGGTCAGGATGGGTGCCAAGTTCATGGCCAGATGGTAGAGAAGGAAACATAGAGCTGTTTGTCCAGTCCATCACTTGTGTGAGGTTGGGCAAGTCATTTAACATCCTCAACCTTGAGTTTCTTCACTTGCAAACTGGGCATAAGGTAATAACGTCTGCCTTGCCAACCTCACATTGTCAATGTGAGGATTCTATGAGATATGATCTGTAAACCTGATGTGTGGAAGGTGTTATTACTCTTACGCTTTCCAAAGAAACCCCTGATCCTCCATTGAGGCCTCTGCTTGCTCTTCCTTCTTTCCTTCAACCATTATTTATTGTGCAGAAGCCCTCTTTTCAAACCACATTCTGCTCCGTCTGCAAATCAATGCATTAATATCATGCATTCCAATGGACATTCTGCTGTATATAGTCTTTTGGGAGTCTGCTTTTTTATGTGTAAGTCCTTTATGGTCCGATTAGTTTGGAGAGAACTTTTAGAAGACATTATTTGGCCTAAAAGCAGGGGGCCAGTTCTGAGATCTGGTGACCCCATACGGTATTCTAGGAGGCTCTGCTTGGTCTTTGTCATATCTGCTACCTGCAGAAATGCCTCCACTGAAGAGCCACTTATTGTCACCTCAGCTCTAACTAAAGACTAATATGAAAAGTATCATTTAACAGACAGATAGTATGGCTTCAAGAGTTTGGGGCTTGAGAATCAGAAGCATCTGACTCAAATCCTTGCTGTGACAATTAAAACTGGGGGACCTGCTGAATGTTAAGCCTTATGCTCTTTGAGTATCAGCTTTTTTTTCTTTTCTAAAGCTCAAGGCCAAGTGCAATGACTCACGTCTGTAATCCCAGAGCTTTGGGAAGCTGAAGCAAGAGGATTGTTTGAGGGCAGGAGTTCAAGATGAGCCTGGGCAACATGGGAGACCCTGTGCTACAAAAATACTTTTTAAATTAGCTGGACATCATGATGTGCACCTGTAGTCCTAGCTACATGGGAGGCTGAGGCAGGAGGATCGTTTGAGCCCTGGAGTTTGAGATTATAGTGAGCCATGATCCTACCACTGCACTCCAGCCTGGACAACAGAACAAGACTGTCTCCAAAGAAAATAAAAATAAAGTGTACAACTGTGATTGAAATTCAATTAGATAAAATATTTATCTAGAAGAGTGCTGGCGCCTTTATAGTCGGCTAGCAAAAAAGGGTAACTATCACCATCTATCATCCTGATTTTTTCTTTTTTTAGAGATGGGGTCTTGCTATGTTGCCTAGGCTGGAGAGCAGTGGATATTCACCAGCGTGATCCCACTATTGATGAGCATGGGAGTTTTGACCTGCTCCATTTCTGTCTTGGTTTACCCCTCCTTAGGCAACCTGGTGGTCCCCAGCTCCTGGGAGGCCACCATACTGATGCCAAACTTAGTGCAGATACTTGATCAGGGTAGCGCATTACAGCCCAGAACTCCTGGACTCAAGCAATCCTTCTGCCTCAGCCTCCCCAGTAGCTGGGACCACAGGCACTCGCCACCATGCCCAGCACCATGACTAATACTAACACATGGCCATGCCCTCAGCCATTGCTTATTATGGCAGAAAAGATCTAAGATGCCACATGATAAACTGCTCTTTCAGGGAAAGAAGTCTTCCCTAAGGAACTACTAAACTTATTTTTACTCATCTAGGAGAAAATATTGAAACCCTGTCTGCCTAAAAAATACCAGAGCTTCTTGGGGAATCTAGCCCACGTTGCTAAAAAGTGACACGAAGAATCAGCATCTGATGTCAGAGGTATTCACCAAGATTCAACTGATGGGGAAGTTCTCCCTGTTTCCCAGCTCACTACAGCTCCAAGCGGGTGAGGGCCAGTGTACACAGGGATGTACCTGGAGCTTGGGGGTGGGGAGAGAAACCAACAGAACCAGTCCCAATCTTTGAGGAGCCCCCAATCTTGAGGGAAGGAATAAAGTTCCTGTCTTCAGGGAGACCCCCATCTGATGGCAGAGACATAGTCCATGCCACTAGAGACTCTCTAGTATGATTGGACAGACAAAAAGGACCAAAACAGGATGCTGTGCCTGGCCTTTTCTGCTAAGAGGTTCAGAGCTAAATTCAACGGTCAATGCAGGAAGCACTTTATCACACCCTCTTCATATAATGATCTCTTCCCTTTCTTCGTGTGGCTTCTGATCATTATTATTTCATTTAACAGTCCTACTGAATACAAGTTTTCATTGTAATGTGCTACATCATCCTTTTTTAAATAGTAGAAACAGACTGGGTGTGGTGGCTCATATCTGTAATCCTAGCATTTTGGGAGGCCGAGGTGGGTGAATTGCTTGAGGCCAGGATTTCGAGAACAACTTGTCCAACATGGCAAAACCCTATATCTACTAGAAATACAAAAATTGTCCGGGCATGGAGGCACATGCCTTTAGCCCCAGCTACTCAAGAGGCTGAGGCACAAGAATTGAAGATAGTGGTAGTGGGTTGGAGCTCCTTAGGGATCAGAGTTTTGCTCCAATAACAGGCCCACAGGTCAGGGCTGGCTGTAACAGGCTCCTCTGCCCAGGCCTGGGTCTACATGTAAGACAAGTACTTATTACCCGTATGTTTTTGTTGTTGTTGTTTTGTTTTGTTTTGTTTTGTTTTGTGTTTTTGAGATGGAGTCTCGCTCTGTCTCCCAGGCAGGAGCGCAGTGGCGTGATCTCGGCTCACCACAACTGTAGCTGGGACTACAGGCACGTGCCATCATGCCCGGCTACTTTTTGTATTTTTAGTAGAGATGGGGTTTCACCATATTGGCTAGGCTGTTCTCAAACTCCTGACCTAGTGATCTGCCCACCTCGGCCTCCCAAAGTGCTGGGATTACAGGCATGAGCCACCGTGCCTGACCTATTACCCATATTTAAAAGACTTGTTCAAAAGACAAATTCCCAGGGCCCCTTCCCAGCCCTCTTATGCCAGAATTCCCAGGGGGTTTGGCCTGAGAAACTACAGGCTTAAACAAGGGCCCTCATATGATTCCCATCATCAGGGAAATGGGGAAACATCAGGCCCAGCTCTTCTCTGAGCATGGTGAGAGGACTATCAGAATCAACTAGAGGAGCTTCATAAAATGCAGATTCCTGGGCTCTCCACCCAGGACCACTGAATCAGAATTTCTGGGAGAAGGCCCTGGAATATGCATTTTTACAGGAACCCAAGGTGATCTCTATGGGCTGGATGTTTCCTTGCAGGCCCTCCTGCAGTGTGAGCTACTGGTCACAAGGGGCCAGGTCAGAGTATCTGCTCACAGTAAGCTTTGCGTGGCAGGGTGGAGGGAGACGATTCACATCTCTAGCCTTCTTCTTTAGACAGTCAAGCAGCAAAGATCCCTTAATTCCACAGCTCTATGTTGTGGAGTTCTCCGAAGTTTTTACATATGACCTTCCCTCAGAAGCACTGAAGTTCAGACGGAGGGCATCTTACCATCTCCTGGGGCCTTTTGCACGGTGGAACCAAAGCTTCTCAAAGGCCTTTGGTTCCACATCTCAGTCTCTGCTGTCCTGTTGCTCTGTCCCCTCAGCACACTCCATTACAGGGCCAGCCTTTGGGGCAAGTGATCTAGGCCTAGACCAGGCGGCATAGCTTGAAGGATGTGAAAATCAACCCATTATGGTTGACATGGTTCTACTTCTGGGATCTCCATATATGACTATCTCAATTTTAGCCATAAGTGGAAGACAAGGCAAAGTGCCTAGTGGGGGCAGATCAGTTCTACCAGAAATATATTAATACATAGCAAGGGGGTCACTTTTTTTTTTGGAGACAGAGTGCTGCTCTGTCACCCAGGCTGGAGTGCAGTGGTGCAATCCCGACTCACTGCAACCTTCAGCTCTGGGCTCAATCAATCCTCCTACCTTGGCCTCCCAAGTAGCTAGGACCATAGGCATGCTCCACCACACCCAGCTAATTTTTTAATTATTATTATTATTTTTTTGAGACGGAGTCTCACTCTGTCACCCAGGCTGGAGTGCAGTGGCACAATCTCAGCTCACTGCAACCTCTCCCTCCCGGGTTCAAGCAATTCTCCTGCCTCAGCCTCCCGAGTGGCTGGGACCACAGGCGGGTGCCACCATGCCCAGCTAATTTTTTGTATTTTTAGTAGAGACGGGGTTCCACTGTGTTAGCCAGAATGGTCTCGATTTCCTGACCTCGTGATCCACCCACCTCGGCCTCCCAAAGTGCTGGGATTACAGGCATGAGCCACTGCACCCGGCCTAATTTTTAAATTGTTTGTAGAGACAGGGTCTTGCTATGTTGCCCAGGCTAGTCTTGAACCCCTTGCATCAAGTAATCTTCTCGCCTCAGCCTCTCAAGTAGCTGGGACCACAGGCATGTGCCACCACACCCAGCTAATTTTTAAATTTTTTGTAGAGATGGGGTCTCCCTTATGTTGCCCAGGCTGGTCTCAAACTCCTGGGCACAAGGGATCCTCCTGCCTTGGCCTCCCAAAGTGCTGGGATTATAGGCATGAGCCACTGCACCCAGCCAGGGTCACATTTTTACTAAGTCTTCATTGTCTACTTACCTGTATGTCTTTATCAATCCATCCATCCTCCTACCTACCCAACATTCCAGAAAAACACAGAGCACCTGCCAACGCACCAAATTCATTAAGGGAATATGTGTGGGCCTACCTAGCTCCTCTCACATCCTTTTTGGCCAGAGATCAGGCAATGGCTGTATGCTTCTTGATCCTGCATACATGGGTCCCTCATAGCACTTGCGTGGCTTCTACAAGGCCTTGGATCCAGTTGGGCTGGAGTGGCAATCACCAGCAGGTCCCTCAGAGTAACATTATAGCTCTGAGGACTCTGCAAGAGGAGGGAGGACACATCCAGCTGCCTCTTCTCGCCAGAGCTGTCACTGCGGGAGTGGCACTCCCCAGGCAGGGAGGGGTTTTCTGGAAAGGCAAAGTCAGAAGCATCAGCGATTTGTGCTGCTGGATTCAGCACAAATTCCTGGTGAAGACCACCTCCCAGTAGGGTCCCATGGCCTGTAACTGCCATTCAAAGCTCTTTGAGCCAGAATCAGCCATTGCTCCTTTTCTCCAAATAGTTTTTCTTCCCCATTTTTTCATACTTAACATCAGTAACTGGTGCAGCCTCAGCTGAATGAGCCTCATGTGAATGAGAACCAGGAAGTGGTGAAGAAGGGAACTGGACAGCAATCTGTTTTTATCTTTTTTGTCTTCCCAATCAGACTAGAGACTTCCTAATGGTATGGACTGTGTCTCCACCATCAGACTGGGGTTTCCCTGAAGACAGGGGCTGTCCCCCCTCCAAAGACTGGGAGCTCCCCAAAGATTAGGACTGGTTCTATCGGTCCCTCTCCCCTTTAAGCTCCTGGCACATCCCTGTACACACTGGCACTCACGTGACAGGTTATTCATCCCCAGCTTGGGGTTGTAGTGAGCTGGGAAGAAGGAGAGCTTCCCACTCAGTTGAAGCTTGGTGAGTAGCTCGGATATCAAATGTGGCTTGTTCATGTCACTCTTTAGCAAAGTCCAGTTTGTGTTCGGACTCTCCCAGAAGCTCTTGGATTTTGTGGGCAGAAAAGATTTTAACATTTTCTTCTGGGTTAAGTGTGGAGGGGTCTGCTGCTTCTTGCATTTAAAGGATACCACCCTGTCCGTCTCTGGGCCACTGTACTCAGAGCTGGCGGTCACAGCCAGGGTTGGCGGAGACTTTGGGGAGATTGAGAGTTGGGTGGTGGATTCTGGGGTGGTTTCTACGGAGGTTAAGTGCTGGAAGAAAAGACAGTTCAAAATGAGACTGTGGAAAGCAAAGGGTTCCTTCCTATGCTATTTTTTTTTTATTTTTATTTTTTGAGACAAGGTCTTGCTATGCTGCCCAGGCTGGCCTCAAATTGGGCTCAAGTGATGCTCCTGCCTCAGCCTCCTGAGTAGCTGGGACTACATGTGAGTGCCACCATGCCCAGCTCCCATGCTATTCTTGATTAAAATAAACAGATTAAGAGCTGGTTCATTAGCAGCAAGAAAGATTAGGTTAGAATAGTTTCCTCACCATGAATTGGTTAAACAGTAAGGCAGAAGACAGTAGGAGACTCTACAGCCTCCTCTAAAAGTCTCTAAACATGAAACAGATTATAAACAATAAAGATTGGCAATCAGAACAATAGGTATTATTATTGTTGTTGTTATTATTATTATTATTATTATTTGAGACAGGGTCTCACCCTGTCACCCTGGCTGGAGCGCAGTGGTGCAATCTTGGTTCACTGTAACCTCCACCTCCTGGGCTCAAGCAATCCTCCCACCTCAGTCTCCCAAGTAGCTGGGACCACAGGCATGCGCCACCACATCTGGCTTTTGTATTTTCTGTAGAGATGGGGTTTTGCCATGTTGCCCAGGCTGGTCTCAAACTCCTGGGTTCAAGTGATCGGCCCACCTCAGCCTCCCAAAGTGCTGGGATTACAGGCATGAGCCTGTAATCTCCTGCCTCCTGGAGGCAGGAGAATCACTTGAACTTGAGAGGCAGAGGTTGCAGTGAGCCGAGATCACACCATTGTCCTCCAGCCTGGGTGACAAGAGTGAAATTCTGTCTCAAAAACAAACAAAGAAACAAAAAAAAACAACCAAACAAACAAACAAAAACTAGTCTTGGGGAAAAAAAGAAACTGCACTTGATGAGATCTGCAGCTTTGCAGCTTTTTGTCCGAGGACACCCACAATCCACATGGTGTGGGCAGCAGAAGCCACAGACTTACTGGCTAGAGGTAAAGTTTGAGGCAATCAGAGAAGCCAGAGAAACAGAGTGTAAATTGTGAAAGTGTGAAATCCTTTCATGTGCAGTTTGGCGTGACTGATAAACTACACATGCTGGGGGGTGTGGAATGAGGAGGAAAGGATCTCAGGGGACCCAATAAAAAATAGCACTGGAGGCTGAAATAACTAATAAGATTTCGATTGCTGCTGACCACAGTAGATTTAGAATGTGAAGTTAATGGATGGCTCAAATAAAAATAACTCTTTAGGCTGGGCAAGGTGGTTCATGCCTGTAATCCCAATTATTTGGGAGGCAGAGGTGGAAGGATCACTTTAGGCCAGGAGTTTGAGACCAGCCTGAGCAACACAGCAAGATCCTCATCTCTAAAATAATTGTTTAAAAATTAGCCAAGCATGGTGGTGCACACCTGTAGTCCTAGCTACTCGGGAGGCTGAGGCAAGAGGATCACTTGAGCCTGAGAGCTTGAGGTTATAGTGAGGTATGATCACACCACTTCACTCCAGCTTAGGCGACAGAGCAAGACCCTGACTAAAATATATATATAAAATGTGTATATATACACATTAGTGTATATATATATATTTATCTATCACTCTTTAGAAGAACAAACAGAATCCAGAGACTCTACAATGAATCACTGCATCATGCATAATTCATGATGTCCAGCATCCAAACTTAAAACCACTAGATATGGCCAGGTGCAGTGGCTCACACCTGTAATCCCAGAACTTTGGGAGGACAAGGCAGGAGGATCACTTGAGGTCGGGTGTTTGAGACCAGCCTAGCCCACATGGCAAAACCTCATCTCTACTAAAAATACAAAAATTAGCCGGGCATGGTGACAGGCACCTGCAATTCCACCTACTCGGGAGGCTGAGGCAGAGGAATCACTTGAACTCGGGTGGCAGAGGTTGCAGTGAGCTGAGATTGCGCCACTGCACTCCAGAAGCCTGGGTAACAAAGCAAGATTCTATCTCAAAACAAAACAAAACAAAACAAAAAAACCCACTAGATATGCAAAAAAAGAAAAGAAAAGAAAAGAAAGAAACCAGAAAAATATAATCCACACTCGAGAGAAAAAAGTAGTCAATACACTAAGACCAGCTGGCCGCAGTGGCTCATACCTATAATCCCAGCACGTTGGGAAGCCAAGGTAGGTGGATTGCTTGAGGCCAGGAGTTCCAGACCAGGCTGGGCAACATAGCAAGACCATATTGCTTAAAAAATTAAAATAATAGATAAATAAAAATAAAGAAATAAAATACTATGAGATGACCCAAATGTTGGTTCATTAGCAGACAAGAACTTTAGCAGGCATTATAAATATGGCCAAAGAATTAAAAGAATATGGCTGGGTGCAGTGGCTCACGCCTGTAATCCCAGCACTTTGGGAGGCCGAGGTGGGCGGATCACGAGGTCAAGAGATCGAGACCATCCTGGCCAACATGGTGAAACCCCGTCTCTACCAAAAATACAAAAAATTAGCTGGGTGTGGTGGCACGCGCCTGTAGTCCCAGCTACTCGGGAGGCTGAGGCAGGAGAATCACTTGAACCTGGGAGGCAGAGGTTGCAGTGAGCCAACATTGCACCACTGCACTCCAGCCTGGCGACAGAGTGAGACTCCGTCTCAAAAAAAAAAAAAAAAAATTAAAAGAATGTATGCATACAAAATTCAAAAGTTGGGAATCTAAGCAAAAAAACACAAACTATAAAAAAGAACACTAGCCTGGGCAATATGTACAAAAACTACAAAGATTAGCCAAGCATGGTGGCATGCACCTGTGTCCCACCTATTTGGGAAGCAGAAGCCAGAGGATTGCTTGAGCCCAGAAGGTTGAGCCTGCAGTAAGCTGTAATTGTGTCACTGCACTCCAGCCTGGGTGACAGAGTGAGACCCTGTCTCAAAAAAATAAATAAAAAGAACTGAGTAGTATTTCTATAGGGCTTAAAGGTATAATAATTGAAATAAAAAATTCACTGAATGGGCTTAATGGCAGACAAAACAGTCAGCGAGTTTGACTATAGAGCAATAGAAATTATTCAATCTGAAAACAAAAGAGAATCAAGATTAAAGAAAAGTAAATAGAACCTAAGAAGTCTGTGAGACAATATTCTGTGACTTAACATACATGTTATTGAAGGGTCCAGAAGAGAAGAGAAACAAAATAAGGCAGCAAAAGATTTTGAATAATGGCAATAAATTTCTCAAATTTGGTGAAAGCCATCAACTTATAAAAACAAGATCAAGAACCCTAAGTAAGATAAATACAAATAAAACCATACTCTGGTTTCTCTTTAGATGGTATAAATCTTCCACCTTTTACAAATAAAACCACACCCAGACACATTACAGGCTCATGCCTATAATCCCAGCACTTTGACAAGCTAAGGCAGGTGGATCACTTGAGGTCAGGAGTTTGAGACCAGCCCGGCCAACATGGTAAAACCCAGACTCTACTGAAAATACAAAAATTAGCTGGGCGTGGTGGTGCACGCCTGTATCCCAGCTACTCAGGAAGCTGAGGTGGGAGGATTGCTTGAGCCCAGGAAGATTGAGGTTGCAGTGAGCCATGATTGTGTCATTACACTCCAGCCTGGGCAACAGAGTGAGAGCCTGTTTAAAAATAAAAATAAATAAATGATTATATTAGGAAAAAAGTCTTAATAGTCTAAGGTTTCTCCTTAAAAAACTAGAAAAGTGGCTGGGTGGGGTGGCTTACGCCTGCAATCCCAGCACTTTGGGAGGCCGAAGCGGGTGGGTCACCTGGGGTCGGGAGTTCAAGACCAGCCTGACCAACATGGAGAAACCCCGTCTCTACTAAAAATACAAAATTAGCTGGGCGTGGTGGTGCATGCCTGTAATCCCAGCTACTTGGGAGGCTGAGGCAGGAGAATCGCTTGAACCTGGGAAGCGGAGGTTGCAGTGAGATGAGATCGTGCCATTGCACTCCAGCCTGGACAACAAGAGCAAAACTCCATCTCAAAAAAAACAAAACAAAAAAAAAAAAAAAACAAGAAAAGTAAAATAAATCCAAAGCAAGCAGAAGGCAAGTATTAATAAATAGCAGAAATCAATAAAATCAAAAATAGAAAAATAGACAAAACTCAATGAAACCAAAATCCAGGTTTGTTGTTTTTTTTTTTTTTTTTTTGAGACGGAGTCTCGCTCTGTCGCCCAGGGTGGAGTGCAGTGGCTGGGACTACAGGCGCACATTGCCACGCCCAGCTAATTTTTTGTATTTTAGTAGAGACGGGGTTTCACCGTGTTGCCCAGGCTGTTCTCGAACTCCTGAAATCAGGCAATCCGCCCGCCTCGGCCTCCCAAAGTGCTAGGATTACAGGCGTGAGCCACTATGCCCGGCCCAAAATCTAGTTTTTTTTTAAAAGGTCAATAAAATTGATAACTCCAGCAACATTTATAAAGTAAAAAAGAGAAAGAATAAGGAAATTACTAATATCAGGAATGAAAAAGAGGGTATCACTAGACTCTACAGACATTAAAATGAAAATAGGGACTACTATAAATAACTCTTCATGTATAAAGCCACCTCAGATGAAATGAACCAATACCTCAAAAACCACAAACTGCCGAAATTCATTCAAAATAAAATAAGTTATTTGGATAGTCTTATATCTACTTTTTTTAAATTGAATTTTTAGTTTAAAATACTCTAAAAAAGAAATATCCAGGCCCAGATAGTTTCTCTGGAGAATTCTATCCAAATATTTAGATAAGAAATAATGACAAATCACCAGGCACCATGGCTCATGCCTACAATCCCAGCACTTTGGAAGGCTGAGGAGGATGGATCACTTGAGGTCAGGAGTTCGACACCAGCCTGGCCAACATGGTGAAACCCCACCTCTACTAAAAATACAAAAATTAGCTGGGCATAGTGGCGGGTACCTGTAAATCCCAGCAACTCAGGAGGCTGGGGCAGGAGAATTGATTGAACCTGGGAGACTGAGCAAAGATCGTGCCACTGCACACTAGCCTGGGTGACAGAGTGAGACTCCATCTTAAAAAAAAAAAAGAAAGAAAGAACAACAAATCTATATAATCTCTTGCAGAAAACAAAAGAGAAAGGAATACTTCCTACTTCCCAACTCACTTTATGGGGCCAGAATTACACTGATATCAAAGATATACAACGAAAATAGAAGAAAAAAAACACTATAGACCAGTATCTTTTATGAACTTAGACATAAAATTTCCCAACAAAAATTTTAGCAAATTAAATTCAGCAATGTATTAAAAAATATACAATGACCAAGTGAGGTTTATCCTGGGAATGCAAGGTAGGTTCAATATTGAAAAATCAATCAGTGTAACCCACCATATTAGCAGTCTAAAGAAAAAAATCCATATGATTATATCACTTGATGCCAAAAAAGCACTTGACAAGGTTCAACATCCATCTATTATTATTATTATTATTATTATTATTATTATTATTTGAGACAGAGTTTTGCTCTTGTTGCCCAGGCTGGAGTGCAATGGCACGATCTTGGCTCACCACAATCTCTGCCTCCTGGGTTCAAGCAATTCTCCTGACCCACCCTCCTGAGTAGCTGAGATTACAGGCATGCACCACCACATCCGGTTAATTTTGTATTTTTAGTAGAGATGGGGTTTCTCCATGTTGGTCAGGCTAGTCTCGACCTCCCAACCTCAGGTGATCTGCCCACCTTGGCCTCCCAACGTGCTGGGATTACAGGCGTGAGCCACTGCACCTAGCCTCATCCATCCATTATTTTAAAAAACTCTCAGCAAACTAGGAATAGAAGTGACCTTTTTCAATCTGATAAAGGGCATCTACAAACACCTGACAGCTAACATCATACTTAATAGTAAAAGATTGAATGTTTCCCCGCTAAAATCAGAAACAAGACAAAGATGTTCGCTGTTTCCACCCCTATTCAACGTTGTACCAGAAGTCCTAGCCAGTGCAATAAAGCAAGAAAAATAAAGAGACTAATGATTGGAAAGAAATAAAACTGTCTTTATTTGAAAGTGACATATGATGAAAATCCTAAAGAATCAACAAAAAAACTTACTAGAATTCATAAGAAATTTAAGTCTAGGCTGGGCGCAGTAGCTCATGCCTGTAATACTAGCACTTTGGGAGGCCAAGGTGGGCGGATCACGAGGTCAGGAGATCGAGACCATCCTGGCCAACATGGTAAAACCCTGTCTCTACTAAAATAAAATAAAAAAATTAGCCAGGTGTGCGCCTGTAGTCCCAGCTACTCAGGAGGCTGAGGCAGGGGAATCACTTGAACCTGGGAGGTGGAGGTTGCAGTGAGCCGAGATCGTGCCACTGCACTCCAGCCTGGTGACAGAGCGAGACTCTGTCTCAAAAAAAGAAATTTAAGTCTCAAAATTCAAGATAGTATACATTAATCATTATTTCTATATGCTAAGAACAACTGGAAATTAAAATTTAAAGAAATAATTCCATTTACAATATTGTCAAACAACAAATACTTAGGAATAAATTTAACAAAAGGTGCAAAATGTCTACATTGAAAACTATAAAACTTTGTTGAGGAAATTAGAGAATATCTAAATAAATGGAAAGATAAATCATGTTGGAAGACTAGAAGATTCACTATTTTGTTTTATTTTGATTTCTTGTTGCATAATACCAAATATTCACTATTGTTAAAGACATTGTTTCTCCTCAAAATTTTCTGCAGATTCAGCACAATGCCAATCAGAATCCCAGTGTGCTTTTTTTGCAAAAATTGATGAATTTATTCTAAAATTTAAGTGGAAATGCAAAGGACCTAGAAGACCCAAAACAGTCTTGAAAAAGAACAGCAAAAGTGGAGGACTTATATTATCTAATTCTAAGATTTTCTATATAGGTTCAGTAATCAAGACAATGTGGTATTGGCATAAGGATAGACACACACACACACACACACACACACACACACACACACCCCTAAAAAATCAAAGGAACAGAATAGAGTACAAAAATAGATCTACATTTACATGGTCAATCACTTTTCAGCCAAGTTACCAAAGCAATTCAATGATAAAGGAAAGTCTTTACAATAAATAGTTTTGGAACAACTGAACATATATATGGGAAAAACAAACCTTGGATCTTGTCATCTAACATACTTAAAAATTAATTTGATGTGGATCATGAATCTGAAACACAAAGCTAAAGTTATAAAACTTCTAGAAAAAACATAGGAGTGGCCAGGTGCAGTGGTTCACGCCTGTAATCCCAGCACTTTGGGAGGCCGAGGCAGGAGGATCACCTGAGGTCAGGAGTTCGAGACCAGCCTGACCAATATGGTGAAACCTCGTCTCTACTAAAAATACAAATATTAGGCTGGGCGTGGTGGCTCATGCCTGTAATCCCAGCACTTTGGGAGGCCGAGGCGGGTGGATGGTCTGAGGTCAGGAGTTCGAGACCAACCTGGCCAACCTGGTGAAACCCTGTCTCTACTAAAAATACAAAAATTAGCTGGGCATGGTGGCAGGCACCTGTAATCCCAGCTACTCAGGAGGCTGAGGCAGGAGAATCACTTGAACCTGGGAGGCAGAAGTTGCAATGAGCTGAGGTCGTGCCATTGCACTCAAGCCTGGGCGACAGAGTGAGACTCCGTCTCAAAAAAAAAAAAATATACAAAAATACAAAAATTAGCCGGGCATGGTGGTGGGCGCCTGTAGTCCCAGCTCCTCAGGAGGCTGAGACAGGAGAATTGCTTGAACCTGGGCGGCAGAGGTTGCAGTGAGCCGAGACTGTGCTACCGCACTCCAGCCTGGGAACAGAGTGAGACTCCATCTCAAAAAAGAAAAAACATAGGAGAACATATTTGTGACCTGAGGTACATGAAAATCTCTTAGATAGGATATAGAAAGCAACAACCATGCTGGGCGCCCGGTGGCTCACGCCTGTAATCCCAACACTTTGTTAGGCCCAGGCGGGCAGGTCACTTGAGGTCAGGGGTTCAAGACCAGCCTGACCAACATGACTAAACCCCGTCTCTACTAAAAATACAAAAATTAGCCGGGTGTGGTGGTGTGTACCTGTAGTCCCAGCTACTTGGGAGGCTGAGGCAGGAAAATCACTTGAACCCGAGAGGCAGAGGTTGTAGTAAGCCAAGATCATGCCACTGCACTCCAGCCTGGCCTACAGAGCGAGACTCCATCTCAAAAAAGAAAAAAAAAAAAGACAAGAAAGAAATAAAGAAAGAGAGAGGGAGGGAGGGAGAAAGGAAGGAAGGAAGGAAGAGCTATACAAGAAAAATTGATAAACTTTATCAAAATTAAAATTTTTCACTAATCAAAAAACACTATTAGGAAAAAATCAAGTAAATTTCCAGAATATATAAATTAAGTAATTCCCACAATGGAATAGTCAAAAGACAAACAATCCTACCCAAAAAGGAGGCCAGGCACAGTGGCTCATGCCTGTAATCCCAGCACATTGGGAGGCTGAGGTGGGAGGATTGCTTGAGCCCAGGAGTTTGAAACCAGCCTGGGCAACAAAGCAAGACTCAGTCTCTTAAAAAAAAAAAAAAAAATTGCCAGACACAGTGGCTCACACCTATAATCCTAGCACTTTGGGAGGCTGAGGCGGGCTGATCATGAGGTCAGGAGTTCGAGACCAGCCTGACCGACATAGTGAAACCCCGTCTCTACTAAAAATACAAAAATTAGCTGGGCGTGGTGGTGCTCATCTGTAATCCCAGCTACTCAGGAGGCTGAGGCAGGAGAATCGCTTGAACCCGGGAGGTAGAGGTTGCAGTGAGCTGAGACCACACCACTGCACTCCAGCCTGGGTAACAGAGTGAGACTCCATCTCAAAAAAAAAAAAAAAAGATTAGCCAGGAACGGTGGTGAGGGCCTGTAGTCTCAGCTACTCAGGAGGCTGAGGTGAAAGGGAGGATCCCTTGAGCTCAGGAATTTGAGGTTGCAGTGAGCTATGATGGTGCCACTGCATTCCAACCTGGGTGACAGAGTGAGGCTCTGTCTCAGAGGGGGAAAAAAAGGGAGGGGATGAAAACTTGAATATACTTGACAAAGAAAGATAAATAACCAGTAAACATCAGGGAAATACAAAGTAAAACTACAATGAGATATCAAAACATAGCCATTAGAGTGGTTCAAATTTAAAAGACAGGGAGGCTGAGGCATGAGAATTGCTTGAACCCGGGAGGCTGAGGTTGCAGTGAGCCAAGACTGTGCTATTGCACTCTAGCTTGGGCAACAGAGCAAGACTCTGTCTCAAAAAAAAAAAAAAAAAAAAAAAAAGACAGATAACGCCAAAACGTTGACAAAGATATGGAGCTACGGAGCAACTGGAACTCTCATAAATTGCTGCTTAAAATGTACAATAATACAGTCACTTTGGATAAAGACTTTGGAGTTTCTTATAAAGTTACATATAGATTTACCTTTTGATCCAGTGATCCTTCTCCTAGGTAGTTATACAAGGAAATGAAAACATTTGTCCACAAAATGATGTGTACAAAAATGTTCACAGGAGCTTTAATGACCATAAAATAAACAACCAAACAAACAAAAAACTGGGAACAACCCAAAAGTCTATCAATAGGTGAATGGATAAACAAACTGTAGTATATCTGTACAGTGAAATACAATTCAGCAAACTACTGATTAGCCCAACAACATGGATTTATCTCAGAGATATGGTACTGAGCCAAAGAAGCCAGACACAAAAGAACATATACTATATTATTCCATTTACGTAAAATTCTAGAACAGGCAAAACTAAGGTGAAAAAGTCAAAGAAGTCAGAGTCAGGGTAGCAGATGCCTTGAAGAGGGATGAGGGGAGGAAGATTGCCTGGGAAGAAACAGGAGGAAACTTTCTGGAGATATCAAAATGTTCGTATCATGATATATCATGATAGCATGTAGGTTATAGGGTACATTTATTTGCCAAAATTGTACGGTGAAGATTTGAGTAAATTTAATCTTAGGGAAAAAATAGGGCTCAGAAAAAAAAAAGAGGACATAGAATGAGATATATAATCAAATCATATTTAAATACATTTTGTTTGTTTATTTATTTTGAGACGGAGTTTTGCTCTGGTCGCCCAGGCTGGAGTGCAATGGTGCAATCTCGGCTCACTGCAACCTCTGCCTCCTGGGTCCAAGCAATTCTCCTGCCTCAGCGAACTCCTGACCTCAAATGATCTGCCCACTTCAGCCTCCCAAAATGCTGGCATTACAGATGGGAGCCACTGCGCCCAGACTCTACTTTAAAAAATCCATTCTTTAAATGGGAAAACTGAGGTTTAGGGAATTTAAAGTGTCTAAAAGGAAGTTCTATTAAAAGGAGACTCCAGGATCCAATCGAAGGCAGCCAGATCCCCAAAGCATAATCTCTATTTTAAATTGTGGTTTAAATAAATAAATAAATAACATAAAATCTACCATCTTAGTCATTTTAAAGTGTTCTATATGTAGTAGTGTTAACTATATGCACATTTGTTGTGCAAGAGATCTCTAGAACTTTTGCACCTTGTGAAACTTATGTATTTATTAGACAAGTCCCCCTTCTCTCCCTCCGCCCAGTCCCTGGCAACCATGATTCCACTTTCTAAGAGGGGCTACTCTAGATACTTCACAGAAGTGGAATCATAACAGTATTTATCTTTTTGTGACTAGCTTCTTTGACTTAGCATAAACATCCTCAAGGGTAAGTCCTGTTGTAGCATTTGACAGGATTTCTCTCTTTTTTAAGGCTGAATAATATTTCATTATATGTATATACCACATTTTCTTTATTCATTTATCTGTGGTTGACGGGCATTTGGGTTGCTTCTACCTCTTGGTTATTATGAAAAATGCTGCAATGAACATGGGTGTGCAAATATCTTTTTGAGATCCTGTTTTCAATTATTTTGGGTATATACCCAGGAGTGGGATGGTTAGATTATAGGGTAATTCTATTTTTAATTTTTTTTTTTTTTAGACAAGAGTCTAACTCTGTTGCCCAGGCTGGAGTGCAGTGGCGCGATCTTGGCTCACTGTAAACCTGCCTCCCGGGTTCAAGCAATTCTCCTGCCTCAGCCTCCCGAGGAGCTGGCATTACATGTATATGCCACTATGCCTGGCTAATTTTTGTATTTTTAGTAGAGATGGGGTTTCATGATGTTGGCCAGGCTGGTCTTGAACTCCTGGCCTTAAGTGATCTGTCTGCCTCAGCGTCCCAAAGTGCTGGGATTACAGGCATGAGCCACTGCACCTAGCCCTATTTTCAATTTTTGGAGGAAGCTCCACACTGTTTCCTTAGAGGCTGCAGCATTTTACATTCCCATCAACAGTGCAGAAAGATTCCAATATCTCCACATCCTCACCGAGGCTTATTTTCTGTTTTTCATTTTTTTAAAAGTAATGACCATCCTAACAGCTATGAGGTGATATTTCATGGTTTTGATGTGCATTTCCCTGATGACTAGTGATGTTGAGCATCTTTTCATGCTATTGGCCATTTGTTTATCTTCTTTAGAAAAATGTTTGTTCAAGTCCTTTGTCTATTTTTAAATTGCATTTTTGTTGCTGTTGAGATGTAGGAATTCTTCATATATGCTGGATATTAAGCCTGCTATGGTGTGAATGCTGATGTCCCCCCAAAATTCATGTTGAAGTGCTAACCCCCAAGGTGACGGTAATAAGAGGTGGGGCCTTTGGGAGATGACTAGTGGAAAGGGCAGAACCCTCATGAATGGAATCAGTACCCTTATAAAAGAAGCTTCAGAGAGTTAACTAGCTCCTTCCACTGTGTGAGGACACAGCAAGAAGCTGCCGTCTATGAGGAATAGGCCCTCACCAGACATCAAACTTGCCAGCACCTTGATCTTGGACTTCTCAGCCTCCAGAACTGTAAGAAATAAATTTCTGTTGTTTATAAATTACGCAGTCTAAGGCATTTGGTTACAGCAGCCTGAACAGACTAAGGCAAATCCCTTATCAGACACGTGGTTTGTAAATATATATACTTTTTCTTTTCTTTTTTTTTTTTTTTTTTGAGACAGAGTCTTGCTCTATTGCCCAGGCTGTGGGGCAGTGGCATGATCTCAGCTCACTGCAACCTCTGCCTCCCAGGTTCAAGCGATTCTCCTGCCTCAGCTCCCCGAGTAGCTGGGATTACAAGCGCGCACCACCACGCCTGGCTAGGTTTTGTATTTTTAGTAGAAATGGGGTTTCACCACGTTGGCCAGGCTAGGTTTTGTATTTTTAGTAGAATTGGGGTTTCACCACGTTGGCCAGGCTGGTCTTGAACTCCTGACCTCAGGTGATCCTCCCACCTTGGCCTCCCAAAGTGCTGGGATTACAGGCGTGAGCCACTGCACCCTGCCCTGGTTTGCAAATATTTTCTCCCATTGCCCAAGTTGCCTTTTCACTCTGTTGGTTGTTGCCTTTACTGTGCAAAAGCTTTCAGTTTGACATGGTCTCATTTGTCTATTTTTGCTTCTGTTCACTGTGCTTTTAGTGGCATATGCCCAAGAAATTATGAAGCTGCAAAACATACTCTCTTAAAGGTGCTTTTCAAACCATGGGTTGTAAACCTATGAAATCATGAATTAATCTGGTAGGTTGTAACTGGTACTTTTTTTTTCTTTTTTCTTTTTTTTTGAGACAGAGTCTCGCTCTGTCACCCAGGCTGGAGTGCAATGGCACGATCTTGGCTCATTGCAACCTCCGCCTCCTGGGTTCAAGTGATTCTTCCGCCTCAGCCTCCCAAGTAGACGGGATTGTAGGCACCCACCATCATGCCCAGCTAATTTTTGTATTTTTGTAGAGACGGGGTTTCATCATGTTGCCGAGGCTGGTCTTGAACTCCTGACCTCAGGTGATCCACCCACCTCGGCCTCCTAAAGGGCTGGGATTACAGGTGTGAGCCACTGCACCTAGCCTTAACTGGTACTTTTTCAAAGAATAGAACAGACAGAATAGCACAGAATAGAAAATGTTAATTGAGGTATCATATGTAGTATGCCTAAGCACTGTTTTAGAAACTTTTTTCCAGGTGTGTGTGTGGGAGGTGGGGCGGGGGTGATGGATTGTGAAATAAAGTGGATTTCTTACTGTGGGCTATGGTGAAAAATTTTGAAAAGCATTGCCCTACTCTCTACTGCACTTGGTCCAAATGAAGGCCCAACAATGCTGAAGATTTTCCAGTAATTACAGTAGGGTCAGCCCTTGGTGGGCTTCAGTGGGAGGAACACAAAGAGATCTGTGCTAGGGCAGTTAGTACCATGTTCATGTGGCAACTTCGTTTCTGCAAAATAGAAAAGTCAACTGTCACCTTAAGTGAATATTTTTTATTTAAAAAATATTGTTTTTTTTTTTTTAGATAGAGTCTCACTCTGTTGCCCAGACTGGAGTGCAGTGGCATGATCTGGGCTCACTGCAACCTCCACCTACCGGGTTCAAGCAATTCTGTTGTCTTAGCCTCCCAAGTAGCTGAAATTACAGGCATGCACCATCACACCTGGCTAATTTTTGTATTTTAGTAGAGATGGGGTTTCACCATGTTGGCCAAGCTGGTCTCAAACTCCTGACCTCCAGTGATCCATCTGCTTCGGCCTCCCAAAGTGCTGGGATAACAGGCATGAGCCACTGCACTCAGCTTTTATTTATTTAAATTTTATTGGTGCTATTTGTTTTGGTTTGGTTCTATGGTTGCCTAAGTGCTCTAAGTATAAAGATTTTATGTCTGCTTTTATGCTTGTATATATTCATAAAAATAATTTAAGTCTACAATGGGGGTCTGAGAGAGTTTTCTTTCCTTCAAAACAAGGTGTCCATACATCAACAGAGTTTGAGAAATACTGTTTAGGCTGTGCTGAGTTCAAAGGTGTACTACCAAAATTCATGTCCAATTGGATAGAACCTCTCAGAATGTGACCTTATTTGGAGAGAGGGTCTTTGCAGTTATGATTAGTCAAAGGTATGATTATGAGATCACACTGGATTAGGGTAGGCCCTAAATCCAATGACTGGTGTCCTTATAAGAAGGCCATGTAAAGATACACAGGGGAAGGCCAGGCGTGGTGGCTCACGTCTGTAATACCAACACTTTAGGAGGCTTGAGCTCATGAGTTCAAGACCAGCCTGGGCAACATGGTGAAACCTTCTCGACAAAAAATACAAAAATTAGCCCGGCATGGTGGTGTGTGCCTGCAGTCCCAGCTACTTGGGAGGCCGAGGCGAGAGGATGGCTTGAGCATGGGAGGCAGAGGTTGCAGTGAGCGGAGATTGCACCACTGCACCCCAGCCTAGGTAACAGAGCCAGACCTTGTCTCAAAAAAAAAAATAAGATACACAGAGGAGAAGCACAGAGAAGAAAGCCACATGACACCAGAGGCAGAGATTGGAGTTATGCTGCCACAAACCAAGGACTGCCAAGCACTCAGCAGCCACCAGACAGAATCCAGCAAGAAGCAAGGAAGGATCCTCCGTCTAGAGCCCTGAGATGGAGCATGGTC
Organism: Homo sapiens; assembly: GCF_000001405.40. Taxonomy (NCBI): domain Eukaryota; kingdom Metazoa; phylum Chordata; class Mammalia; order Primates; family Hominidae; genus Homo; species Homo sapiens. The sequence goes on from NC_000017.11 coordinate 48,784,588, forward strand.
CTGCCAACACCTTGGTTTCAGACTTCCAGCCTCAAGAACTGTGAGAGAATAAACGGTGTTGCCTCCACCAAGTTGGAGGCAATTTGCCACAGCAGCTCTAGGAACCACTCCAGGGGATAACCTGCCTCCCAAGAGGGGACGCACAAGAGCATCTTCCTAAATGCCGGTCCTCCCAGCAGCTATGCCATTCCACAGTGTGGGCTTCTCAAGGGGAGACACCAAGGCCCAGGGAGGCTCAGTGGCTTACTCAAAGGGTCACAGCAAGTTGGGGGTAGAGAAAGGACCAGTAAGCAAGACTCCCACCACTCCCTCCCAGAGCTCGGCTCACTACTTACCACAGTGCCAGTGAATACGTTCACTGCAGAGGCAGACTTGGCCTCCTTGATGCTGAAGTTGGGTTTACTGGGCTCCAACTTCGAGCTGCTGAGATTGATATTCCTCAGATCGGGTAGAGAACTGAAGGGCTTCGCAGACGTCAGCTTGGGGAAAACAGAGCTGGCCTCCTCCGTGGGAGCCTCCTGGTTGAGGCTGCTGTCTGTTTCATTTTTCCTTTCACCTCTGACACTCAAGAGCAAGTCAGGTGTGTAGGATACTAATGTCAATGGCTGGATGTACTGAGGGAGGAAGAAACCACAACACACAGCCATGGGAACCCAGCTCTATCCACTTCCAGATTCATCTGCACCCAGGGGTAGGTGAAAAAGAGATGAGGAGAAGGAAAGCAGTCGATAGTAAAGTCTCTCTAATGTGGGGCTCTCAACTTGGAATTCTGGGACCCTTAGAGGACTCATGGATAGCTCACAGGGTCTCTGAGCCACTTGAAATTGCAGTTTAAAAACTGTGCATTGTGTACTTTCTGGCAAGAGATTCCATAGCTTTTATCAGATTCTTAAAGGGTCTGTGACCCTAACAAAGTTGAATAATACGAAACAAAAATCCCTGCTCTAATCCAGGTGAGCCTTTGAGACAAAGTAGATGGACTGAAAACTCAGCTGAATCTTCCCACTGAGCTAGAAGAGAGTGCTAAGCAGAGAAGGCGTAGACAGACCACAGGCCAGCTGGATAGCTGACCCACAGCCAGGACTGGTCCACGCTTTGCATAGAGGAGGAGAGACCCAGCCATGACCGACATCCCATGTAATGTTCTGAGAGTCCTGTTCCCAGAAGCTCTTCCCAGTGGCCTGCTCTCTCCACTGTGCCCTGGCCTGCTAGAGGGGAGCATTCCAACCCAAGCTGCAGTTGAGGACCAGGAGTACATGCACTCCTGAAGCCCGCTCCCTAAATAAGGTTCATGCTCAGCCTCCCAGCATGGCCTGGCTGCTCTTACTCCTACTGGAGGAGGCAAGCAGGACAGACCGGTGAGAGTCCTCTGCTGCCTGGATTGAGGGATCCTCTAAAAGATGCCGGCTCCTGTGTGCCTTCAGGGCTCCCCGCACCGCCCCGTCGTTGCCCAGCCCTCTGCACAGCCTTTCGGTGTGTCTGGGCTCTGAGCAGTGGTCTCCTCAGCACCCCTCCACGGATCAGGCCCAGGTGGGGAAGGGTGTGGCTACGTGTGTTCCCCTCAATCCAGGTTTACCTGTTTGGAGGCTTGGGTGGCGGCCTTGTCTTTCTGCTGTTGTTTCTGTTGCCAGCCCCTCATGCCCTTCTTTCTCACTTGCTCGCCTGCCGATTCCCCCTGCATCTCTACCTTCTTCTTCATTTGGAAGGGCTTTTTCTCCCGTTTTAGTCTCAGCTCCTGGATCAGTTGCCTGCCCATGAAGAACAAGTGAACATCATGGGGGTTAGAAATGCGCTGCGCAGGCAGGCATTCTCCTTGAGGGATGGACATGACTGGGCGAAAAGTTAGCAAGTTCCACATTCCCTCCTCCAACATATCCAGTCTGCACAAGTGATTGAATGTCAAGGAGCAGGGTGTGGAGGAAAGCATCATTCTGCCAACCATACCATCCCCTGTGTGGGAATAGCATCCAAGGAGAGATGTGCAGTAAGGGGGCTATTCCCTAGTCCATCACAGCCCTATTTGTTCCCCACTTCCCAGCAGGCCAGTTCCCATCCATGGCAGGTGCTGGGGAGAGGGTCTGGGTAGGAGGCTAACGCCAGAGGCTCTCATATTGCGCCATTTCATGTGCTGGGCCTGTCTAGCCAATGGATGCTGAGAGTGGACAAAAGGTGACATAATATAGCAGAAATAACTCAGTCTCATGAATCAGGACACAGGGGAGTTCTGGTCCCTCTTCTGTCATCTTTTTTTTTTTTTTTTTTTTGAGATGGAGTCTCGCTCTGTCCCCCAGGCTGGAGTGCAGTGGCACAATCTCAGCTCACTGCAACCTCTGCCCCTCCAGGTTTAATTCTCTGCCTCAGCCTCCAGAGTAGCTGGGATTACAGGAGCATGCCACCACTCTCGGCTAATTTTTTGTATTTTTAGTAGAGATGGGGTTTCACCATCTTGGCCAGGCTGATCTTGAACTCCTGACCTCGTGATCCACCTGCCTCGGCCTCCCAAAGTGCTGGGATTACAGGCGTGAGCCACCGCGCCTGGCCTGTCATCATCTTTATATGTGATCCCTCCTCTGCTCTGCCTTCTCTTTCCACAAAATGAGCTGGTAGGAGAGGACTGGACTCAGTGGATGAGTCCCTCCAGCTCCTGGAGTTTACGCCTGTGTGAATCCATGAGGCAGCTTTGAGGGGGTGGCTATCCTCAGGAGTGAGTTTCTAGAAAGAGCTACTTCTCTCCACTTCACATAGGGAATCTTCCAATTCCTTGTCCTTGCGAGACCAGGGCAGATGTTCATCTGGCAACTTTCTTTTTTTGCTTTTCTTTGAGACAAGGTCTGACACTGACACCCACGCTGGAGTGCAGGGGTGCAATCACAGCTCCCTGCAGCTTCCACCCCCTGGGCTCAGGTGATTCTCCTACCTCAGCCTCCTGAGTAGCTGGGAGTATAGGCACATGCAACCATGCCCAGCTAATTTTCCTTTTTGTTGTTTTGTAGAGATGGGGTTTCGCCATGTTGCCCAGTCTGGTCTTGAACTCCTGGGCTCATGCCATCCACCTGCCTTGGCCTCCTAAAGTGCTAGGACTACAGGCGTGAGCCACGGCGCCTGGTTGCTCTGGCAACTTTCATGGCTGGGGACTCTCCCTGCCACTCCAGGCCAGTCAGCCAATAGATCACACACAATCCCCAGAACCCCTCCACCGACCTCATCCCGGATGTCTTCCTACCGGGCATACTCCTCCCGAGCCCTGGAAGCAACAGTATTCTGGAAGAGGGAGTTGTTGTCCTGGAAAAACTTCTCATACTTCTCCGAATTCAGACTGGGATAAATCAGTCGGAACCCTCCACAGTTTTCCTTCTCATACGTTTCAGTTTTCTTTAACTGCACGGCCCGGAAACCCTTGGCTTCCTCAATCCTGTTGGGAAGCAGAACATGGGGCTGCTGTCAGGTTTTCTTGGGACAAAGCCTGGAAGGGATATGTCCAAGCTGGAGGTCGTCTAGGGCCAGATGGAGGCCTTGCACATAATGGCGGTCAATCAGGATTTGCTAAATAAATGCATGACTGTTTCCCTGAAAGGAGATTCTAGCCCTCCTGGGACAGCCAATGTCATAATGCACTAAAAGCTGGTTAGCACAGTCTTTCTAACAACTCACCAAATTCTGTCCTGTTCCAAGTAAAACCCATTTTCTACTCGGCTTAGCTCTGACTAGGCAGACTGTCGCCACCTTCCCATTCACAGCCCTGATTACCCTTTTCTAGAGAGTGGCAACTTGCACTTTTGCCGAATTTGAGGGCTTCCTGGATGACCTTGATGACCGTTTACGAGCTGCAATGATCTCATTCTTCCTCACAGCCCCCTGGGGGAAGTGGGGGTCAGACAGGGAGAAATGATAAGCCCCCTTTTACAGCAGGGAAACCCAGAGCCACAGAAATATCCAGGGCCAAATAATGAGGAGACTGATTCGGAGAAGGCCCTTAACCTGACAGCTGCTCCTCAACAGGACACTGCCTCCTTCTCGAGGAGTTTAGAGATGGCAGGGCATGGTGGAAGGCATCCTGGAATCCCAGGCGGCAGACTCACTGGGCTCTGGGTCCAGAGCTGTCATTTACCAGCAGGGTGACCTTGTAGAAGTCAGTTCCCTTTCTGCAGTCTTGATTTCCTTAGCTTTCAGAACAAGGCCACACAGCACTCCACCCTACCTACCTACCCGCTCCTTACAGGGAAGACAGTGCAAGTGCCTGAGAAACACTGTGCCATCCAAACATAAATGCTATTTATGGCATCAGTTCCAGAAACTCAACCCCAAAGGATTAGACTGGTTCTGCCCATGAGGAGTGCAGGGGGCTGTAGTGGGGTCTGAAAAGCAACAAAGGATCCCCTTGACTAGGCTCAGAGTCTCCAGACACTAGAATCACTCTTCAGAATGGAAATACCAGTTACAAGGCAAGTGCTGCCCAACAGGAAGCAGGAGACGTTAGCTCCTGGCAACAGGGGAACATGGAGAAGGACAGACACATCTTTCTTTATAGTAAAAAAAAAAAAAAGGAATGGTCTTGTTTTTATACTGGTAATTCCTAAAGCTTCACTTAGTATTAATTAATTTCTATCCATTATATATAGCTATATATCTGTAACTTAATCTCCTATTTCTAGGAACAAAGGAATATTCAGAGTAAAACTATTCAAACTGCTACATTCTGCCAATATAAACTCATTTTCCAAATGGGATTATCGTTTGTTAAAATGACCCCCTCCAACTCCAGGCAAGATTGTAATAGCCTTCGATATATATTATAGTGCCAGGCACTATGCTAAGCCTTTTATATGCATTATCTCATTTCATTCGCCCAACAACCTTATGTATCATAGCTCCATTTCATAGAAAGATCACTGAGGCTCAGAGAAGTGACAGAAAGGCCACATAACTAGTAGGCTGTCGAGTCATAATTTGGAGGAAGACAGACCATTCTTTTATTTATTTATTTTGAGACGGAGTCTTGCTCTGTCACCCAGGCTGAAGTGCAATGGTGTGATCTCGGCTCACTGCAACCTCTGTCTCCCAAGTTCAAGCAATTCTCCTGCCTCAGTCTCCTGAGTAGCTGGGATTATAAGCATGCGCCACCATACCCGGCTAATTTTTTTGTATTTTTAGTAGAGACGGGGTTTCACCATGTTGGCCAGCCTGGTCTCGAACTCCTGACCTCAGGTGATCTGCCTGCCTCAGCCTCCCAAAGTGCTGGGATTACAGGTGTGAGCCACTGCACCCGGCCCAGGACAGATCATTCTTATTGGGAGCAGGGGAGTCAGAGAGAGAGCCCCGCAAGGCTGGGGAGTGCGAATGTACCTCATCTCCCGAGAACAACACTGCTGCAGGAACTGCCCCCGTTGTCTCTCCTCCTCCAAGACTTTCTTCTTGTCACAGCTTTCCAGGTTGATCAGGACTAAGGTGTCATACAGCAGACCATCTTTCACCTCTTTATCCAACCGAGAGTCGGTGGAGAAGCTTGGAGAGTGGTTGACCTGTGAGGGCAAGATTGGCAGCTGGTGACAAAGCCGTCCAGAATGAAAGCAGAGAGTGAGGCCGAGGTGCCACCTCCAGGGCACTACCAAAGCCCACCTCAGGGCCCTCACTACCAAGATGAAAGGGAGGGGAGAGAGCATCTGGACTAGAGCCACAGTGAAAAAAGGAGGCAGCAGAACTCCCTCTAGTTAAACCAGCTTTTATCTCAGGCCTTTCTTCTTTGGGAGCATCAGGGTTACCCTCTCTTTGGTGTGTGTGTTCCACTCCATCTGGGGTGCATGTGTTCTCTCATATGCACTGGGCATCCAGAGAGCAGGATGGAAGGGGTACTTCCCAAAGGGACAGGCTTGGACATAGGAGGTAGAGAGGAGTGGCATTCAGGAGCCTGGCCAGGGTGGAGGGGAGACATGTGGGAGGAAGGAGAGGACTCATTCCCGCCCACTGAAAAGTCTGTATTGTTTGGAGGCACCATGTGACATTTGCAGATTTCTAGAAGTTTTTGAAGGGCTTGGTCCTGATGGCTCATTCTGCTCTTTGGGTAAGGGCTGCAAACAGGCACATCCCTCTTCCCACCACACCTACAAGGGCTGGGAATGGAAGAAGGGCAAAGCTGCAGGAATCTGACCTGTAATCTCGGGTTCTCCACCCCAGAGTCTGACCTGTGTCACTGCACCTGGCACTAGCACCCTTTGCTCCCTGAAGGGCCACATGAGAGGGCTCCTGAGGACAATTCTATCAGGAAGAGAGGCAGTCACCAGGAAAGCTTCTCCTCCTCCTCACACTGCCGTATGGGTCTAGGGGAGGCAGGAAACTCACTACATGGCCCCCCATCCATTTCGGTGGCAGCAGGCCCCAGGACGCTCTCTGCTGGTGTGTGTGAACTGAGTAATCCAGGACCCTAAGAGTGGGGCACCGCCGCTCCTGTCTGATACTGAACGTTGCCAACCCAGCTTTGATGAAAAACGCCCCTTTCTGGGAGACAACTCTTACAAAAGATCGAGCTGTCTTTAGAATCACTCTGTGCCTAAGATCAGCACTTCCTTGTCTAAGAGGACCTCAAGAAGGCAAAGGAATTCTCTAATTCCCAGCTGTCTACCCCCCTCTGGTGGCCACTTCTCAGCTAAGAGAGAAGCCCCAGGCAGCAGGCACCATGGGAGGAAGTGGCCTGGGAAGTTGAAACAATTTAGGTGAGCCAGGAGGGCGGAATCCTTGAAGCGGGCTGGCCCCAATAACAGGAGTTCGTTTTCGCCCCTCGCCCAAACTTCCCTACCTCCAGCAGCCAGGGTTTGAGTTTGTGGTCCAACAAAATGTCAAAGCCCAGGATCTCAAAGCAGGCGCTGTTGAGTGTGTGGTTGGGGAAGCAGGTGTGGTAGTTATGCCTGATGATGGGGTGGGCCGAGATGAGGGTCTTGATGATGACGTCCTCAATATCCCTCCATATCTGCTCCACGTTGTAGCTGTGGTCCTCCAAGTATGCACTGAAGGTGGAGAGCTTCCTGGAAGGGAACCACAGGCCAGGAGGCAGTGTAGCTGGCTTCTGGTCACCCGAGGCCATGGCATGCTGGAAACCAGAAACTCCTGGCGGAGACAAGGCTCCAGAGCCAGCGAGGATGAACGCCCAGGAACCAGGGTGACACCTGGGCTGTGTCGGTGCCAGATGAGGTCCCAGGAATCCCAGGACCACACCCTCCAAGTCTCCAGAGCCCCAGGGTGGGTGCAGATGCAGTCACATAGGACATGGTCAGGACACTTTCACTTTCACTGTGACCCAGAAAACATCTATCAGCAGGGGAAGGGATGAGTCAAGAAAACCCCCTGACACCATGGTTTTACTTTGGCAGCAATGATTCCTCAGCCTTTGGTGTTCATTAGAAGCATGTGGGCAGCCTTTTAAGAACACTGATGCCTGGGTCCCACCTCAGCCATCTGAGGGGATTCTAGGGACACTAATGACACAGAAAACTTGTTTTAGGGCTGCCCACAAGGAAAAGGCACCCAAGGGCATGTCCACAGATAAGGTTACCAACTGTGCCAGGCAAACTGGACTGTCCCAGTTTTAGAATTGCAAGTCCTGAATTCCAGGAAACCCCTCAGTCGTGGGCAAACGGAGACAGCTGGTCACCTGATCACAGATGAACTCAGAGATGTTTACCTCATGTGGAATAGTTCATGAGGAAATACCTGAGTGGGTACTCAGCCAGCTCTGAGCTGGGCATTACAGAGAGAGGATGGATGTCACAAATCCAAGAGGCAGTGGTGGGGACAGACATTTGCCACCTCACATGCACACAAATGTGCACAGACAGCCAAAGTGGAAGTGGCAGTGTGGAAGGAGGAGGTGCAGGGGAGTGAACAGCAGAAAGAATGAAAAAGACAAGAGACACGGCTCATCCAGGCAGTTTCAAAAGCTCACTAGATCCCAGCCCAAGGGGTCAAGAAGGAGGAAGCAGGGTCAGCCAGACAATGAGCATTTGATAAGGGCCTTTGGTGCATGCAAAGCCTCATGCAAGGAGGGGACACTAGAAACTGTCACCTCTGTCATGGGAAGCCTCAGGACCATTCAGGGAGTCAACACACATGTGAAACAACCAAGGATGCATTTATATAAAGACAGATAAGCAAAGGATACTCAATATAGAGGCCACCTCCTCCACCTGCCATTGTCAGAAAACAGTGTTGCACATAAATGGATTTTCCAGATCGCTTTAAGCCAATTTTTTTCAAGTGGAGAAAATGTATTTAATTTGCCTAATTGGGAAATAAATTTTCCTGAAATAGATTATACACCTCCCTGGCAACATATAACATAACCTTTTCTTGATGACTCAGGCTCATCACAATGAATATACTTCATTGTGTAATTTCATAATGCCCAGTGGTAAGTCAATTCAATTTAATACCAGCCATGTGCTGAGCACACTGAAAGATGAAGATGGCTTGGTGTCTGCCCCAGAATCCTGCCAGGTTTTCAGGTTTCCTGTCTTCTCCTTCACTGTGACCGCAGCACTACTCCTGAGTTTGTGCGCCAGTGGGGTATTGACAGGGAGGGCAGTTGACCTCAAACGCCAACTTTGGGACAGATGAGACAGTCAGTATGAGAAGAAGATTGTCTCAAAAGATGGAGAGGAGGAAGAGGAAAGGAGAAACAAGATGGGAGGGAGAGGAGGAAAGATGAACTCTGCCCAGCACTATGGGAAGAACCCCAAAGGCCAGGGCACCATTGTAACCCTCAAGGAGCAAAGTACAACTAGGGACAAAAGACAAATGTGCACTGGGCAAAGAATAGTTATGGGCGATGGCTGATGTTGACCATGAGGGTTGTAAAAATACAAAAAATTGGCCAAGCATGGTGGTGGGCGCCTGTAATCCCAGCTACTTGAGAGGCTGAGGCAAGAGAATCGCTTGAATCCGGGAGTCGAAACTTTTGCAGTGAGCCGGGATCGCGCCATTGCACTCCAGTCTGGGGTGACAAGAGCAAGATTCCGTCTCAAGAAAAAAAAAAAAAAAGACAGTGCCCTGTCCATGAAGTGGATGGCACGGGCAGCATGGCTTAGTGGGTAAGGGCACCAACTCGGGGGTCAGGCAGCCCTGGTTTCAATCCCAGCTTCCTAGCTGTGCGACCCAGGTAAGTTACTTAACTTTTTCACACCTCAGTTTCCTAATATGCAGAATAGGGATGATGATAATGCTGACTTCATAGTGTTGTTGTGAGGAGGATTAAGTGGGTTCAAGTATGTAAATTATCACTAGGAAAAGAAATGTCCAAGCTCTCCACCCCTGGAGATGAGAAGGTAGAGATGGGGAAGTTGGGCAGGGAGACCAATTTGGAGTGCTGCGGTGGAGGCAAGGAGAGAGAATACACCCATTCTGGGAAATGCTGAGTTGAAGACGTCCAGGTGGAACTGAGGAGAGATGGACCTGGAGCCCAAGGGAGACAGGCTGAGCCCAGCAAGGGCAGGCGGAGGCCACGGGGGCACACGGCTGCTCCAGGAGAGAGTGGATGGAGAAGTACAGTGGGGTGAGAGGGAGATGAACAGAGGAAGAGGACAGGGGAAATGGAAGAGGCAGAACAACACTTGAAGCCTTGCAACCTCACCTTAGTTCTGCTACCCCGAGACACCCCTCCATCACAGCCGAGGGCCCAGGGCCTGCTGTTGGGGTGCCAATTCTCATTGGAGGAGGAAAATGAGAACCTTTCCATTCTGTGCCCTTAGACTAAGGAAAAATGACAGTAACCACGCACACTGTCTGTGTTGCCATCACAAGTCATTTGAACCTCACAGAGACCCTGTGAGGTGGCAGGGCAGGGCAGGGAGTCTCATCACGTTCATCCTCCAGACCAAGAAGTGCAGGCTCAGAGAGATGAAGTAACTTGTCCAAGCCTAGTTGGCAAGTGTCGGAGCCGGGACTACAAACTAGACCTCCCAGAGTGCCACGCTCAGAACGCAGCAATGCAAGAGGCCCAGCTGATGCCCACAGCCCAGGTGGGGAGGAGAGGAGGAAGTCGCAGAGCTTCAGGCAGCACAGGTGGCTGACATCTTCTGGAAAAGGGGGAGACTGCCTCCCACCAGCCTTCCACATCCCCTTTAAGCAGCCTTAACTTAGCGATTTTCTGTGTGCTTTTTGGAATGCTGCCACTGAGGGGGTCATGAACTGTCACATGCCTCTCTGATGGTCTGAAGCCAAACTAATTGCCTGTTCAGAGGTCCTTTGAAGCCTGGTGCAGCGGAAAGAGAATGAGCTCTGGGGTCTAACAGACCTCGCTTCTCCACCCAGTCTAGCAGTCACAGCTGCGGGACCTGGGGCAACTCACGCAACCTCTGAGACTCAGTTTCCTCATCTGTAAGATGGAGATGGCACCTAACTCACAGTTCTCCACCTACAGAGGGCAGATAGTAATGCCTTTGCCATAGTGTTGCTGTGAAAAATTCAAGAATAGGCCGGGCGCGGTGGCTCACGCCTGTAATCCCAGCACTTTGGGAGGCTGAGGTGGGAAGATCACGAGGTGAAGAGATCATGACCATCCTGGCCAATATGCTGAAACCCTGTCTCTACTAAAAATACAAAACTTAGCGGAGTGTGGTGGCACATGCCTATAGTCTCAGCTACTTGGGAGGCTGAGGCAGGAGAATTGCTTTAACCCGGGAGGCAGAGGTTGCAGTGAGCCAAGATCGCACCACTGCACTCCAGCCTGGCGACAGAGCAAGACTCAGTCTCAAAAGAAAAAAAAAAAAAAGAAAAGAAAAGAAAAATTCAGCAATAAAAAATGCACAGAAAGCACCAAGCACAGACCCCAACACACATGAAGCCTCAGAAATACTTGCTCCTTTTCCCTTTCCTCCTTCACCTGGTCAAGTTCACATTCTTCAGTCCCCCGTTTTCTTAAAACTCAAATGAGACCCGATTAGACAATAACAGGAATGGAAAAGCCTCTCGTGAAGATACTCTCATGAACTGCTCTCAATTTCCCCCCTTCTGAGGAATCTTCAAGCCGGCTAGCCACATGTCAGGGCACTGTGACACATCATTTGAGAATCTCTAATGGAGCAACGTCCAGGGGAACATGGGCCAAGCAATGACTGCCTGGCAAGTCCTTCTCACGTGGCAGACTAGCGATCAATAAATATCTGTTGATTTGGAAATATCAGAAGGGCCAACTGTAATAAGGGTATGTTTTGGTGTGTGTATATATTCTGCTGGGGAAACAGCTCATGTTTATCTCTCCTCCTCCCAGCCTCCCAGGGTTTACGATGGGGCCTTCTTTTAATGATTAACAGCCAAGAGGGCAGAGATGAAGGAATTTGTTCTGGGTTGCGAGGCAAAGGAGTATATTCTCAGACCATGTGACCCAAGATGGAAACACTGATGGGGACTAACAGGGTTTGGGTAGAATCCCAGAAAGCAGTTCTGAGGTTGGTAGGGAAAGGAAAGAAAAATGAAGCCTCTTCCTTACCTCTTACTGCCAGAGTGTGCATCTCGACTGAAATTTGAACTGTGCTTATTAATGGAATAATTAGTCAGGTGCATGCAGATATCATCCTGGGGAAAAAGACACACATCTGTCGGGTCAGCTCGGAAGGGCAGGCCCCCTGCTTCCTCTCTGTGCCCTCCCATGGCCCCTGGGGCTTGAAGGGATGGAAAGAAAGGGAAGTTTTAGGGCTTATTTAGTGTGGCAAAATACAGGAAGTAAGAAGGGGTGTCCTGCAGCCTCGAGCCTAAGAAACTCCAATTCTGCTGGGCGTGGTGGCTCATGCCTGTAATCCCAGCACTCTGGGAGGCTGAGGCAGGCAGATCACGAGGTCAGGAGTTCAAGACCAGCCTGACCAACATGGTGAAATCCCATCTCTACTGAAAATACAAAAATTAGCCGGGGATGTGGTGCACACCTGTAATCCCAGCTACTTAGGAGGCTAAGGTAAGAGACTCGCTTGAACCCAGGAGGCAGAGGTTGCAATGAGCCGAGATCATGCCACTGCACTCCAGCCTAGGCGACAAAGCGAGACTCCATCTCAAAAAAAAAAAAAAGAAACTCCAGTTCTTTCTGAGATTGGGTGGTGCCCAGCCTGAGAAAAACTTCAGGAGTCCTGGGGGTCCAGGAAAGGTGGGGATGGCAGGGTTGCTCATCCACGGCCTTTTCTCCTTGATTACCCCTGAACTGTGGTTCTGGCTTTGGAGTCAGGCAGACCTGGCCACAAGCCCCAGACTCACCTCTTCCTAGCTGTGTGACCTTGGACAAGTCCCTTATGCTCTGGGTTTTAATCTCGTCATCTGTAAAATGGGGATAATAATCCCTCTCTCTGAGGGATCCTGGCAGCGCTAAATGAAACCCGGCACATAGCAAGTGCTCAACAAATGACACTCACAATGTCTTGAGGATGTGGATTTAACTAGAATTTTTTTTTTTTTAATCACGCTATGGGGGTAGGGTGAGGTAGTGTGTCTCCTTAGCTCACCAGGTTGTCTGTGCAAGGGCGGGAGTAAGAGGTCGTCGCAAAGCGGGCCAGTCCTTCATTGTACACAAAAATCCTGAGAGGGTCACAGGATGTCACCAGTACATAAATCCGTAGGTCAAACTTAAACCCATCAATGATAAAGGGCTGGAAGGAGAGAACAGAAGTCAGACATGCATTAGAGGAGAAATTTACACTTGAAAATCACTAGCTCCCGCCTTGTTTCCATGGAGTTGGCTCCAACATTGCCTAGTGTTGTGGAGGGCAGGCTTGTCCAGGGTCAGAGAGAGGAACAAGGAGACTTGGGCTCTGTGTCCCAACATGTGACCCTGTGGAGGTCACTAAACCACACTGTGCCTTGGTTTCCTGATCTGTCAAGTGACACAAGTAACCACCTCTAAGAGGCACCTTGGCAACTAAACAAAGTAACATTAAAAAGTCCTCTGAAGCCAGGCGTGGTGGCTCATGCCTGTAACTCTAGCACTTTGGGAGTCTGAGGCGGATGGATGATCTGAGGTCAGGAGTTCGAGACCAGCCTGGCCAACATGGCAAAACCCCGTCTGTACTAAAAATACAAAAATTTGCCAGGCGCGGTGGTGGGCCCCTGTAATCCCAGCTACTCAGGAGGCTGAGGCAGGAGAATCACTTGAGCCCCGGGGGGCAGAAATTGCAGCAAGCCAAGTTCACGCCACTTCACTCCAGCCTGGGCGAAAGAGCAAAACTCCATCTCAAAAAAAAAAAAAAAAAAAAAAAGTCCTCTGATGGGCCAGGTGCAGTGGTTTATGTCTATAATCCCAATACTTTGGGAGGCCGAAGAGGGAGGATTGCTTGACCTCAGGAGTTCAAGACCAGCCTGGGCAACAAAGTGAGACCTTTTCTCTACTAAAATTCAAAAAAAGAATTAGCCAAGTGTGGTGGTGTATGCCTGAAGTCTTAGCTACTCAGGAGGCTGAGGTGGAAGGATTGCTCAAGCCTAGGAGGTCGAGGCTGCAGTGAACCCTGATCACACCGCTGCACTCCAGCCTGGGTGACAGAGTGAGACCCTGTCTCAAAAAAAATAAATAGATAAAAATTCTTTGATAGGCCAGGTGCAGTGGCTCACACTGGGAATCCCAGCACATTGTGAGGCCGAGGCAGGAGGATCTGTTGAGGCTAGGGGTTTAAGACCAGCCTCAGCAACATAGAGACTCTACCTCTACAAAGAAATTTTTTTTTAATAAAAAATTAGTCTGGGCACAAGGGTTCACACCTGTAATCCCAGCACTTTTGGAGGCCAAGTCAGGCAGATCACTTGAGGTCAGGAGTTTGAGGCCAGCTTGGTTAACATAGTGAAACCCCGTCTCTACTAAAAATACAAAAATTAGCCGGGTGTGCTGGTGGGTGCCTGTAATCCCAGCTACTTGGGAGGCTAAGGCAGGAGAATCACTTGAACCTGAGAGGCAGAGATTGCAGTGAGCCGAGATTGCACCACTGCACTCCAGCCTGAGCAACAGAGTGAGGCTCTGTCTCAAAAAAAATAACAATTACAAATTAGCCAGATGTGGTGGCATGTGCCTGTAATCCTAGCTCTACTGGGGAGGCTGAGGTGGGAGGATTGCATGAACTCACGAGTTTGAGGTTGCAATGAGCTATGATTGTGCCACTGCGCTCCAGCCAGAGTGACAGAGCAAGACCCTATCTCTAAAGAAATAAAAATAAAATAAAGTATTTTGATGAATGGACATATTGTCACCATTCGGGACTACATATTGTTGCAGTTCTTTTTTTTTTTTTTTTTTTTTGAGACAGGGTCTCCAGGGTCTCACCCTGTTGCCCAGGCTGGAATGCAGTGGCACAATCTTGGCTCATTGCAACCTCCACTTCCCGGGCTCAAGCAATTCTCCAGCCTCAGCCTCTAGAGTAGCTGGGACTACAGGCATGTGCCACCACGCCTGGCTAATTTTTGTAGAGAAAGGGTTTCGTCATGTTTCCCAGGCTGGTCTGAAACTCCTGAGCTCAAAGCAATCCACCCACCTCGGCCTCCCAAAATGCTGGGATTATAGGCGTGAGCCACTTTGCCCAGCCAATGCATAGTTGCAGTTCTACAAGAGTTCTCCCTGCAATGTTGTCCCCTGGCCATTTCTTCCCAGAGAGATCAGTGTGTCCCCCTCTGTCCACACTCCTAGAGGGCTCCCTCCCCACAGTGGGCTGTGACCTATGACCTCAAGTCAAAGAGAAAAGCTGATTGCTCTCCAGCATCATGCCCCTTTCCCACATGAGGGCTTCCCCAAACCAAAGGTGCTCTCCTAGCCCTAATGTGTTACAGGAAAAGGGCCAGCCTGGCAGGGCCAGACCAATTGACAAGGGTAAAAGGATAACAGACACTCTGGCCCGGGCACGTGTCAGCACCCCGGTCAGAACGTTTGGTCTGACAAAGTGCAAGGCAGAAGCCAGGTCAGCTCCACCTCCACCTTCACCCTCCATCCCCTCATTTCACATTCTGTCCAGTGGAGCTAAAGTCCGCGGTTGCTGTGGGTGATAAATAAATAATCACAATGAGGAAGTACCTTTGAAATATACAGCTGACAGATCATATCCTCCCCTGGTTTGATTTCTTTCACTGTCCGGGTGATGAATATACCTTTCCCTTGGCAGCCCGAATCCGGCTTACAAATGTATGTCTTATTTTTTCTTGACCTGCTGTAGGTCTGCAAATCTCCCCAGCTACCAGAGCAGGGAGGGAACAAGATACATCTTTAGCTGGGGAGCAATGAAAAGGAAGGCTAGCCCTTTATGAAGAAAAGAAAGAAAAGCTGTCTAATGTGACAAATCCCTGGCACTGACAGATGCCCAGAGGTCCAGCAATGGGAGAGAGTAGAGCACACGCAGTGGGGAGTGTGGGCTTCAGAGGGAATTCAGGCCTGGGTTGAAGCCCAAGCAACACCACTTACCAGTGGTGCAACCCTTTGCAAGGACTTGACCTCTCTAAACCTCAACTTCATCATCTATACAGTGAGGATAATAACGACACCCACCTCCTGTGGTGCCTAGTTGCATGACATAATGCAGGCACAGTGCTGCATGTCCCATCAAGGTGACCATGGCACAGGTAGTTTTGTTTTCTGGGTTTGCAGGTAGGAGCTTTGGAGTTCTGGACCTGGCTCAAGCCCTGACAAGTGATGTGATTTTGGATCCGTCAGTCTCTCACCCCATGCTGGGCTTCAGTGTTTCGTCTGTGACACCTCCATTTCAGCCAGAGTATGGGAGAGCAAATCATATATTTGAACATATTTTGAGGAAAGTATATTCAGAAGAAAGAAAGAAACTAAATTAATGGATTCGGTCTATCAGTCTCGCTATACTTCTGTGTTTTAACTCAAAGGAAACTTGTAACCAGGAAGTCACTTAACTGCAATGTTCCTCAGTAACCATGAAATCTGGAGCTCCTGTTGACCTGATGGCAAATACATTTCCTTCTAATTTGCTGCTAAGCCCTGAAACTTGTTCCAGACAAGCCAAGGAAAGTCTGAGAACCCTGGTGCTCTTGGTTTTGGAAAGCACTGGGTGGAGAGGGGAGGGTAGAATTCCTCTGATACCCTTGCCATGTGAGTATAATCTGATGGTGACAGTGTTCTACCCCTCTGCCCTGTCTCAGCCACCAGATTGCACCCTAGGTCATGGATGTCATCTCACATTTCTCCTGTTCCTCGGTGGTGTGGTCCAGAGTACTTTACACACCAGGAACTGATGTTGTTTTGAAATGGATATAAAGAGAGCAGAGAAGGGGAAGTGCTGACTGCTATCCATAGCATTGCATGGGACAGAGGTCAGGCATCCCTCCCTGCTCCTAACCGGGGTGCTAACCACTAGCACACTCTCTCCAGAGGTGCTCATGGTCCTTAAAGATTCAGAAACTGCACAGTTACGTGGTTGGAATTAGTTCAAAACCAACAGCTTTCAGGGTCAGAACAAACTCTCACCCCAACTGCACGTACAGGCTCCAGGGCACCCAGCCCCTAAATGTCATCTAATTTTACAGGCAGAGCCTTGTGTTTTCTCAACCTTGGACACACCCTTTATCCCTTCTCTTCCTGAAAAGTAGCCAGAGAGATGGGAGTTCATATGGGCAGGGAAAGTGGCAACCAGGGAATCGGGGGCAAGAGGAAATGTAAATGGGGAGGGGAGTGGAGAAGGAAGTACAGGGCGGGGGGCACTCACTCAGCAGGAAGACACCAGGTCCTAGGGAAAAAGCGGAAATCTTTAGGGAACATCTTTAACATGCGGCTCATGTTCCTGGCCAGCAAGTCCTTCCGGCAGATTTCACTCATCCCGGGGAAGTGATTGATCTTCTGGAAGGGAAGCCGGAATTCATGAGCAATCGAGGGACATGGGAGTACTACAAGATCTCCTCGGGAGACAGGTGTAAAAATGGGGCCCCGCCGGGTAAGATGGCACACTTAAACCAAGGACCATCACTAGCCCAAATACCTGGTAACTTTTCATTTCCATCACCCGCTCCAGTGACACTGAGTAATCTGTCCAATAGAGAGTCCAGTCATCGTCTTCCCCTCCCTCTCTAAAGCCGTACTGTTGGGCAGCCCTGCGCACTATTGAAGAAAGAAAGGCCTATTAGCCCAGGAAGTGGGGGAGGAGTATGGGGTGGGGAGATTCCATTACTAGGTGCTCCCAGACCAAGTACTGAAGCAAAAAATCTCGGCTCCTCGAGACTGGAAGCCATCTTGCCCTCTCTGGATGCAAGAATGGAGAGTCAAACACTGTCACTGCATCACTTGAGTCCAGGAGTTCAAGACCAGCCTGGCCAACATGGCAAAACCCCACCTCTACTAAAAATACAAAAAATTATCTGGGTGTGGTGGGGTGCGCCTGTAATCCCAGCTACTCAAGAGGCTGAGGGGGAGAATAACCTGAGCCCTGGAAGTCGAGGCTGCAGTGAGCCGTGATCATGCCACTGCACTTGAGCCTGGGCAACAGGAGACCCTGTCAAAAAAAAAAGAAAGAAAGAAAAGAAAAGAAAGAAAGAAAAAGAAAGAAAGAAAGAAAGAAAGAAAGAAAGAAAGAAAGAAAGAAAGAAAGAAAGAAAGAAAGAAAGAAAGAAAATAAAGGAACATGGAGAGTTGAAAACTACTGAAGAATCCAGCCTGTGCTCAATGATCCCCGTAGAAGGTTATCTGAGGTGAATGATTTCCCTGTTCTGGCTTCCCTTTGCCAGAAAGCAAGCTTCTGGCTTTCCTCCAAACACCAAGCTCTGAATGTTCAGGGAATATAAACTAATCCTTAACATTAGCCAGAGCCAAGCTTAATTAGTATATGGTATATTAAGCATGCATTTTTTTAAGTACACACTGGATTTCAAAACCACATTTGTGATGTCATATCCTTCTTTCTGTTCCTGTCAGGATTAATAAGTAGGAGCTGACTCCAACACAAACTCAAATGCCTTCAAGGGCCTAGAATGGGAGAAGTGCCTGCAGTAACCGGGACAGGACAAGACTACCCTAAAGCATTCAATTCTAATTTAAAATACAGCAACAGGCTGGGCACAGCGGCTCACGCCTGTAATCCCAGCACTTTGGGATGCCAAGGTGGGCGGATCACCTGAGGTCAGGAGTTCGAGACCAGCCTGGCCAACATGGCAAAACTTTGTCTCTAATAAAAATACAAAAATTATCTGGGCATGGTGGTGTGCACCTGTACTCCCAGCTACTCAGGAGGCTGAGGCAGGAGAATCACTTGAACCCGGGAGGCGAAGGTTGCAGTGAGCCAAGATCATGCCATTACACTCCAGCCTGGGCGACAGAGCGAGGCTCCATCTCAAAAAAAATAAATAAATGGCCAGGCGCAGTGGCTCATGCCTGTAATCCCAACACTCTGGGACGCTGAGGCGGGCAGATCACCTCAGGTTGGGAGCCCAAGACCGGCCTGACCAACATGGAGAAACACCCATCTCTACTAAAACTACAAAATTAGCTGGGCGAGGTGGTGCATGCCTGTAATTCCAGCTACTCAGGGGGCTGAGGCAAGAAAATCGCTTGAGCCCAGGAGGCAGAGGTTGCGGTGAGCCGAGATTGTGCCATTGCACTCCAGCCTGGGCAACAAGAGTGAAACCCAGTCTCAAAAATAAAATAAATAAATGCAATACAATACAATACAGCAAGAGCCGGGCACAGTGGCTCACACCTATAATCCCAGCACTTTGGGAGGCCGAGGCGGGTGGATCACTTGAGGTCAGGAGTTTTAGACCAGCATGGCCAATGCTGCGAAACCCCATCTCTACTAGAAATACAAAAATTTAGCCGGGCATGGTGGCACTTGCCTGTAATCCCAGCTACTAGGGAGGCTGAGGCAGGAGAATCACTTAAACCTAGGAGGTAGAGGTTGCAATGAGCTGAGATCACGCCACTGCACTCCAGAGCAAGATTCCGTGTCAAAAAAAAAAACAAAAAAAAAAAACAGCAACAGCAACACTGTGTTCTAAAATAGAAAATAGGTCTGTAGATCAGATTCAGTTCACGAACTGCAAGTTTGTAACTTGTACTCTGAAACAGAGCCACTGGCTGCAGCAACAGCTGTCTCTTTTACAAGTAGATCCCCAAATCACTATATATAAGAATTACAGATAGTTGAAGTACACACCATTGTGGTGAAAACCCATGACTCTTGGAATAGGATTCCCAACCTCTTTAATTAAATAGTTCATTGAGCTAGGAGAACTGAAGGACAGGATTTGAAGATACGCCCTTTCATCCTCACAAATATACAAGAGTGACTCTTCCCAACCCTTTGGGAGAATCCAGTGGGTCCCCATTATAGATCTCCTGAATGTAGATGCTCACCACTCTCATACCGGCAGCTGGATAGATTGATCACCAATCATCTGGAAAAGAGAAAAAGGAAAGCAGCAAGACAGAGACACACTTGCCAGAACAAGTGACTGTATCCAGAAACATCCTGTCCCAGGTGGAGCTGTCTGAAATCTAGCCTGCCATGCTAAGCCTGGTTTGACCGTCCCTGTTGCTGAGGACACGAGTCCAAGGGGGTACAGCATGGTGGAAAACATGGCATCAGGGTACTATTACTCTACCCAGAAGGTAGAAATTCTGTATTGCAATTACAGCTGATCTTGCTTGCAGCTTCTCACTAACATCATTGCCTCAAGCCTTTTACTCCACTGGCTCATCAGGGACAGGAATTGAAAATATTTTTGGCCAAAATACTTGTCTCCTTCCTCTTCCCCCCATTAAGGGAAGCTATGAATAAGAAAGTGGACAAGCTTTCCTTCATCAATCAGTCTGAATGGAGCAAGGCATGGTGAAATATTAAACAAGAACTGGAATGCACAAGCTGCAGTTGGATCCTGATAAGTCAGTATGGTGCTATCATACTGAAGGCGTACTAAATTTCCAGGACAAATCAGCGCCTTCTTAAAACAAGGAAATCTTCTTTTCCTGCTATTTTTTAAAGGCATCCTAAACACAAATAGAATGAAAATTAGGACAAGGCATGGTTTTTTAGATTACACACACAATCATTTGATTCTATAAAACAGATCATCGAAAGTAGATTCTTTTTATATGAACCAAAAGTGGTGAGATGTTGACAGTCTCAGCACACAGTTTCTCCTTTACTCTCTCATCATCAGCCAAGACCCCCTTCCCTCCAAGTCCTTCCTGTTATTACCAACATGGCTCCCCATTCCCCAGCTTTCAATCCTAACCTCTTTTTCTTCCTCTTCTTCTTGCCTTGCTGCTGGGCATTCTGAAGTCCGTTTTGTGCCCCTGGGTTCTCTCTCACAAAAGCCAGCGCGACGGTTTCTTTTGGATCTTCTTTGGAACTGTCCCCCTTCTCTTCGGAGTTTTCCCCTTCCTGGCTTTCCAAAGTCGGGCACTGTGGCATCTCCCTGGCCTGGGAGGAGGCTCTGGGGAAATACCAGGCCCCTAGAGAGAGGGCAGAGGGAGCCGCAGTTACAGAGATCCACCTGCAGGGGGACCCCCTCCCTCGCTCATGTGGGTAGAGACCCAGGGTTCTAATTCAACGCAACAGGTTGCAGTTTATAAAATGCCACCCGGCCTCCGCGGTTTGATGCAAGCTCAGGGAGGGAGCTGATTCCACCTTTTGCCATTGGCTGTGACCTTGGAGACTCACTCAGCCAACGCTAGCCTTGGTTTTTCCCTCCTGGGATTTTCAGGAGAAGCCTGAGATGCTGTGCATGGCACCACCTGGTAAACAATCTTATTAAAGTGAGTGAGTGTCTGGAGACAGCGAAGCCCCAAGCCTTCCTAGCTGAGAGAGTTAGTCCTAGAGGGTGCAGGTGGAGGTGCTTTGAGGAGGTCTGTTAACTGTTTCAGCACTGCACTGAACCTCCACACAGCAATATGCTGGCCTGAAAATAAATGCAACTGCCGCTCGTGGAGTACAAGACTAATGTGTAGCTGATTGAACAATAAGATTCAAGCCCAGGGCCAGATGCAGACCTTCAGAGACACCAACCACAGAGAAGGCTGTGTCTCTCCCACCATCCATTCCAAAATAAAAACAAGATCAAATTATAAAATACATGTAAGGAAGTCCAGTAAAGATCTCATCCTCCCTGGCCCCATGAGATTTCGTTCATGTTTACTCAAAATGCCAAATATCGCCAGGCGCAGCGGCTCACGCCTGTAATCCCAACACTCTGGGAGGCCAAGGCGGGCAGATCATTTGAGGTCAGACGTTTGAGACCAGCCTGGCCAACATGGTGAAACCCCGTCTCTATTAAAAATACAAAAAAAAAGGCTAGGCGCAGTGGCTTACACCTGTAATCCCAGCACTTTGGAAGTCCAAGGCAGGCGGATCACCTGAGGTCGGGAGATTGAGACCAGCCCTACCCACACAGAGAAACCCTGTCTCTACTAAAAATACAAAATAAGCCAGGCATGGTGGTGCATGCCTGTAATCCCAGCTACTCAGGAGGCTGAGGCAGGAGAATCGCTTGAACCCAGGAGGCGGAGGTTGTGGTGAGCCAAGATCGTGCCATTGCACTCTAGCCTGGGCAACAAGAGAGAAACTCCATCTCAAAAAAAAAAAAAAATTAGCCATATGTGGTGGTGGGTACCTGTAATCCCAGTTACTAGGAAGACTGAGGCAGGAGAATCGCTTGAACCAGAAGGCAGAGGTTGCAGTGAGCCGAGATCATGCCACTGCACTCCAGCCTGGGCCATAGAGCGAGACTCCATCTCAAAAAAAAAAAAAGAAATGTCAAATATCAACTATTTTTAATGGATGTGAATGCCCCTGCTTCACTCCTCCTTAAGAACATGCTTAGTTTGCCTTTGGGTAACCCAGAACTGCCAGGCCCAATTAATGGATTCATATTCCCTCACATCCAAGGCACCTATGACCACAGAGCCAATTTTCTGGTGCTTTCCCTTCCTCTCTTCACCTCCGAAAATCCTGCAAACCTCCTCACATTTCAACCCCTCTCCTCCGATGTCCACAGTCCCCTTGCTACTTATTACCTGTTCCTCCCTCACAAATTCTTTGGATTTAAAAAAAGATAATAATACATTACAATGTATTATCATTGAAAGAATATAACATTAAAGGAGGCTTAGAAAATGAGGTAGGATGAGAAATCACCTGTAGCTTTCCTACTCTATCATAGTCACTTTAAACTGTCTATGAATTCACTTTTATTCTTAATTTCTAAGCATAAGGCCAAGCACGCTGGTTCACGTCTGCAATCCAAGCACTTTGGGAGGCTGAGGCAGGCAGATCACTTGAGGTCAGAAGTTCGAGACCAGCCTGACCAACATGGCAAAACCCCATATCTACTAAAAATACAAAATTAGCCAGGCATGGTGGTGCACATCCATAATCCCAGCTACTCGGCAGGCTGAGGCAGGAGAACCACTTGAATCCGGGAGGCAGAGGTTGTAGTGAGCCAAGATTGCACTGTTGCACTGCAGCCTGGGCAACAACAGCGAGACTCCGTCTCAAAAAAAAAATTAATTAATTAATTAATTTAAAAATAAAAATAATTTCTTTTTTTGTTGTTGTTTTTTGTTTTTCGAGAGGGAGTTTCACTCTTGTTGTCCAGGATGGAGTGCAATGGCGCCATCTCGGCTCACTACAACCTCCACCTCCCGGGTTCAAGTGATTCTCCTGCCTCAGCCTCCCGAGTAGCTGGGATTACTACAGGCATACACCACCACACCCGGCTAGTTTTGTATTTTTAGTAGAGATGGGGGTTTCTCCATGTTGGTCAGGCTGGTCTCAAACTCCCAACCTCAGGTGATCCACCTGCCTCGGCCTCCCAAAGTGCTGGGATTACAAGTGTGAGCCACCGTGCCCTGCCAAAATAATAATTTCTAAGCATAATTATTCTAATATAATTGTAATCAATTTTGTATTTGCTTTTTGTCCACTTAGTAGATTATAAACAGCCTTTTCACTGTGGCAAAGTTTACATGTTTCTGGGTTTTTTGGTTTGTTTTGAGACAGAGTCTTGCTTTGTCGCCCAGGCTGAAGTGTAGTGGTGCAATCTCGGCTCACTGCAACCTCTGCCTCCTGGGTTCAAGCAATTCTTGTACTTCGGTCTCCCAAGAAGCTGGGATTACAGGCATGCACCACCACACCCGGCTAACTTTTATATTTTTAGTAGAGACAGGATTGCGCCATGTTGGCCAAGCTGGTCTTCAACTCCTGACCTCAAGCAATCTGCCCGCCTCTGCCTCTCAAAGAGTTGAGATTACAAGCATGAGCCACCGTGCATGGCCATTTCTAGTTTTTTTGTTTGTTTTGTTTTGTTTTTGTTTTTGTTTGAGACGGAGTCTCGCTCAGTCGCCCAGGCTGGAGTGCAGTGGCGCGGTCTCGGCTCACTGCAAGCTCCGCCTCCTGGGTTCACGCCATTCTCCTGCCTCAGCCTCCCAAGTAGCTGGGATTACAGGCGCCCGCCACCACGCCCGGCTAATTTTTTGTACTTTGAGTAGAGTCGGGGTTTCACTGTGTTAGCCAGGATGGTCTCAATCTCCTGACCTCGTGATCCGCCTGCCTCGGCCTCCCAAAGTGCTGGGATTACAGGCGTGAGCCACCGCGCCCGGCCATTTCTAGTTTTTAATGGCTGTATGTATTCCATTGAAAGAATGCACCTGAGTGTATGTAACCAATCATTGTCCTATTGTTGGAAATGTAAGCTGCTGCCAATTTTAATATTATACAAATAGCTCTAAAATGCATTATCGCAGGTGAAGAAGGCCTTTTACTTACTTGGGGTTATTTTCTTAATATCCTGATATTACAGGGCTAATGAATATGCAAATTACATCGCTTCTCATATGTATGTGTGTGTGTGTGTGTGTGTGTGCACGTGCATAGATATATGTTGCTTCCCAGAGGGATTGCATATTCCCATGTTGCTTCCCAGAGGGATTGCAATAATTTGGAATACTACCAGCAATATGCAACAAGAGCAGGCTCACCAGAGCCCCACAATCTCTTGGGAATCATCTCCCCTCTCTATACATATTTGCTATTTGTTTTGTTTTGTTTTTTGAGATGGTGTCTCATTCTGTCACCCAGGCTGGAGTGCAGTGGTGCAATCTCAGCTCACTGCAACCTCCATCTCCTGGGTTCAAGCGATTCTCCTGCCTCACCCTCCTGAGTAGCTGGGATTACAGGCACCTGCCACCACGTCAGGCTAATTTTTTTGTATTTTTAGTAGAGACAGGGTTTCACCATGTTGGCCAGCCTGGTCTCAAACTCCTGACCTCAAACGATCTGCCCGCCTCGGCCTCCCAAAGTGCTGGGATTACAGGCGTAAGCCACCACGCCTGGCCCAAACTTGCTAATTCTAGACAACTTTTATACCCTACAGCCAATGTCTTTGATATGACTGCACCCTTCCACCTTTCTCTATTCCTTTCTAAATCCAAATTTGGTGGTGTGGAGCCCTTAACTATGGAAGCTACCTATAAATAATATAATTATAAGCTTTTATGTGGGGATAGTTCTCTGGGCTTTTCAAAGAATTTTCATATTCATGCTCCCATTGAATGCTTACAATGAGAGGGATGGCAGAATTGTTACGTCAGCCAAGGATTGCCACTTGTTTCTTTCTCTTTCTGAAGAGGGCTGCCACTTATAGGCAAGACCCTTTATGGTGACACCAGAGCAGGGGGAGGAAGAGATGTGCTCAGGACAGATAAAACCTGGGTCTTCTGAGTCAATTGTTCCCAGTGAACAGGCACATTCTTGGCAAAGTTCAGGGGAACTAAGGTACTTGAAATCTTGACCTTGGACTACTTCCTTCCTTGAAGGTAAACGGCTAGCTCCACTCCCCTAGCCCTCCGCAACGGCTCCTATGTACCAAGCCCTCAAGGAGGAGTGGCTCTGTTTACCTAAAGGTTAATGTTAACTTGGGGAGAGAAAACTGACCCTGAGTTTGACCTCTAGAAGTGCGGGTTCTCTTTGCTCATTTTTGAGTCCTTGCCTGAGTGGTAAGAACAAGTCATGGCTCCTTCTATGTGTCTGCCTCAAAGAGTAAGCCAGGTGCAGTGGCTCACGCCTGTAATCCCAACATTTTGGGAGGCCAAGGTGAGAGGATTGCTTGAGCCCAGGAGTTCAAAACCCGCCTGGGCAACAAAGTGAGACCCCATCTCTATTAAAAAAAAAATTAGCTGAGTGCAGTGCTGCATGCCTGTAGTCCCAGCTACTCAGGAGGCTGAGGTAGGAGGATTGCTTGAGCCTAAGAGTTTGAGGCAGCAGTGAGCCATGGCTGCACCACTGCACTCCAGCCTGGATGACAGAGACCCTGTCTCAAAAAAAGAAAAGAAAGGCCGGGCGCGGTGGCTCATGCCTGTAATCCCAGCACTTTGGGAGGCCTCAACTGAGGTCGGGAGTTCGAGACCAGCCTGACCAACATGGAGAAACCCCGTCTCTACTAAAAATACAGAAAATTAGCCAGGCATGGTGGTGCATGCCTGTAATCCCACCTCCTCAGGAGGCTGAGGCAGGAGAATTGCTTGAACCTGGGAGGCAGAGATTGCGGTGAGCCGAGATCATGCCATTGTACTCCAGCCTGGACAACAAGAGCGAAACTCTGTCTCAAAAAAAAAAAAAAAAAAAGGAAAAGAAAAGAAAAAAAAGGTCAAATTATGTTTGCTCTTGCATGAGAGGGCCTCATGCATGTAAAGTAAAAAATTGAGCCCATGCACTTTTAGATAAACTGTTTCACCATGGAATTATTGCCTGCATTTCCTCGTATTCTAGGCTGCCTATGACATAAGAGCCATCTTGGATGGTACCCGAGACAGGTGCAAGATGGCAAATGGTACTTGCCATGTGACTACTTTTGCTTTGTCTTTGGCCTCCTTGCTTTCATTTCCCCCAAGCTTCTCTCCCTGTTTAATCTCCAAGGCTGAATCCTGTCTCTCCAAAGATCCTGAAAGAGCATCTCCTTCAAAGTTTGCCTACTGGGGACAGGCATGCTGAATCTAGCTTGCAGAAATGTCTACTTCTGGGGCATAGTAGCGCATACCTATAATCCTAACACTTCGGGAGGCCGAGGTAAGGGAATCACCTGAGCCCAGGAGATTGAGGCTGCAGTGAGCTGTGATCATGCCACTGCGCTCCAGCTGGGCAACAGTGAGACCCTGTCTCAAAAAACAATCAAACAAAAAAACCTATGTGTATATATAGTATGTGTGTATATATATATAGTACATATATACACATATATAGTATGTGTGTATATATATATAGTACATATATACACATATATAGTATGTGTGTGTATATATATATATATATATATATATATATAGTATGTGTGTGTATATATATGTAGTTGCCAACAACTAGAAAATGCAGATTTCCATTTCTTTTGGAGAGGTCTCTATTCCTTCATGCCAGCAATCAACCAGAGCTCAGTAATGCCTCCTGTAGACA